>NC_000016.10:88945790-89587067 GCF_000001405.40 Homo sapiens
GCCACCCAGCATTCACGTTTCTTGGTATTTACCCAAATGAGTTAAAAACTAATGTCCACACAAAACCCTGCACATTAATGTTGATAGAAGTTTCATTCGTTTTTACCAAAACTTAGAAGCGACTGAGACCGCCTTCAACAGGTGAATACATAAAATACTGTGGCATATGTAGACGATAGAGTGTTATCCATGACAAAAGTAGTGAGCTATCAAGCCATGGAAAGTGAACATTGATGGCCGGGCGTGGTGGCTCACACCTGTAATCCCAGGACTTTGGGAGGCCGAAGGGGGCGGATCACCTGAGGTCAGGAGTTCGAGACCAGCCTGGCCAACATGGCAAAACCTCGTCTCTACTAAAAATACAAAAATTAGCTGGGCGTGGTGGCGGTGCCTGTAATCCCAGCTACTTGGGAGGCTGAGACAGGAGAATTGCTTGAACCCAGGAGGCAGAGGTTGTAGTGGCAGTGAGCCAAGATCATGCCACTGCACTCCACCCTGGGCAACAGAGCAACACTCCATCTCAAAAAGAAAAAAAAAAGTGAATATTGCTAAGAAGTCAATCTGAAAAGGCTATATACTGTCTGATTCCAACTCAATAGCATTCAGGAAAATGTAAAATGATGGAAGTAGTAAAAAGGTCAGTGGTTTTCAGGGGGTTATAGAATAGGGAAGGTTGAGTAGGGAGAGCAGAGAGGTTTGTTTGTTTTTGGAGGCAGAGTCTTGCTCTTGTCTCCCAGACTGGAGTGCAGTGGCATGATCTTGGCTCACTGCAACCTCTGCCTCCCGGGTTCAAGCAATTCTCCTGCCTCAGCCTCCCGAGTAGCTGGGATTACAGGCGCCCACCATCACGCCCAGCTAATTTTTGTATTTTTAGTAGAGACAGGGTTTCACCATGTTGGCCAGGCTGGTCTCGAACTCCTGACCTCATGATCTGCCCACCTCGGCCTCCCACAGTGCTGGGATTACAGACACGAGCCACTGCTTCTGGCTGAGTTTTTTTGTTTGTTTATTTTTAGACAGGGTCTCACTCTGTCTCCCAGGCTGGAGTGCAGTAGCGTGATCACAGCTCACTGCATCCTTTGACCTCCCAGGCTCAAGCGATCCTCCCATCTCAGCCCCAGCTAATTGTATTTATTTTTTGTAGAGACAGGGTTTTGCTGTGTTGCCCAGACTGCACAGAGGATTTTTAGGGCAGTGACACTATTCTGTATGACAGTCTAATGGTAGACGCAAGTCATATGCTTGTCTAGACACATAGAATGTAACACCAAGAGAGAAGCCCAATGTAAACTATGGATTTCAGTTAATGAAAAGGTGTCAGTATTGGTTCATCGGTTGTAACGAATGTATCACACCAGTGCCAGGTGCAATGTAGGGACCCCCCACTAGGGAACAAGTCGGAAAGAGTAATGAGAACTCGGCGCTTTCCGCCCAGTTGTCCTGTAAACCCAGAACCACGCTAAAGAATAAAATCTATTAACTTAAAAAATTCAGCAGACAAAAATGAGGATATCAATGACATTTTATTTGCCGTTTAAAAGACAGATACAAACAGACTCTTCTGCAGCGCCTGAATCTCTACATGGCCCTTCTCTCCCTTAATGCCTCCTTCCATTCTACCCAGCCGATTTTTATCCTAATATGTTTTCATGTTTGAAAGTCTTTTGATTCCCCTATCGTACAAAACTAGGTACATAGTTGGAATGTCAAGATTTAAACATTTTCCTATGTTAAAATTTATTTCCTGGGCTGGATTATCGTTATAATTATTGGTAGTATACAACCGATACAAACAATGTGAATGTATTACACATTTTGAGAACTAATAAGGATACAAAGTAGGCTGGGCTTGGTGGCTCACACCTGTAATCCCAATGCTTTGGGAGGCCAAGGAAGTAGTATCGCTTGAGCCCAGGAGTTCAAGACCAGCCTGGGCAACATAGCAAGACCTCATCTCTACAAATAATAAAAAAGTTAGCCGGGTGTGGTGGTGCGTGCCTGTAGTCCCAGCTACTCAGGGGGCTGAGGCAGTGGGATTGCTTGAGCCCAAGAGGTTAAGGCTGCAGGGAGCTATGATCACGCTACTGCACTCTAGCCTGGGTGATGGAACGAGACCCTGTCTCAAAAATAAAAATAAAGATACAAAGTAAATTTTTGTTGGAAGACATCTCGTAAAAGGAGGGAGGGGCACTTTTTGGTAGTAGTTTGTGTATTCATGCATGAATAATACTGCCAGAAAAAGACAGGATTTGACATTAATTCCATTCCCGTGGTGGGTGTTTAATGTGAAAGCCAGAGAATCTTCAGTCCCATAAATAACTCGATCAGAACGGGAGCTGTGTCCTAACCATCTCACTGTGACCTCCTTCTGAGAGTCAGATGCCGCAAGCCACGTGGTGATTGGTCATCAAAGTCATTTTTAATAACTATCAGCTGACAAATCGGTTCTGTCCCCCCTCAATTCTGTTTCATGCAAAGACAAGAAATCAGCAGGTTGCAGCAGAGACACATTCGTGGCGAGTGGGGAGCTGGGGGCAAGGCACCAGGCTGGCCCCAGGCAGAGAGACGTTGGTCTTTCTTGGGGAACTGGGAGAGGGTGACTGTGCAGGGGTAGCTGGGAAAAGGACCCACACTGGCCCAAGCAGGTTCTGCCTTGGCCGTCAGCCTGGGCCGTCTGGTGTGGGCACCAGATGACGCGGCTTCAAGTTGCCCACAAGGTCAAGGAGACCCTCCCGGAGGCAGGGAGGAACCCTAAAGCAGAGGGAGTCCGGGCTCCGGACAGGAGGCTTCCCTGCCTCAGGAGTGTCTCTTGGCTTTCTCCCCTGACTCACATCGGCATCGCTGCTTTTGCAGAATGAGGTTCCTAATTGTGAAGTGGCTTCATTCACGTATTCATTTCTTTCTTCCTTCACTCTCCATATCCAATAGAAAGCAAGTTACTGAAGCTTGCCAAACCTCAGTTTTTCCTGTAAAACGGGGCTAAGAGCTGGCTGGCCTACACATTTGCAATGTGGCTCAAAGACAAGTTCAGAGTTCTCTCTTGTCTTTGTTGAAGTTCACACGAGAACCAGGCCAAGCACAAACAGTTGGAAATCGGAAGTGTCCCGTAGGAAAAGCAGCCGGTGCTCGTGTGTAAAAGGGAATGTGGATGGGATTGAGGTGGCATTTAAAATCCCTGGAGAAGCACAAACTCCCCAGTAGATGGTGTCAGGACAACTGCCCCATGTGGGGAAAATGAATTATATACTCCTTACTTCACTTGGAAAAATAAACTCCACTTGGGTTAAAGAATAAAATGTGAAAAACTGGAACAGTGAAAGGATTAGGAGAAAAAAGCAGAGCAATTTATATAATACCAGTTTAAAATTAAGGCAGCCGAGAAACTCTGAAAAAATTTTAAGAAGCTGGAGGGGTTTGGCCGTGTAGGCATGAGCAACTTCCATGTCCTGAAAGAGACAGGGGACCCCGATAAGAGATGGGTTGGGAGGCCGGGCGCGGCGCCTCACACCTGTAATCCCAGCACTTCGGGAGGCCGAGGAGGGCAGATCACTTGAGGTCAGCAGTTCAAAACCAGCCTGGCCAACATGGCGAAACCCTATCTCCACCAAAAATACAAAAATTAGCCAGGTGTGATGGTGTGTGCCTGTAGTCCCAGCTATTCGGGAGGCTGAAGCAGGAGAATCACTTGAACCCGGGAGGCGGAGGTTGCAGTGAGCTGAAATCGAGTCACCTGCACTCCAGCCCGGGTGACAGAGCGAGACTCTGTCTCAAAAAAAAAAAAAAGAAAAAGAAAGAAGATGGGCTGGGAGTGGGTGTGGGGACAAACGACAGTGGCCCCAGCACACAAACATTGCTACAGAGAAGAACAATACAAGCACTCAAAATAACGCTCAACAAACTTCATGAGTAGGCAAATCCCACAAGAAGAAAACAAAAGGGACCAGACACAGTAGCTCACGCCTGTAATCCCAGCACTTTGGGAGGCCGAGGCAGGCAGACCACTTAGGGTCAGGAGTTCAAGACCAGCCTGGCCGACATGGCGAAACCCCGTCTCTACTAAAACACAAAAATTAGCTGGGCGTGGTGGTGGGTGCCTGTAATCCCAGCTATTGGGGAGGCTGAGGCAGGAGAATCACTTGAACCCGGGAGGCAGAGTTGCAATGAGCCAAAATGGTGCCACTGCACTCCAGCGTGGGTGACAGAGATTCTGTCTGAAAAAAAAGAAAAGAAAACGAAGGAACGAAAACCCCCGCCACTCTCGAAGTCACACGGCTTCCCTGCTTCTCTTCCTCATGACTGGCCCCCTCTCCTCCTCTCCCGTCTCTCTTCACCTCTCTTTATCTGGATCTGTCTCTGCTTGTTCTGCGTTTCCCTGTTCTCCAGGGCAGGAACCACATCGGTCTGTTCACCCCTCCCCTGGACCGGCACCGCCACAGAGGGTCAGAGTGTTGGCACCTGTCTTCCAGGTCTGTTCACCCGTCCCCTGGACCGGCACCGCCACAGAGGGTCAGAGTGTTGGCACCTGTCTTCCGGGTCAGTTCACCCGTCCCCTGGACCGGCACCGCCACAGAGGGTCAGAGTGTTGGCACCTGTCTTCCGGGTCAGTTCACCCGTCCCCTGGACCGGCACCGGCACAGAGGGTCAGAGTGTTGGCACCTGTCTTCCGGATCTGTTCACCCCTCCCCCGGACCGGCACCGCCACAGAGGGTCAGGAGTGTTGGCACCTGTCTTCCGGGTCAGTTCACCCGTCCCCTGGACCGGCACCGCCACAGAGGGTCAGGAGTGTTGGCACCTGTCTTCCGGATCTGTTCACCCGTCCCCTGGACCGGCACCGCCACAGAGGGTCAGAGTGTTGGCACCTGTCTTCCGGATCTGTTCACCCGTCCCCTGGACCGGCACCGCCACAGAGGGTCAGAGTGTTGGCACCTGTCTTCCGGATCTGTTCACCCGTCCCCTGGACCGGCACCGCCACAGAGGGTCAGAGTGTTGGCACCTGTCTTCCGGATCTGTTCACCCGTCCCCTGGACCGGCACCGCCACAGAGGGTCAGAGTGTTGGCACCTGTCTTCCGGATCTGTTCACCCCTCCCCTGGATCGGCACCGGCACAGAGGGTCAGAGTGTTGGCACCTGTCTTCCGGATCTGTTCACCCGTCCCCTGGACCGGCACCGCCACAGAGGGTCAGAGTGTTGGCACCTGTCTTCCGGATCTGTTCACCCCTCGCCTGGACCGGCACCGGCACAGAGGGTCAGAGTGTTGGCACCTGTCTTCCGGATCTGTTCACCCCTCCCCTGGACCGGCACCGCCACAGAGGGTCAGAGTGTTGGCACCTGTCTTCCGGATCTGTTCACCCCTCCCCTGGATCGGCACCGGCACAGAGGGTCAGAGTGTTGGCACCTGTCTTCCGGATCTGTTCACCCGTCCCCTGGACCGGCACCGGCACAGAGGGTCAGAGTGTTGGCACCTGTCTTCCGGGTCTGTTCACCCGTCCCCTGGACTGGCACCAGCACAGAGGGTCGAGTGTTGGCACCTGTCTTCTGGGTCTCCATCCCTCCCTTTGTTTGTTGAGTGACTGCATGTTCTCATTTCCTTATCATACAATTCTTTGAGAGGTATCATTAGCTGCGTCTTATTTTATTTTCACCTTCTTTTCTGTTACCTGTATGTTTGAATTTTCCTATAAGTATTTTTGTTTCATCTTTGCTTTTTTAAATTAAAAAATCAGTTTTAAAATTGCACCTGCAGTACAAAATCAGGGTGGCGACCGGGTTGCTGCCATTCCCTCCCCTCGGGTCTGTGGCTTCTCAGCTCCAGCTCGGGTCACAGACCTGCTGCCACGGCCCCAGGGTGGGCACAGGGCTAGCAGGACAGTCATGCAGGCAGCCGCGGCCCCAGCGATTGGTCCAGGAGGAGGGCAGGTGACCACACGCGGCCAATCACAATCCTTCCCTGGGAGTTTTTGAACTGGAACAAGAGAGGAAGGACCTCTTCTTTGATCTGCGTGGGAGGCAAGCCCAGAGTGGCCTGGACAGCCGCTGGGAAGAGAAGGTGGGCAGAGCGGCGGAGGGTGTGCTAATGGTTGGGTCTGTGGGGCCTG
The DNA here is from genome assembly GCF_000001405.40 of Homo sapiens. Lineage (NCBI taxonomy): Eukaryota > Metazoa > Chordata > Mammalia > Primates > Hominidae > Homo > Homo sapiens. Next base: position 88,951,886 of record NC_000016.10, read on the forward strand.
AAACCGGTGCCCCTGCCCATCCTATAGTTTGGTGCTTGAGCCAGCACAGTCCCAGGTGTCCCTGACGCCTCCGAGCTGGGTTTCTGTCACTCGCAGCTGCAGCATTCTGGCACAGACCCTTGGCCCAGGACCCCTGTGCAGAGGTGGGTTTGGGTCTCCCCGGCCCCAGCAGCCCCAGGAGCCTGTGAGATCTAAGCCGGAAGCTGCTCTGGGCACCTGAGTGCTGACAGCCCGAGTGATGGGAACAGGCTCGCTACTATGCAGAGACAGAGAGACTAATTTTTATCAGCCAGATACCTGGCCAGGCCCCAGGGTGGACAATCTCCAAACCGCATGCATCCCGGCACTGACAAAGCCGTCTATCATTGCTGGAGCCAGGACACCCGGGGAGGCTGTGCCAGGCCACGGGGTGAGGGAGCTGCCTCCCTCCAGTCCTTCTCCCGTGGGGCACTGAGACGGCTTTCAGCAAGACAAATGCCCAGGCCACAGGGTGAGGGAGCTGCCGCCCTCCAATCCTTCTCCCGCGGGGCACCAAAATGGCTTTCAGCAGGACAAATGCCCAGGCCATGGGGTGAGGGAGTTGCCGCCCTCCAGTCCTTCTCCCACGGGGCACCGAGACGGCTTTCAGCAAGACAAATGCGGCCCTGCCACTCCCTGACCGAGATAAAGTCTCAGCTCCTGAGCCTGGGGTGCCTGCTGCTCGCCCCCATCGCCTCTCTGAGCTCCAGCCTCACAGGCACACACCGCTCCCCTGCCCAGAACATTCTGCCCACAAACTCCTCTTAGCCTCAGGTCCCTGCTGAGTGGCCATTCCTGCTGGGAGGCAGGAATTCCCTGATCTACCCTTCCTGAGTCTGGGAGAGACGCCTCCCATACCCCCATGACAGCCCATCACAATTGTTCACGGATCTCTGTGTTCTCCCTCAACAAATACTTGGCGGACCCCCTGGAGCCACAGCTCAAGGCTTCCTTCCCCCCCACCCCCACACCCTGGGGACAGCATGTCCAGGACCCCCACGCAGGGCCTGTGTCGAGACGGCATGTCCAGGACCCCCACGCAGGGCCTGTGTCGAGACGGCATGTCCAGGACCCCCACGCAGGGCCTGTGTCGAGACGGCATGTCCCGCCATCGGGTTTGCTGCTGAATGAGCAGATGATCTAATGAGTGACCGTCCTCACCCACGAGAAAAAACACAACCTGGTCTCCGTCTGCCGGTTAGATCGGCCCCCAGTCCTGCTGGCCCCAGCGATGACAGAGGAGGAGGAATGAGGAGTGCCGTGCCTGGGCTGGGCCATCGCCTCTCTCCCTCGGCTGGGTTTGTCATGCTCAGCCAGACCCGCTCCCGGTGGAGAGGCCGAGGGACCCTCATTTCTACGTTTGCATCCCTTTCTTCCAGGGCCTGCGGGGCTGACAGGCACACAGCCAGTGGTGAAGGTTCACGGAAGAACGAAGGAAGGAGTGAGCGTGGGGAGAGCCAGCCAGGCTCCCCATGTCCACCCAGATGGTGAGCTGGCCCTGCCCTGGAGACACTGTGTCCAGAGGCCAGCATAGCCCTCAAAACGGTTCCCACAGCTCCCAGCGGAGCCCTCAAAATGGTCCCCACAGCTGCCGCCCACTCTTGGGACCCTGAGTGTGGGGAGGCTGGGGTTGAGCAGTGGGGATCAGGATCTGGCAGGATCGGAATGTAGAGGCCTGGGGGCTCCCGGCTGGGGACAGTGCCAGCAGGAGTGGCCGGGACGATGACGAGGTGAGGTGTCTGCTCCCAGGCTGTGTGTGGCTTGGATGCCAAAGCGCCTTTTGCTGTATTCGGCACCCTGAGACCCTTATGTCTGCCTATTGAAGGCACAGTTTACTCCCGGGAAAATAAACATTTGGGTTTATTTCGCTGTGACTGCACCCCCTGAATCTTAATCATATGTGTCTCTGGGTTTCCCTTAAGGGGGATGGCTCCCCTTAAGATGACTTTGGGGCTGCCATGGGCCTTGTCACCTGCATTGGGCTGGTGAGGACAGGGACAGAGATGCCCACAGAGCAGGTGGGCTGTGCTCCTGCCCTGGGCAAATGAGGGCAGGCGGCCTCTAACAGCTGACACCATGTCAGGACAGTGGCTACCTAGCAGGAAGCTCTTTCATCTAGAGTCCTGGTCCTTCATGCCTGGGTGTGGTCATGGCCCCTCTACAGCTGCCAGTCAGAGAACTGCCCAGGAGCTCCCACTCCTCCTCTGAAGACCCCAAATCTCACCACTGACCAAGATAGCCCTCTGACCACAGTGGGCTCCCCCAGCCACCACGATGGTACCCCAACTGCTATGAAAGGTCCCCTGACCACAACAGGCACCCTGACCACCATGATAGGCCGGCCACCCATCTACTCTGACAGCCCCCTTCCCCTACAGCCCTGCCCAAGTCTCCTGACCCACCCAAGGGTCCTGACCCCACCCAAGGCTCCTGACCCCAGCCAAGGCTCCTGACCTCACCCAAGGCTCCTGACCCCACCCAAGACTCCTGACCCTACCCAAGACTCCTGACCCCACCCAAGGCTCCTGACCCCATCCAAGGCTCCTGACCCCAGCCAAGTGTCCTGACCCCAGCCAAGGCTCCTGACCCCGCCCAAGGCTCCTGACCTCAGCCAAGGCTCCTGACTCCACCCAAGGCTCCTGACCTCAGCCAAGGCTCCTGACCCTACCCAAGGCTCCTGACCCCGCCCAAGGCTCCTGACCTCAGCCAAGGCTCCTGACTCCACCCAAGGCTCCTGACCTCAGCCAAGGCTCCTGACCCTACCCAAGGCTCCTGACCCCGCCCAAGGCTCCTGACCTCAGCCAAGGCTCCTGACCCTACCCAAGGCTCCTGACCCCACCCAAGGCTCCTGACCTCAGCCAAGACTCCTGACCCCACCCAAGGCTCCTGACCCCACCCAAGGCTCCTGACCCCAGCCAAGGCTCCTGACCTCAGCCAAGGCTCCTGACCCCACCCAAGGCTCCTGACCTCAGCCAAGGCTCCTGACCCTACCCAAGGCTCCTGACCCCACCCAAGGCTCCTGACCCCATCCAAGGCTCCTGACCCCAGCCAAGGCTCCTGACCCCAGCCAAGGCTCCTGACCCCGCCCAAGGCTCCTGACCTCAGCCAAGGCTCCTGACTCCACCCAAGGCTCCTGACCTCAGCCAAGGCTCCTGACCCTACCCAAGGCTCCTGACCCCACCCAAGGCTCCTGACCTCAGCCAAGACTCCTGACCCCACCCAAGGCTCCTGACCCCACCCAAGGCTCCTGACCCCAGCCAAGGCTCCTGACCTCAGCCAAGGCTCCTGACCCCACCCAAGGCTCCTGACCTCAGCCAAGGCTCCTGACCCTACCCAAGGCTCCTGACCCCACCCAAGGCTCCTGACCCCATCCAAGGCTCCTGACCCCAGCCAAGGCTCCTGACCCCAGCCAAGGCTCCTGACCCCGCCCAAGGCTCCTGACCTCACCCAAGGCTCCTGACTCCACCCAAGGCTCCTGACCTCAGCCAAGGCTCCTGACCCTACCCAAGGCTCCTGACCCCACCCAAGGCTCCTGACCTCAGCCAAGACTCCTGACCCCACCCAAGGCTCCTGACCCCACCCAAGGCTCCTGACCCCAGCCAAGGCTCCTGACCCCACCCAAGGCTCCTGACCCCACCCAAGGCTCCTGACCCCAGCCAAGGCTCCTGACCCCACCCAAGGCTCCTGACCCCACCCAAGGCTCCTGACCCCACCCAAGGCTCCTGACCCTACCCAAGGCTCCTGACCCCACCCAAGGCTCCTGACCTCACCCAAGGCTCCTGACCCCACCCAAGGCTCCTGACCCCACCCAAGGCTCCTGACCTCAGCCAAGGCTCCTGACCCCACCCAAGGCTCCTGACCCCACCCAAGGCTCCTGACCTCAGCCAAGGCTCCTGACCCCACCCAAGGCTCCTGACCTCACCCAAGGCTCCTGACCTCACCCAAGGCTCCTGACCCCACCCAAGGCTCCTGACCCCAGCCAAGTCTCCTGACCCCGCCCAAGGCTCCTGACCCCAGCCAAGGCTCCTGACCCCGCCCAAGGCTCCTGACCCCAGCCAAGGCTCCTGACCCCGCCCAAGGCTCCTGACCCCAGCCAAGGCTCCTGACCCCACCCAAGGATCCTGACCCCACCCAGGGCTCCCGACCCTGCCCAGGGCTGCCAACCCCCAGGCCTGCCGAGTTCCTGCTCCCTGAGGCTTTGGGAAAGACTCAAAGGCTTTGGGAAAGACTCCATGTCAGTTGTCTGCCAGGAGAGCCGTGGAGGGCAGCCGCCTGGCCCCAGCCCGAGGCCATGTAGAGCCTCCAGACAGAATGGCCAGGAAACTGAGTCAGAGCCTGTTTATCACGCGTGTGACGGAGGGCGAAGACCTGCATCACGGGAGAACCCCACGCACACGGAGCTCATGGCCTGTGCCAGGGTGGGCGGGAGACCTTCACCCACCCGCCGGGTCCCCGGGACACAGCGTGTCCGCCTGCTCTTCCCCAGGGGTCTCAGGGCTCTCTGCTCTTTGAGCCCAGGATGACCCTGCTCCCCCAGGCTCAGAGCCCAGCAGCTCCCGGAGGGTGGAGGGTAGAGGAACGCGGAGCTTCTACTGGCCTCACAGGCATGGCCCCATTCATTTAGTTCCACAGGTCGGGGCTTCCCAGCAGGGGACATGGAGGCCCAGAAAGCATTTGTCTAGAGTCACACAATACCGTGGCAGAGGGAGGCGAGGCTGGGACCCATAGGCTCTGTCTCCATTACCCCAACCTGCAGCTGCCCCACCTGGCCTGGTGTCTGTTACTGGTGGACCCTGCTGGCGGAGCCCTGGGAGAAAGAGGCGCTCCAGGCGTGGGCGGCGGGGGCTGGCATCTGCTCCTCGGCTGCTTTCCTGACCGAGTTTGGAACTGGACCGCATGGCCCTTGCCCTCCCTCTGTGCCTTCTCCAGGTGGCGTCACAGGGGCCTGCAGCAGCTGCACCAAGCCCGGCCCCTGGGGTTCTCAGCTGCCTGGCACCCTCCAGTCCACACTGTACTTTGCCAGGGCCTCTGAAATGCAGAGGCTGAACCACAGAAGAAGTGGCTCACCCGGAGACTGCGGCAGCCTGAAGTCGGCTGAACCACAGAATGAGTGGCTCACCCGGAGACTGCGGCAGCCTGAAGTCGGGGCCCTCTACGTCTTTGTCACGCTCTCTCCCGGAACAAAACCGCCCTTGGGCTTCAGGCCCCAGAGGTTATGCCCACGGGCAGCTGCCCAGCAGAACCATCATCACACGAGATTGGTTGCTCACTCCTCCCCCATCGACCCACTCCCCGGCATCTTCCCTCTCACCAAATGCTGCCGGTGGTTCTAACCTCACAGTCTGGACAGCCAGCTGATGGCCCCAGAGGTTCCTGGTCAGAAGTGCTGCCTTTCCCTGCCCTCGGGACACCCCCGCCCCCACGGCAGATGCCACTGCCTTTCAGGGCCAGTAGCAGACATGGCAGAGCACTCTCCGTGGGGCTGTCACCTGACTCGGGATAACAGTGCTACTCACACAGCACAAACGGGGTCGGAGCTTGCACAGAGACCACGATGCCCCCTCAGCCCAGGGAGGACGACGCAAAGGTGATAGCTAGTCCCTCCACCCCCAGACACATCCCCTTGCTGACCCCCACACCTGTCCTCAGTGTACATCTGGGAAGCCCAGAGAGGGTCAGTGGCTCACCTGAGACACACAGCTGTGGTGAGACAAGGTTCTCCATAGACTGTCAGCCGAGCACAGATAAACTCAAAAGCAGATGCAGTGCACACTTATTCAGACATAAGAAGGAAGGCAGGTCCGACACACGCTCCAGTGGGGATGGACCCAGAAAACACGGGCGAGTGGAAGAGCTGGACACAGGATCCCGCTTACACACAACACCGGAAAAGACAAATCCACAGAGGCAGGAAGCAGATCAGTGGTGGGCAGGGCAGAGGGAGGGAACGGGCCTGACTGCCCGTGGGCATGGGGTTTCTTTTGGGGGAAAATGTTCTAAAACTTGTTAGCAATGATGGTTGCACACCTCTGGGGCTTTGCTAAGTGCCACTGACTTGTGTACTTGAGATGGGTGAGTTGTAAGATGTGTGGGTTATACCTCAACAAGGCTGCTGGAAAACCACAGTAGACCCGGAACGAAAGTACCTGTGAGCTGCTCACAATCCCTCGCTCACAGAGAGGCCACGGAACTTTGTCAGCGCACCAGGGCAGTAGCGGGATGGGTGTCAAGGCCGTGCACACCCACGAGGCCGTAGGAAGCCTGGTCAGGCTGTCGGGGCCTCAGACGGCAGAAACCTATCCCGAGAGGAAAGGGCCCTGGGCACAGGCTATGGCAGAAGAGCTTCGAGAGCCCAAAGCTCCCAGGGAAGCTTTGAGCTTCCTCAAAAAGCTATTTTGAGCCTAAAATAGCTTCAAGAGCCCAAAGCTCCCAGGGAGAAGTTGAGGTTGATGTGGTCACCTCGAATGGGGAACTCCTCCAGGAAGGAAAGGAGAAGTTTTATTTGGGGTGGGGGTGTTAGAGTAATGCCAGGCGGGGCGGCGGGGGAAGAAGGTTCTGGGGCGGGGCGTTAGAGTGACACCAGGTCCCGGTGCAGCGCTCGTGAGTGCCCCACATCCCTGGGCATCACACGCGTGTCGTCTGGAGCAGAAGCTGGTGGAGAGGTGTCCTTCCTATTTCTCAGATGGGGAGACTGAGGCCTGGGTGGGGGCAGGTGGAGAAGCACAGTCGCCGCCCAGCAGCCCAGCACTACCTTTGGAGGGAGACAAACTCGCTCCCCCAGGGCCGGGGGCTGGGGGCCTCGGTGTGGCCTTTGGAAGGAGATGAACTTGCTCTCCCAGGGCTGGGGCCTCAGGGCCTCAGCGTAGCCCAGGTCTGCGCTGGCTCTGGGCTCTTCCCGCTGCAGGTGTGGGTCCCCCGTGGGCAGCTCTCACACCACAGGCCTGGCTCCCTAGGGGTATGGTCAGAGTGGGACCCTGTACCGCCTCTGCCGCCCTTTTCCCTTTGCCTCCATGGAGCGGGCCTGAGTTCCCAGAGGGCTGATTCCTCTCTCTGCCCCGACCCCTGGCAACCCTGTCAGCTGCTCATTCACCTAATAGACAAGTGCTGTGTGCCCGGGCTGTGCCGCACCAACCCAGGGCCAGGATTCAGAGGGGAACAGAGAGGAAGCCCCATCCTCGCGATGCCAAGGTCCCAGCAGCTGGAGGGGCAGCGCCCTGCTGATTGACGCGCTGAATCGTGTGCCCCCGTCCTTACTGGCAGGCACGCCACATGTGCTGTGTGCCATGTGTTCAGGTCTGGCCTGGGCCTGCTGTGTCCTGGTCTCATACACGCTACATGGACAGTCACATGAGCAGCTGCTGTGGCCGCGGACGGGTGGTGGGGACAGGGCATGACCCTGTTGGGGGAGCAGAGGGGTCTCCTTGCGGGAGAGAGTTGAAGTAGTCCTGGCGATGATGGTGGGCTCCCAGGAGAGGTGGAGGGAACACGCATGCACGCCCAGGGCTGGAGGCACGTGGGTGTTCAGGGCCTGTGAGGAGGCCCGGGCACCAAGGCAGCACCCAGCGCTTACAGAGCCTGCAGGTCTTGGACAGAGGTGCAGGCAGAGGCAGGAGGTGGCATGGGTCATACCACCTGTAAAAGCCAGGCGCAGTAGAGAATGTTCTAGAAATAAATGTGATGCTGCGATTGCCTGAGAGGGAACCCAGGTGCAGGAGAGGGAAGGTCCCGGGGAAACCCTCCTTTTCCTCCTCCTTCCTCCCAGCAGCTGGGAAAGGCGATGGAGAGAAAACGGGAGCAGGGCAGAGACGGTATCTGGGATTACAGGAGGAAAGGTGGCTCATTGTTTAAAAAGATCATTAAGCCTGTCATCCCAGCACTTTGGGAGGCCAAGGCAGGCAGATCACCCGAGGTCAGGAGTTCGAGACCAGCCTAGCCAACATGGTGAAACTCCATCTCTACTAAAAATACAAAAATTAGCAGGATGCAGTGACGGGCGTCTGTAATCCCAGCTACTTGGCAGGAGGCTGAGGCACGAGAATCACTTGAACGCAGGAGATGGAGGCTGCAGTGAGCCGAGATTGCACCACTGCACTCCAGCCTGGGTGACAGAGCCAGATTTTCCAAAAAATAATAATAATAAATTAAAATAAATAAATAAATCATTAAGGTTCCAAGGAAAGATGAGTCTGTTTCCCTCAGATGATTTTCAGTAGAAAACAGGCAGAGATAAGACAAAGTCCTTGATTCCCAGGTTTGTCTGCCCTCCCAGGACAGCCCACGAGATGTGAGTGGTATTGAATGACTCAGGCCTACACCTGCTGGGCTGGGAGGGCAGGGCACTCTTCTGCCTCAAGCTCTAAGTTCAATGTGGACGGCATCTGTGAAATGGGACTGCGTCACCTGCTCTGCTGAACTCACGGGGCCAGGTGCCAGGTCGACGGGGTTATGGGTGCAGAGGCTGTTTGAAGATAGCAGAGAAGATGTGAAGAAAGAAGTTTGAAAATCCTGGTGTGAGAAGGCCCTCGGGAGTGTCACATTTGAACACTATTGATTTGTGGACTGGAACCTACCGGAACGAATCCATTTGTCATGGGGCATAAACAGAAGTCGGCTGAGTGAGGCCTCCACAAGAATCTCAATTTTCCTTATGAAAAGAGGCTGGCCTAGTCTTTGTCCTCTGCCCCTTCTTCCTCCTTCCTGCCTGGAATGCAGACATGATGCCTGGAGCAGGGGCAGCCACTTTGCAGCCAGGAAACCATAAGCAAGAGGATAGTGAAGCTGAAAGAGCAGAAATGCCAGGTACCAGACAGTGTCGTTGTGGCACTGGCCTGGGCCACCCGCCTCTGGGTTTGGTCATGTAGAAACAAACCTTGTTTACACCCCCGTTAGGTTTTCTGTGATTTGCAGCTGACATAATCCTATTGGCTACAGGGATCAAATCCATCACAGGGAGGTCTGCCAGATTTTGGAGATTACAGATGCAGAATGCCTGGTTAAATTTGAATGTCAGATAAACGATAACTGATTTTTAGTGCATGTCCCAGGCAATATTTGAGATACGCTTACGATTTAAAAATTTGTTTATCTGAAATTTGACTTTAACTGTAATGCTATTCACTGATGAAGTCACAGAATCCAGAGAGGCTGTGAGACCTGTCTGAGGTCTCGCTGTGGGCAGGTGGTGGATGGGGCTCTGCCTTCTGTCTTCCACGGCCTCTCCTTGCTTTGATCCTGATCTGGTGTCTCTAGAGCTTTCTAAACCTGCTGTAACAGATCTGTAAAGAAGGGGGCCTGTGGATGCCGCCAGAGCCCGTGAGAGGTGGTTCCCAGACAGGGGGCGCACGGGGAGTGACGGAACCTTCTGTAGGAACTGACACACAGCACTGGAGATTTCCACTGCATAGTAACCGACACTCACCCCTGGGCATTCCCACCACATAGTGACTGACCCTCAGCACTGGGCATTCCCACTCCATAGCAACTGACCCTCAGCGCTGGACATTCCCACTCCATAGTAACCGACCTCAGCGCTGGACATTCCCACTGCATAGTAACCGACAGTCAGCGCTGGGCATTCCCACTCCATAGTAACCGACCCTCAGCGCTGGACATTCCCACTCCATAGTAACCGACCCTCAGCACTGGGCATTCCCACTCCATAGTAACCGACACTCAGCACTGGGCATTCCCACTCCATAGTAACCGACACTCAGCACTGGGCATTCCCACTCCATAGTAACCGACACTCAGCGCTGGGCATTCCCACTCCATAGTAACCGACACTCAGCGCTGGGCATTCCCACTCCATAGTAACCGACACTCAGCGCTGGGCATTCCCACTCCATAGTAACCGACACTCAGCGCTGGGCATTCCCACTGCATAGTAACCGACACTCAGCGCTGGGCATTCCCACTGCATAGTAACCGACACTCAGCGCTGGACATTCCCACTGCATAGTAACCGACAGTCAGCGCTGGGCATTCCCACTCCATAGTAACCGACCCTCAGTGCTGGGCATTCCCACTCCATAGTAACCGACACTCAGCGCTGGGCATTCCCACTGCATAGTAACCGACACTCAGCACTGGGCATTCCCATTCCATAGTAACCGACACTCAGCACTGGGCATTCCCACTCCATAGTAACCAACCCTCAGGGCTGGACATTCCCACTCCATAGTAACCGACACTCAGCACTGGACATTCCCACTGCATAGTAACCAACACTCAGCACTGGGCATTCCCATTCCATAGTAACCGACACTCAGCGCTGGGCATTCCCACTCCATAGTAACCGACCCTCAGCACTGGACATTCCCACTCCATAGTAACTGACACTCAGCACTCGGCTTTCCCACTCCATAGTAACTGATACTCAGCACTGGAGATTTCCACTGCATACTCGTACTTTTTTACTTTTACAAAAGCATCAATTGCCAATGGATATTTATTTTCCACAAATAACATGAGACGCCATGAACCAGCCTCGAAGGTGAATGCACTTCCCAGGCTGCTGTGTCCACTGTGTCTGCTGGGGTCACTGTCCTGTGGGGGACGCTGAGGCTTCCTCTGTGCTCAGCAGGAAAAGCATTGTGATCCATTACCCATGCCTGTCGTGAGTCCCGAAGGAGAGGCCCAGGGCCCAGGCCACTCTGCACCCTGAGGGCACGTGGTGGGGCCAGATCACCAAAGGGCACATTTGGGAGGACTGAACACAGATGCCGAGTCCCCTGGACCACGTTTCGGGGGGAGACAGCCACGTAGCCGGAGCCAGTGCCTTCCCACCCAGCACCTCCTGTGGTCCTCACGGTGCTCGGCCCAGCCACGAACATGGGTGTCTTTAGATGTCGCCTGGTGGGAAAACAGGGGGAGCAAAGCCTGCTGCTGCTTTCTCGTCTGTGCCCCGAACCCTGGAGATGAGGGGCGCTGACCCTGCACGGCTTCTGAGCACCGACATGAATTCCCAGGTCCACTCGGAAGGGAGCTGGGCAACCCCACCCCGCGTGTCTGAAAACTTCCACTTGCTTGATTTCCACAGGGCCTCCAGGAGGGCACAGGGCACGCCACCCCACTCTGTGGTTTGCAGAGGGGAGATAACGGAGGTTGGGTCCAAAGCCACATCCTCAGCACCTGAGCTGCAGGGACACAGTCAGTGCCAGGGGCCCTGGGCAGATGCGTAGCTGGGCCTGGCAGGATGCTGGGGGTGCTTCTTCAAATCTGGAGGGGGAGCTGGAAGAAGCAGACACAGGCCCAGGGCCGGAGGGAGAGAAGGTGGGGGCTTGGACAGAGGCTGTAAGGAGTTTCTACCAAAGTCCAGGGACAGTGGGGGAAGGCCAGGGGTGGGCGCTCATCTTCTGCCAGGGGTGGGCGCTCGTCTTCTGCCAGGGGTGGGCGCTCATCTTCTGCCAGGGGCGGGCGCTCATCTTCTGCCAGGCTTTTTTTTTTTTTTAAGAATGTTAAGATCTTTTAAAAATTTGTGATAAACAGAACATAAAATTTACTATTTTCACCATTTTAAAGTGCACAATTCAGTGGTATTTAGTACACTGACAACGTTCTGCAACCAGCGCCTCCACCTAACTCCAGAGCACATCATCAACCTCGCAGTGAATCCCGGCCCCAGGAGCTGTCACTGTCTTCTCCACACCCTCCCCATGGTGACCCCAAATCCACTCTGTCTCTGTGGATTTGTTATCGTGGACATTCCATAAAATGGGACCAGACCGTATGCGGCCTCTTGGCTCTTTCACTTAGTGTGATGTTCTCAGAGCTGAAGCACCGCGCTGCAGTGCGCATCAGGAATAGATTTTAGCGGCGTCATGCCTGGATTTCCCTGCTCAGCTGACACTTCGTGAGCCAGGCACACAGCGGCCCGAGGAGAGCCGCATTCTGTGACTCAGGGTTCTGCGGGATCCTGGAATGCAGGGAGGCTCGGGTCCGTGCACGTCTGAGGCAGGAGGCCTGGCCTGGCCACACGGGCGTGGGTTCCTCATCCCTCTGAGCCTCTGTCTCTTCGTGGTGACTTAGGGGACTCTGCATCTCGCTTGCAGTGCATCTTGAGAAAGAGAAGAGCTCTGTCTGCAGTGAGGAGAGGACAGAGAGCTGCCCAGAGCTCCCAGCCCTGCACCTGTGAGGTAGGTGGCACAGCTCTATGGGGGTCTTTAAAGGGCCACGCACACAAGACCATCTGCATACCTGGGCCGATCGGCTTAAAGGAATCCATATGTGGGTCTTCACCTTCCAGATTGTTCTGCAAACACGGCTTGGGGTCAGCTGTGTGCTGCTCCTGCCTGCTCTTCCCCCAATTCATGGGTTGCCTCTCTCTAGCATGAGTCTGATGACAGGGCTTCGACCCACCAGTGAAAACCTGGGGCAGGCCCCATGCCCTGCCTGCCTCCTGTTCGGAAACCACAGACCCAAAGGTGTAAAAAATCACGTTGACTTCTGGCCCTCCTGGTGTTAGCCAGGCTGCCAAGGGCCCAGTGGCCTCTTTTGACTTTTAATTTACTGCTGGTGAGGCTTCAGTTAGGGTTAGGGTGCAGAAAACTGACAAGTTGCAAGCTACTTGTTGTTCTGAAGAAAGATTGCACTTCACTAATTCCCACTCGTCAGGTTCCGTGTGGCTTTCCTTCTTCATGGGGTCTTTAATGTCCCTCGTCCCCTCTGAATCACCTGGGCTGCCCGACTGGCTCCCTCATCGCGGAATAATACACCTTTCACACATGCTTACTGTATGTGTGTATAAGAACTATGTTTTTAAGATTTGAAAAATATACTTTGACCTTTCCTTCCTGCTTCCTTACCTTTTTATCTTCCCATCCATCTATCCACCCACCAACCCATCTATCCATCCACCCACTCATCCATCCATCCACCCATCCATCCACCATCTATCCATCCAGTCACCCATCTATTCATCCATCTATCTATCCACCCACCCATCCATCCACTCACCCACCATCTATCCAACTGTCCATCCATCCATCCATCCACCATCTATCCACTTATCCATCCATCCATCCATCCATCCATCCATCCATCCATCCATCTATCCATCTATCCATCCATCCACCTACCCCACCCACCATCTATTTATCCATCTATCCATCCATCCACCCACCACCTATGCACTTCTCCATCCATCCATCCATCCACCCATCCATCCATCTATCCACCCACCCATCTATCCATCCATCCATCCATCCATCCATCCATCCACCCACCCACCCACCCACACATCCATCCATCTATATCACAATTAGAATTCAAAGTGAGGCATTTGGATCATTTAATAACATGCTTATTTGAATTAATATCTGACAAACATCAGTCTGGGCAGATTGTTTTTCAGTGAGGACCAGTTCTGCCCTTTGTTTTTAAGGCAGCATTTCTATAAATCAAGTGAGCTAAATGTGCAGATTTTCATAAGACCAGATGCCAAACACTGGTAACATATTAGGTATGCTAGAAAATACAGTTTTTGAGACTGTTTAATCAATGTTTAGAGGCTGCAAATTGGCCCATGTGGCACCATTGCCAAGGGTCCTGTGTCCAGCCTTTGGTTTAGAAGGATACTTGGTGCGCAGCGCCAGCCACAGGCCCCGAATCCTGCTTCTACAACCCAGGGGGCTAGGTCCCTGCGGGGCAGAGAGTTTGCAGAACAGGTGTGTGCCACGGCCAACACATGCCTCACACACTGTATGCAGCTGTTCTTCTGTGACCCAGTGGTGAGGTTGCGGGGTGCAGCTGTCACCTTATTTATTTTAACAACGTCTTGTCCACAGATACCTGTCATGTTTGAAAACCTCTCTAGTGGCTCCTGGGCCACCATTATCTGCCAAAAACGAAGCAGCATAAGGTCTGTGTGTGGCCAGGCTGGGTGAGGCTGCTTTGTAAGCAATTTCATCTTATAGGGGAACTTGGCTTGTCAAAAAAAAGTTTTAGGGAGCTCGCAAACAAAAGCATTAAAAGCCCACAGAACCACCGGCTTTGAGAATCGGGCCTGGTGCTTGGCACCTGACAGGTCCTCTCCACTGTGCCCGGTCCCTCCTCTGTGGGCTGATGTCAGGGGAGGGGACGGGGGCCCATTCGGCAGCAGGAACAGAGAGACCCCACAGAGCATGGGTGCATACAGAGTTCCCCCTGGGCCACTCCTTGGCCAGGGAAAGCAGACCTCGCCTCCTCTCGTAGCTGCAAGGTGGGGCCCCTCTGGACGGAGTGGGCTTTCCCGGTTTGTGTGGGTCGCTCTGCTCTGAGGGTCACTCTGCTCACTGGCCTGCACAGTCCCAGGACTTCCCCGACCTGAGTCACAGCACGGCTTCCTGAAACACATCTTGGCCACATTAGGCCGTCTCTAGGGACAGACTCCAGAGCAGCCAGCTAACAGGGCTGCCATTTTACCCTGGTCCTTGGCAGGAGTGAGGCCTGTGCCGGGGTAGGGGGGTGGCAGCCCCTGTGAGTGCCCACAGAGGAGAGCAGAGCGGGGGATCGCGAGTCCACAGACCTCCCGGCCCCTCTCCCACCTGTGCAGCATGGCTGGGCTACCTCCCCTGCCACACCCTCATCCCACCTGGGGTGACCACCAAACCCATGTCCAGACGAGGACCAGGCCCAATCAACCTCTGGCCTCCCATGAACTCAGTAGTGGAAGCAGTAGAAGCACCCGGTGCCAGGCCCTGCCCAGCGCCCAGCTTCCCAGCCTCCCTTGGAGGCCGGCCCTGGTTTCCACAAACAAGGAATTCCTCCAGGAGCAATGGACACTCTTGACCTCCAGAACCACTGCCTGCCATCACCAACACCTGCGCTGGACAGAGGCCTTTCTGAACACGAGCTGGGTGGGTTGGGGTGGGGGGCGTCTCCAGTGACTCCCGTGCCCTGGCCCTGCCTGGCTTGCAGAGCCACCCAGATGGAAGTCGGATGCAGCACGCCCACTGCTGCCCCTCAGAGACCAGGCGCTCATTTCCCCCAGGAAGCCGGGATAGGGCCCACACCCACCCTGGACTCTGGAAGCCCAGGATGAGAACTTCGTATCACACTCTAGTCCCTGTGGCCAATGTCTTGTGTTTGCCTTGGAGAAACCATGTGGGCCCCAGGGGACGAGGGAAAGCATCCTTGATTGAAGCATTGTTTGTAGCACGGGAAATTGACGCACTCAACCTCTCTCCATAGGGAAGCTGAGAACAGTGCGCTGGTGTGTGCCACCCCCAACCCCCAACCCCCGAGGTGCCACTCGGCCCCGACACGCGGCAGCACCATGCCACCCCCCAGCCCCCGAGGTGCCACTCGGCCCCGACACGAGGCAGCGCCATGCCACCCCCCCAGCCCCCGAGGTGCCACTCGGCCCCGACACGAGGCAGCACCATGCTCAATGCAGTCAGCCTCGCAGGTGTCGAGAGAGGAAATTGCAAAGGAAAATGAGAATTCGATGCCTTTTCTGTAACTGTGCGAGACACACTGCCTGGGAGCGACGGGGACGGGGCAGGATGCCTGGGGACGGCTTTCCACACCCTAAGTGCTGCCATGCGTCCACCTGTTCAGTTTTCACAGATGTGCCGGAGACGGGGACTGCTATTGCCCCATTTACCGATGAGGAAGCCGTGGTGGGGTGTGGGGTGGCTAAGCCTCTGAGCTAGGTCCCCCCAACCCCTTGATCCCATCTCGCCGCCCCCAGGTGGGGTGGCCTTCCGGGCTGGGGACACTGGACCTACAGGAATTCCTTTCTATAAAGAAGAGGGAAGGAAGGAGCAGGCCGGGGACGGGGACGGCGTGCTGCCCTGCGTGGCTCCCGCGACCTGGCTTCTCCTGGGGGGTTAAAGATCAGCCACAGAGCACAGGGGTGAGGGTCAGGCGCACACTGCCTGGGGGCTCGTCGCGGCTCAGCCCTCACACTGCCCCTTCCTGTCCAGGGCACCGGGGAACTCAGGACGCCCCCTGCCCCGGAGCAGCGCGTCCAGCGGGGGTCGGCGTGAGCTGTGTGGAGGCGCCCACCCTCCCTTGCAGCCAGAGGTAGGAAGTAGAAGGGAAAGAGGAGAGGTCGCTCTGTGGCCTCCAGAATGTCACCATTTTCACACATGTTCAGTTTATAAACTTTTAAGCTTTCTGCATCCTTCTTTTCGCACCATGACTAAAGTGACTGAAATTCTGTGGGTTCGACGGGTCATGGGGCTGAGTTGGGACCATGTGACCACAGGGCTTTGATGAGGAACCCCCCATACCGCCCATGCTGGGGCCCACCTGGAGGAAATAGGCCCAGAGAGGCACGCCCTGGTGAGAGGCCGAATAAGGGTGGACCACAGGGGACTGCCAGGGGCCCTGGCCGCAGGACTGCCCGTCCCAGCTGTCTCTGGCCCTGGGGAGGGGCTCAGTAGGGAGGGGCGGGAAGCACCTGGCAGTTTCAGTTTCGCCAGGAAGCGGCTGCCTGCTGTCTCCCTTCCCACCCGCCGCCCGGAGAGCCCCCCAGGTGGGGACGGCCCCTTGCACTGCAGACGAGGAAGCCCCAGCTGAGGGGCCGCAGGACAAGCCTCACGGCTCCTGGCAGTGGGGACAGAGCCAGGCCCAGCCTCAGCTGCGTCTCAGGAGGACCTGGGGTGGGAGAAGCCCCTGGGGGCCGAGAGCAGATGAGGGCAGATCTGACTGGCATCTTCTGTCACCTGCTGGTGACCTTTTAGAACACGTGGTCCCAACCCTTGGTCTAGAATATGCTGCCGTGTTGGAGGGGCAGAAGCAGCTGAGACGGCTGTCCGTCCCCCGCCTGTCAGTCCGTCTGTCTGGGGCTGGGGGTGTCAGGACAACACCCACCACTGCAGGCCCCCTTGGGAATAAGCGGCAAGAAGCTTCGGGGTCCAGTTTGCACCGAGCCCCTCCAGCGGGGACGCCTCTTTCATTTCTGCACCCTGCGCCTGGCACGGAGGGGTGTGCGGTCAGCGGGTGGGGGCTGATTGGGTGACTTGCAGTGACAGGGTGGCGAGGCCCTGGACCTGAGTGCCATGTGACCCCCATGGACCATAACCCCTCTGAGCTCCAGGGTCTGCAGCGCTGCAGGCCTCACACAAATCGGGGGCCAGGAGCCTAAGATCTGCTCTCTAAATCTGGGAGCCCAGCCAGAGCAAGCCCTCAGCAGACCCAGCCCCAGTGTGCGGCCTGGTGCCCCCGTTTTGAGGAATCCCCCATCCTCTCGTGAGCAGTCGGCTGGGTCAGGCTGGCTCCACCGGCTCTGGGATTCGGCTGCAGCCTGGCCCGGATGCCGCCGGGGTCACCGCCATCTGGAGTGAGGGGCTGCAGCGGACACGGCTGGAGGGACGGTTGCAAGGTCCCCTCCCCCACTCTGTCCCCCTCAGGTCTGTGAAGTCGGGACTTTCTAGACACTCAAAACACACCTGGACTTGGGAGCTCAGGAGGAAGCTCCGGGAGCCCACAGGGTGGGGTGAATTCTCCAGTTCCTTCTCTACTGGGCTCCCTCCCGGCTGGTGCCTCCTGGCCTTGGCAGGGGTGGGAGGCCTGGTGTCTGCAGGGCCAGCTGCGGGGGTCGCAAGAGCGGGGCCCCTTGGGAAGGAGTGCCAGGAAGAGGGTCTTTCCTCACCAAATCCCACCCCAGCCTTCAGGAGGGGCTCGCCGCCACCCCGTTTTACAAACAGGAGACAGGCTGGGGTCAGCGTGGCCGGTGGACAGCAGTTTCCATTCCCACCATGGTCGGGTCCAGCCACTGCCCCTCACAGACCAGGGAGCCGAGGGAGAGGGGGGCGGGGCCGGCCTGACGACGCACAGACCTCAGCACCGCCCGTGGGGCTGCATCTTGCAGGCTCAGGGCAGCAGGCCAGGCTTGGCTGCCAGGGTGCGAGTGGCAGGTGCCGGGGGGCAGGTGCTGGGGCTCCCGGTGGGCCCTACTAGAGGGCACCGTGGACCCGGTCCAGTTAGGGTGAGCATGGCCTGGGGGGTTGCGATTTGGCAGAGCCCCCGATCTTCTGCAAGGCTGTGGGTTCACCCCATCCCCCTCCACAGGGGCCTCCCAAAATGAGCCCCAGAAGCTGTGGCTGTTGGAGGCTTCTGCCATGTCTTCTCAGGAGGGCATGCCTTCTGGCCCCACTCCTCCCAGGGAGAAAGCCACACTTGGGGCCCTCACCCCAGGAGTCCTCGTCTCCACAAAGGGGGCGCCTGGAAAAGCTGATGGAAATTCACGTCAGTGGGAGGCAGGCCTGGGGGAGGGGTTGGCCCACTCTCCAAAAGCTGCCAGTGAAACGGCTGCTCTGCAGCTGTCCTGGGCCGAGAGAGGATTTCACTCCAGGAGGCGGTGGCGGCGGCCCCAAGCCGGCAGCCTTGCTGTGTGATCAGCTGGGTGTCAGGATGTGCTTGATCCAGGGGTCGGCGACGCGGGTGTCAGGCAGCACCTGCGTGGGGCTTCCTCAGGTGAAGCAAGGAGACGGAGAGGTGGGTTCGGAGGGGCTCAGCTGAGGGCGCGGCTCTCGTCTCAGAGCAGGGCGTGCAGTGGGGTCCCTCTCCTGAGATGCGACCTCAGCTGCCTTGCCTCTGGGAGGGTCCCTGGCAGAGATGCACAGCCTGGGAGGACGTGGCCCACCCCAGCCCCGCTGTGTGAGCTCGGCTGGTTTCCTGACCTTTCTGATTTGTGTCCTCATCTGAGGTCAGCGATGCCCTTGAAGTGTTGCCGGGTGAAAGCCGGGAAGGGATTGCCGTCTGCCCCTTCCCTCCGGGGCCACAGGGCCTGAGTTCCTGGGAAAACTGTGGAGCCAGTCCCTGCCTCAGCACCAGCAGGATGCACACAGCCAAGTAACAACTGAAGGACCAGGAGCACGGAGGCCTCGCCTCGCCTGGAGATGGAATAGACTCACGCCTTCCAGGGCTCAGCACCCTCCTGGGCCAGCACCGTCTGCTGAGGGCCCTGCTGCAAGCAGGCACCAGAGCCCCTGTCTCGTGCAGCCGACGCTGGGGGCCGGGGGATGAGTAGTACGTAAGGGGGCAGCTGGTTTTTCTCATGGGGTGACAGATTGAAGGAGAGGAACACCGAGGGAAGGAGGTCGGTCGGGAGGGGGCTCCTCGGCGAGGGCATAGCACAGGCACGGGCTCGGGAGGCTTGTGGAGCCGCCAGGCAGCCGGGGCTGTGAGTGCCGGAGGCCGACGCGGTGGGGTCGGGCCGGGAGGGCTGGGCCGTGGGTGTGCGCAGGTGTGATGTGGCTGACGTGTTTTCATCAACTCAATTTTCCTTTTTTTTTAAAGACACGGTCTCCCTCTGTCATCCAGGCTGGAGTGCAGGGGCGCAATCTTGGCTCACTGCAACCTCTGCCTCCTGGGTTCACACGATTCTCCCGCCTCAGCCTCCCGAGTAGCTGGGATTACAAGCACCCACTACCACACTCAGCTAATTTTTGTATATTTACTAGAGGCAGGGTTTTGCCATGTTGGCCAGACTGGTCTCGGAATCCTGGCCTCAAGTGATCCGCCTGCCTCGGCCTCCCAAAGTGCTAGGATTACAGGCATGAGTCACGGCACCTGGCCTTGATTTTTCAAATGACATGGTGACCCAGCCACTCTCTGCCCACCTGAGAGAGCTGCCTGGGGCCTGGGGTGGGCAGAGCTGGGAGAGGAAGCCCCTCGGTGGGGTCCCCGCTGTGGACCTGTGTCCTGGGCAACTGCCCGACAGGCCTGGGAGCGGCCGTCCTGGGGGTGGACTTGGGGGTTTTGTGCTGAGAACTTCATTGGCGCCTGCTGCAGGCCGGCCTCTGGCTTTGTAACAGTCGACCTGAGTGACCCAGTCCACAGCTCCCAGCTGGAGTTCCTTCAAAGGGTGGGTGGGCGGCCCTCAGACAGGCCTCTCTTTTCCCTGCTTCTCTCCAGCTGCCCCTGGCCGACGTCTCCTCGGAGGAGCACTGGCCGGCGAGTCCTGGCTCAGCTGTGACCAATCGGCCTCTCCCTGAGGCCGCTCTTCCTGCCTGCGCCTCCCCGGTCAACTGCAGTCACGGAAGTGAAAGTGCCGGAAAACCCCTGCCCAGCGCCCAGGCAGGTTAACGGGACGCACTGCTTCTCGGTCCACATGTGGTGAGAAGTGAAAGTTGTCTTCGCCTAAAGAGTGGCCTCCTAGAGCCGCCCCCATGGGGCCACTTCCTCCAGGAAGCTGGCCCGGATTGCACCCTGACCCTAGGCACCGCCCCTGTCTTCCTAGGTGCTGATTCAAGGTCTTTCTGCTGGACAGGAGGACATGGCTGGTTGCTGTCCTTGTGTGTGGGGATGGGCTGGTATGGGGAAGGAGCGGAGCATTCCAGCAGCCACTGAGGCCTCAGGGAAGCAGTGCCACGCTTACTGGGGAGGGAGGGAGGGAGGTGCACTTATGGGACCTGGAAAGCTGGCTGCACCTGGCAGTGAGGACGTGCCCAGAGCCCCTGCTCCCTGCTCTGTGCCAGTGGAGCCTCCGGTGGGGAGATAGTTGGGGGGGAGTCAGGCTTTGTCCCACCGTCCACTCTCCTGAGGACTTCCTGCCTCTGTGGATGCCCCTCTCTCTATTACTAGCTCATCCATTCCTCTTCACCCTCTGGCCCCAGAGCTCTGCACTCTGCCGCCTCTGTCTGACCTTCGTAAATCCTCCCTCATGGAGCTGTCCATGCACTGGCAGCCCTGTCCCCTTGCGATGCTGCTGGCTTTCTGCCATGACTGACCCAGGAGGGATTCCAGGGCAAGCTTCCCTCCGAGCCTGGGGCTGGACTCCACGGTCAGTCTGATTTCACAGCAGCAAGATCCTCACATCTCCAGCCCATCTGCCTCTGCCCCACAGGGTCAGCAGAGCCTGCTGTGTGCCTCTCAGAACCTCAGTCTCTTCTTCTGTGATAGCAGTAACAGCAGCACTCCCAGGCTGGCTCCCCGACATGGAGCCCCCCAACACCATGTGGTCAACAAAAGGGGGGACAGGAGGCGGGAGGTGAGGTCTGAGGGTGCTGGGGACCTTGGGATGATGGCTGTGATGGCACTTTGCTCACAGACACAGGTCTGACAGCTACCATCCGGCCCCTTTGCAGGCACCCTTGGGGCTGCCTGTCTGTCTGTCTGTGGCCTCAGACGTCTTGTCATGCACACACTGACCTCCCTGCCTCTGGCTGGAGCCCACAGACACCCTGGCCGAGCTCTGCATGATCCACCAGCTCCAAAGCCCAGCAGACACAGGGCCTGCGGCTGAAGGAGGAGTCGGGCTGAGACCGCCCGGCTGCTCATGTCCACTCCCCCTCCCACCGCGCCCCCTTGATGGGGCACCTCCCATAACCGGGGCTGCCTGCAGCCTCTCCAGTGCCTCCCTGTGTCCCACCGCCTGGAGTGCAGAGTGAGTGGCTGGAGCTCTGGCCTAGGGTGGGCTGGGCCTTAGAAGAAGGAGGCAGAGGAAGATTTGGGAGGGAGGAGACGGCCTTGCAAAGACAGAGGTAGTGGCTGCGGCACGGCGGCCACAGCCCAGGAACACCTGGGACCAGCAGGACCTGGAGAAGGCAGGACCTGGAGGAGCACGGCCATCTGACGCCTTAGTTTCGGACTTCCAGCCTGCGGCACTGTGAGAACAGAAGCCTCTGTTGTTCTGAGCCCCCAGCCAGCTTGCAGCCCATCCTTACTGCAGCCCCAGGAGATAGAAACACCCGGGGAGGGCAATCCAGACCCAGAACATTCCAGACCCAGAACCTTCCAATGCAGAATATTCCGGACCCAGAACATTCCAAACCCAGAACATTCCGGACCCAGAACATTCTGGACCCAGGACGTTCCAGACCCACAACATTCCAGAGGACAGCTGGGCCTGGATGGCCACTTGAGGGGATGGAGGATGGAGAGTGAGTGGTGGCAAAGCCCAGCCCCAAGGGCAAGGTCGGGTAGAGGGAGCCCAGGCTGACCGCAGGCTCTGGACGTGACCCCTTTGCCAGGTGGGCTCCAGCCAGGGCTCAAGCTTCCTGCACGGATGGTGCCTTCACAGCATCTGCCCAGTCCCCATAACATCTGCCCGCCTTGCCCGGTCCCCATAACATCTCCCGCCTTGCCCGGTCCCCATAACACCCGCCCGCCTTTGCCTGCACCCCTCCACTGATAGTGCTCACCACCTCCCCGAGATCCCACGTCGTCCCTCTAAGGTGACACCAGGCAGGCCTGACTCAGTTTCTCCCCCATGGAGGTCCCAGCACATGGCACTGAAACTTCTCTGCCTCAGCCTACACTTGCCAGGTGGATTTCAAAATCTCTGTCCCTGGCACCCTCCTCGGGTGACCTGGTTCCCATCCCTCTCTCCTGAGGCAGTCAGGTCACCTTTCTGACCTCCGCCTCTTCTTCTGCAAAGTGGGCTTGGGGGGACAAGGCGGTGAGAGCCTGCACAGCTCCGAGCACACACAGCGGGCGCCTCGTAAACCCAGCACCGCAAGCACCGTCTTCAGGGGTTCCTTCTGCACCACTGGGCCCAGGGGTCAGTGAGGATCCAGACCCTCCGCGTGAGGGGGCTGGTGAAGGAGCCCAGGGAAGGGGTCCCGGCCCCCAGACGGCGGCGTGTGCTCTGTGGCCATCTTCTGATTGCTTACACCTCAGCCCCCAGGACGCTGTCAGAGGAGACGAGGGGCTGAGGTCCTCCCACCCCCTGCACAGCACACAGACGTCTCTCCTGCCCGCCACCAAACGCGCAGCAACACAGCCCTGCTCAGTACGCCTTTGGTCTAAAGACAGGAAGGTTCTTCTACTTCAGCTTTTAGAAATATTACTGTTCTCCCCAGAGTTTAAAGCCAATCGGCCTGTTTTCAGGCCTCAAAGGTTTTAGGAACTCTTGGGAGGCCTGTGTGCCTGACAGCCACACAGTGGGGCTGAGGTGCCCTCAGGTCTGTCCAGGACCCCCCGCAGTTCCCATGCCCCCCATGGCCCCCGCTCCTCCAGCCAGGCGAGGCTTGATGCCGAGGCTTTCTGGCATCACAAGGCTCCCACATCTGTCCCCTGGGGGCCTTGGGAGGCCCCTGGGGTACAGGATGAGAAGCCCCAAGTGCTGGTATTCACATGTAACTCTGCTGCCTGATGTGGCTAAGGCTGTCCCATGGGTACCCTGGAATAGGGCCGGGTGGTTGCACGGACAGAAGCCCCTAGAAGCCAGGGGCAGGACCCCGCACCCAAGTGAGACCCTGCTCCCTCCTCACATTGCAGCCCCTAAGCAGGGGCTCCCTGGGGGTGGGCACAGTGGCTGGGTACTCTGTGTTAGAGGCCACCCTGGCCCTCTGCTCCTGACCTGCAGCCATGTCAGAGGTCCACCCTGACCCTCTCTGCTCCACATCTTTAGCCATGTCAGAGGTCCACCCTGACCCTCTGCTCCTCACCTGCAGCCATGTCAGAGGCCCGCCCTGACCCTCTGTTTCATGCCTCTAGCCAGCAGCCCCTCGCATGACTCAGGCACGGGGCCACCTCTTGGCCCTAACCTCCTTCCACGGTAGACACCCCCGTCCTTCCACAGTAGACGCCCCCATCCTAACAAAGCGGCGGCTCTCCATGCGCCTCAGAGCCCGTCTCTCTCCGCGCCGGTGAGAACCTGCTCTCACGCGGGGAGCAGGTCGGAAGGGTCTGAACCATGAGGAAACTGAGGCCCAGGGAGGAAGCACCCGGCCCAAGGCCACTCAGCGCCAGGGGATAGACAGGGCCGCTCCAGAGAGGACGGGATGGCAGATGCCAGGGCCAGTGGGCTGGTGCTGCCTTGAAGGTGGCTCTGAGTCACCCATTCGGGAGAAACGAACAGTAGCACTGGCTGTGGTGAGGTCCGGCCTTTGCATTCCGGGCACCCGGGGTTGGGAAGTTCCTGCTCACATCTGGGGCCCTTGTGGGGGATGGCCCTGGGGCCCCACGGGCAGCTGCAGGTGGGAACAGCCTCAGGCAGCCGCCGCCAGGACCTGCTCAGGGAATGTGGTCTCCAGAGATGGGGACACCCCTCGGTCCCGGGTTCTGTGTGTGAGTGTCAGGGGTGCAGTCAGACCTTGGACCTGACGGCCTCAGTGAGAGCCCCGCGAGACGGGAGACTGTGAGCTCCTGAAGGTTCCGACGGCTGCTGGGAGTGTGGCCACGAGGGCCACTGGGAATCGGGGCCACCAGCCTGCAGCTGCAGCCCCCAGCGTCCGGGGATCCTTGTCCTGGGACTTCGCAGGCTCGGGTGGGGGGTATCAGCAATAGCTGGCGTCCTGCTGGACTGGACCCCTCCCCAGAGCCCGAAGCCCCCAGAAGGGCAGGCCCAGGTTCCCCGTAAACCCCCACTGCCCTGGCTGGAATCGTTCCTCGGACAGGGGCCCAGGGTTGGGTCCATTTCCTCCTCACCGGGGTCTTGGGCCAGTGCCCTCCCCTCTGGCCTCAGTTTCCTCATCCAACCTGCTGTGAGGTGTCACACCCGGAGGGCATCCCAGGAGGAGGAGGGCTCTCTTTCTAGGACCCCCCCATCACTTCCCGGCTGCGGCCCTCCCACCCCCAGGAGAACACAGCCCACCCTCCTAGACGGGGCTGAGCAGCCCGGCCTCCAGCATCTGCCTCTGGGTGGGGCTGGGGCACCTGGCTGGCACCTGCCAAACCCTCACCAGCCCACCTGCCCCAGCTGTGCAGGACCTGCCTGTGGGGTGGCCCTGTTGATATCTGAGGTGAGTCAACACGGCCATCCGTGCCGGCACTGTCAACTAAGCTGGGCAGGCCCCGCGAAGCTCTAAGGAGTCACAGCCCCGGCACCGGCTGCCGCTCTCTGCCCCCACCCCACCACCTTCCCCTCGAGCCTCTTACCTGGGCCGCCCTTCCTGGGACCCCGGGGTGCGGAGCAGCCGGCAGATGCCAGGAGGCCGCTCTCCAGCACAGGGTGCGTCTGGGACATGGAGCCACAGGTGGATCCCGAGGCTGAACTGGCTGCCCTGTCCCTCAGTCTTGAAGCCGGCATGAGGAGGGCCACCCTCAGGGGCCAACCTGGAGCCCAGGACAGGCCTCTACCAGGACTGCCTTTCCCGACCTCCTGCAGCCTTGAGGGAAAGAGGAGGGGCTGGGCCAGCTGGGGCGTCCTGGAGTTGGGCCTCTGTCCCTGGAAAGCCGAGGCCCTCCCGGCCACCAACTGGGTGTCCTCTGCCCTGGGGAGGGGGTGGGAGCCCTGGGGCTCATGTGACGCGGGGCGGGCCTGGGGCTGCAGGCTGGGGAAGGTCTCCCTGCAGCCTGCGGGTGAGGCAGCCAGCTGTGTCCCCGTGATAATGCCGGGGCCGGAGGCCTGCAGCTGCGCCCGCCACTTCCCTGACAGGAACCATCTGGGGCCCTGCCCTGCGCGGCCTTCCCTCGGGCCATTCCGGTTTGACCTTCCAACAACTTCCTCCTCCCAGGCAGCTCTGGTGACGTCCCACCCACCCTGAGCCCTACAGCGTGGCCACTGGGCATGTGTTTCCTCGGCCCCAGGGCAGGTGTGCAGGCCTGAGGGCAGCTCCATCCTGGCCCAGAGCCCTTGGCCTGTCCCGCCCACCCATCTTCCCCCCAGGGCTTGGCCCTTCCTTCAGCCTGGGGTATCTGGGGGTGTCCTCCCTCTCCGCTAGCCCTCAGTCAGCCGAGCTTTCCCCAGCACCCCTTTTAGTTTGCCCCCGCTCCAGGGGCCACCCTGCCCGTGTTCCTGTGTCTGCTGACTGTGCCCTTGAGCAAGGCGGGGCCTCTGACCAGCCTCTCCTCAGCCCCTGCTCCG
The DNA here is from genome assembly GCF_000001405.40 of Homo sapiens. Classification (NCBI taxonomy): domain Eukaryota; kingdom Metazoa; phylum Chordata; class Mammalia; order Primates; family Hominidae; genus Homo; species Homo sapiens. Next base: position 88,977,585 of record NC_000016.10, read on the forward strand.
GGGTTCTTGGGCACCTGACCTGTCCTCAAAGTACCTCCCGCCTGCTGGGAAGGAAACCCTCTCTCTCTGCTTGGCCTCGTGCACAGGGCTCCTGGCCCTCTGTGGAGACAGCAGGGCTCCCCCACTCTCCGGGGGTGCCTCAGAAAGACCCTCACCCCACGCCCCAGCGGCCGCCTCCGGTGAGCAGCCTGGAGTTTGCGGGGGTCGGGGGTAGGTGGCTTCTCCAGTCTGGGAAATTCCAGAAGCCACCTCAGAGCACTCTTGGGACTACTTAGACCCTAGGGAGAGTCCTAGGACCCCTTTCTAGCGGCCGTTGGGCTGAGAGAGTGAGGCACATCCCAGATGCTGGGAAAAAAAGCCACTTTCTAAAGCTCCCTGACAACTGTCAGAGGGCAGGAGCTTCCTGGGAGGGGACAGTGACCCTTCGGCCCTGCAGCCCTGGTTCGGTGGCTTTTCTGATGCCATGGCTGGAGGTTTCCCGGCCTCAGACAGGCCAGAGGTGTGGAGCCCGCAGACCCAGGGCCGGCTCACGGGCATCTGTGCTATTTTGATTTGATTTGATTTGAGTTTTAGGTCACGTTTGCACGCAGTTAATAATTCAAGCCGTGCAGGAGTAAAAGCCGACTCCTTCCCCGCAGGGTCTCCAGGTGTCCCGGGTCTCCCTGTCCCAATAGTCGAGTGTCTTTCTCGAGTTGGTGACAACAAGCTGCATGCCAGCGTGTGTGTCCAGCTTACAGTGGGGATGTGTTTGTTCCTGCTGGGGAACTTCCCAGACGCCAGGCCCACCCGGGGCCTCCCCTGCCCTGGGTGGTCGGCCGTTCTGCCCCCAGGACTGAGGCTGGAGGGGACATTCCTGCCAGCCCGGGGCCCATCCCCTGGTGCCATCATTCGGTCCCCACGTCCCCTGCTGTTCCCTGTGCTCTGGCTCAGGGTGGGATTCACAGTGAGGGTCCTGGGGGCCCTGACCCTCCTGGTTTCCTCATTTGTGCAGGGTGCACGATCCTAACGGCGTCAGCTCCTACAGCGTTTCCGGGAGTGGAGACAGCAGAGGCTCTGAGCCGCCACATGGGCCGGGGCCACCGTGAGCATGTGGCTGGGGTTGGTCTGTGTCAGTGCCTATTCCCCAGCTGTGTGCAGTGAGAGTCTCAGAGTCGGGGAACTGAGGGTCTCAGGGGGCACAGCCCCCACTCCGTGAGGCAGCAGGACAGCACCCTGGGTGAGGGTGGTGGCTCCCCCCACCCGGGGTAGGAGACAGGCAGCCCTGCCCCCAGCCCTGAGGCAGATGTTCGAGGCCTGCACCTGCGCCCCCCACAGATGGGACACTTCCACTTTCGCAATGAGGCCCTGAGCTCCCCGCCTGGCCCCGTCTTGCCTGGTGTCTAATCAGGGGGTCTGACGGAGGTGGGGTTGGAAAGAGAAGAGAAGAAAGTTGCCCACAAGTTGGGGGCAGGAGCTGCCCCCCAACTTTGGCGGCCACCTGGGGGTGTGGGCACCACTCCCCACCTCCCCACTACCGGCCTCCTCTCCCCCAGGCCGGGCAGTTGGTGCTTGTGGGGAAGCAGACGTTGGCTGTGGCTTTCAGAGCTGGGCGGCCAGGAGATAAGGGGCTGGGGAGGAAGTGGCTGCAGAGGTGGGGGCAGCAGGAGGGGCCTCGGCTTCTCCCAGGGACCTCTGCTGTCTGCAGCCAGCACCCAGCCTCTCGGGGCAGGAGGGGCCTTTCCTTCCTTCCTAAAAGACCTATTAGGGCCTACTGGGGTTCTTTCGGTGTCCAAGACAGCCCCTGGTCCTGCTCTCTGGGAACTATAGGAGACACGTTCCATCAACATGGCCCAGCATGTGGGGCCCATAGGGCAGTTGGGGAAACTGTCCCTGGGTGGGCAGAGGGGCCCTAAGGCAGGCTTTGGTGAATCTGTAGGATGGCCAGAGAACTGGAGGAGGGTGAGGGGGCAGTGGGGGAGATGACGCCATGTGGGGGTGGGTGAGGAGGCCTTCCTTCAGGCAGGGTGTCTTATGTTTGCCTTCTCTTCTAGCATGTAGGAACCCCCCCACCCCCAACACACACACCCTTCACTGCTGGATGAATAGATGAATGAATAGATTGATGAATGAATGGGTGGGTGGGTGAGTGGATGGGTGGGTAGATGATGGGTGGATGGGTGGGTGGGTGGATGAGTGAATGGGTGGATGGATGGGTGGATAGATGGGTGAGTGGGTGGATAGATGGGTGAGTGAGTGAGTGGGTGGATGGGTGGGTGGATGGATAGATGTGTGGATGGGTGGGTGGATGGATAGATGGGTGAATGGGCGGAAAGATGGGTGAATGGGTGGATGGATGAATGGATAAATGGGTAAATGGGTGGGTGGATGGAGAGATGGGTGAATGGGTGGGTAGGTAGATGGATGGGTGTGTGGGTGAATGAATGGTGGATGGGTGTGTGGGTGGGTGGGTGGATAGATGGGTGAATGTGTGGATGGGTGGATAGACGGGTGAATGGGTGGATGAGTGGATAGATGAGTGAATGGGTGGATGGATGGATGGATGGATAAATGGGTGAATGGGTGGTGGATGGATAGATGGGTGGATGGGTGGGTAGATGGGTGAATGGGTGGATGGGTGGATAGATGGGTGAATAGGTGGAAGGATGGATGGATAAATGGGTGAATGGGTAGGTGGATGGATAGATGGGTGGATGGGTGGATGGATGGAGAGATGGGTGAATGGGTGAGTAGGCGAATGGATAGGTGGGTGGGTGAATGTGTGGATGGATGGGTGGATGGAGAGATGGGTGAATGGGTGGGTAGGTGGATGGATGGGTGTGTGGGTGAATGAATGGTGGATGGGTGTGTGGGTGGGTGGGTGGATAGATGGGTGAATGTGTGGATGGGTGGATAGACGGGTGAATGGGTGGATGAGTGGATAGATGAGTGAATGGGTGGATGGATGGATGGATGGATGGATGGATAAATGGGTGAATGGGTGGTGGATGGAGAGATGGGTGAATGGGTGAGTAGGTGAATGGATCGGTGGGTGGGTGAATGTGTGGATGGATGGGTGGATGAATGGGTGCGTGGATGGGTGGATGGATGAGTGGATCAGTGAATGGGTGGGTAGGGATGGATGGGTGGATAGACAGGTGAATGAGTGGATGGATGGATACATGGGTGGATGGGTGGATAGGTGGATGGATGGGTGGATGGGTGGGTGGATGGGTGAATGGGTGGATGGGTGGATGGATGGGTGGATGGATGGGTGGATAGATGGGTGGATGGGTGAATGGATGGATGGATGGATGGGTGAATAGATGGGTGCATGGGTGAATGGGTGGGTAGGTGGATAGATGGGTGGGTGGGTCAATGTGTGGATGGATGGGTAGAGGGGTGGGTGGATGGGTGGATGGGTGGGTGGGTGGGTGGATGGGTGGATGGGTGGGTGGGTGGATAGGTGGATCAATGAATAAGTGGTAATATGGTTTTATGTAAGTCTCATGCCAGCCCACTTTACAGAGGAGGGAGGAGGCCCACAAGGGTGCCATCCCCAGTCACAAAGCCTGGAGAGAGGAATGTAAGTCGCGAAGCCGCTCCAGAGGATGCTGAACAGTGTCATGTACGGAGGAGCCTTGCCCCGGCTTTCTGGTCCTGAATAAGGTGTGGACAGTTGGGGTGAGCCACAGAGGGAGTGGGGGCCGGGGGTGGAGGCAGGAAAAAACCTGCCCCGGGTGTTCAAGGCAGTGCAGGTGAAGCGGCTCATAGCTGGATGCTCAGCCACTCCCCAGCTCAGGGCACGGCTGAGCAAACCCAGAACCACGGAGAAGGTGCCATGGCCGGAGGGCTGGGGTGATTTGGGGAAACCTGGTACAAAGTGGTGCAGGATTCCAGGGCTCTGAGACTGCAGTTACTGGGCGCTCCTGCCACCCCCAGAAAGAGCAGGTCTACCTGGGGAGTCCGAGCCGAGGCGCAGGCCGGAGACACCCCAATGAGAGCACGGAACTGGAATCGGGGTCTTCACCTTCCCGGTGTGTGGACTCCTTGGGCATCTAGTAAGCAAATAAGTTCACAGAATTATGAAGGAAACCCATTTTACCAAAATACAGCTACCACCCCGTTAGAACATTCTGGTGTAGTGAGCACTGTGCTTTTCATTAAGCCATGATTTAAAGTGGTGAGGCGTGGGAACCGCATTAGGAGACGTGGTGGTGAGTGGAAGGCGAGGGGGGTCTTTTGTGGAGCCCTGGACCCTCCCAAGGCGTGGCTGCTTGGGGCCCACCAAAGTGGCCCTGGGGCAGCTCTATCGGTGTCAACGGCACAGGCGCGGCTGACACCCTGGGGAGGTGCCCACGTTCTTGGTTACAGGAAAGGCTAAATTTTGGTTAGAGACACGACACAATGCCAGATGAAACTCATCCAAGTCCACGGATCCCCTGAATTCCAAGGAAAGAACCGCGGTTCCAGCTTCCCTCGAAGGTGTCCCCCGGTCCCGCTCACCACCTCAGCTTCCAGGAGTCTCCGGTGGGACAGCCGGAACCCCACTGAGGGTCTCGAAGTCACAGGCCCCTGGTTCACACTCAGCATTTCCTGTCTGTGCTGGGTACGCTTGGGCAAATGTCTTGACCCGTTTCCCCAACTGTAAAGTAAGAAGGTAACAGAGTCAGCTGAATGGGGGTGTGGTGAGGATTTAATAAAACCGTCCACGTTTGGACTCTCCTATGGTGCCCGTGAAGGTGGGCAAGCACGGACGGGCAGCTGTGACCCCTGCGAGATCCCTGAGCCGTGAAGGGGCCAGCCCAGGGGGACAGTGGAATCCCCACACCGCCTTCTGGCCATGGCCGCCTCCGGGGCAGGCGCGTTGCTGCTAGAAAGCTCTTCCTAAATTGAGCTCAGGTCGGCATCCCTGCAGATGCGGCCCCTCTCCGGAAGAGTGCTTTGGAAGGGAGAAAGGGCTCTCCCAGCCCCACCGCCGCCCCCTGGAGTCAGCCACAGCCTCCTCCCCCACAGCCTCCTCCCCCACAGCCCTCCCGCCCCCATGGCAAGAGACCTGCTTCAATTGTGATGTGGCTGCCCCGCCCCTCCTCTTAAACCTTCAGTGGCTGCCCACCTCCCTCAAGATCAAGGCCAGACCCTGAAGGTGGCTGGGGGCCCCTCCACACTCTGCCCCAACCCTACATCAGAGCCGCTTCTCCTGAGGGTGTTTCCTCATCTCTGGGCCTTCCCCAGCCCTCCCATCGAAACTTGCCTCACGTGGCGGGCTCCTACCCAGCCCTCAGAGCCCATAGGAAGTGCCCTGTCCTGTCCTGGGCTCCACACCCCCTGCACACCTTCCTGGGTTCCACACCCCCTTCACACCTTCCTGGGCTCCATGCCCCCTGCACGCCTCCATCACAGCATTAGCACCTTGGGTTGCAGTTGCTGTGGGCTGGTTTCCTTGGACCCACAGGAAAGCAGCCCTGGGCGGGAACCTTGCCTGTCTCCAAGGGCTGTGTTCCCGGCACAAGGCGCAGGGCTCCATGGGTGATGACTGGCTGGCGGAGTTTGGCACACCCACCTCTGGGTCCCCCACACGACACCTGGAACTTCTCTAGGCTGAATTCCACCTCTCTCGCCCTCAGGACTCCCCTGGGGCTCTGCCCCACACACATCCCAGGGAACACAGAGGAAATGGCCGGTCTCCCCAGCTGCTTCCGAAGAGCAGGATGGGCTGAGACTCCAGGCCCGGCCGCCCAGCGCAGCCTTGGGACCCTGGGGCAGCCCCCAAGGCCTAGGGGGCTCAGTGGCCTTTGCCCGGACAGGAGGGCCTTCCCCAGCTCATCAGCCACCCCAGGCGGGTAGTGGGTGTGGGACAGAGAGCTGACGGCAGTCAGAGGCCACAGCCCCACAGGACCCGCTGTTCCCTTGGCTGGCATCCTCCTCCCCTCCTGAAGCGCATGGGGCTGAGCCCAGCAGGGTGGAGTCTGAACAGAGACAGGAATTTGAGCATCAGGGCAGCAACAGCGTCGCCCCCGCTTCCTGAGCACCCTGGACTTGCGGGGGACGCTGGTGACCTGGTGGCATATATTCGGTGTCTGACAGGACTGGAGAGGTTAAGCAATTTCCCAGGTCACCAGCGGTGGGATTTGGGACTCAGGCTGGGTCTAAGCCAGTCCTCTCCCTGAGGCAGAGAGCCTGCTGTGGCTACACCCACCCAGCTTCCAGGACACGGAGCCCTCTGCCCACCGTGGTCTCTGCTCCTCCCCAGCGCCCAGGAGGCATCAAGACCCGGCAAGGCTGCCCGTTCTGCAGAACAGGAAACCGAGGCTCCCAGAGGGGAAAGTCCCAGCCTCCCTGGGGGTCCCAGGGTCCTGGGCTGCTGCACCCCAGCTGCAAAGGGGGAAGCCCCGTCCGGAGGCCACTTTCCCTGTAAGGAGCCCAGGCGGGGTGAGGGCTGCGACGTGCCGGTGCCGCCCCGGTTTCCCTCTGACTCAGGCTGAGGCGGCTGCCCCTGTGCTGGTGCCATGTCTAGTCCGCAGGCCCCACACCGGTGACCTGCCCTCATCTCATCTCCTGTGAGTCCGCGAGTCCACGGCTCTGCCGACGGGGGGTGGTGTGTGTGCAGCAGAAGGAATGAACGAGGGAACCCCTGCCCTGTGCTCTTCCTCTCCTCCCCTCCGTCCTGCCTGGGTGTTCACAGCAGCTTAAGAGGGAAGAACGTGGCCCTGGCCTACCCACCAATGTTCTAGAACATTCTGGAACATTCTGTTCTCAGCCCGGAGCCTGGGAACTGGGTAAACCTGGGCCATCGAGCGGCATCCAACATGAGGAAAATACCAAGAGGCTGGTGTGTGGTTCTGTGTGTGTGGCGCGTGGCGCGTGGTGCGTGGGGAGAGGCAGCCGCCCGCCCTCCAGAGCCAGGGTGCCACCTCCTGCGTCATAGACACCTCCCCCAAGCAGTGCCAAGCTCCTGCCTCCCACCAGTGGCTACTTCGGGCTGCAGTGGGGCCTGGGGCCACGGAAGACCCAGCTAGGTCTGGCCAAGAGGCCCAAGGATATTCCAGGCACCCGGAAGGATCCGGAAGGATCTGGGAGTCTTGGGTTAAGAACCATGCAGCCTGACCTGCTCCAAACGTGGACTTCGTCCCTGAAGAGGCTGCAGGACCCTAACCATTCGCGTCCTGGGCGATTGTGAGTGTGATGGACGATCACAGCACTGTTATTGTATCTTAGAGCTGAACTGGAAGACAAACTGGCCTGTATCCAATAAGAAAAAAACTTTGTGTTTTGCTTCCATTATTTATTTTTTCTGAGGCAGGGTCTTGCTCTGTCACCCAGGCTGGAGTGCAGCAGTGCGATCTTGGCTCACCGCAGCCTCCACCCCCTGGGCTCAAGCGAATCTCCTGCATCAGCCTCTTGAATAGCTGGGACCAGAGGCGCCCGCCACCATGCCTGGTTAATTTTTTATGTTTTGTAGAGATGGGGCCTCACTATGTTGCCCAGGCTGGTCTCAAACTCGTGGCTGAAGCGATTCTCCTGTCTCAGCCTCCCAAAGTGCTGGGATGACAGGCATGAGCCACTGCACCCGGCCTCATGGCTTTTTAATAGTTAGGTTTCTATTGACCTTGTTTTCAGACACACACAAGCTTAGAGGATATAACACAGGCTTGTGGATCAAGCACTCTGCTTCACTGAACTTGAAACATTTTAAACATCAGATTCTTTTAAGGCGCCTTTGGGTGCCCTGGCCTAAAACACCCTTCCCACTCTGCCCGTGTTCAGTCCTGACTCCAGACACCGCGGAAAGTGAGAGGGGTCGGGCAGGGGAGTCCAGGGGTTCTCAGAGCGCAGTCCCTGACCCTGCGCCCATGTTCAGTCCCGACTCCAGACACCGAGGAAAGTGAGAGGGGTCTGGGAGGGGAGTCCGAGGGTTCTCAGAGCGCAGTCCCTGACCCTGGGAGCTTGTCAGAAATCCTCACCCACCCAGGATCTGTGCGTGGGGCACCTGGGGCTGTCCTGGGTCTGCTCCGATTGTCCCCGAGGGGATCTGGAGGGACGAGGTTGCCCCGGGGTCTGCTTGGGGACAGGGTGAGCCAGCACTGTGACTCTGTCATTGCAACGGTTGTCTCTCCCCATGGGTGGGTGGAGGGACTTCCCTGAGGCTCTGGGACCTCCCTGGCAGTTCCAGCCACCTGAGCTCGGAGCACATGTCTGTGGTGCTTGGCGTGGGGGTGGGTCCAGGGTCCAGCCCCTTCCTGGCTGTCGCCTGCAGGCCTGACCCGGCTAAGGGGGTCCAACCTGGCCTTATCCGTCTAAGGGGGTCCAACCTGGCCGGCCCGAGAGGGTAGGGCTTCTTGGGAGAAAGCTGAAGGTCATGGAGGAGAAATGGGGGCAGGGAAGACCGTCAGGCTGAAACCCCACATCGGGCAGCTCAGAGGTGGGGGCAGGGAAGACCACCAAGCTGAGTCCCCCCATCAGGCAGCTCAGGGGAGGGGGCTCCATGCTGGGCCCCTGAGCCGCCTCCTGCTGTCACAGCATGAGGTTTATCATTCAGCACCCAGGCAAGCTGGCCCTGCAGGCAGGGGTCCGGCCTCCAACCGCCTTCCGGCTGCCCCACCATGTCCAGGGACCTGCTTCAGCCCTCCAGTCGTGCTTCCTTTCTTCCCTCTGCTCACTCGGCTCCTCCTGGAAGTTCCTTCTCGCTAGCCCCCAGGGGGTTTGGATGCTGGACCCTGGGGAAGGGGCCTTGGGGTCTGTAGCAGGGCATCTGAGGGTCCTGGGACACCCAGAAACCCCAGGAAGGCTGTGGGTGACTCAGCAAACCCACAAGCCGGGGGGTCTCTCAGGCATGTGCTGCAGGGGGGGTATGATGTGGGGTCTGCTCTGAGTGAGGGTCTCGGCCCTTGTCTGCTCCTTGTCCCCCTGTCCCAGCCACAGCCCGCTCCACTCCCAACTCTGCCCACGGCTCACCCCGGGCCTCTCAGACCCTCGCCTCTGGGACCCCCTTGTGAAGATCCGCCTGCCCCCCTACAGCCCCACAGCCCCCATCCTGCTTTGCAGCCCCCTCCCTGCTTTGCTTGTCTTGAATAGCAGGTGGCACTCTCTGATGTGCTGAACGTTGTTTACTGCCTGTCTCTCCCGCTAGGTCAGCTCCAGGGAGATGAGCTTTTTCTTTTTCTTTTTCTTTTTTTTTTTTTTGTTTAAACATATTTTATTTTTTAAAGCAGCTTTAGGTTCACAGCAAAATTGAGCATGAAGTACAGAGGGTTCCCCTGCACCCCTGGGCTCAGCATCCCCACGAGAGTGGCCGTTTGTTACAGCTGAGACCCCCCTGGACACAGCATCATCACCCACAGGCCGCACGACCTCAGGGTCCACCGGGTGCTGTGCAGTCTATGGTTGGACGAACGTATCCTGATGTGGACCCACCGTTGTGGTATCATACAGAGTAGTTTCACTGCCCCAGGTCCCCCGTGTTCCTGCTGCACATCCCTCCGTCCCTCCCTCTCCCCAGCCCCTGGCGTCACTGATCTTTGTGCTGTCTGCACAGTTTTGCCCTTTCCTGGATGTCAGAGTCAGAACCCTACAGTGTGTGGTCTTTGCAGACGGGCTGCTTTCACTCAGCAGCATGCATTTATGGTCCCTCCGTGTCTTTTTCCTTTCTTTTCTTTTCTTTTTGAGACGGTGTCTCGCGCTATCACCCAGCCTGGGGTGCAATGGTGTGATCTCGGTTCAGTGCAACCTCTGCCTCCTGGGTTCAAGCAATTCTCCTGCCTCAGCTTCCCTAGTAGCTGGGATTACAGGAGCACGCCACCACGCCCAACTAATTTTTGTATTTTTAGTAGAGACGGGGGTTTCTCCATGTTGGCCAGGCTGGTCTTGAACTCCTGACCTCAAGTGATCCACCCACCTCAGCTTCCCAAAGTGCAGGGATTATAGGCGTGAGCCGCAGCGCCCGGCCCCTTCGTGTCTTTTCAGGGCCTGGGAGCTCATTTCCTTTCACTCACTGAAGGGCATCTTGGTAGCTTCCATGTCTCAGCATCGGCAATTGTGAATAAGCTGCTTTAACACCGTTGTGCAGGTTTTTGTGTGAACACAAGTTTCCAACTCGTCTGGGTAAATACAAAGAGGTGCATCGTGTAAGATGCTGTCAGCTGCATTTCCTGCTGTAGCCCCAGAGTCCAAACAGCACACGGCAAATGGACACTCAGCAAATCCTGAATTAATACATGAAGAAAGAGGCAGGGCGGCCAGAACAATACACCACGCACAGGGGCTTTGGTGGCAGAAACCAGCTTTCGCACAGTTCTGGAGGCTGGAGGTCGAGACCAAGTTGTTGATGAGCTTGGCTTCTTCCAGGCCTGTGTCCTTGTCTTTGCTGACAGCTGCCTCCGTGCGTGGCCTTGTCCACGTGCACGCACCCTTGGCGGCTCTGTAAGTCCAACTTTTGTTTTCTCTTTTCTTTTCCTTCCTTCCCTTTCTTTCTTTCTTTCTTTCTTTCTTTCTTTCTTTCTTTCTTTCTTTCTTTCTTTCTTTCTTTCTTTCCTTCCTTCCTTCTTTCTTTCTCTCTCTCTTCCTTCCTTCCTTCCTTCCTCTCTCTCTTTCTTTCCTTCCTTCCTTCTTTTTCTCTCTCTCTCTTTCTTTCTTCCTTCCTTCCTCTCTCTCTCTCTTTCTTTCTTTCTTTCTTTTTCTTTGATGGAGTCTTGCTCTGTCACTCAGGCTGGAGTGTGATGACGCGATCTCGGCTCACTGCAACCTCTGCCTCCCGGGTTCAAGTGATTCTTGTGCCTCAGCCTCCCGAGTAGCTGGAATTACAGGCACACACCACCACACCTGGCTAATTTTTGTATTTTAAGTAGAGATGGGGTTTCACTATGTTGGCCAGGCTGGTCTCAAACTCCTGACCTCAGGTGATCCACCCGCCTCTGCCTCCCACAGTGCTGGGATCACAGGCTTGAACCACCGCACCCGGCTGTAAGTCCAAGCTTCCTCCTCTTATAAGGACACCTGTTGGACTGGGTTAGGGCTCCACTCTGATGGCCTCTGTTTAACTTAATTATCTATTTAAAGGCCCTGATTCCAAATACAGTCCCATTCTGAGGTCCCATCCGGACTTCCACATGGGAATCTGTGGGGCAGAATTGACCCCATCACAAGGTTCCTCCTGGAGCCTTCAGAGGGGGTGGCCCTGCCGACACCTTGATTCAGACTGTGGACCCCAGAGATGCGAGAACGTGTTTCTGTGGTTTCAAGCCCTGGGCTATGGGCCTTTGCGTGCAGGGCCACAGGGGCGCAAACCCGCTCTTATCCTCCGGTCCCATATTGCAGATGGGAAGCCAGGGGTCAGCACTGGGTGATGGTCCCACTCCACGACGGGAGCTCCCAGCAGTCTCCTTCCCACCCACTCGGCTCCACGCAGGGCAACGGGAGCTCCTGGCTCCCAGCAATCCCCTTCCCACCCACTCAGTGTCTCGTGCATGGCACACACGTGTCCTGCGGGCCCGCTGGGAGCTGGCTGCTGGTCCCTGTACGAGGCTGGGGGTCTGACCTCACCACCAGGGACAGACAGCAAAGCAGACCATGAGACAGGGGAGCAAAGCCGTGCGGTGGGAGGGGTGAGGCGTGCGGCATGACTGCAGGGCGGGGAGGGCCTCAAGGGGAGAGGCAACTCGGGGCAGCCCGCATGGCCCAGGCGTGGGTCAAGCTCTGGGAGGCACGCTCCCCGCAGGACCAGCCGCACGTGCAAAGCTCCTCCTGCCCCCAGCCCCGGCCAGCATCTCGGAGCCACTGCGGATTCAGTCGTGGGGTCCCTGGAAGGCAAGGCCTTCCCTAATCTGGGCACCGGGGCCTCCCAGGTGGCGACGACAGACTCCCAGGCTGGCTTGAGGCAAAAACACGGCGCGCTGGGACGTATTTGGATGTAAATGTTTTCAGCACAGAGCAGCTGGGAGATGCGGCCTCCGTGGGAGCTGGGAGCCGGGGCCATATGGCCCCTCTCCCGCCTGTACTGCCTTCGAGCGGGGGCGCTGCCTGGTGGGGCCCCCAGGGGTGTCTGCGGGGGTCGGACTTGAGTCCTGCCGGCCCCTCGCTGGCTGCTGCCCGCCCTGCCATCTGTCAGGTGGGGCGAGACCGTGCCAGCTGCCCTGGCCCTGAGGAGGCCTTGAGGGCATCTGAGGGGCTTGGGCCTGGCGCCAGCCCGATGGGTGTGTGCATCTGCAGCCTTGGCAGCATCTGGTAACTTCCCTCTTCCCACTCTTGGCCCTATCCCTGGTTGGGGAAGAGCCAGGTGCTCACCTGCGGCCCTGCATGGTAAACCAGACGGCGGCTCACAGGGTCATCTTGGCAGGGGACCCTCTGGCCACACAGAAGACTCGGAATTCCTGGCTCTTCTCTCCCAGCCCACGGCGGCTCCTTCCAGAGACCCTGAGAGACCCCTGGCACCCTGGGAGATGGGAGCAGAGCTGGGATCTGTCCTGGACGCAAGGGATGCCTCCCCTCTAGAACAAGCACTGGCTCCCCATGTCCCATCAGCTGAAGGCTACATCAGGTTCAGCCCTCACAGCCCTGAGCGAGCTGCCCTCCTGTGCCCTCTCCACAGCTGGGGCTTCCCGGTGGTTCCATACGGAAGCCCCTCCCTCACAACCCACCACCCCCAGCTCCAGTCACCCGTCCTCAGTCATGGTAGTGGGTGATTTGGGCTGTGAGGCCCTGGGGGGTGGCCCAGTGCAGCAGCGGCAGACGGGGCACTGTGGGGGGCTCCACGGGGGTGCTGCTGGGCCCTCTCCAGCTTCAAATGGAAAAACACAGGCCTGCGTGGGGCCCGTCCTGAGGTTCTGGACTGGGTGTGTCAGTCAGTGACGTCATCAGGGACCCTGGCCCGCTCCCTCTCATGCCTTGTCGTGGCCTCTGCCAGGCCCGCTGTCATCCGGCCTGTCGTGGCCTCTGCCCGGCCTGCTGTCATCCGGCTTGTCGTGGCCTCTGCCCGGCCTGCTGTTGTCCGACCTGTTGCCTCATGGTTCCCAGATGGGTGCTGCAGCTCCAAGAGTCACAGCTTCTGACCACTGCGTTCAGGGAAGGAAGAGAAAGAGCCAGGGAGGAAAATCTCTTCCAGAAACCTCATGCAGTTCTCCCCTTTCAGCTGACTGGCTAAGCCGGGTCTCACAGCCGTGTCTGGCTGCCAGGGAGCTGGGAAAGTTCTGTGGGGTCCCTGCCTTTCGGGGGGATAAAGGCAAGGGCTCAGAGGGAACAGAGTTAGCCGTGGCCATGGAAGGAAGAGCAGAGCTTCCTCCAGGCTGAGTGGGGCCGGAACACTGCTGGGCCCAGCTCTAGTCGGCGGGAGGCTGTGTGCTGTGTTGGGGAGCGGATTTGGCACCTGAGTGTGTGCCTCAGTGACAGTACCTGTGCTCTGGGGCTCAGGATGGGGTGACAGGACAGCACCACCCCAGGTGTGGACAGCAGGCTTAGACTGGTGATGAGGGGGCTTGTCCTGGGGAGGGCCTCAGGCAGCTCTGTTAGACCCAAAGTAGGAGAGCTTCTTGCAACGGAGGCCTGGAGCAAATTCACGCCTGCAGAGCGGAGGAGCCCTCCTCTTCCCAGGTGGAACCCCACGTGTACCTCTTCTCCGAGGAGGCTCCTTGGGGAGCTGTGTGGATCCTTCCCACTTTCCCTCCACCTGGGGCTGCCTCTCTCCCCTGCCTAGCTTCGAGGGATGGGGATGGTGGCTGGCTGGGAGCCCTGTGTCCCCTCACTATGATGGGGACCCTCAGCTGTACCCGCCTGAGGGCTGCAGCCGACTCATGGTGCCCCTTGCCTGGCTGTTCCGAGGAGTCCGGAAGAGGCTCACTTCTACATTTGCCCTGAAAATCTCAATTTTTGCTTTAAAATGCAGCAGCGACTGGGCAAGGTAGGGCTCACGCTTGTAATCCCAGCACTTTGGGAGGCCGAGGCGGACAGATCATCTGAGGTCAGGTGTTTAAGACCAGCCTGGCTAACATGGTGAAACCCTATTGCTACTAAAGACACAAAAATTAGCTGGGCCTGGTGGCACATGACTGTAATCCCAGCTCCTCGGGAGGCTGAGGCAAGCGAATCACTTGAACCTGGGAAGCGGAGGTTGCAGTGAGCTGAGATCGTGTCACTGCACTCCAGCCTGGGCGACAGAGTAAGACTCTGTCTCAAAAAATAAATAAATAAAATGCAGCAGCCCTGGTCCCCTTAGGAACCCTTTCCTCCACAAATACCCCTGTTTACCTGAACACAAGGCTGGGGGCTGTGTTTCTTTTGTGTCCCCAGTGCCTAGACTCGTACCAGGCACACAGTAGGTGCTTTGTACGTGTTTGTAGAAGGAACGAATGAACAGTGCCCCTGTGATGGGCCCAGGGAGCCCAACGTGACCCACACAGCACATGCCTGATCACACGTGGGCGCTGGGGGGCGTGTTATGTGTCTGCTTGTTTGTAAATGTGAGTCTTTTCTTTCCAGACAGACTGGAGCCCGAGGGTAGGAATTTGTTTTTCCAAGACTCCAGACTCCAGCCCATGACAAAAGCCAAACACACAGCTGGCGACCCGCGGGCCCGGAGCTGCCTGGTGACTGGGATACCCCAGGCTGCCCAAACAACTGGGTACCCTGGAACGTGGCGGCCTCGTGGATTCTGGAGGCCGAGGCCTCCGCATCCTGGTGAGGTGCATGGCTTCTCTCTGGGCCTGCTGTGTCTGTGATGTGGGGCTCCCTGACCGCCTGGGCCTCAGTTTCCCCACCATCCTACAGGGATAACGGGGTATAGTGAGAGAAAGTCAGTTGTTCTCTGCAGAAAGCACCCCGGGCCGGGAGTGCTGGGGGCGGGCTGGGACTCTGCTGCTGACGGCTGGGCGACCGTGGGGACGTCTTCCTGGGCCACCTCCGCATCCCACCCCCGGGGTCATCGCCTCTACAGGGTGGGGCTGGGGCTCTGAGTCTGCAGACAACTCCACATCCGGCAGCCCATCTCTGTGCCTGGGAACTTCCCCCAGTCTGCCCAAGGTGGCCCGAGAGATACTGGGCAGGGGGCTGGGAGCGTTCCTGCTGTGACAGAGGCAGTTACCCGGCCTGCTTGGCCTTCCTCTGAGTTTATCTCCCATAGCCCAGCCAGGCCGCCTCCTTATCACGGCCACGGTGAACTGGGGGCAGGGGTCACAGCGTCAGGCGCCCCTTCAAGAGGCTTCTACCCAAATCCCCAGCCACCCCGAGGTACTCCTTCCCCAGGGGCACCTGGAGTGTCTCCCATCAGCTGCCTGGGTGGGCTCCCAGCCCCCCATCAGCTGCCTGGGTGGGCTCCCAGCCCCAAGCGCGAGAGCCCTGTTCCCTCGGCTGCCTGCGGCTTCCCCCACCCCCACCGCCCAGGGCTGTTTTGCTCTCACACCTGTGCTCTGAGTCTCTGAGTCGGTTCACATCAGCCCTCGAATCTAACCGAATCCAAAAATATGAAGCCGGGGCCCATCTGTCGGCCAACTGATGAGCGCAAATGAGCTCTGGATTTCAGACGAGGCCGGCAGCCGGTCAGGGATGTTAGGAGCGGCACCTGCTGCCCAGCTTCCCTGTCCCCCTCTCGTTCCTCAGCCCCTCCCAGCCCCAAGATCCTCTGGAGGGGCTGGCTCCTGCTCCACCAAGTGGGAGGAGTGTCCTGGGGCCTCCACAAGAGCCAGGCCCACCAGCTGGGACCCTTTGCTGTGAGCCTGTGCTCAGAGCCCAGCCCCGGGCTGCAGCTGGGCAGGAGCTGGGTCCGCTCTGGGTGGAGACACTGGCAGCACTGCGGCTGCCTCACAGCCTCAGCACTTGCTTCCCCCTGCCGGGAGCACCATCCCCAGGGGCCCCAGGACTCCTTCCCCTCCATCCCAACACGTGGTTGGGACTAAACAATATGTTTGCAACTTGTTTTGGGGTTCACATGAGGGTTCCATCTGCTTCATGTAACGGATGCCCTTACTGCTCTTATGTCCAGAGGGGGTGGAGAGGAAACAAAGCAGATGCCCCTCCCTCCTTCCTCCCTCCCTCTTCCCTCCCTCCTCCTCCCTCCTTCCTGCCTCCTCCCTTCCTCCCTCCCTCCTTCCTCCCCCCTCCTCTCTCCTCCCTCCTCCCTCCCTCTTCCCTCCTCCTTTCCCCTTCTTCTCTTCCTCTCTCTCCCCTCCTCCCTCCCTTCCTCCTCCTTCCTCTTTCCTCCTCCCTCCCCCCTCCTCTCCCTCCCTCTCCCCTCCTCCCTCCTCCCTCTTCCCTCCCCCTTCTTCTCTCCCTCCCTCCTCTCTTCCCTCCTCCTTCCTCCTCCTCCCTCCTCCCTTCTTCCCCTCCCTTTCTCCTCCCTCCCTTTTTTTCTCCTTCTTCCCTTCTGTGAGAGCCAGAACCAGGGGCCCAGTGAGGAGGCTGTGGTTTTGGAGTCTGAGGTTGGGGCTGGACAGGGGAGGTATGGCTGGCAGCTGGGAGGAGCTGGAATCTGGCTGTAGCTGGGGAAGAAGCAACAGGACCGTCCGGCAGATGAGAAAACTGAGGTTACCTGGAGTCGGTCGGCCCTGCCCCTGCCCCATAACGTGCCCCCCAGGCACCTGTGCACGAGGCTTCTCTGTGGTCAGCACCTGTTCAGCTCCAGGGATGGCCGAGGGAGCCCCAGGACCAGGAGTCTTGGTGGCTCAGGAGGAACTGGGCCTGTCCAGAGTCCTGGGGTCCGAGAGCACGGATGCTGAGGCAGGTTCAGCCCTTGCTGGACAGGTCGGAGACCTGCTTCCAGGCCAGCGAAGCCCAGGGGGCCTGTCTACCACCCACCTCCCTCAGCTCCTGTCCTGGGCGTTTTGCTTTGGTACCAGGACCGGGCGGTGGCATGGGCTCCACTCCCTTCTCCCATGGGACGGATGAAGCCACTGAGAGCCAGGGTCTCCCAGGCAGGAAAAGGCAGCACCAGAATTGGAACCCAGTGCCCCCTCAGTGCCAGGCATCCATGACCCCAGTCCCCAAGTGGCTGAGCCGTGGGACCCAGATGAGACCTCCCTGCGGCAATTGGGGCCCCGAGCTGGGCGGCCCTAAGGCCACAGTCAGGCTCTCACAAGCGGCTTGGGGCAAGGGCTCCCCCAACAGCAAGCCAGGTTTGGGGCCTGGCTGGGGATCCCTGGCTGTCCCCAATCCTCGCAAGCCTGTTTGCCCATCCCTCAAATGGGGATCAGGAGAAGCCAGTTCTCCTAGTGTTTGCATTGAAATCTGCCCAGGTCTGTGGCTTGCGAGCCTTTCTGAGCACAATCTACAGTGAGGAAGGCATTTTATCTCCTCACAATATTCACGTGCTCTTGTGTGTTCTGCAAATGACACAGCAATGCCACTTAGACGCACGAGAGTCTATGTGATTTCTGTGTGCGTGAATGTGGGATCTGTTCACGCTCACACGTGGCGGACAGCAGCCCTTCCCCTTCCCCTTCCCCTTGGAGAAGTGCCGTGGCTTCCATTTTATTTACTGTAGCATTTCTTTTACCTTTGCACTGTGAAGTGCACACGCCCTTGGGGCAGCAGGAAACAGAGCAGGTGGGACGCCCTGAGCCCCTGCATCCTCCACGGCTGCCCCAGGAGGTGGCTTCAGCCCCAGCACGAGCTGCGATCACATCCCTGCTTTCTCCGTCGTTTTAGGCCTCTGTGCGTGTCCCTTCCTCAGCACAGCGTCGCCTGCCTGTGGCCGGGACCCGACGTCTTTTTCGCCTCCTTGCCTCTGAGTTCTGTTTCGTGTGGGGGGTGAGTCTCAGGCTCCCACGTTCCTGCCGCACAGCATTGCTGGAGGAGACATCTCCTCGCTTCATTTGTCTGTCCCGCCAGGCTGCTGTGGGACGTTCACAGTCACAAACTGCAGCGTCATAGGAAACGTACCTTTGGCCTCTGCCCCAGTTCCTGGCATGGAGCTCCTAACCCTTAGCCTTTCCGGGATGCCAGGAGCATCCTTTGTTCTACTGAGGTACCCATGGGGGCTCCTGGATGGGGGCTGCACATCAGAGAGCCCCCCCTAGGATTAGAAGCCTAGAACTCTCAGCCCCAGCCCCTGGGAAGAAGAGGGCTGGGACGCTGAGGTCATCAGGGGTCATGCTTATGTGATGAAGCCTCAAAAGAAATCCCTAAAAGACAAAAGACAGGACTTGGGAGCATCCAGGGTGGAAACACATCAGTGCCGTGAGGGCGGCCACCCCCACTCAGTGGGGACAGGGCTCCTGCGCTCTGGAAGCTTCCGGACCCCACCCTACGGACCCCGTCCTGCGAGTCCTTTGTAACATCCTCTATAATAAACCAGCATGTGTAAGTGTTTCTGAGTCCTGTGAGCTGGCCTAGCACACACCAGACCGGGGCTCAGGGCTCACAGGAGTCTGGGTTTACAGCTGGTCAGTGAGAAGCACAGGTGGCCTGACCCAGAGACTGGCGCTGAAGTGGGGGCAGCTGCAGGACAGCCCTGGGCTCCCCGGGTCTGCGGTGACTCAATGTAATCAGGCTAAATCGTAGGGCTCCCCACGGTCATCCACAGAGAGCTGGAGACTGGCTCTGTGTGGAAAGCTCCCACGTCCAGGGCCCCGGAATGAGTGGCTGTCTGAGAAAGGAGCTTGTTTCCCTCTTCCCAGACCCAGTGCCCGGCATCCAGGCACACACAGTCTCTCTGGGGTACACGGGCACCTCGTCCTGGGGCCTGTGCCTCTCAGCACCCACACTTTCCATTTTATTCTGTCTCACTAAAAAAGGCTGCTCACGATCCGCTAAATGGGTTCGCGTCCCCTGCAGGGACCGGCCACCCCCGCAGCCTGACAAAGGCTGGCCTACAGGTGCCGGGAGGGCCGAGGGGTGGCCCTCGGGCACAGGGTGACACTGCAGCCTTGGAGGTCCCTGGGACCCCAGCCCCATCCTGCTCACCCAGCCTCTCACCCCTTTTAGCCATCAACGAAAGGGGCAGCCCCTGGCGTGGAGCGGGGGGGCCTCTGGGACCCTGTGCCATCCCCTGGTGACAGCTGGAGTCTGCTCTGGTGGCTGGCGTGGGAGTCTTTCGGGGCTGCCGTGATAAATCAGCACAGACCAGGAGCTTCCACAGCAAGGATCTGTTCTCCCA
Organism: Homo sapiens; assembly: GCF_000001405.40. Taxonomy (NCBI): domain Eukaryota; kingdom Metazoa; phylum Chordata; class Mammalia; order Primates; family Hominidae; genus Homo; species Homo sapiens. Next base: position 88,996,636 of record NC_000016.10, read on the forward strand.
CGGCTCTGAGACCAAGCTGTCTGCAGGGCCGGCTCCTTCTGCGGTGCTGGAGGGGTGGGGGCGGGCATCTGCTCCAGGCCTCTCTCCAGGTTCTGGGGGATGGGGGAGTCTCTGGTGCGCCCGGCGGGTTCTGGGGGATGGGGGAGTCTCTGGTGCGCCCGGGCTTGTGGGTGCATCACCACGATCTCCGCCTCCCTCTTCACCCAGCGTTCTCCCTGCGTGCACAGCTCAGTGTCCACACCTGCCCTTTCTAGAAGGAAGCTAGTTCTGTGGGGTGAGGGCCCACCCTAGCGATCTCACCTGGATCATCTTGAAAGACCCTATTTCCCAGGAAGGCCATCGTCTGTGGTGTTGGGGGGTTAGAACTTCAACTTATAAATTGGTGGGGGGCTCCATCCAACCCGTAAGGTAAACCTCTTAGGCCTCACAGTCTTGGGTGGGGGCGTATCCCCTTGGGCTTCCCAGAGCCAGCACCTGTGGGGACTGAGGGTGGAGTAGGAGTTTGACCCTCGAGACAGGGTTCCAGATCTTGGCAGGTGCAGCCCTCCTAAATGAGTCCATCCATGGTGGGTGAGCCTCCTGCACCCTTTCGCCCATCTTCTGGGCTCCTGGCCTTGAGCCATTCATGTTTTGACCCTCGAGAGAGGGCTCCAGATCTTCGCAGGTGCAGCCACCCTAAATGAGTCCAGCCATGGTGAGTGAGCCTCCTGCACCCCTTCACCCATCTTCTGGACTCCTGGCCTTGAGCCTCAATCAACTGGCTTGGATGAGAAGCCAGTCACACTGGATTGGGCCAATAATATGGGTTTTGGGACTGAGTCAATGCAGCCCTTCTCAGCCGCCTGCACTGGTGCCTGCAGGTGACTCATCTGGGCTGCCACACACATCACCCTCCAGGGCATTGAATTCCAGCCCGGCCAGGGCTGCGGGGGCTGGTGGGAGGCTGGGCCTGGGGCAGCTACCAAACCACAGATATGAGAAGCTTGGAAATGCCACACAGGATAACACAGCAACAGTATGGCAAACAACGAAAACCCACACCCAGGCACATAATGTTCAAACTCCAGAGAACCAAAGACAAAGAGAAAATTATGAAAAGAAGTTGATGCGGGAGGAGGACTGAGCATTTTATATAGTTAACACCAGAGAAGGCAGGAAAAGATGGAAAAAGCAAGACTCTTCAAGGGAAGAAGCAGAATTCAAAGTGTCTACAGTGCATCATCCCCAGTACTCAACATACAACACTGCTGGGTACACGGAAAAACAGGAATGCAGAGCCCATAGTCAACAGAAAAAACAGTTACTAGTAGTAGACACTGAGATGCCAAAGTTAGCAAACAAGAACTTTAAAGCAGCTATTAGAAATGGGCACAACTAGCCGGGCGCAGTGGCTCACACCTGTGATCCCGGCACTTTGGGAGGCCAAGGTGGGGGGGTCACTTGAGGGCAGGAGTTCGAGACCAGTCTGGCCAACATGGTGAAATCCCATCTCTACTAAAAATACAAAAATTAGCCAGGCGTGGTGATGGGTGCCTGTAATCCCAGATACTTGGGAGGCTGAGGCAGGAGAATGGCTTGAACCTGGGAGGTGGAGGTTGCAGTGAGCCGAGATTGTGCCACTGCACTCCAGCCTGGGTGATAGAGTGAGATGCTGTCTGCAAAAACAAACAAACAAACAAACAAAAATGTGCTCAACTGCCAGGCATGGTGGCGCCTATGTTCCCAGCTACTTGGGAGGCCAAGGTGGGAGGATCAGCTGAGCCTGAAAGGTCGAGGCCACAGTGAGCTGTGGTCATGTGACTCCAACGTGGGTGGCAGAACAAGATCCTATATGAAAACAAATAAATAAATAAATCCCAGTCCTCACCCCAAAAGAAGTGTGCTCAACTGCTTAACAAAAAAATGTGATCACAATGGGTGAACAGACAGGGCTTCACATAAAACAATGAAACAAATAGAAATCCTAGAACTAAAAAGTATAATACCTGAAATAAAAAATTCACTGGGCCAGGCACGGTGGCTCACACCTGTAATCCCAGCACTTTGGGAGGCCGGGCGTGGTGGCTCACACCTGTAATCCCAGCACTTTGGGAGGCTGGGCGTGGCGGCACACACTTGGAATCCCAGCACTTTGGGAGGCCGGGCACGGCGGCTCACACCTGGAATCCCAGCACTTTGGGAGGCTGGGCAAGATGGCGCACACCTGGAATCCCAGCATTTTGGGAGGTCAGGCACAGTGGCTCACACCTGAAATCCCAGCACTTTGGGAGGCTGGGCAAGGTGGCTCACACCTGTAATCCCAGCACTTTGGGAGGCCGGGCACGGCGGTGCACACTTGGAATCCCAGCACTTTAGGAGGTCGGGCGTGGTGGCTCACACCTGTAATCCCAGCACTTTGGGAGGTCAGGCGCGGTGGCTCACATCTGGAATCACACCTGTAATCCACTGCACTCTAGCCTGGGAGATGCAGTGAGACCCTGTCTCAAAACAAAACAAAGCTAATTAGACTGGATAGGCTTAACAGCATATTGCAATGATAGAAGAAAAGATCAATGAACTTGAAGACAGAGCAGTGGTAATCATCTAAAGAACAGAAATTTTAAAAACACTAAAAAAGAGAGGCAGAGCCAAGTCACAGAACAATGTGAAATTGCCAACTCCACGTGTAATTGGAGTCTCCAAATGGGAGGAGAGAGAGATTGGAGCTCAAATACATTATTTAGAGAAATAATGGCCCAAACTTCCCTGGACGTAGTGAAAAGCATCAATTTATAGACCCAAGAAGTTCAGCTAACTTCAAACAGGATAAATAGAAACACATCTGTAGGCACAGCACAGTCAAACTGCTGAAAACTGACGAAAATGTGGAAGAAGCCGGAGAAGAGGGTGGCCAGAAGTGCCAAATGCTGCTGCCTCCTCATCAAAAACCAGAGGGCGGAGGGCGGAGGGCGGGGGGGGGCGGAGGGAGGAGGGCGGAGGGAGGAGGGCAGAGGGCGGGGGGCGGGACAGAGGGAGGAGGGAGGAGGTAGGAGGGCGGAGGGAGGGGGCGGGGGGCAGAGGGCGGAGGGAGGGGGCGGGGCAGAGGGAGGAGGGGGGGGCGGGGCAGAGGGAGGAGGGAGGAGGGCGGAGGGAGGGGGCGGGGCAGAGGGAGGAGGGAGGAGGGAGGAGGGCGGAGGGCGGAGGGCGGGGGGGCGGGGCAGAGGGAGGAGGGCGGAGGGCGGGGGGCGGGGGGCGGAGGGCAGAGGAGTGAAAACAATGAGCCGCCCCCACCGCTCTGAATCCAGCAGGAAATCCTCAGAGTGAAGGTGAAGGTGAAATAAAAGCGCTCTGAAGTAAATGAAACTGAGAACATTTGCCGTCCTAAGAGCCGCATGACAAAAACATGCTAAAGCTGCGTAATCTGCACAAGATAAGGAACTCACTGACGGGCAGGGTGGCGACAGCCCATGTGCGACCGTGCAGGTGAACAAGGCGCCTGTCCTCTCCTCGTCATCTCTTTTAAAGGGCAAATCTGCAGGCGTGTGTGTCCAGCATCATGAGCTTCGTGGGGTCTGAGTCATAGAACGTGTGAGGACAGGAGCGTGAGGCGTGGGCGTGGGGAGGGAACCGCACTGCTGCAAGGGGCTTGGGTTTCTCATCAAACGGCGCCACATCTTCAGATGTCTCTGGAAGCCGAATTGAGACTGGATTTGGGTGTGTGAAGATGTTTAGGACCAGCACGTGTGAAGGGAAGCAGGCAGGGCTGACGTGTGGTGCAGGCCCCACGGGGCCGTGTGACCCCACGGGCAGCTCTGGTGCACTAGGGGCCCATCCGGCTGGCACTGTGGGAAGACCTGCACAGCCCAGCCTTCATCGGTCACTAGACTCCATCTTTCCGGGAAGGACAGGGCCGTGGGAAAGGTGACCCTGAAGGAACAGACGGGGTACCCTGTGCTTCTAGGAGCAATCTGAGCAGCACCAACCTTGAAAGCGGACTCCAGGCAGACCGCGCCGTCTGTCTTCTCTCTTGCTGCCACGTGTCCGCCATCCCTCCAGATGGACCAGTCCCCAGACGTTCCCTGCACCCACACACACCTCCGTCCCTGGGCTGGGGCCTCTCCCATGCCCGGGGCTTCCTCCGCTGCCCCCTCCTCTGTCTGTGCCCCCTCCTCCTCCAACCCGGAATCGCTCAAGGCCGCTAGAGTGACCCACGCTGTGCCTCCTGTGTGGCCCAGTGGTGCTGCAGCCTCATCGCGATGTCGGAGGTGACCCCACGCCCACTGCTTCCTTGTGGGGAATGGAGCCTCCGCACCTGCAGGGAGTGGGGAGGGGCCCTTTCCAGCCTCGACCTTTCTCCTTCTAACGAGGAGCCACATGGGTGCTCTGCCAGCTTCCAGCACCTCCTGTTCTTCAGAGAGAATTCTGGAAAATAACAATTCCTGACCAACATGCAGCCCCCACGAATACTCAGAGTCCCAGTTTTTAAAGCCACCTTAGCCGCCTCCATCCAGCTTCTGCCCTGGTGTGGCCTCTGGTCAGCACTCACTGTCTATGAAGAAGACAGAGAACTGGGCCTGCCCATCCCCCAGGGGTGGGCTCCATACTCTATTTGGCCTGGATCACTGGGGAGAGGATGCGTGGGTCAGGCGGGCTGGGATTGCTGTTGGGCGGCAAGACCCTCCACTCGACACAGCCACGGCTTCCGTGTGAGTCGGGCAAGTCCTCCATGTGGTGACTCAGGGATCCAGGCTGCAGGCTGCTGAGATCTGAAGCCACAGCTTCTGCATCTCCAGGGAGGAGGAGGAGTGCTGACAGCACGGCCGGGAGATGTGGGGGCCAAGTGTGCTTGGGGAGCACCATGCTGCCCGGCTGCCACGAGTTTCCTGGGCTCAGCACCCTGGGAGCCTCCTGTGCTCGGCTCCCGACAACCCTAAGCTGCTGGCACTCCACCTCATTCCTGCGCTGGGGGAAATTCCTGCGGGTGGAGGCTCCAGGCTCCCGGCTGCAGACTCGGAGTGGATTGAGTCCTGCCATCTGCCCAAGAGGGGTCACAGCCAGGTGGGGGTCCGTGTGTGTCCTCTGGCTGAGTATCAAAGCACCAACACTCTGGGGGCCATGACAGTGGAAGTTGGGGCTCTCACAGCCTGCAGCGGTGAGCTGACATCAAGGTGCGGGCAGCGCTGGCTTCCTCTGAAGGCGCTGGGAGCCCTTCCCGCCTCATCCAGCTCCCGGGGCTCCCTGGCTCGTGGCCCTCACTCCCATCTCTGCCTCTGTCCGCACGCAGCTGCCTTCCCTGCGCATCTGACTCCATCCTCCTTCTCTTCTAAGGGTACTGGCCGTTGGATTTAGGGCCCACCCTACCCAGGACGATGTCATCTCAAGATCCTTCACTTAAGTTTTCCTGCAAAGACCCTTTTTCTGAATAAGGTTACATTTCCAGGCTCTGGGTTTTAGGATGTGTCCACTGGCAACATGAAACTGGGGAGCTGGGGGGACAGAGGAGCTGGGGAGACAGAGGAACTGGGGGGACAGAGGAGCTGGGGGGACAGAGGAGCCTGGGGGACCCAGGAGCCGGAGGGACAGAGGAACCGGGGGGACAGAGCAGCCGGAGGGACGCAGGAGCCGGAGGGACAGAGGAGCCGGGGGGACAGAGGAGCCGGAGCCGGGGGGACAGAAGAGCTGGGGGGACAGAGGAACCGGGGGGACAGAGGAGCCGGAGGGACGCAGGAGCCGGAGGGACAGAGGAGCCGGGGGGACAGAGGAGCCGGGAGTACAGAGGAGCCGGGGGGACAGAGGAGCCGGGAGTACAGAGGAGCCGGGGGGACAGAGGAGCCGGAGCCGGGGGGACAGAAGAGCTGGGGGGACAGAGGAACCGGGGGGACAGAAGAGCTGGGGGGACGGAGGAGCCGGGGGGACGGAGGAGCCGGGAGGACAGAGGAGCCGGGGGGACAGAAGAGCTGGGGGGACAGAGGAACCGGGGGGACAGAGGAGCCGGGAGGACAGAGGAGCCGGGCGGACAGAGGAGCCGGGAGGACAGAGGAGCCGGGGGGACAGAGGAGCCGGAGCCAGGGGGACAGAAGAGCTGGGGGGACAGAGGAACCGGGGGGACAGAGGAGCCGGGGGGACAGAGGAGCCGGAGCCGGGGGGACAGAAGAGCTGGGGGGACAGAGGAACCGGGGGGACAGAGGAGCCGGGGGGACAGAGGAGCCGGAGGGACGCAGGAGCCGGAGGGACAGAGGAACTGGGGGGACAGAGGAGCCGGGAGGACAGAGGAGCCGGGGGGACAGAGGAGCTGGGGGGACAGAGGAGCCGGAGCCGGGGGGACAGAAGAGCTGGGGGGACAGAGGAGCCGGGGGGACAGAGGAGCCGGAGCCGGGGGGACAGAAGACCCGGGGGGACAGAGGAGCCGGAGGGACGCAGGAGCCGGGGGGACAGAGGAGCCGGAGCCGGGGGGACAGAAGACCTGGGGGGACAGAGGAGCCGGAGGGACGCAGGAGCTGGGGGGACATAGGAGCCGGGGGGACAGAGGAGCCGGAGCCGGGGGGACAGAGGAGCCGGGGGGACAGAAGAGCTGGGGGGACAGAGGAGCCGGGGGGACACAGGAGCCGGGGGGACAGAGGAGCCGGGGGGACAGAAGAGCTGGGGGGACAGAGGAGCCAGGCTCAGTGGGGGTCAGGGTGTAGGCTCCAGCCCCTCTGCCCATCCCATCTGCTTTGCCAGCCCCAGTTTCGCTGAATTGTCTCATGAGCGTGTTCTGACCCCTGCCTCACAGGAGGGGCGGCACGGCAAGGCGGTGGATGGGCCAGGCCCCGGGTCAGCTCGGCCTCGGCGAGGCTGAGCAGGTCACGTGCCACCTCCATCCTGCGTTCTGCTTTCCATCACGAGCTACAGCAGGAGCAAGGTGGCCGTGACCGAGAACCCCTTGGAACCCCAGTTTCGTTGTCTGAGAGGAAGATAACTGCATCTCTCGCAGGATCAGGTGGCAGCAGAAGAGACGGTGGACGCACTCAAAACCATCCCGTTCCTCGACTGGGGCGGGCTGTGTTGTGCACACCCGGCCCGGCCCCACACCCAGGCCCCACACCCAGGCCCCACCATCAGGGGCACCCAGCTGGCATTTGGAGTGGAGCCCTCAGAGGGGGCTGGGCTGGGACTGGGATCCCGGGGGAGAAGCGAGGAGAGCCTGCATGGGAGCAGCAGAGGCTGCCCAGGGAGGCTGTGGGGCTTGGATCTGGATCTGGAGGGGAGAATCACTGGGGAGCACCCCCCCACCCCCCAACCCGGCAACGGCAGCCAGGAAGGGCTGGAAGCAGACGGGAACGAAAGCAGGAGATGGAAGATAGGAGAAGATAGGAGAAGAGAGCAGATGAGGCCGGGACCGAGGGGGAGAGGCTGCGGTGGGGAAAGGAGGTGCTGGGGAGAAGGGAAGCCCAGACCGCTACCCCTCACCCCCTTTTCCCCAGCCTGGCCGAGGGGCAGGGGCCGCAGGAAGATGTAAGCGACCAACAGCCTTGCCTTGTTGCAAAGAAAATATTCCCTGAAAGACATTAAAATGAAGTAAATAAAAGAGATAAAAATGGAAATATCAAGGCAGCAACTTCTCTTCTGATTACAAAGCAGGCAGCGGGAAGCAGCGGGAGCCCATGAGGACGCAGCTGCACAGCCGGGCGGGCCTGATAAGGCCTCGTAGCCTGCGCGGGCGAGATAAAGCCAGCACGCGCCTGTCCTCAATCCCGGCCGCCATCAACATGCAGACAGCCTGAGCGACTGGCATTCCAGATAGAATAAGCACGCACGGCCGCGCTATTACTGAGACCTTATTAATCCGCCTGCAGGCGTTTAAATGCCGTGGGAAATATGGAGTTTACCAGCGCAGCTGACGGGGACTTGACACTTCATCACGTTGTTCCCTCTCAGCCTCTCTCCTTGGCCATCGTCTCTGGGCCCCAAGTTTCAGTTGGAAGGGAAGTTTTCAGGTGCAGGTGGAGGGGCCAGGAGGAGGGGGCCTCCAAGCACCTGGTGAGTGGGGAATCCCATGGGGTCACACCCCTCCGGGGAGCTGTCCCTGAGGTCTGGGTGGAGAGGCCGAGTGGCGGCAGTCTACCGCGTGTGCGCAGCCTGGCGACATCTCACCGTTTTAAGTCCTTGATGCGCTGGGTTCCCAGTTTGAATTTGATCTTTTTTTTTTTTTGCAACTGCAATTGCTGCCTGGCCTCCTGCGCTTTTTGTCATGGGGGGGTCTCCCAGTCCTGAGCATAGAGGCAGGCGGAGCAGAGGAGGGTCAGACCCTGGGGAGATCTCCTCTCATCACAGAACAGGCAGGACTAGAGCCCACTGGTCTCCACCTTCAGGTAACTGACCCCACCTCAGACCCCAGCTGGGAGCAGACAGAGAGTTTATTGATTGATTGGTTTTTATTTTTATTTTTATTGAGACAGAGTTTTGCTCTGTCACCCAGGCTGGAGTGCAGTGGTGCAATCTCGGCTCACTGCAAAGTCTTCCTCCCAGGTTCAAATGATTCTCCTGCCTCAGCCTCCTGAGTAGCTGGGATTACAGGTGCACGCCACCACACCCAGCTAGTTTTTGTATTTTAGTAGAGATGGGGTTTTGCCATCAAAAGTTGGTCAGGCTACTTTTGAACTCCTGACCTCAAGTGATCCTCCTGTCCCAGCCGAGTTCTATCTTTTCTGTCGTTGCGGTGTCGGCCCAGCTGGCAGAGACAAGTGCTGAACACACGACCACATAAACAACTTTGCTCCTGCGGGGAAGGAGGTGAGCTGGTGCCGGAGCCGCCTCAGGGCCCTGTGAGGAGGAGGCCATTCCTGCTGAGGCTGGGTCAGCCAGGCCGCCACTCTGCCTGCGTCCTCCATGGCTGCAATGCCCTCCATGGGAAGCCCAGGCCACCGGGTCTGGCCTCCTTTCTGGTCTGGGCTTGCTCTGCTCATGGCCTCACATGAGCTGCAGGCCCCCTGGAGCCCTCTTCCTCCAGACGTCCTTGCAGCCCGCCCACCTCCTTCAAGGCCTTGCTCAACTGCCACCTCCCCAGAGAGGACTCTGGGACCAGCCCCTCCCTTTAATGCACTCCTCCTTGCCCACACATAGGAGCAGGTGCCACGGGAGCGGGTGCCAGGAGAGCAAATGCCACAGGACCAGGTGCCACGAGAGTGGGTGCCATGGGAGCAGGTGCCAGGAGAGCAAATGCCACGGGTCCGGGTGCCACGAGAGTGGGTGCCACGGGAGCAGGCACGTGTGTCCACTTCCTCCCCCACTCCTTCCTCAGGCTGAAAACAGCAAGTGGAGTATGGCAGGCATCGCTCCAGGGCTGTCAGGAGCAGTGGGGTTGGATGCAGGGGTGGGCTGGGAGGTGGGATGCTGAGGCAATCGGGGGCTGGGCCAGTCAGAGGTGAGTACAGGGGAGGGACCTCCAGGCAGAGGGACTGGCTTGAGCAAAGGCTTCGAGGTGGAGGTTTTAGGTGGGTGAGGAGCAGAAGGCCAACGCGGGTGGCTGAGGAGAGGGCAAGGAAGAAGAGGCAGGAGTCCACCGCCAGTGCCAACCAGGGGCCTCGGGGCACCGCTCCAGGAGCAACCCCAGAGTGCATCCACCTCCTCCCGGGTGGGCCACGCCTTGAGGTGCTGACGGCGCCCCAAACTCCACTCCCCGGAATCGGCCCAGGCTCAGCCACATCGGCCCGGGCTCCTACAGAAGCCGACCTGGAGACGAGGAACTGACCTGGAGACGAGGAACTGACCTGGAGACAAGGAACTGACTGCAAGTGGACCATTTGCAGGGCGACCCCAAGGGCAGGGGAGTGAGATGGGAGGGCAAGATCCCCGAAGAAGTAGGCGCCATCAGCCAGTCACTGCTGAGGGGAGTGGCACCTCCTCCAGGTGGGGGTCTCTGGGGAACGCGTGGAGCACAGCTCAGAGCTGCCCCAGGGCTGGGAGTGAGCTATGTGCACACCGGCTCCCTCCAGCCACCAGACAGATGCTCCCTGCTTGGGGCTGCTGCGTGGTCACAGGCTCCAGCAGCCAAACAGAGGTGGGACCTGGCTGGTGGGCACCCCTCTCCCCTCCCTCCCTCTCCATCTCTTCCCCACTCCCCTCCCTCCTCCTCCATCTCCTCCCCCTCCCCTCCCTCCCCCTCTATCTCTTCCCCACTCCCCTCCCTCCTCCTCCATCTCCTCCCCCTCCCCTCCCTCCCCCTCTATCTCCTCCCCACTCCCCTCCCTCTGCCTCCATCTCCCCCCTCCCCTCCCTCCCCCTCCATCTCTTCCCCACTCCCCTCCCTATCCCTCCATCTCCTCCCGCTCCTCTACCTCCCCCTCCATCCCCTCCCCCTCCCACTCCCCTCCATCTCCTCCCCACTCCCCTCTTCTCCCTCCATCTCCTCCCCACTCCCCTCTCCCTCCATCTCCTCCCCACTCCCCTCCATCTCCTCCCCACTCCCCTCTTCTCCCTCCATCTCCTCCCCACTCCCCTCCCTCCTTTGCCCTCTCGCTCCCCACTCCCCTCTTCTCCCTCCATCTCCTTCCCACTCCCCTCCATCTCCTCCCCACTCCCCTCTTCTCCCTCCATCTTCTCCCCACTCCCCTCTTCTCCCTCCATCTCCTCCCCACTCCCCTCTTCTCCCTCCATCTCCTCCCACTCCCCTCTTCTCCCTCCATCTCCTCCCCACTCCCCCCTCCCCTTCCATCACTTTTCCTTTGCCTTCTTCTGGTCCCAGAAGGCCGGCAGGAGAAGCCTCATTTCCTCCTACCTGGGTAGATACAAGCATGTTTAAAAGAAAACAGGCACAAATGAGAAAAACTTCAGAACACCACGGGGCAGAAGAAAACCTGACTTCCTACTCCTGTGGCTGAGAAGGCCTCTGGCCCCGTCTCTCAGGACAGACCACTGCTGTTGGGGGACAGTGGCCAGCTCCTCCTTGTGGCTGTCTCTGGCTGCCCCTGGTCCATATCACCTCCAGTGCTGTACTTTCTCTCCCCAGAGGCGGGTCTATGTGGGTACCTGGCCTTATTCATGAGCAAATGCCATGGCCCCCGGGGGGCAAGAGCTTGTGGTGAGCAGGATTGTTCTCTGCAGATATTAGTGATCATTAGCAATCATTAATTAGAATGATAAATAAATGATTGACGGTGACAGTGGGAAGGTCTCTCTTGGGAGTGGGTTCCCAGTGGACACAGGGGACTTGGCTGAGCCATCTACCTCACCCTCACATGGGATCAGAGGCTCTGACACCCACCTGGGCTGCCCAGAGGCTGGTTCTGTGAGACCCACCTCATGCACAGGATGAGGCTCCGATGGAGAGGCAGCCCGGGGTTCTGGTGTGTAAAGGACTGCAGGGAGTCCAGGTCTCCAGAGTGGGTCAGTGTCCACCATCCACCTCATCTTTGCCAGGAGAACCCATGACACACCCACCTCATCTTTGCAGGAGGACCCTGACACACCCACCTCATCTGTGCCAGGAGGACCCGTGACACACCCACCTCATCTTTGCCAGGAGGACCCAGACACACCCTCCTCGTCTTTGCAGGAGGACCCTGACACACCCACCTCATCTTTGCCAGGAGGACCCTGACACACCCACCTCATCTTTGCCAGGAGGACCCCTGACACACCCACCTCATCTTTGTCAGGAGCACCCGTGACACACCCACCTCATCTTTGCCAGGAGGACCCTGACACACCCACCTCATCTTTGCCAGGAGGACCCCTGACACACCCACCTCATCTTTGTCAGGAGCACCCGTGACACACCCACCTCATCTTTGCCAGGAGGACCCTGACACACCCACCTCATCTGTGCCAGGAGGACCCGTGACACACCCACCTCATCTTTGCAGGAGGACCCTGACACACCCACCTCATCTTTGCCAGGAGGACCCCGACACACCCACCTCATCTTTGCCAGGAGGACCCTGACACACCCACCTCTTTGCAGGAGAACCCTGACACACCCACCTCATCTTTGCCAGGAGGACCCGTGACACACCCACCTCATCTTTGCCAGGAGGACCCGTGACACACCCACCTCATCTTTGCAGGAGAACCCTGACACACCCACCTCATCTTTGCCAGGAGGACCCCTGACACACCCACCTCATCTTTGTCAGGAGCACCCGTGACACACCCACCTCATCTTTTCCAGGAGGACCCTGACACACCCACCTCATCTGTGCCAGGAGGACCCGTGACACACCCACCTCATCTTTGCAGGAGGACCCTGACACACCCACCTCATCTTTGCAGGAGGACCCTGACACACCCACCTCATCTTTGCCAGGAGGACCCGTGACACACCCACCTCATCTTTGCCAGGAGGACCCGTGACACACCCACCTCATCTGTGCCAGGAGGACCCTGACACACCCACCTCATCTTTGCAGGAGAACCCTGACACACCCACCTCATCTTTGCCAGGAGGACCCTGACACACCCACCTCATCTTTGCAGGAGGACCCTGACACACCCACCTCATCTTTGCCAGGAGGACCCTGACACACCCACCTCATCTTTGCAGGAGGACCCTGACACACCCACCTCATCTTTGCCAGGAGGACGCTGACACACCCACCTCATCTTTGCAGGAGGACCCTGACACACCCACCTCATCTTTGCCAGGAGGACCCTGACACACCCACCTCATCTTTGCAGGAGGACCCTGACACACCCACCTCATCTGTGCCAGGAGGACCCTGACACACCCACCTCATCTTTGCAGGAGGACCCATGACACCTGGCCTTGGGTTGAACTCCTTGCTCCTCTTTTCCTCGGGACCCTGAGTGAGTCATATCCTACTCTGAGGTCCACATCTGTCAAGTGGGGACCGCCGTGCTGACCTCACGGGCCGCGACACGGGTTAGAGACAGGGTGTGGGTGTGTCCAGCTCACAGCCCTGTCGCACTGGGCGGGTCTGCCCAGGGAATGGACAGGTGTACCTGCAGGCTGTGGGGTGGAGTCTCCACATGGCTGTGACAGGTCTGGGGAAGTTCTTAGAGGGCAGCTCCTCTGTCCATGGTGCTGAACCCTCATCTTGCGGGGAAACATCACTTTCCCCCACTCCTGAGCCCCACGAATGAGCCAGGTGGAAGGAAAAAGGTGTTGGGAGAAAAGGAAAGGCAGAGAAAGGGAAAAGAATCAGGAAGAGAGAGGGAGAGAGAAAGAGAAAGAGGTGAAGAGAGAGAGAAAGGGAGGCCAAAGAGAGCAAGGGAGAGAGGAGGCAGGTGGTCTGAGAAGCCAATGAGGGCACCTCCTCAAGACAGGACAGAGAGCAGCTTTTGTTTTGACATCATTGTTCTGACATCACCCTCTCTAAGGAGCACGTTTCCCTGTGGTTATTTCCCACCTTCCTCCTTCCCAAGGGTTCCACCTGTGGGTCCCTGGGCAGGTCTGTGTATGAGCAGAGCTGCCATTTATGTGCATGCGACGTATGGATAGAGAAGTGTGTGTGCACATGGACATCACACGTGCACCCATGCACAAGCCTGCACACACGCACCCATGTACACACACACAAGAACTCACACAACTTGGAATGTGCTACAGGGAGGTGACCACGCACAGCTGGGCATCTGGTTAAGTGACCTTTGCTGTTGTCCAGCGCTGGAGATGAAGCCACAGTGGACAGTGGGGAGGGAGCTGTCTGTAGAGTGGGCGGAGGACAAGCTGCAGCCCTAAGGTTGTCCAGCGCTGGAGATGAGGCCATGATGGGCAGTGGGGAGGGAGTTGTCTGTAGAGTGGGGGCGAGGACCACGGTGGGCAGTGGGGAGGGAGCTGTCTGTAGAGTTGGGGTGAGGACCACAGTGCGTGGGCTGGACCCTCTCAAGGGCAGGCTCCAGGTGTCCTGGCAGCTGTGCCTGTGGCCTTGGCAATGGGGGTGTCCTGCAGAAACTGGACTCATCACAGAGCTGGACACACCCCAGGCCCTGCACTCAGAAAAGCCAAAGGAGGGTCAGGCCACTGGGTCATAGGAGCAGACCCTGCCACAGCCACACAGCAACCAGCAACTCTGCAGATCAGGGACAACACGAGAACTATGAGGGGGGGCCACCTCCCCACCGGACTCTTCGAGTCTCCCATGCAGAAACGGAGCTGAGTCCAGCCTGGGTGACCCAGGACAGAGCCACTGCAGTGAAGGGGCAGCAGGAACCGGCTCTGGGCAGCCAGCTGTGGTTTGCAGTTGGTTCCTCTTAGGTCAGGTCTACGTCCCGCCTGTGAGCCCCGCTGTCCTTGTCCTTGGAACTTACCTAAGGGTCCTTGGAAGAAACTGCCAGACCTCCTCCTCTCAACCCCTTCTGGCTGCATATGAAACTTCTCACTGTTTCTTCTGACTCCAGAGAAGCACAGAAAGTTTACTAATCTGGGAAGTTAAGCCTCTACTTTGCCCTCATGGATGTGTGCCATCGACCCATCCACCCATCCACACACTTATTCACCCACCATCCATCCACCCACCCACCTACCCACGCTTTATCCATCCACCCATTCATCCACCCATCTATCCATCTATCCATCCACCCACCCACGCACTCACCCACCCATCTATCCATCCACCGACCCACGCACTCATCCACCCATCTATCCATCCACCGACCCACGCACTCATCCACCCATCTATCCATCCACCCACCCACGCACTCATCCACCCATCTATCCATCTATCCATCCACCCACCCACGCACTCACCCACCCATCTATCCATCCACCGACCCACGCACTCATCCACCCATCTATCCATCCACCCACCCACACACTCACCCACCCATCTATCCATCCACCGACCCACGCACTCACCCACCCATCTATCCATCCACCCACCCACGCACTCATCCACCCATATATCCATCCACCCACCCACGCACTCACCCACCCATCTATCCATCCACCCACCCAAGCACTCATCCACCCATCTATCCATCCACCCACCCACACACTCACCCACCCATCTATCCATCCACCCACCCACACACTCATCCACCCATCTATCCATCCACCCACACACGCACACACCCACCCATCTATCCATCCACCCACCCACGCACTCACCCACCCATCTATCCATCCACCCACCCACGCACTCATCCACCCATCTATCCATCCACCCACCCACGCACTCATCCACCCATCTATCCATCCACCCACCCACGCACACATCCACCCATCTATCCATCCACCCACCCACACACTCATCCACTCATCTATCCATCCACTCACCCACACACTCATCCACCATCTATCCATCCACCCACCCACGCACTCATCCACCCATCTATCCATCCACCCACCCAAGCACTCATCCACCCATCTATCCATCCACCCACCCATGCACTCATCCACCCATCTATCCATCCACCCACACGTGCACCTATCCACCCATCTATCCATCCACCCACCCATGCACTCATCCACCCATCTATCCATCCACCCACCCATGCACTCATCCACCCATCTATCTCTCCACCCACACATGCACCTATCCACCTATCCATCCATCTACCTATTCACCCACCCATCCATCCATCTGCCTATTCACCCACTCTTCTGCCCACCCACTCATCCATCCATCCATCCATCCATCCACCCCACCCATCATGCGTTCATCCATTCATCCACCCACCCATTCATCCACCCGTTCATCTATCCATCTGTCCACTCATCCTCCATCCACCCCACCCACCACCCATCCACCCATTCACCCACCCATCCATTCATCTGCCCATCCACTCATCAATCTGTCCACTCACCCACCCATCCACCCATCCATCTATCCATCCGTCCACCCATTCTCCATCCACCCCATCCACCATCCATCCACCCATTCACCCACCCATCCATCCATCTGCTTATTCACTCACTCCTCCACCCACCCACTCATCCACCCATCCATCCATCCATCCATCCATCCATCCATCCATGCATCCATCCACCCACCCATCCATTCATCTGCCCATCCACCCATCTATCTATCTGCCCACTCACACACCCACCCACCCACCATCCATCCACCCATCCATCTATCCATCCATTCACTCACCCATTCCTCCACCCACCCACCCTTCCATGCACCCACCCACCCTTCCATGCACCCACCCACCCATTCATCCACCTGTCCATCCATGCACAGGTATTTGCTGAGCTGGTGCCACATGCACTGGCACTTTGCTAGCCTTTGGGAAGCACAACAGTAAAACACAGGTCATGTTTACCTCAAGTTTCCAATCTATTGTGAAGCTGCAGGCAGAGGCGAACTCATCTTGGGGGCTTGCAGGACACAATCCCATGAGGTAGAGAAGTAAATCAGGCAGAGGTGAACGCATCTTGGGGGCTGCAGGAAGTAAAAACATTAGCACCTGGGTTTGTGTGTCTTTTCATCCCATCTCATTCTTTATGTGACTCCTTCTGTATACCAGTTTTACAGTGCAGGGGGGTGCTCAGGCACGTCTCTCTGTTTAGGGGCTGCAAGGAAGTGAGCCACTGGGTGGCTGAGCCACGTAAACAAGAAGAGGAGTAACAATCTAAACTGAAAGGGCTTGTGGCTGGGTCACAGTCTGCAGGAGAAGGGAGGGTTCATCCGGGTCTTGGATGAATTTGTTGGATGGGAAGTTGGTGAAGAACATTCCGTGGGCAGGACAGGTGCAGCCAGCAGGGGTGGAGAATGAGAAGACACTCAGGGCATGGAGTTTTGGAGCTGGGGCTGCAGGAGGCGGGGACAGAGGCACTGTCGATGGGTATGGCTTTGATGCTGGTTCGCAGGCAGCCTGAATTCCACCTGGTCGATATCAGAAGCTGCTGAAGGAGGATGAGGGCATCTGGCCTCAGCCATGAGACTGATTGAAGCTCTGTGGGGACCAGGAGGAAGTGGGGGCTGAAGCTGCTGGGCAGGGGGTTGGGGGAGATCTGGCTGAGTCTGAAAGGTAAGGTGCTGTTCGCAGTGGCAGGTGTGTCATTAACTTGCTGTGGAACCAAACACCCAGATCTCAGTGGCTTCAAACAACAGCAATGTGCCATTCTCCTGGGCTGACAGTTGGGGATGGCAGCTGGCGCCCCTCGGGTCTCCTACAGGCAGCCGGCAGCTCCTTCCATGGGGTTCTCTGGGCGGCTGCGCGAGGGCAGAGGTGGAGGCCACGCAGCCTCTTAGGGCAGGACACCACTTCCACCACGTTCTGTGGGTCAAAGCAAATCAGACGCCCACCCAGGCTCAGGAGGGGGACCTCCACCTCTTCATGGGAATTTCAGCAAATCCCTGTGGTCGCAGCGCCGGGGGCCCAGTGTCTCCCGAGTGCGTCCACATGTGTGCTGAATGCAGGCTGTGGAGTGCAGGGGAGAGAGGTGAGCGCCTGGGCGGGTGAGCGGGGAGAGGTGAGCACCTGGGCGGGTGTGCAGGCAGAGAAAGAGTGAGGAAGGTCCACCTTCAGCTGGAGCTGAGGACAGGGCTGCATTTGGGGAGGAAAAGGGGCCAGATGGGAGTTCTGTGCCAGGCTGGGGTTCGGGTCAGGAAGGCTTCTCCACAGAGCGGCGTGATCACATCTGGATCTGGCAGGAGTGGGGAAGGACAGTCAGGAGTCGATGGGGAGATGGGACTGGGTGGGGGCAGCAAGGATGGAAGGTGGGGAGACAGACGCTGTGGAGGCCCAAGGGGACTCTGGCTGGTGAACGAGGACACCCCCAGGCTCTAGGCCCCCACCCCAGGGCGGAGAACCCCCACTTCCCAGGTCCCGAGGGAGCCCTGTCTCACTTCTCCGCTGAGGCCAAGGCTCGTTTCCAAAGAGGAGAGGAAGAGGGGAGGGGAGGGGAGGGGAAGGGAAGGGAGGGGAAGAGAAGGGAGGGGAGGGGAGGGGAGGGCAGGGGAGAGGAGGGGAGGGGAGGTGAGGGATGTTCAGATCAAGAGCCCCACTGGGGAGAGCTTTAAAAAATGCAATTAAATGGAAAATAATTAAATCCAATTAAAAATGAGCAGTGGGGGGTGGGGAGTGGGGGGATGCTGGGACTGCAGGGAAGGCTTGGGCTGC
This sequence comes from Homo sapiens, assembly GCF_000001405.40. Taxonomy (NCBI): domain Eukaryota; kingdom Metazoa; phylum Chordata; class Mammalia; order Primates; family Hominidae; genus Homo; species Homo sapiens. The sequence continues at coordinate 89,014,624 of NC_000016.10, forward strand.
CCTGTGCAGTCTGCAGTCTTCCTGATTGCACTTTCGAGGTGGAAAAAGGAGGCCAGACCTGGCCCCCAACACTGTGGGAGCGCCCAGTGGCTGCAAAGCCGGGGCCACCAGGCCACGCTCTCCTGGGACCTGCCCCGCTGGACCGGGGACGTCTGTCACCGCTTCTTTCCCAGCCGCTCTCTCCCACCTGCTGGGGCTCCCCAGGGCCCCAGGCCCCCTTTGGAACACCCAGTCTTGCTCTCCTCCAGTCAAGCCACATTCCATGAGAGCACCTGAAGGGGATTGGCTAGGGGCCGCCTCGAGACCCTCTGGCGTGGAAACCGTCAGCTGGTGAGCACATGGGCCAGCCGGGGTGTTTGTTACATGTGCATTTCCTGACCCCGCCCAGTCTGGCTGGATGGATCCTGGGCATCTGAATTTATGTGAAGCCCAGGTGGGTCAGGTGGCAGTCAGGTGGCTCAGGTCACACCTGGAGACCCCATCTAGTGCCGCCCCCTCTTTACAGAGCATTGCCTGGGGCCCTCCTTGCTGAGCTGAGGGACGGCCCAGGCTGCATCCCCCCGCCAGGAGGTGGCCTCTGCTGGGTCCTGGAGAGCTGGTTCCCGAGCTAAGGCCAGAGGTGCTGCTGAGGGGTCTTTGCCTAGGCCACTAGCAGGGGCTGGATGAGGAGGGGGGCCACGGCTTTGGCGGCTGGTGCCTGACCTTGGCAGAAGGACCAGGAGGGGGACGGCGGCTTTGGCGGCTGGTGCCTGACCTCGGCAGGAGGACGAGGAGGGGGATGGCGGCTTTGGTGGCTGGTGCCTGACCTCAGCAGCAGCCTTCCCCGATGGGCTTCTGGGAACTTGCTGCCTCCTCCCTGGGCTCCCAGCTGCTTCCCTCCCCTGCAGCACCCCTCTCAGATCTGCCACGGCTGTATGCAGGTGGCTTCACCCCTGGGCTGGGAGCTGGAGGAGGCAGACCTAACAGGCGGTGGGCCCAGCCCAGCAGACATAGCCGCTGCTCACAGCAAGGAGTGCAGGGACCTCAGCAAGGCTGGCTGCCAAGGTGGAACCACTCTGCCGAGGCTCCCTGCACCCTGCACGAGGCTCCCCACACCCTGCCCAGGGCTCCCTGCACCCTGCACCCTGCCCGGGGTTCCCTGCACCCTGCACCCTGCCCGAGGCTCCCCGCACCCTGCCCGAGGCTCCTGCACCCTGCCCGAGGCCCCCTGCACCCTGCCCGGGGCTGGCATCCCACACTCTGCACAACAAACGCCTGGTCCTGGGGCACGGGGGCTGTGGGGAGGCGAACTCCACGCAGGAGCAGGGGGCTGAGGAGGGCCTGTCTGCCCCAATTAACACTCCAGGATCATCGCTGAGCAGAAACCCCATTCTTGGAGGTAGGGCCTAGAGAGGCCTAGAGAAGACATCATTTTTAATTTAAAAAAATGTAAATGTTAAATAGGGAAGACATGCCTATAACACCAAGCCCAACAGCTAGCACAGTCAACAGTCAGCACAGTCAACAGTCAGCACAGCCAACAGCCAGCACAGCCAACAGCCAGCACAGTCAACAGCTAGCATAGTCAACACCCAGAACGGTCGACAGCCAGCACGGTCAACAGCCAGCAAGGTCAACAGCCAGCACAGCCAACAGCCAGCACAGTCAACACCCAGCACAGTCAACAGCCAGCACGGTCAACAGCCAGCACGGTCAGCAGCTAGCATAGTCAACACCCAGAATGGTCAACAGCCAGCACGGTCAACAGCCAGCATGGTCAACAGCCAGCACGGTCAACAGCCAGATGGTCAACAGCCAGCACAATCAACAGCTAGCATAGTCAACACCCAGCACAGTCAACAGCCAGCACAGTCAACAGCCAGCATGGTCAACAGCCAGCACGGTCAACAGCCAGCACGGTCAACAGCCAGATGGTCAACAGCCAGCACAGTCAACAGCCAGCACAGTCAACACCCAGCAGAGTCAACAGCCAGCACAGTCAACAGCTAGCATAGTCAACACCCAGAATGGTCAACAGCCAGCACGGTCAACAGCCAGCAAGGTCAACAGCCAGCACGGTCAACAGCCAAGCACAGTCAACACCCAGCACAGTCAACACCCAGCACGGTCAACACCCAGCACGGTCAACACCCAGCACGGTCAACAGCCAGCACGGTCAACACCCAGCACGGTCAACAGCCAGCACGGTCAACAGCTAGCATGGTCAACACCCAGAATGGTCAACAGCCAGCACAGTCAACAGCCAGCACGGCCAACAGCTAGCATAGTCAACACCCAGAATGGTCAACAGCCAGCACGGTCAACAGCCAGCATGGCCAACAGCCAGCACAGCCAACAGCCAGCACAGCAGGAAAAATAGTCAGTTCCCCTCCATCTGCAACCCCCAAGGGCCACAGTGTCTTCTGAATCCTCCCAGAGATGGGCCCTGCTCAGGAAAGCATGTGTCTGACACTGTGTATCTCACATGCACCCACACATGTGGCAGCAAAGCCCAGAATGGGGGTCTCCATCCACAGTTCACATCAAAATCACTGCAGAGGTGTTCACGTCCTCCTAAAGCTCCCACGGTGAAATCCTACCCTGAGAGGATGAGTGAGGAGGTGGCCTTCGGGGGAGGGTGAGTGAGGAGGTGGCCTTCGGGGGAGGGTGAATGGCCTTCGGGGGAGGGTGAGTGAGGAGGTGGCCTTCGGGGGAGGGTGAATGGCCTTCGGGGGAGGGTGAGTGAGGAGGTGGCCTTCGGGGGAGGATGAGTGAGGAGGTGGCCTTCGGGGGAGGGTGAATGGCCTTTGGGGGAGGGTGAGTGAGGAGGTGGCCTTTGGGGGAGGGTGAATGGCCTTTGGGGGAGGGTGAATGAGGAGGTGGCCTTTGGGGGAGGGTGAATGGCCTTCGGGGGAGGGTGATGGCCTTTGGGGGAGGGTGAATGAGGAGGTGGCCTTCGGGGGAGGGTGAAGGCCTTCAGGGGAGGGTGAATGGCCTTCGGGGGAGGGTAAGTGAGGAGGTGGCCTTCGGGGGAGGGTGAATGCCCTTCGGGGGGCAGTTAGGGCAGGAGGCTGGGGTCCCCCCGATGGGATCAGTGCCCTCACCAAAGAGGCCAAGGGAGACCCCTGGGAGTGCACAGAGTGAAGGCGTCACCCACAGCCAGGAAGAGGGCCCTCCCCGCCCCGTCCTCGGACGCTGATGGCAGATTCCAGCCTCCAGAACAGTGAGGACTAGATCCCCGTGGTTTCAGCCCCGCAGCCTGTGATGATTTGTTACAGCATCCTGAGCAAAGACAATCACCGAGGCAAGTTTTTAAAAATTCAGAAGACTGGCCCCACCCCCACAAGCTGCATCCATCCCAGTGGATGGGTTTGGGCAGAGCGGGTTTTTTGTTGTTGTTGATGTTTTTAACTTCGTAGACAATGTTAGTATTCAGCCAGTGCTGAGAGCCGCACGATGCAACGCAGCCCTGCAGCTTGCTGTTTCTTGCTGTTTCTCCTGTAAGATAGCTGGTTCTGCTTCACTACGATTCTCCCAAACACCAGAGCCCTGATCATACTTAACCCACAGCCAGCTGTGCCTGGGGAAGACTCTGGGGCCGTCCTCCGTCCACCGTCTGCGAGGACGTGGGGATGGGCCCCTGGACAGTCAGAGCCACGGGATGGCCCTTAAGTGGAGTTGCTGCCGCAAAGCGTTTATGATTCAAATGGAATCAGACTTTGTCTTTCCAGTGTCATATGTTGGGGAGAGTGAGACACAGAGTCTGGTCCGATGTGGGGAGGGCACACCCCTCTGTGCTTGTCAGCAGCATGGTTGGTCGCTGATGTCATCTGGAGGTCTGGGCTGAATGAAAGGGGGTGCGTGGGTAAGGCAGTCACATGTGGGCTGTGCAGGGATCTCAGCATGGCTCTTCCAGCCTCCATTCCAGCTCTTCCTGCCTGGAGAGGATGAAACGCTAACTCCACTGCTCGCTCTTGCACTGGGCTTCTGGCTATAGATGAGCCCCCACCAGCTAGACGTACTCACAAGCTGGACCAGCAGGCAAGAGCCCATGGCCACTTCTGATGACAGCACAGTCAGGAGACACGACTCCCTCCGAGCAAAGTTTTAAGGAGCAGGCAGAGAATGGCTGGCACCCTCCCTATTCCAGCCCATCCTCCTGAGCCCAGCCCAGCCTCCGGAAGCAGGAGGTGGTGCGGCCATCTTCCTAGTCCCCAGGAGGACAAGAACCGGGTCTGTCTTTCCTACCAGTGCCTGAGTGGTTCTGTTTTCGGGGCTGAATGTGGACTGATGCAATGTCTCCTTTCCCAGAAGCACCCGTAGGAGGGGCTGGGCTGCAGGGACAAGGATCCGAGGGGTCAGCTGTGCACCAGGGAAGGATAGCTTCCCCCCGCCATGGCAGGAAGGGACACGGTCACGTCCACTTCAGGGCTTCTGGACCCAGCCTCACCCCACCCCACTGCAGGGAACTCAGGCAGCTGCTACCCCACAGAGCAGGCCGCAGGTGGCCCCAAAGCACATGGTCCTGGTGTGGAGTGGAGTTTGGATTTTTTTTTTTTTTTTGAGACGAAGTCTTGCTCTTGTTGCCCAGGCTGGAGTGCAGTGGCGTGATCTCAACTCGCTGCAACCTCTGCCTCCTGGATTTAAATGATTCTCCTGCCTCAGCCTCCCAAGTAGCTGGGATTACAGGCGCCCGCCACCACGCCCAGCTAATTTTTTTTGCATTTTTAGTAGAGACGGGGTTTCACCATGTTGGCCAGGCTGGTCTTGAACTCCTGACCTTCGGTGATCTGCCTGCCTCGGTCTCCCACAGTGTTGGGATTACAGGCGTGAGCCACCGTGCCTGGCCTGGATTTTCTTTTCAGAGCAGTGGGGGAGCCCTGGGAGTGCTTTAGGAGCAGGAGCAGCAGGACCGTACACTGAGAAGGAGATACCACAGGTAGAGGAGCTGGGACCAGCACGCCTGGGGCAGGGAGGGGCACCGCTCGCCTGGAGGGTTCCTGGGTCCTGGCCTCTGAAGATCAAGGGGAGGAGCCTGGAGCCAAAGGCCCCAGAAGGAAGAAGCGAGGTCCCGGCACCAAGGGCACGGGATGGCAGCCACTGGGAAAGCACCACGGAAGCCGCATCGGCAGGTTCCTGCTGCCACCCCTTGGTGCCAGGTACAGGGCAGGACGCAGAGGGGAAGCTGGCCCAGGAATGCCGCCACAGGACCCCGCGGGACCCCCTGCAGGTGTCGGAGGGGCTGCCCAGACCCTGCCCAGCATTCTGCAGGCAGCTTGAGTCCCGGGGGGCTGATGAAGTAGGGGCTGGACCCCAAATCTCCAGACAGAGCAGCATCCAGTTACTGTGCAGAGACAGCACATCTCAGTCAAAGACGGGGCCAGGAGGGCGGTGGTCTCCTCTGGAGCCCCTCTTCCTCCCACTGGCAGCCCTGCAGACTCCCAGAGCAAGCTGCACAACCACAATCACACCTTCTGGTTCACCAAATATTCATGGAGTGCTCCGCGTGCCGGCACCGTTCTGGACACAGACGCTCCCCATGTAGACGCTGAGAGGCAGCCTTGCAGACAAGAGTCCTCAGAGCAGCCAGCCCCCGAGTCAGGTGGATCCCCCTGGAACAGCCAGCCCCGAGTCAGGTGGGTCCCCCAGAGCAGCCAGCCCCGCGGCCATGTCTAGAGCCCCTGGAGCAGCCAACCCCTGAGTCAGGTGGGTCCATTTGCTCCCGGTCAAGCGCAGGGACGCGTCCCAGGGGCGTGGTTACAAGGAGGACTTCTGGGAAATTTGTTTCTGGCTCTTAAGGGAGATCCACAGGAAGACACAGCTCCCTTTTTCTATGTGTTACTCCCTACTCTGGGTGTGATACCCCACATTGCTGAGTCATCTTGCTACCAAACTGTCAAGAACCGTGAGAGGTCTGAGGCTAACACATTGGCTTGCCATTGTTTTAAAGATGCTAGTGGAATACACGAGACTCCTGGATCAGAAGCGAAGACCTTTATTACTCATGGCACAGCAAGCAGCTTGAGGTTTTTGTTTTTGTTTTGTTTCATTTTGTTTTGAGACAGAGTCTTGCTTTTGTCACCCAGGCTGGAGTGCAGTGGCATGATCTCGGCTCACCGCAACCTCCACCTCCTGGGTTCAAGTGATTCTCCTGCCTCAGCCTCTCAAGTAGCTGAGATTACAGGCACCTCCCACCAAGCCTGGCTATTTTTTTTGTTTTTTGTTTGTTTGTTTGTTTTTTGTATTTTTGTATTTTTAGTAGAGACAAGGTTTCACCGTGTTGGCCAGGCTGGTCTCAAACTTCTGACCTCAGGTGATCCAGCTGCCTCGGCCTCCCAAAGTGCTGGGATTACGGGCGTGAGCCACCGCACTCGGCCAAGCTTGAGTTTCATGGCTGCCTTGGTTTCCCAAGCCCTGATGGTCCAGGGGATGCTTCGCACAGGGTGTTTGCATCACAGTGGAAGAAACACGAGCTCAGGGAACTCGCACAATGGGCCACAAGCAAGCGTGCCTGTCCTTTATCCTGGAGGAAAAGGCATCTCTATCACACTGAACAGCAAACAACTTTGCCTTCTGCTTTGGAGGGGATGTTCTCTTTACCAAGGCTGTTTGCAGAGCTAAAATCTTTGCAAAGATCATCTGGAACAAAAACGATCAGTGTCTCTGCTTGCAAGATGTGCAGAAATGCCACAGCGACAGGCCCATGGGAAATTGTCTCCCAATGGCCTGAAGACGCAAAAAGAATAAGGGTCTCCAGTGACATTATGGAGCCATCGTGTCAGCCCACGCGGGACCTGCCCCTCTCCGGACTCCTGTCCGGGAACTCCTTTCCTTATCCTCTCAGGTTGTCGCTCGCAGCCACAGCATCCGAGGCGACCTGCTTCATGCCGTGATCCCCTCTACCAGGTTTCGTTTAGTCCTTACCTGCCACTGACAGTGTGATTTGGGACAGATGATTAAAATCTTGTTATCTCACTAAGGTGTGGTGAGGGCCAACGGAGATTTTATGGTGAATGTGCTTAGAAAATGACAGAGTAGTATATCGGCCGGGTGCGATGGCTCATGCCTGTAATCCCAACACTTTGGGAGGCTGAAGCGGGTGGATCACCTGAGGTCAGAAGTTCAAGCCCAGCCTGACCAACATGGTGAAACCCCGTCTCTACTAAAAATACAAAAATTAGCTGGGCGTGATGGCGGGCACCTGTAATCCCAGCTACTCAGGAGGCTGAGGCACTAGAATTGCTTAAATCTGGGAGGCAGAGGTTAACAGTGAGCTGAGATTGTGCCACCGCACTCCAGCCTGGGTAACAGAACAAGACTGTCTCAAAAAAAAAAAAAAAAAGAAAAAAGAAAAAAAGAAAAAGAAAAGAAAGAAAAGGAAAGGAGAAGAGAAGAGAAGGGCATGATTATTTTTTACTTTTCCCCTCTTTCCCTGGTCGCAGGCTGGCCCCTGACTTCATTTCCTGGTGCTTTGTTAAAATGAGTTAAGTGCGAGTTCAGGAGAGAGGAGCCCCTCATTCACTGCACACCCCGCCCTCCGCCCCTTGGTGAACTTTTGTCAGAGAGAGGCCTGTGACCCAGGCGAGGGCAGAGAAGGCAGAACCCATGTTCTAGGTGGGCAAGAGAGGCTGGAGGCCGTCGCAGGCGCGCTGACGCCCAGCAGCAGCCACCGGAGTGAGACAAGCGGTTGGCTCTCCCTGCACCGGCTGCGGGAGCCCCAGCTGCTCCACGTCCCCACCAACCTTGGTTTTGTGCCTTCTTCACTGTAGCTGTTGGGTGGGTGTGTGGTGGCGTCTCTCTGAGGCTGAGCACTTTTCATGGGTTTCTTGGCCATTTGGGCATCCATCGTCCTATAAATCTTACTAATTTATAGGAGTTCTTTATACATTTGAGGAAACGACAGTTTGAGGACGTTGAGGCTGGAGGTGTGGGTACCATCCCTCCACCTGTCTGCCCTACCCAGACCTGTCCCCAGCACCACAGGCCACCTCTTCACATGCACAGCCTGAGTGACAGCAGCGTTTCCCAGCAGGGGCTCAACTCACAGACGCCTCTCAGATAAAAGGCTTCATAGTGGACCCATGGTGCCCACAGCACACGGGAGCGGCTCAGGGAGGTCCTGCAGCCAGCACACCAGTTCAGCCCTGTCTGGCCGAGAGCTTTGCACGCTCATCTAACCATGGTTTCATGGAATGTCTGTGATATCTCATGGAAGTCAAGTCACGCTCTGGGAAAGAAGAGTGGGAAGTGCTGCGCCAGCCTAACCCCTGCCCAGAGACTCACATGTGGACGCAGGATCTTGTATGTGCACACACACCCTGCATCCTGCGACCGACACGCATACACACCTCCCACCACACCCGGCAAATTTTTTTTTTTTTTGTATTTTTGTATTTTTAGTAGAGACGAGGTTTCACCGTGTTGTAGAGATGGTGCTCACATGCACCCACAGTCACACTCACACACACGCTCACACTCACACGCTCACAGGCACGTCACATACACACACTCACACGCTCACAGGCACAGTCACATACACACACTCACACGCTCACAGGCACAGTCACACGTGCACCCACAGTCACACACACACACACTCACACCCTCACAGGCACAGTCACATACACACACTCACACTCATACGCTGACAGGCACAGTCACATACACACACTCACACACGCTCACAGGCACAGTCACGCATGCACCCAGTCACATACACACACGTTCACATGCACACTCACACGCATACACACACACTCACAGGCACGTCACACAGGCACCCACACTCACACACATGCACACACACAGGCACATCACACATGCACCCAGTCACACACATACACACACACTCACACACATGCACAGTTGCACGTGCACCCGCACTCACATGCATCCCCACCTGGTGCTGCCCCCAGGGTCTGGGCCATTCAACCCTCAGGGTTGCCCAGGTCTCTTGTCCCCCCTGCAGCAGGAACTGCCTCTGCAGAGTCTCTCTCTGTCCTTCGGGGTCTGGGTTCTCAGGAGCTGAGATCTCTTCATCAGTGAGGGGAGGGGAGGTGGCAGTTGTGGCCTAGTCCAACCCACATCCTTGGACCTGCCCAGAGAGACCCCTCTAGCAGCCCCAGCTTCCCGTCCCCTAACACAGACCCCATTCTGGACCTGGGGTTCCCGGCCCTCCCGGCCCCTCACCCCTTCCCCACCTCCACTGCTCGGGGCTGACTCTGCCATGCATTACATTCCCCGTGTACGGCAACAGCTGGCTGAGCTTAATTAAGCCCCACAGTGCCGGGTTCCACCTGGCGAGGAATTAACAACAATAACAAAATAGCAAACACCGGAGGAGGGGGTCTGCAGAGGCAGGTCTGGGGCCTCCTGCTTCTCCCAGAGGGTAGGAACGTGGCCAGGGAGCCACTGGCCTCTGCCTCCAGTCCTGAGGCCACCTTTGGGGGCTTGCTGTCAGCTCCTGGTCTGGGGATGACATGGCCAGCCCTTGCCACTCTTCCCAGCGGGACAGGGTCTCAACCAACGAGGGGTCTCCATGTCCTTTGCTGTGTGAGGGGCGGCAGCTGGTTGCCCACCCACAGGGGAGGAGGCTCAGGGTACCTAGGCTCTGTGGCTCACCTGTTCTGCACACACCTGCCGAGAACCATGGCGTGTAGGGCACTGTGTGACAGGTTCCCAGCTCACCAGGGTCCAGGCAGAACGGCTGGAGTGAGACGGACACACGGCGTGCAGGTACCTTGGGTGTGGACAGGGGGCACTGGGCTTGCCTTGGAGGAGTGGCAGGGGCTTCTCTCACTGATGTCTGAGCTTCGTCTGGGGGATGTGGGCAAAGGTGGTGTCGGCACCAGGAGCCTGGGAAGAGGCTGGGCGGTGCAGCAGAGTGAGTGGAGTTCCACGGACCCTGAGGCTCCCCAGCCTGTGCTCTGCAGGGGTGGCTCCAGGAGGGCCCTGAGTTTTGGCCTTGCGGGGCTGGAGCTCAGAGGAGGCACCTCTAGCATCACACATTAAGGGGCAGAACAGGAATTTAAGTTCAGGATGCCTGGCTCCTAAGCTAGGGCCTCATTTCTGTACCAGATACACACCCAGTCATCCGCTGCCTGGGGTGGGCTCAGCAAGGATGGAGCTGCAAGGGAGGGTGGGGCTCCCTCAGAAGCAGGCGCCTAGAGATGACAAGAGACGGGGCGGTGGCTGGGGACCCCCAGGCAGCACTTCTAGCAGACTGAGCGTCGGACAGGTTAGCAGATGCCGAGGCCCACCTGTGCACACAGATTGATTCCTTTAAATAAGTTATTTATAGCTTGTACCCATCTGCTTCCAAAAGGGGTTTGGGAAATGCAAGAAAAAAACAGAACATTGGAAACAGAACTAGCAGTTTATCGCAGAGGCACAAGAAAAACAGAATAGTGTAAATAGAACTAGCAGGTGATCGCAGAGGCACGAGAAAAACAGAACAGTGGAAATGGAGCTAGCAGGTTATCGCAGAGGCACACACACACACACAAAAACCAGAACAGTGGGAATGGAACTAGCAGGTTATCACAGAGGTTGCAGGGATCATCGTGCTCCAAACCATCCTAAGGTTTTGTTCTGGACTTCCTGGCACCTGAAGCAAAAAGGGAAACAAAAAGGTGTTGTGAGCTTTCATTTTGTGTTTGGCTTTTCCAATTTTTCCGAAAATCACAGGAGAGGTAAAAGCTTTCACAGAAAGAGTGCACTGTGCCATGAGGAACCTGGAATGGGTCCCTGCTCTCTGATCTCAAGAAAATCAACAACCTGTTTGGTCTTGTTTTCGTCTCTGGTGAAATGGGAATAATAATAATGTCCAGGCTGGGCGCGGTGGCTCACGTCTGTCATCCCAGCACTTTGGGAGGCTGAGGCAGGCAGATCACCTGCGGTCAGGAGTTCCAGACCAGCCTGGCCAACATGGTGAAACCCCTTCTCTACTAAAAATATAAAAATTAGCTGGGTGTGGTGGTGCATGCCTGTAGTCCCATCTACTCGGGAGGCTGAGGCTGGAGAATTGCTTGAACCTGGGAGGCAGAGGTTGCAGTGAGCCAAGATCGGACCACTGCACTGTGACCAATAAATAAATAAAATAATAATCACAATAGTGCCCACCTGCTTCCCTGGGAGGATGAGAGGCCCAAGGGAATGGATGCTTGTGAAGTGCAGTCAGGCAACTCTGGGGGGCTGTGAATAAGAGGGGTATTACGTTAAGCTCCTGGAGGGTGGGGTTGCCATCCACCGCTGCCCTAGGTGGGCTGCTTATCCTTGGTTCTCAGGTCCCTGCCTGAGGTTACTACCAACACCGCACTCTCTCAGCCAGCAAAGGGTTTTTGGTTTGGAGAACAAAGTCTATGGTTATCATATCCATGTATATGCCTATTTTTGGTTTTGTATTTATTTTAGTATTATTTAAAATGCAGTTCCTTATCTCGAGGAGCTCATGTTGCAGAAGAGTCTAGACAACAGGAGGGAATCCCACCAAGGGCAGTGTTGAAAGATTTCAGTGGGTTCCACAGTTTCCTCTCTTCTCATACGAGCCTTTGTCTTTTGCACCAAACACTCATGCGTGAGAGAGAAAAGGAGATGAGGGAGCCAGGCTCTGAGTACCTTCCCTGACGTGAGGTGTGAAGACAGTTCTGCCACTTCCTGTGTGACTTTGGCAAGGCACTGAAACACTCAGCCACTTACCTCGTCTATGACTCAGGGTTGTAAGAAATGGTCAGTAAATCACCAGGTGTCGTGGCTGTGGTAGATGCTGTAGAAATGGTTCATGACAGTGACTGTTCTCACCATTGCCCCAATTGCATTCAATCTTTCCAGACTGTTCTTCAGTAAAAGCTGATGACTCATCCTTCCCAGAACCAAACAACCTATTCTTTCAGTGGGGGAGGTTTTCAATTATGATTGCCATTTTTTTTAAAAATCAGATGTCCTTTCAGAGTTTCTATTTCTTCTTGTGTCAGTTCTGGTAATTTGTGTCTTTTAAATCTCAGAAGATTTAAACCTTAAATGATTTAAATCTTTTGAATTTATTGACATGTTTTATAGTGAATGATCTAAGTACATTTGAAAAAAAAAGTATGTGTTCTGGGTGGGTGGGAGCATCCTATTAATGCCAACTAGGTCATGTTGGTTGATATGTTGTGTTTGTCTTTTGCATCCTTGCTGATTTTCTGTCTACACATTCTGTTGCTGAGAGAGGAGTATTGAACGCCCTAGAAATTTGTCCATTCCCTCTACTGTCAAGTTTATTGGCATAAAGTTGTTCAGAATATTCCCTAATTCTCCTTTTAATACCTACAGGGTCTGTGGCAATGTGTTATCTTTCATTCCTGTTACTGGTCATTTATATTCTGTCTCTCTAGTAATCTAGGAGTTTATCAATTTTATCAATATTTTCAATGACCTAACTTGTGAATTTCTTGACTTTTCTCTATGGTTTGTTCATTTTCTATTTCGTTGATTTTTGCTGTTTAATACATCCTTTTTGAGCTTAATTTGTTCTTTTTCTAGATTTTCAAAGTGGAAGTTTAGATCATTTGTTTTCAACCTTTAGTCTGCTAACACAAGCATTTAAAGCTATAAATTCAACTTTAAGCACTGCTTTGGTTAGAGCACCAAATTTTGATATGTCATGTTTTCATTTTTATTAGTCCAAAATATTTTCTAATTTCCTTTGTGATTTCTTGTTTTACCCATATGTTATTTAGAAGTTTATTGTTTAATTTCCAAATATTTAAGGACATTTTACAGATATCTTAATGTAATTAATTTCTAACTTTATAGTGAGAGAACATATCTTATATGATTTCAATCTTTTCATTTGTTGACATGTTTTATGGTGAATGATCTATGTGCATTTGAAAAAAAAGTTTGTGTTCTGTTCTGGGTGGGTGGGAGTGTCCTATCAATGTCAACTAAGTCATGTTGGTTGATATGTTGTTTTTGTCTTTTGCATCCTTGCTGATTTTCTGTCTGCACATTCAGTTGCTGAGAGAGGAGCACTGAACGCCCTAGAATTGTGGGTTTGTCTGTGTTTCTCTGTGGATCTATGTTGCTTCCCATATTTTGAAACTGTTATTAAATGTGTGTATATTTAGGATTGTTTTGTGTTTCTGATGAACTGACAAGTTTATGACTATATGTTCCTCCTTAATTCTGATAATATGGTCTTGCAGTCTATTTTGTCTGATATTAATGAAATCACTCCAGCTTGCCTATAGTACTATTTGTGTGATGTATCTTTTTCCATCCTCTTACTTTCAAACTATCTGTGCTTTATATTTAAACTATTCTCTTGCAGACAACAGATGGTTGAGTCTAGCTTTTTTAAATCCAGACTGGCAATCTTTGCTTTTGTAAATTTAAGTTTTATTATCTTTGCTTTTTAACTGAAGTGTTAGTCAATTTACACTTAATGTAATTATTGACATGTTTGGGCATAAATCATCTTGCTATTTGTTTTATATTTGTCCCCCTTGGTTTTTGTTTTGAATTTTCCTCCTTTCTTGCCTTCTTTTGAATTATTTAATTATTTCTTAGTATTCCATATTCTTTAATAAAAAACATTTATTTAGAGATGGGGTCTTACTCTGTCACCCAGGCTGGAGTACAGTGGCACAATCCTAGCTGACTGTAACCTCAAACCCCTGGGCTCAAGCAATCTTCCCACCTCAGCCTCCTGAGTAGCTGAGACTAGATGAGAGGCACTGTGCCCAGCTAATTTAAAAAATCTTTTTGGAGAGACAGGGTCTCACTGTGTTGCCTAGGCTGGTCTTGAACTGCTGGGCTCAAGTGATCCTTCCACATCAGCCTCCCAAAGTGTTGGGATTACAGGTGTGAGCCATGGTGCCTGGCCATTTTATTTATTTCATATACGTATACGTGTGTGTGTGTGTGTATTTATTTATTTGGAGGCTACACTTCTGTTTAGGATTTTAACAGCTGCACCAAGGATTACAGTGTCTACCTTGCATTTATATTATTTTGCTTCATGTAGAATGGAAGAAAATTGCAATATGGTACCATTTACCCATGTTTGTGTTTCAGTCATACATTCTACTTCACAAATATTATGACTCTTATAATATCTTTTTATTATTTTTACTTAAAATGGTCAGTTGTCTTTAACATAAAATTAATACAGGAGTAAAGCACACTTTATATTAATATATGGGTAAAGCAGACTTTATATTAATACATGAGTAAAGGGGACTTTATATTAATATATGAGTAAAGCGGACTTTATATTAATACAGGAGTAAAGGGGACTTTATATTAATATATGAGTAAAGGGGACTTTATATTAATATATGAGTAAAGGGGACTTTATATTAATACAGGAGTAAAGCAGACTTTATATTAATACATGAGCAAAGGGGACTTTATATTAATATATGAGTAAAGGGGACTTTATATTAATATATGAGTAAAGGGGACTTTATATTAATATATGAGTAAAGGGGACTTTATATTAATATATGAGTAAAGGGGACTTTATATTAATATATGAGTAAAGGGGACTTTATATTAATATATGAGTAAAGCGGACTTTATATTAATACAGGAGTAAAGGGGACTTTATATTAATATATGGGTAAAGGGGACTTTATATTAATACAGGAGTAAAGCAGACTTTATATTAATATATGAGTAAAGGGGACTTTATATTAATATATGAGTAAAGGGGACTTTATATTAATATATGAGTAAAGGGGACTTTATATTAATATATGAGTAAAGGGGACTTTATATTAATATATGAGTAAAGGGGACTTTATATTAATATATGAGTAAAGGGGACTTTATATTAATATATGAGTAAAGCGGACTTTATATTAATACAGGAGTAAAGGGGACTTTATATTAATATATGGGTAAAGGGGACTTTATATTAATACAGGAGTAAAGCAGACTTTATATTAATATATGAGTAAAGGGGACTTTATATTAATATATGAGTAAAGGGGACTTTATATTAATACAGGAGTAAAGCAGACTTTATATTAATATATGAGTAAAGGGGACTTTATATTAATATATGAGTAAAGGGGACTTAATACAGGAGTAAAGCAGACTTTATATTAATACATGAGTAAAGGGGACTTTATATTAATATATGAGTAAAGGGGACTTTATATTAATACAGGAGTAAAGCAGACTTTATATTAATATATGAGTAAAGGGGACTTTATATTAATATATGAGTAAAGGGGACTTTATATTAATACATGAGTAAAGCAGACTTTATATTAATATATGAGTAAAGGGAACTTTATATTAATATATGAGTAAAGGGGACTTTATATTAATATATGAGTAAAGGGGACTTTATATTAATATATGAGTAAAGGGGACTTTATATTAATATATGAGTAAAGGGGACTTTATCTTAATACAGGAGTAAAGGGGACTTTATATTAATTCATGAGTAAAGCGGACTTTATATTAATACATGAGTAAAGCAGACTTTATATTAATATATGAGTAAAGCAGACTTTATATTAATATATGAGTAAAGGGGACTTTATATTAATACAGGAGTAAAGCAGACTTTATATTAATATATGAGTAAAGGGGACTTTATATTAATATATGAGTAAAGGGGACTTTATATTAATACAGGAGTAAAGCAGACTTTATATTAATATATGAGTAAAGGGGACTTTATATTAATATATGAGTAAAGGGGACTTTATATTAATACAGGAGTAAAGCAGACTTTATATTAATACATGAGTAAAGGGGACTTTATATTAATATATGAGTAAAGGGGACTTTATATTAATACAGGAGTAAAGCAGACTTTATATTAATATATGAGTAAAGGGGACTTTATATTAATATATGAGTAAAGGGGACTTTATATTAATATATGAGTAAAGGGGACTTAATACAGGAGTAAAGGGGACTTTATATTAATTCATGAGTAAAGCAGACTTTATATTAATACATGAGTAAAGCAGACTTTATATTAATATATGAGTAAAACAGACTTTATATTAATATATGAGTAAAGGGGACTTTATCTTAATACAGGAGTAAAGGGGACTTTATATTAATATATGAGTAAAGGGGACTTTATCAATACAGGAGTAAAGGGGACTTTATATTAATTCATGAGTAAAGCAGACTTTATATTAATACATGAGTAAAGCAGACTTTATATTAATATATGAGTAAAGCAGACTTTATATTAATACGTGGGTAAAGGGGACTTTCTATTTACTTCATGTTTGCCACCTCCAGGGCTCTTCACGTCTTTGTGTGGATCTGAAATTCCATGTGGCATCATTTCCCTTCAGCCTGAAGGGCTTCCTTCACATTTATTTATGTACAGTTCTTCTAGTGATTCATTTTCTCAGATTTTGTTTATCTGAATGCTTTATCTCACCTTAATTTTTGAAGGACTTTTTTTTCCTGCAGAGTGTAGGATTTTGAGCTCACAGTTCTAACACTCTAAAGATACTGTTCCATTGTCCTCTGGCTTGCATTGTTTCTGATTAGAAGTCAAAGATTTTGTTTGTTTTGAGAGGGAGTCTCACTCTGTCACCCAGGCTGGAGTGCAGTGGCACGATTTCAGTTCATTGCAACCTCTGCCTCCCTGGTTGAGGCGATTCTCGTGCCTGAGCCTCCTGGGAAGCTGGGATTACAGGTATGTGCCACGATGCCTGGCTAATTTTTGTATTTTTAGTAGAGATGGGGTTTCAGCCTATTGGCCAGGTTGGTCTCGAACTCCTGACCTCAGGTGATCACCCGTGTTAGCCTCCCACAGGGCCGGGATTATAGGCATGACCTGCCATGCCTAGGCTCTTTGGATTGTTTTTATGTATCCATCTTCAAGTTTGCTAACCATTTCTTCTGTAGTCCAATCCTCTGTTGGACTCATCTAGTGAATTTTAAATTTTAGATATTATAATATTTAGTTCTAGATTTTTTAATATCATTTCCCCTTCCATAGTTTCCATTCTTTTGAGAATCTCTATCTCCTCACTCATGTCTTTCTCTTCTTTTAAATCTTTCTCTTTGAATTCCAACATCTGTGTCATCTCTGGCTCTGTTCTATCAACTTCTCTTCTGGTTAAATTTGCCTGCTTCTTTGCATATATAATAATTTTTATTGTATGCTGAACATCATGGAGGCTATATTGAGAGTTTGGATGATGTTGTCATCTTTAAAGATGGGAAGTTTTGTTCTAGGAGATGGCTGTCAGCTTGAGTTTAGACTTTGCGAGGGCAGGTTCTCAAGCAATCCTTAGCCTGTGGCTAGGATAGTCCTCCTGAGACCTGCCTTACTGGGGTTGTCAGCGAGGTCTTTCCACTCAAGCTGTTTGGGTCACACAGTGTCTTCCAGCACTGTTTTACCTCCAAACTCTTTCCTCCATGCAAAACGCTTTGTCTTGGCCAGGCCTTGTGAAGTCCTTCCTATACGGCTCAAGGGAACTCCTGTACAGATTCCTGGGCTCCTTTTCTTTGCACAGCTTCCTCCTTTCTGTTCGCCGCAAGTTGCGGACACCTCGGCAGCCCCATACTCCCCGCTCTGCTTCTCTGCCTGTTGAGACATCTGTGCTGGGTTGAGTCCCCACTTCCTTGTCCTGTGGTTTGGAAAGTACCTCCCAGCAGAAAGCTTGGGTGCACGTGGAAATATCTGTTGTGCAGTGCCTGAAAACAGTTCATTTACATTTCATCCAGTTAAACAATTGTTTATAGAAGGAGGATGAGCCTGACGGACACCCGTGATTTTTATCATGGCTGGGAGTGGACGCCATGCCCTGCCTTGGCAGCATCCTGCCTTCCCACTTGTAGTGCCGTTCCCACCACACCCTCAGTCCCATCAGAGCCCCTCGTTCCTCCTGGCCCCATCCACACGCTACATCTCAGTAATGCGTCCCTGATCTGCACTCTGAGCCTCACCCGTCCTCCCCTGATCTGCACTCTGAGCCTCACCCGTCCTCCCCTGATCTCCACTCTGAGCCTCACCCGTCCTCACCTGATCTCCGCTCTGAGCCTCACCCGTCCTCACCTGATCTCCGCTCTGAGCCTCACCCGTCCTCACAGGCGTCTTCACTGCTTGTGTGCCCTCTGAAAATTCTCTGTGGCATCTGGCACAACGTGGCTTCAACAAAGGTGGATTTATCTGAATTGGGGCTGAAGCAGTGGGAACTGCTCTCACGAACCACTCCTGGTCTTTCAGTTGGGCCAGAGCCGGCATTTAAAGGCGTGGAGGGGAGTCTGGACTGTCAGAAATTCAACCTCTTTATTTTCTAGATGAGGAAATGGATCCAGAAAAGTTTCATAATGTATTTCAATTATGTCATTTATTTATTTATGATTTTTTAAAATTTTGAGAGGGAGTTTCACTCTTTTTGCCCAGCCTGGAGTGCAGTCGTGTGATCTCAGCTTACCGCAACCTGCACATCCCAGGTTCAAGCGATTCTCCTGCCTCAGCCTCCTGAGTAGCTGGGATTGCAGGCATGTGCCACCATACCGGGCTAATTTTGTATTTTTAGTAGAGATGGGGTTTCTCCATGTTGGTCAGACTGGTCTCGAACTCCCAACCTCAGGTGATCCACCCACCTCGGCCTCCCAAAGTGTTGGGAGTACAAGCGTGAGTCACTGCGCCCGGCCTATTTATTTATTTATTTATTTAAAGTATCAAACAGCAGCCATGAGTTAGGCTCTGGGGATACAGAGAAATTGCTTTGCCCTCAAAAAGCTCTGAGATGGTAGAGTGGGGGAAATAGAGGAATAAACGAGTGGCATCCACTCAGGACCCTGCGTGGTGTGAGCTTGCCGGGGAAAGCCTGGTACAGGCAGGGAAGACCTGGAGGAAGGCAGGGAGGCTGAGCTGTGAGGTCATCGGGAGAGGGCCAGGAAGGGGCACGTCCATGCCACCGGGAGAGCATGTGGAAGGGCCCCAGGGGCCCTGCGAGGACAGTTTTGAGGGTGCACGTGGTGCCCTGAGGATTTGGGGCAAGGGCTGGCATGGGAGGGTGAACTCGATGGGATGGCAGTGAGGAGCAGCAGGAGGTTCCAGGCCAGGGCAGGGTGATCCAGTGTGTTGTTTCTGTCCAGCCACCGTGGCTGGACAGGCCAGAGGAGAGGGGGTGTGGGAGGCAGTGGGCAGCTGGGAGCTCTTCCAGAGAGGGGGTCATGGGATGAAGCAGAGGAGGTGGGCTCTAGGGGGACTCAGGAGGTAGAAGGGGAAGCAGACCCCCTCCCCACAGCCAATTTGCTGTTCCAAAGCTGAGACCAAGGCCCGAGGGCACCCAGGGAGCGTGTGTGCTGCCATTCACCCTGCATCTGTGCTGGTGCTCCGGTCGTGGTGCCGGGATTTGCTCTCACTGGTGAGGGAAGAGACTTGGGTTCATGGAGGGGCAGAAGGTGCCATGCCCTGGCTCACACAGCACACGGGCAGGGCTGGGGCCAGAGCCCAGCACTCGGACTGCAGGCAAGTGCATGGCCTCCCTGGGCGTCCACCCGCACTGCAGGGCTGAGCTGAGCAAATGTTAGTGGGTGGCCAGAGCTGCACGTGCACACACACACTCAAGCATGGGTTCCCCCCCACAAGTTCACACACACACTCACGTGTGGATTCACCTGCACTCACATGCGTGGGTTCACCCGCACGCATTCACACACACATGTGTGGGTTCACCTACACTCACACTCATGCTTGGGTTCACCCACACGCACTCACACACACACGCGTGGGTTCACCCGCACTCACACACTCCCACACGTGGGTTCACTCGTATGTATTCACACGCACACTCACGTGTGGGTTCACCTGCACACACTCACATGCACACTCACACGTGGGTTCACCCACACGCGCACACACACAGAGCACACTCTGGCGCATGCATGGACACAGTCAGGCCCGTGCTCTCTGAGGTCCGATGGAGGGCATCGTTCTGGGAGCTTCCCTGACCCCTGGGTGTCCCGCGCCTGCCCTCTTCAGTGGTGGTGGAGGCCGGGCAGGCCGCGGTACCAGTGGGAGGAGAGGCTGGCTATGGAGTTGGTGCCTGGCATTCTTTCCTAGCACACTTGGGGCACCTTCCCTGGCAAGGTCAGGCAGACAGGCCAGGCTAGGCCTCCTGTCAGGGACCCAGCAGGATGCCACGTAGCAGAGGCACCAGCACATCCCAAACTGGCCGTGCCCACGGCCTCGTGGTGAGAGCAGGGCCACCAGCCAGGAACCAGCATGCTGGCAGGAGGTGGGAAGAAACTTTGTTTTTGGCTGCGGCCTCCTCTGTCCTGGAGAAAGTGGCCACAGGGCTTGTAGAGGCAGGTGGAGAGGGGCAGGGCCTGTGTTGAGGCCGGGGGGCCGGGTGTGCCTGGGAGCACAGCCCCCACCTGCTTGCCCCTCCCCGGCCCCCTCTGCTTCACCCGGAGCTCCTTCTCTCCCTCCTCTGCTCCTGCCCCTGCCGTCCGTTCCTCTCTCTCCCTTCAGATTCATCCTCTCCTCCTGCAGCAACAAAGAAACCACTGCCACCCCCGCCCCCACCGCTCTCCCCAAGACACAATGCGAGACCTGTTTATCAATTTGCCACTCTCTCTCCTCGCCGTCTCTCTCCCCGCCTTGTTCTTTATCTTTTTCTCTCTCCTTCCTCGTCCCCCTCCCCCTCCCTCCTCTTCATTCTCTCTCTCTCTCCCTCTTGAAAAGCAAGAGAAATGGAAGTCAAGATCTTCTCCTGGTGATAATTATTGAAAAGTTCAGCACAGAAGCAGACAGCGATGCTGCAGGGGGAGGGGGATATTAAAATGCATGTGCACAGCTTGGCTTTGCAGCAGATGTTGGCATAATTAGAGAGGAAAAAATTATGAAATTAATTTGCGGTTCAATGTAAATTTCAGTGATGGGGGAAAGCTGGGCTCCAGTCACCTCATGAGCACAGATAGACATGCACATATGCACACACGCACGCACACGCACACACACATGGACACACGAACACACACACACGCACACACGCACACACATGAACTTGCACACGTGCACACACGCACACACACATACACGGACACCCCAGCCGCCAGGGAAGGGGTAATTGTCAGTCTCGTGCAAGGAGAGAGGATCTGGCATGAGCAGCAGGGTGCCGGGAGTAGAGGGTGGGATTCTGCCTCTTAAAAGCTCAAAGGCAGGGGACAGCGCCCCTCCCCAGGGTCCCAGGCTCACATCCTCAGGTACAGGGAGGGTGGCCCCTGGCTTAGGACTAAGCCACAGGGCTCCCTGAGTGTTCCCCACGCTTCCAGTGTGCAGGGCCCTTCTCCCACTTCCAGCAGGTGAGGACAGGTAGAGGGGTGGACGCCACCACACCAATGAGAGGAGAGGAGCTGGGAGGTGAAGGCAGTGCGGGATTTGGAGGAGACAGTGACGTTGGCTGTTCTGGGGGATGTCAGGCCGGGAGACGAAAGGAGGTGGCAATGGAGAGTCATGGAAAATTCTGGAACGGGGGCGGTGGGAACGGCGCTGCCTGGGACTCTCGAGCCCCTTGCTCAGAGGTCACCTTCTTCCAGCTGTCCTCCCTCTGTGGCTCCGAGGTCCTTACTGTTGCTCCCGCCCCCACCCCCAGGCCCCCAGCTTCGCTGAGGCCACACACAGGCAGCCCCACCAGGAAACCCTGGCTCTCCCCATCCCCCTCATCCTGCCCTCCACCATTCAGCTGACTGAGGGACCCTCCACACCTCTTTCCCTATCTGCTCCATGAGGGCCAGGTGGAGGCCAGATGGGGGCTTCCCACCTGCTGCCCGGGGTGCTGTGCCAAGGACAGGAGGAGAGGTCTGTGAATGCAGCCCTGCTCTGCCAGTGTCAGGACACCCACCCTGGCTGAGGAATCACCCCACTGTCCCCCTGCCGGCCTCAGGACAGCCACCCCGGCTGAGGAATCACCCCACTGTCCCCCTGCCGGCCTCAGGACAGCTACCCCGGCTGAGGAATCACCCCACTGTCCCCCTGCCGGCCTCAGGACACCCACCCCGGCTGAGGAATCACCCCACTGTCCCCCTGCCAGCGTCAGGACACCCACCCCGGCTGACAAATCACCCCACTGTCCCCCTGCCAACCTCAGGACACCCACCCCGGCTGAGGAATCACCTCACTATCTCCCTGCTGGCGTCAGGACACCCACCCCAGCTGACAAATCACCCCACTGTCCCCTTCGGGGTCCCCAGCCAGAGCCTCAGACTCCGTAGGCTCCATCCCCACCTGCCAGGTCTCTTCCTTCCTCATCCTGATGCATTCATAGTGCGATGCTAGGCCTTCTCCTCCAGGAAGACTTCCCTGACCACCCTCTGAGGGCAGGGTGCCCACAGTCTGGATCAGTCACGGCCGGCTGCATTATCAATGGGGCCTGTGCCCTGCGCAGTCCTGAGCTCGTCTGCGCGGGGCTGCTGGCCTCTAGCAAGGTGCACCGGGGTGTGAGGTGCAGGCGGAGAGGTGCGGGCAGGCTAGGGGTTTGCTCCATTCTCTTGGCCGCCTGAAAGTCATCAACGTGGCAGGTTCTCCGCTGACCCTTCTGGACCCAGGGAGGCTAGGAGATGGACCCCAAGAACCAAGTGTTAGAGGTTGAGACACCCCAGGAGACGGGCGCTGAGAAACCACAGCCCTGCAGTGAGTGCTGGGCAGGGAGGGGTCCTGCCTGTCCCCTGTAGTGTCCTGAGCCTGATCTCCACTGTCCTGGGGTGGCTGAGGAGCCCTTCTGCAGGGTGCCGGACAGCGGCTCCAGTCCTGGTCGGGTCAGTTTTGCGTTTTGGGTGGTGCCCCATGGTCCCAGTCACCCGGCTGTGGCTTCGACATGACGCAGGGTAGGGGGGTGAATGTGCTTTAAGGAGGCCCCGGCCCTAGGTGGACACAGGCGCACAGAGAAGACAGGGCCCCAGAGGGTCTCAGTGATCTGTCCAGGACCTGGGCCCGTGGGCTGTGGCGCCGAGGCTGGACACCAGGTCTGTGTGGGCACAGCGTCTGTGCTGCCTACTGTGGACGGGCACAGGCCTTTGTGAGGGTCCAGCTGGAGGCTCCTTGACCACACCCCTCCTGAGACGCTCCTGGTCCCGTGTGCCCATGATATCCGGGCTCAGGTGGCCACCACCCCCTAAGCTCTGCCCTGGATCCCACAGTGCTGGCTGCTGGCCCTCTCCGAGGTGCTGAAATGGCGTCCGGCGTCTGCCTCAGATGCAGTGGAGGCCGCTGAGGTCTGGGAGCCTCCACGTTTTCCGATGTTTGCTTTCTAAAGGGTGAGGAGAGGAGCGTGCGGGGAGGAGCGAGCACCTAGGCACTGTGAGAAGGAGAAATGGCAGAGGCCAGGCTCCTGGTGGGGCCTGGGTGGAGGGTCGGTGTCTCACTTGGGCTCGCAGCTGGGGAATTTCCAGGAAGGGGCTCTTCCATCTGGCTTTCCCCAAAGCAGCCCCAGCGGGCTTCCCTCCAGTCCTGGGGGCAGGGGCAGGGGAACAGCCTCTGTGACTTCCTTGCTCTGGATTCTTTGTTTTAATCCCTGTAAATTTACATCCTTATTTAACCCTAAAAAGTAGAAGCAGAAAGGGAAGTTGAGGCTGGGTGAGTCTGTCGGCTCTCTGGGGTGGGATCCCATACGTGTGTGTGTGCCAGTGTCAGGCATGCAGGGGGTGAGGCTGGGCACGGGAATGGGCAGCTCGCAGCCAGCCTGGGTGTGCAGGGCGAGTTTGCCGGGTGGAGGCAGCCGGCCAGTCCTGGGTCTGTGCACGGCTGGCCAGAGGCGGCCAGTGTGTGCGCTGCTGGCCCACATGAATCCATGCGTGTGTGCATGTGTGTGTGTGTGTGTGTGTGTGTGCGTGCGCGTGCATGTTCCTGGGGTGACTCCCAACAGCTCCCATCCCCTCCCCGACTCAGTAAGGCGCTCCCATTTTTCTGACATTTGTGCGCCTCACGTACCGGCAAGAAGTAATTTACTTAGAAGAAATTAAAAGTTCATGTTAATCGCGCACACTGCAGTATGCAAATGAGGAGCGTATTAAGCTCACTGATGCAGAGACGGAGCCCTCATCAGCACTTAACCCTCTGCACGCCGGCCCCTCATCAGCACTTAACCCTCTGCACGCCAGCCCCTCATCAGCACTTAACCCTCTGCACACCGGCTCCCCTTCTGCACAGGGTCCAGGCCTTGGAGAGGCCTCCCTGTTCTCAGGCGGAGGGGACGAGCTATGTCTGGAGCCCTCTCTGAGCTCTCTGCAGATGTCCATCCGGCATGTGCACGGCACCCTGGGGAGAGGCACAGGGTCTGAAACCCTCTCAGCTCCAGTCCGAGGCCATGGGTGGTGACGCTTTGGCCAGGCCCTGGGCTCTCTATGGGGCAGCCTCCTCAAGACTCCCAACTGGCCTGAGGCCACAGCAGAGAATCCCCAAGGCCTAACATGCCGTGCTCACCACAGAGGGAGGCTTCGAGGTGGTGGGTGGTGAGGACGAACCCCTTGCGGTCAATGCTGCCCCCGCCGCGCCGGCCATATCAACACCCCTTCCCGGGAAGGGTGGTGCTCGCCCTGCCTCCTTCCCAAGGTGGAGGTCTGCGGGGCGCAGGTCTCTGTCTGGGGCTGCCATCCACATACGCTGTGGCTCATGTACAGTGACCACCTGCTGCAGGATGAGACGGTGGCACCCGCCGCTCCCTGAGAGCGGCACTTCACTGCAGCTCAAGGGCCTGCTTCTGCAGTGAGGGCAGAGCCCCAGGGTGACAGTGTCTCCTGCAGGCCAGGCCCCTCCATGAGGCCAGCATCCTGTGCCCTCCCTGTGCTGTCACCTGCCACCCACGTACTACCATGGACAGGTGTCTCCTCGGAGGTTCAGAGGGGTAAGTGGCTGGACAAAGTCATGGAGAAATTTCGAGAATCAGAGCTGGCGTCTGGCTGGCTCCTGATGCCAGGCCCTGCCCCGTGGCCTCCTTGGGTGTTCAGGGGCCCGTGGGGCCATGGGACGTGGTGGGGGCACCTGGCCGCCTCCTTCAGCAAGGAAGAGAGATACAGCAGGGTTCTTCCCAGGCCCTGGTGGATCTTCCCACAGGGGCTCTTCCTCCCAGCCCAGGAGAGAGGGGTGGCCACAGAAGCCAAAAGAATTTGCCTAAAGCCTCCAAGGCAGCAAGCCCTGGGTCTCCTGGCCAGATCAGAGGCTCAGGGCTGGCCAGACCAAGGTGTTAGGTTCTGGCCGTGTGACACGGGTGTGGCGCCGCTGTGGCCACCCCGCCACACTTCTGGCATCGGGAGCTGTGCCTGCAGCCCCTGACAAGTGGCTGGTAGCCTCTACCCTCGCCTGCCTGCCGCCTGACTTCTTCCTCGGGCACCCGCATTGGATGACAGGTCCACACTTACCCAGCTCAGCCCAGCTCACCCCAGAGCAGTGGGGGCGGGGGAGAGAGTCCCCACCCTGTCTCCCCGAGGGGCCTGGCCCTGGGCTGGAAGCGGGGTTGCCGCTGAGCTGTGGCCATCCCCGGGTGCTGGTTTTCGTGTGATTTCCCCCACCTGTCAGACCTGGGTGGTGGTGGTGTTGTTACAGAGTCTCGCTCTGTCGCCCAGGCTGGAGTGCAGTGGCGCCATCTCGGCTCACCGCAAGCTCCGCCTCCCAGGTTCACGCCATTCTCCTGCCTCAGCCTCCTGAGTAGCCGGGACTGCAGGCGCCCGCCACCACGCCCGGCTAATTTTTTTGTATTTTTAGTAGAGACGGGGTTTCACCGTGTTAGCCAGGATGGTCTCGATGTGACCTCGTGATCCACCCACCTCGGCCTCCCAAAGTGCTGGGATCACAGGCATGAGCCACCGCACCCAGCCGACACCTGGGTTTTTAATGACAGTGAGATGAAGCTGGTTCATGGATGGAAGGCGGCAGCCACTCCAGGGCCAGCCCATGATGTCCAGGCCCCACAGAGGGAACCAGCCTGGCTGGCCTGGGGGAGCAAGGGCTAGAGCCAGATCCTCTTGACACCCCAAAGCCATTCCCCAAGGGCAGCATCCGCCTAATGGCACTGTCCCTTGTGGGCAGCTGGGGAGCCTGACCACATCCCGGCTCCACATCCACACACCAGGGCCCCCACCCATCCCCTACAGCCCAGCTCCATGTCCACACACCAGGTCCCCCACCCATCCCATACAGCCCAGCTCCACGTACACACACCGGGGCCCCACTCATCCTGTAGCCTCTTGGCCTCTGCCCTCGGTTCAGCTTCTGAATCCATTCAGTTTTATCTCACAGTCTCCAAAGGAACAGGTGAGGGGGAGAGGTCACCTCTGACCCTTGTTCCTCAGGAACCCACAGCTCGGAGGGGCAGCTGCGAGTCCAGGTTCCCCCAGCTGGGTGTGGCAGAGTGGGCATGATGCGGGGGTGGGTCTGTCCTCTGCCCTAGGGGCTCTCAGGCCCACTGGGCACTGACCCCAAGTGGATCCCAGCAGTCGGACGGCGAGGACCATGGAGGGAGTGCTGGGCTCCCTGGACTCCGGTCAGTGCCCATAGGCTGCTCTCAGTCCTGGCCTCACCCCATCCTGTGCAGGAGGAGCCCAGGGAGGCCTGGGCAAGGGGGGATGCGGCGCTGGGGCTCCTTCCCTCCCCTCCTGTTTGAGCTGATGTCACGCCTGCTCCTTGGCGCAACCTTACTCCCGGCTCAGGTGGGAGGGCAACCGAGTCGGCCTGGGTTCAAGTTCTCCAGAGTGCCGGCCCTCCACTCGAGTTCCCCTGCCCCGGGGAATGCCCTTTCCCTACACCTGCAATCCCCTGAGGGACGGGAGGAGGCCGGTAGTCCATGAGCATCTGTCACTGGCTGTGCGGCTCTGGGCGCTCTGGGCCAGTTACTGAACCGCACGTCCCTCCTTTTCTCTGACACCACAGGGACACATCTCAACCATGCTGGGCTGAACCCAGGAAAGGGCCCCATGGCAGCAGTGCCTCTTGTCCTCACGTCTAGCAGAGGCGTCCATGGCAAGGGGCTGGCCTGGGAGCCTGGCTAGGTTGGGGGACTGAGGAAGCGCCTGGCTCCGACTTCCCAGCACTAGGACCAGGAGTGTCCTCGGCCCCTGCCGCTGTCTGGCCCCACCAGCCCTGATCTCACGGCAGCAGCAGCTTTCCTGGTTCTGGGCCACGTCGGTGTCTTCCTGGCAGCAGCAAACTCCTGTGCTCGGCTGGCCCCCCGTGGGTGCCTGTGAGCACTTGCAGAGCAGCTCAGCTATTGGTATTCCCACCACCCTCCCGCCCAGACCTCCGGGCACCCCTAGCCTCCCTGGGCCTCCCACCTAGACCTCAGCATGCCCTTGGCCTCCTCGGGCCTCCCGTCCTGGCCTCAGCACGCCCTTGGCCTCCCCGGGCCTCCCGTCCTGGCCTCAGCACGCCCTTGGCCTCCCCGGGCCTCCCGTCCTGGCCTCAGCATGCCCTTGGCCTCCCCGGGCCTCCCGTCCTGGGCTCAGCATGCCCTTGGCCTCCCCGGGCCTCCCGTCCTGGGCTCAGCATGCCCTTGGCCTCCCCGGACCTCCCGTCCTGGCCTCAGCATGCCCTTGGCCTCCCCGGGCCTCCCATCCTGGCCTCAGCATGCCCTTGGCCTCCCCGGGCCTCCCGTCCTGGCCTCAGCATGCCCTTGGCCTCCCCGGGCCTCCCGTCCTGGCCTGCGTAGCCGTTGCTCTGCAGCTTCCTCTGTTGAACTTGTGCGTGGCACTCACGAGCCCAGGCTTTACTGAGCACATCCTGTGTGCCAGGCGTGGCCGGTGACCAGCAGGTCGCCACGATGTGTGGACAGAAGTGCAGGGTGGGGGCTGACCCGTTGGTCACAGGGCAGTCAGCAGCTGAGCTTAGACTTCCGGAACCCAGGTCTCTGAACCCACAGCCCGTGTTTGGGTCACAGTGTGCTGCTGAGATGGGAGCGGGTGGAGGCGTGTGGCTGGGGTTTCCCAGGCGTGTGGATGGGCGCGGGGCTGGCCTGCCAGGGTGCAGCGATGGGCGCGGGGCTGGCCTGCCAGGGTGCAGCGATGGGCGCGGGGCTGGCCTGCCAGGGTGCAGCGATGGGCGCGGGGCTGGCCTGCCAGGGTGCAGCGATGGGCGCGGGGCTGGCCTGCCAGGGTGCAGCGATGGGCGCGGGGCTGGCCTGCCAGGGTGCAGCGATGGGCGTGGGGCTGGCCTGCCAGGGTGCAGTGATGGGTGTGGGGCTGGCCTGCCAGGGTGCAGACCCCATGCATCTGGTTGCTGTGAAGCTGCTGGGGGGAGCAGGAGGGGTCTGCACCAGGTCTCCAGGCTCTGCGGCCGTCATGGAGAGAGCTTGAGGTTGCTCCTATTCACTGGAGACAGCCGTTGTGGGGTCTTCAACGCTGAGGCCCGTGGGCTCCTGGGTGACCTGTGTGGGGGGCATAGATTAGCCCTGAGTGGGCCCAGGCATGAGGGCGTCTTGGAACTCATCTAACCCAGGTGGCAAACAGGGGCCGCCCGACTGCCAGGGAGAATTGACGAGCAGTGGCGTCCTGGAATTCCCGTGAGGTGGCGGGAGAAGATTCTATGATTGATCCGTCATGCCTGCCGTGGCTCAGGATGGGACCGGCCTCTCAAGCTACAGATCAAGAAACTGAGAAGGGAGTAGCCTAAAGTCACCATGAGAGTGGCCAGGTCTGGGCCGGCCTGGCCTCCACCCCGCAGAGACCATCTCAGCTCTGCTCGCTCAGCCTCGTCCCCGCCTCTGACATCCTTCCATTCCCGCTCATGGCCCTCTCTGTCTGCCACCACCCTCCCCGCCATGGGTGCTTAAAGCCCCCGGCAGCTGCCCTCCCGTCCCCCAACATGGCCCTTCCTGACATGCCAGCCCCTCCCAGCAGCAGAGCCTTCCCTGTCCTGAAGAAGACGGAGCCGAGCTCTGCCATCCAGGCGGCATCTGTGCACAACAGGAACACGGGGACCCCGTGCAAGCCTCATGGCTGCCATCAGGAGACATGACAGCGGGTGGCTCCTGTCCAGCACCTCCCGGGCTGGGGCAGGGCCGTGCAAAACACCATGCGCTCTCCCCATTTGGTCTCACAAGTGCCTGGGGGTGTCGAATGCAGGTGGATGATCATTTCTATATAGAAACACAGATGTGGAAACCATCTCCTGGGAGAACCGGTATTGCCAGGTTGGTGTGGGGCACCAGGCCCTTTCCAAGGGGATGCGCTGCAGACCTCTTAGTAACCCTTAGAATTATTCTCCACTCCACAGACTAGACAGGGGCGAGGAGCAGTTGGGCTGTTTGCTGGCACAGGCCGCAATCCACCATCCGAGCCCTGCACAAGCCTTCCCGACTTCTGAGACCTCACAAGCCCTCACTCAAATCGGGTCAGGATAAATGGCCCAGACTCCCCAAGGGTCTCTGGTGTGGCCCTAGGCCCCAGGACCTTCCAGTCACCTGCACCCTCGCTTGGAGAAGCATGCTTACCCTACAAGGCCCAGGGAAGATACCACCTCCTACAGGAAGCCTGCCTTGACTCCCCCAGTGGACGCTTACTCTCCCTGACTCAAAGGTTCTGCAGGACCTCACCCTCTGCCGGCTGCCCCTGTCACCCTGGTGTGGGGGCAGCGTGTGTGCCCCCCCTCTACCCAGCACTGTACTGATGCCCGATCTGGGGCTGGGGGAGCATTGTGGAGAAAATAGATGAACACTGTGGATCCAGGTGTCTCTGGCTCCTGAAAACTGCAGGTGAGGACCAGCCGAGGAGGGCGTCCCCAGCAGCCCCTGTCCGTACATGTTTGGCACCCAGACAGCCCCCATGTGGTCCTTGCAAAGAAAGGGGGCTGTGGCTGAGCCCAGCACATTGTGTGCAGGGACCGCCCTGGAGTGGACGCAGCGGGAGGGCTGGCCGCACCTCCCATGCACACCCTCTCCCCCAAGCCCCAGACGCGGAGCAGGAAAGAGTTAAGTCCTCTGTGAGCAACTGTGTGAAGGAAGTGGTAAACAATTTTTCTCTCCCTCGGCTAAATTAATATGCAAATTCCCAAGCCCCCCTCCATTCCCTTCCCCTGCCTTGAAATTAGCGAGGTAGAATGCTTGGGCTAATTATGCATTCAAACGAGCAGGCTGCGTTCGCCCGGCACTAAGAAGATGCGGAAAATGATTGTGAGAAGATGGAATTGACATTCGAACGCGGCCCTCCCAGTGCATCTGGAGCCACTCTCCTGCATCCAGCAGATGGAACCCGGCAGTGACCGCCGGCCACCCCCTGGCCCGGGAAAGGGCTGCAGCAACTAGCAGTCGGCTCTGCACCCTGGTCCAAGGTGAGGGAAGAGGGGGGCCCATGAGCAACCATCTAGACCCCCTTTTCCCCACTGCGGAACCCCACGTTGCCAGCCTGGCACATAGAGCTTCCCCAGGAGCCTTTGGTGCTCATATCCAGAGGTCAGAACCTCAGATGGGGGTGCTAGGGTGAAGGCCATGGCAGGCGGCAGGAGCCACAGAGGCTGGACTGGGTCCAGACAGGCGGCCTCAGGCCAGCCGTGTGAAGCAGAGCCTGGAGCTCTGCCAAGGGGCCTCCATGCAGGGCGGGTGGGGGCGGCAGGGCACTTGGGACCCTCGCTGCAGCCACCCTCACCACCAGCCCCGACAGCCACGGCCCCTCCCAAGCAGATGTGCTATAAATTGCCATTGTAAGTAAAATTTTGCTTCAGAACGGAGTTTCTCTGCAAAGTCGGAGTTTGACTAAGAGGGAAACAGAGGCCAGAGGCTGCCTGGCATCAGAGATGGGCGGGGCCAGTAAGGAGCAGGCAGGCTCGGGAGCCGTGACTCTGAAAGCTAAGACGGGCCAGACTGGAACCCTTTCTCACAGGGCCTCGCTCTGCATTTACTGGAGAAACCCAACCTTCCTGCCTGTGGGGGCCTGTCCTACCCCATTCTTCCAGCCACCTCCTACCACACGACACAGGAGCCCTCAGTTTGCACACCATGGGGCCCTCTCCTGGCACGTCCTCTTCCTCACCTCTGTCTCAGGTAACCAGTCTCAGGGCCCTGTCCAGACCGACTGCCTCTGCCCAGCCTTCTGTCTCTCCCCTCGCTCCCTGGGCCACTGCTCTTGTGAAGCTTCATGAGGCCTCTTTTATTCTTGTGGAGCATGGACGCTTAACATTCCCAAAGTCCAGCATGTCTTTCCCACTTGTCTCTAAACACCTGCAGGACACAGCTTTGTGCTGGATCTCTGGAGCACCCATGGCACCTGGTCCTGACCTTAGCTTTCTTAAAGACCTGTCCATGGGGACGCTGATGAAAGGATTGGTTAGGCAGCCCCCAATCTGCTAGACATGCTATTTGTAGCTGCACATGAGAAGGAGGCTCCTTTTGGAAATGTGTGCCCAGCACTTCCGAGGAAGTCCTGGGAGGATCCACACACTGATCCAAGTCCACTCACGCTGCAAGCAGCAGCATTATCATCACCATCATCATCATCCCCACCATCACCATCATCATCATCACACCATCATCTCCACCATCATCATCACCATCATCATCACTATCACCATCACCACCATCCCCACAGTCATCACCATCCCTATCATCACCATCATCATTATCCCCATCCTCACCATCATCATCATCACAACAATCCTTACCCGTTTTCTGGGCATTCACTTGGTACCAGACATCATACAGAAAGGTTTAGACACAGGATCACTTTGAATCTGCACAGCTCTTTTGAGGTATGTACTATTATTATCGTCAGTCTACAGATGAAGAAAGTGAGGTCCCTAGCTAGTGATAGAGCCTGAACTTGAACCTAGGTCCTTCTGACACCAAAATTCCAAGTTCATAGCTCTATATTCTTCTCCCCATTTCCTCATGGACATGCCTTCCAGTGAGGGGACAAAGACCAAAGGAGTGGCTCATCCAAGCATAAATGGAGACCTCTGAGGCCAGAGCTTAAGTCACGACCTGAGGGGTTTAGATTAGACTAAACCCAAGACTTTCAAATAATGTGTGTTTTTAGTTCTCAGAATAACCAAGAGGAAGTGTTTTAGCAACTACAGAGATTCTTGCCTCTCCCAGAATGTGTAAAGACCAGCAGGCTGATGGATTGTGGGTGAGTCAGACCCAGCCCGGTGGCCTTATGGTGCAACCTGATAGGTGTGCCCTTGCCAGGCAGGCCGGCAGGTAGGTCAGGGGCCTGGGGTCTCAGGACGTAGAGACTGTCCCTGCCCTCAGTTGGAGAGGACTGCAGACCCCTTCACTCCCTGACCTGGAGGAAGATGTGTGAGTCTGGGCTGTGGGGGTCACAGAAGCAGCAGGTGGCCTGTCTGCAGGTCCTAGGCCAAGGGCTGACTGGGTCCGGTGACATCCTTTGTGCTGGCGTTAGTTTCCCTCTCTATCCAAGGGCTGACTGGGTCTGGTGACACACTTTCTGCTGGCCTCAGTTTCCCTCTCTATCCAAGGGCTGACTGGGTCCAGTGACATCCTTTCTGCTGGCCTCAGTTTCCCTCTGTATCCAAGGGCTGTGACTGGGTCAGGTGACATGCTTTCTGCTGGCCTCAGTTTCCCTCTCTATCCCATTAGAGTGTTGGACTAGATATTCTCCAATGACCCTTTTCTTGCCTAAAGTTTTGTCATTCCAAGTGCAGAATGCTGTTAATTTGTCCATCTGTCCATCCATCCAAACCCCAAAAGCTTTCACTGGAGGTGTCTGAGTGCACGGCCCTGACGTCTGAAGGAGGCGCAGGTCTAGAAGACATAATGCCAGAGCGGCCCTCGTACCCACAGAGGAGAAGCAGAAGCTCAGAACCTATGGCCAAAGCAAGACACAGGCGGGGAAGTGCCATGTCCTCAGAACCCAGGAGTGCCGGTGGAACAAGCACCTCCGCCCGCCTCCCACCTGCTTCCTTCCTGCCATCCAGGGAGAACAGCCCTGGTTTCCAGGTAGAGGCATCCAGAGCTTCTGTGCCAGCCCCAACGGCCACACAGATGGATGATGGTGTTAAGTACTCATCAGCTGCAGTGAGGCTCCTGGAGCCGCCCATGAGGATGTAAGGTGCAATGTGCACCTCGCTCCTAACACCCAGGGCAGACGTTTGTCAGTGCGGGAATGGCAGGCGGGGGAGGAAGGCAGATCGTCCCGAGGCGTGCATCTCGAAGCCACCTACAGTGCTCATCAACAGGGAGCAGCAGCTCTGAGCAGCCCAGGAGTGGGTGCCAGCCGAAGTCAACAGGCAGGCGGGTAAATGCGTCCCAGCGCGGGGAGGGCTTGGAGAAAGGCCTGGAGCGTGACCCCTGCGTAAAGAAGAAAAGTGGCCGTTCTAGGAGAGGAGCAGTGAGACCCCAGGCTTTGTGGCGGGATGGGCCCCAGAGCACATTTTGGGGGCCTGGTGGGGTGATGGCAGCTGAGACAGGACAAGGCCGCTGGACCCCACAGGCAGTGGCCTCGGGTCTGAGGGAGGCTGTCCCAGTGGCCACCACACCTGGCCAGGCAGGGCCGTCAGGTGGGACCTAGGGGTGGTCACTGACTACTCTGGGCAGGCGCCTCCAGGAGGGGAGGGGAGTCCCAGCACCTGCTCACTTCACTTCCTGGAACCGCCTCCCGCCTGGAGGGCCGGCGCTGCTGGGGGCCAGGGCTGGGATGCTTTGTCCCTCCACGGGGACGGGGACGTATGGCCTCGCTGATTCTCCGCGCAGCCGCTCATTCTGGTGCAGCTGCCGCGCCGCCCTCCAGGCGCTGGGTAACTCCGGGCTGCAGTGCTTCTGCACATTAACACCATTTGTTCCGTGGAACGTGCTTTATTTCCACACCACACGCAGAGCTTATTACCCCGCCAGCAGCTCAGGGAGCAAGACGGCTGGGACCTGGGGAGGCGGAGGGACGACGCGGCCCAAGCCCCCTCCCCCCGCGCGTCCCAGCCCACTGCCCGCATGGGGGAGGGGCACTGGCCGGATCCCTGGGCAGTGAGCTCAGGAGGGCTGGGGCGTCCCAGTCAGGGAGCTGGTTCCCGGGAGGGTCCTCGCTGCTTGTGTGGCCCTGGTGACGATGCCGGGGCTCCTGGATAGATGCGCCCAGGCAGCTTCTTTTCTGGCTCTGCGGCCTCAGGGAAGCAACATGGCCTCTCTGAACTTCTGTCTCCCGAAATGTGGAGGCTGAGACTGTCTCTGTGAATGGTAGGGTAACTGTTTCCCTGCCACTGTAGGTGACAGTTAAGGTCGAGATGACCGCTAAAGACAAAGGCTTGACCCAGAGGCCAGGAGCAAGGGGGCGCGGGAATCACAGAGACTGGGGCAGCCCTAGATCCCCCGGGTAAGCCTTTTGGGCCCCTGCCTGCACAGCAGAGCAGAGCCCAGGGTGAGCCACGCAGGCGCGTGGAGAGGGCACCCCATGTGGGGCAGACTCCCGCTCAGAGGGGCCTCGCTGTGGCCACCACCTACAGACCAGAACCCGGGGCCGGGGTCTCATGGACCTCCTGACTGAGGAGACCTAGCAGAGCCAGACAGGGCCTGTGGACCGAGCAGAGGCTGGTGTGGACTCGGCTGGGGCCCGCTCCCTTCTCCTTTGACCTGGGGCACAAAGGTCCCCTCTGTGTAGGACTCACTGACTGGCCGCTTTCTACTCCTCACACAGTTCCCAGGCCCTGGAACTTTCCATCCGTCTTGTCCTTCTTGCCCTCACCACCCCTGCCCCGAGGTCCTCCGCCCACATGACCTGGTGGGGGCTGGCGTGAATACCTGGAGCGCAAGGCTGGGCAGGTTTTGCTCAACGTCATGAAGTCTGATCTCCACGCACAGAACCCGGCGTGGTGCCCACACCGTGTGCGTGAGCACAGGGACAGAGGTGTGGACGGATGACATCGGGTGACTGCAAGACCAGGCTGGCCACCATGCAGCTAGGGGCGAGGTGGACTCCAGGAGCCTGGTCTTGTTGGCATGGGGTAAGGAGCTCTTGGCCACCAAGGTACTGAAGTAAGAGGTAGGGAGAACCCCTCCTCCCTGGGCCTGTGAGGGTGGTCCTGGACACACAGGTACTGGCTCCCTCCTATGCGGGGTGGCGGCTGCCCTCCCTCCAGAGCCCAGCCCCAGGGCTGATGTGCCCGCACAGCTGGCACTGGGCTCTCGGGAGGCGGAGGCGGCAGGGAGGCCTCTGGGCTGGGGGAGGGCGCAGCAGCTGGACCCCTGACCCTTAGCAGAGCAAAGGGGAGGCGGAGGCCCAGCCACTGTCTCGGGAGGCACAGTGGGCGGCCGGGGTTGGCACAGGGGGAGGGGCTGGCCGGGCGCCCACTCCTTCCTAGGGTTTGTTGGGAGGCCAGCTCCCTCTCCATGGTGCGTGGAGCTGCAGAAGGCTTTATGTCAAGAGGCAGAAAGGCCCATGAATATTTCATTAGGGAAGCGATGTGAGGCTGCCAGGAACATCTGGCAGGAGTCTCTAGGGAGCTCCGAGCCGGCGCGGGAAGCAGGGACTGTGAAATTCGGAGGTGGAGGGAGGAGGGCTGCGGCAGGCAGCAGGGTCCCCTGTTCTGCTGTGGCCCAGCAAGGCTGCGCCCCTGACAAAGACCAGCCCTGTGCAGGGGCAGCTGTGGGTGAAACAGTGGGGGTGATGGCAGGGCCAACTTCCTCGATCCCGGGACAGCCCCCTGCCCACCCTTCCTACTCAGGCTCATGGCCGGGTCAGAGCAGCTGAGGGTGGGAAGGGGCCTGAGAGACAGTCTTGACCTGGGTCAGGCAGGGCTGGAATGGGGCGCCGCAGGGGCGGCACACACCCGGGGCATGGGACGGGGCTGTGGTTGGGGCCGGAGGGACCTGCACCTGTTGCTGGAAGCCCAGTGGGCAGCCAGGACCCCGGAAGCCCCTCAGTGGGTGAGGTGCCTGCTGGGTGTTCAGGCCTGCAGGTGAGGGGTGGGGGGTGAGAGGTTGGGGGGGGGACCTTGCCCAGCAGAGCGGGAGAAGCCCGGTCCCCAGTCTCCATCGTGGGGGCCGCAGCTTCCAGCTTGTCCCACCCTCCATGCCATTTTCAGGTCCCCTGGGGCCCTCGAGGGAGGGGCATCCACTCATGCCACTCTCCTCACGACTGAGGCCTGGGACCCACAGGTGCTGCCATCCCACCCAGTGCAGACCCAAGCCAGGGTTCCAGCCAGCACCTCGCCCATCTAAGTCTCCTCTGGGAATCCTGGAATGTGTTGTGCCCCGCCCCCCACCCCTGAGCCTGAGGGGCCAGGGCCACTGCTGTGTCCCCAAATCCCCGGAGCCCCCCTGCCTGAGTGTTTATCCCACTGACACCCATGCTGGGGCCCACCCTGCCCGCCCTCCACGCCTGTGCCATCTGAGGGCAGGGACTGCAGGGCCGGGTCCAGGCGGCCACTGGGGAAGCTCACCTGCGCCAAGGCCCACCCGGGATGACCCCACCGCCAGCACTTCCAAGGGGAAGCCCCCGTCATGAAGTGTTGGCCAGAGTCGGACTGAAGCCGCCACAGCAGCGCCTCCCGGGGCTTAAGGGGAAGAGGAGGCTGAGGATGGCCAGTCCCTGGGAGCCCCGCCGCACCTCCGCCCCCGGGATGTCTCAGGCTGGGCCTCTGCGGGGCTCTGAGCCTTTCCCTGAAGCTCTGAAGCACAGCCCAGACCCCTCGTGGGCCTTCAGTCCTGCCGGCTCTGTCCGACCCCAGGACCCTGTGTTCCCGACCTCTGCCCGACCCCTGGGCGTCTGGACCAGATGACCACTGCCCTCCCCCGCCCCCCCAGCCCTCCCTGCCCCTCAGCCCAGCCCGGGCTCCTGACCTTGGCCTCAGAGGCCCCTCCTAGCCCCTTCAAGGTGGAGGCTCCTGTGGGCCAGCCCGACTCTAGGCTCGGAGTTTTAAGGTCCATGGGCCTAACCTCCTCCCGGGCTTGGAGGAGCTGGGGGCCCAGCCACCCAGCCATCTTTACCCCAGCCCCTGCCCATGTGCTCTAATCGCCCCTCCAGTGCAACCTTCTTTCTGGGACTGGATTGGCTGCCCAGAGCATTGACTGGGACAGCGGCCAGCCCAGAGCCCCCGGCACAGCCAGGGCCCCTCTGTGCCATGCTCCTGCCAGGGCATGGGTCTGGTGCCAGCCTCTGCCAGCTGATGCTGTGGCTGGCAGCCTCTGCCATCCTGCTCGCCATGGATCACGCTGAGGGGCCACAGCCAGACGCCGGGACTAACACCCCCAGCCCTGCCAGCTCCACGCTGGCCCACCTGGGTGTCACCCACCTTTCTGCAGGTGAAAATCCCCTCTCCCACGGCCCCCAGCTCTTTCTGCCCAGCCTGTAATTGCTGGGAAGGGCAGCAGGACTTTGCCTTGGAGCTGCTGGGGAGTCCCTCACCTCGGGCTCCTTCCCACCCTCAGCAGCTGGGCTTGCTGCACCGTCACCCGCACTCCTGCTACCACACGTTTGGCGTCTGTCCCATCGTTCCGCACAGGCTCTGAGGCACCAAGCCAGGCTGGGAGCAAGAGGTGGGGCGGGGGCTCCGGGAAGACGAGAGGGAAGGCAGACGCACTCCCCTAGGAGCCCTGGGCCCCAAGATACAGCCCTGCAGCCCACGCATGGGGACAGCGACCAACATTTGGGGACCATCTGGGGGACTATACGGAACTGGGCAGAGGAGACCTGGCCCTGGGGGCCCACAGGGCATCAGGCGGAGGTGATGTGGCCGACCCCATGCTGGCCCCACCGAGCCCACCCAACCGAGCTCCCTGGAGGACGAAGGGCCAAGCACAGCTGGAAACAGGCCCCAGGGCGACGCTGGGGAAGCCGAGAGGAGCCGTCCTCTACCAGGCTGGCCCAGAACCCTGCGGGATTCAGCCCTCCCTGATGCTGCCACGCCCTGCAACCCAGAGCCAGGCCAAGATCCGGCCCCGGCCTCTGGCACCCGACGCAGATGCCAGGCGCCCACACCCCGCGAGCCCGCACGCTTTACCTGCGCTGCTGCTGCCAGGATCCACCTGCCCCAGCCGGCCCTCCCTGGCACCTCTGCCAACTGCTGCCGCCTCCCGCCACGGCTGCCAGCGATCGCGGTGGGTTTTGTGGATAGGCGTTTGGCCCCCTGCAGCCGCTGGCATACGTCGGTGGCACGCGTCCATCCTCACCGCAAGCTGCCCGCACCTTCCTCCTCCCCGTGCCTCCGGAGTCCCCAGTGCCAGCTCGGAGGGGAGTTGGCACGGATGGAGGCTGGCCAGCGTCTCGCGGCTGAGTATAGGCACGCTTCTTTTTTTTTTTTTTTTGTATTTTAAACACACACACATATTCTCACACGCACACACGCCAAGCCCCCACCCCTGGCAACACACATCCCTCCTGTCAGGAGCAGACATAGCCAAGAAAGCCCAGAGCAGGCGGGGGCAGAGAGAAGGGGCTTCGCCGAACGGAGGAACCTCAGCCCGCAGCTCTGTCCCTGCCCGTCCCCATTGCTCTCCCTCTTACGTAAACCACCAGGAAGAAGAAGAGGAAACACGGATCCACGTCACATCGAGGAGCCTCCTGATTGGGCGTACCTTCCCCTGCCAGGTCCCCTGGGACACACGCCAGCCCCGGCCACCCTGTCCCCTGCCCAGCCCCCCGCCTCCCCCAACGGTCTGCCACGGTGACCACACCCAGCTCCCTGCGTTTCTTCTCT
Organism: Homo sapiens; assembly: GCF_000001405.40. Classification (NCBI taxonomy): domain Eukaryota; kingdom Metazoa; phylum Chordata; class Mammalia; order Primates; family Hominidae; genus Homo; species Homo sapiens. The sequence continues at coordinate 89,053,157 of NC_000016.10, forward strand.
TGAAAGGCGTTTATTCATCGAGTGCCAACCCTGGCTCCTGTGCGGACACGGCGGCTGGCAAGACAGCAGGGCTGGCCGAGAGTCTGGCGGGATGACCCCGGGGGTTGTTGCCTGCCATGGGCACAGTCCGGGAGTCCTGACCTACGTCTGAGGGCCAGAGGGCATCCCAACTGGACGTGAAAGGCCAGCCTCAGGCTGAGGACGGGGTGGAACAGAGCCTCGGCCAGGCTCCTGCTAGAGAGCGGTTGCCGGCACTTGCTCTGTGCTGACCCCGCTGTCTCTGTCGCCTCCCTTGCTTGAAGAGCCCCATGTTGGTTATGCATGACCTCTGACCCTGGAGACGCAGGTGACAACTCCCGGGCATCGGGGAGACGAGGTGTTGGGGACAGAGCCGGCGGTCATAGCCTCCAGCTCCTCTTCCTGCATGGAGTGACCTGGCGCCGCGAGGTGGAGCTGGTGTCCGAGCCCTGAGGATGAGGCTGCTCCCTCCGCAAGGTGGGCGAGGAGCCAGGAAGAGCCAAGGGAGTGGCCACCCTGCCCTGACGGCCACCAACGGCCACCACGTCACCCTAGAAGACAACCCAAGCCCGTCTCCCCACACCTCGCGGATGGTGCAGTGCAGAGAGAAGGCCGGGCGGGTGCTGGGGGGCCCATCTCCCCGAGCCTTGCAAATAGTGCAGTGCAGGGAGAAGGCCGGGCGGGTGCTGGGGGGCCCGTCTCCCTGTGACTCGTGGACGGTGCGGTGCAGGGAGAAGGGCGGGCAGGTGCTGGAGGACTGAGTGAGGCCCCTCCAGGATGGCTCCCTGCCCCTCCATGCGCTGGGTCCTCGGGCCAGGACAGGTTGCATCTGGGTCACCAGCCCCCTCACACCCGCTCGCCTGAAGGCGGCCGACCCTGGCCACTGGTCGCCTGGTGGCAGAAGCCTCTTCTGGGCATTTTCAGGCACCGCAATGCTCTTCACAGCGTTAACTTTTTTTTTATCCAACCAAGGACAACCTCAGCTTCAGAAAGCCCTGGAATGCCCCACAATGGACAAGCAAGGAACACCCTCCGGGACGGACCGCGAGACTCGGCCCTGAGATGCCTCAATACCCTGGACACCCCAGAACCTCAGATTGCGTGGCTGGGGCTCCTGCGGCCACCCTGCTCCCCAGAACCTCGTCGTCTTCCCGGTGCCCTGCGGCAGGAACACAGGGCTGGAGCCGACCCCCAGGGCATGGCTGGGAGCTGCGGGAGTGAACGGGGAGTTAACCCCCAGGGCATGGCTGGGAGCTGCGGGAGTGAACGGGGAGCTGCCTGTGGCATCTGCCCTGTGGCTGTCACTCCCCTCACCTGTTCCCAGCCCGTGTCTGACAGGTCCCACCCTGGGCCCTGCCCCATCCCGCCCTCGAGGCCACGCCCCCTCTGTGCCACCCAGGCTGCTCCTGGTCACAGTTTGCATTTAGGCTGCAACCTCTGACCTCAGGCCCCTGGGTCTTCCTCTGCATTGGGCATTCCCAGGCCCCAGGCTGGAGGAGGCTCTGGGAGGTACGGCCTAACCCTGGGATTGGGGAGGTCAGGGGCCTGGGCTACTCAGCTGACCTTGTGGCCTTGCCCTGGAACCCGGCCCCTGCTGCCTCCCTGGGTTCACTCTGTTCCACCACACGGGCCTTCTTGCTGCCCCTGAAATGTTCTGGGAGCTCCTCCGCCGAAGCCCTGGCTGTTCCCTCAGCCTGGACGCTCCTCCTGCATGTCCCGGAGGTGGCTCTGTGGCCCGCTGTGGCTACCCAGCAGGACCTGAGGTCTGAGGCCCACTGTGACCGCTGCAGGTGCATGTGATGTGAGGCGCAGGAGCTGGGAGAAGGGCAAAGCCCACCTTCCTCTGCAGCTGCTGCCTGTTCTCAGCTCATCTGGAAGAGAAGGGAAGGTTCAGAGTGCGGGGCCGCTCAGTGGGAATCAGCACAGACCTGCCAAGCACCCTCGTGGCGCTGACCTTTCCTTTAACCTCCCGGGTGCCTGGGCGCGTCCTGCTAAAATGAAACGAAGAGCAGATGTGAACTCGGGACAATGAACCACCAGCGTGTCCAGCTGTGGGGCTGGGACCCCTTCAGGATGCGATCAGATCAAGGCAGGCAGAAGGGCCGTTCCCGCAGCCACAGTCCGACTACAGAGTGACACCATGGGCTGGAGTGACCGCCGGGGAGGGACGGAGCCTGGAACCATCAGTGCCTGGCCTCCCCCAACCCTGTGTGGGCAGCTGCTGGTGTTCAGCCCCCACCCTGCCAGCCCCCACCTGGGCTCCACCCATCACCCCGACAGATGGGCTGAGTCAGGGGACCCCCATCGAGAGTCAGCACCCTGCTGCCGGCAGGTCGCACACCTCCGTCACGGGGCACCACTGGCAGGGTCTCAGGAGCCCCGACACCTTCCGAGGCCTCTCGGGGTCAGCACCTCCCCAGCCAGGGCCTCCAGTTCCCCGAGCGGGTGCCACCAGGCTGCTACCCCTGGAAGAGAGGCATCTCCTGATGGCTGTAGAAGGGGCCCCTCTCCTGGGCTCACGGCTCTGTGGGCCTCCCTGCCCGGGCTCATGCAGGGCACCTGGCCTCCTGGAGCTGGGAGCAGAGGCTGAGCCCGTCCTGGGGTTCTTGCTGGTCCCACACGTGCAGAGATGTGCAGACAACAGGCTCAGCTTCGCACGTCTGTACCTCAGCTTCCTGAGTAGGATGTGAGGGCTCAGTGAACCCCCAGATTCAAACATCAGGGCCAGTGCCACAGCCAAAGCCCCATCCCCAGAGCAGGTTAAATGTCACTGTACAGCCATGTGCGGTGGCCGGGTCCGGGTGCTCTGGCTGTGATGTTGCGTGCCCCGCCTGTGTGTGTGCGTGAGCGTGGGTGGACTTCCAAGTGTGTGCAGAGTCACATGCGGGTGATCCTAGGCGTGCATCCGCCTGTGAGCACGTGGGAGAGTGCGCCACCCGTGTGTGTGGTCCGTGAGCATCCACCAGGTGCATACACACCACGAGCCACTGTGAGCATGCAGGGTTGCGTGTGTGCCCATGAGCCTCCATGAATGTGCAGGAATGCATGTGTGTCTAGGCGTGTGTGTCCGTGTGCACCTGTTTATGTGACCGTGCTGCAGTAGGTGCTGGTAGGCAGGAACCCAAAACCTGCAACAGCCCTGCCTGGCAATGTTCGTCCATTTCTGTGGTGTAAACTCTCCCACCAACTTCAAGCTATGACATGATGTAACTCAATTATGATGTGATGTCACTCAGTTTGGAGTGGGGAAGAGGGGAGCCCCATCGGCTCCCACAACCGGTTCAGGCGGCTCCAGCACCACTGGCCATGTGCACCTGCCTGCACACGTGTGTGACAGCATGAGTGTGATTGTCTTGCCCTGAGTCCCCACGTGGCACTGCTTGTCACTGTGGGCCTGGTGTGCGTGTCTCTGGGTGTGCCACGCTCAGTGCTGGGCACCCTCCATTCCATCAAGCCTCAGTGTCAGCCCCTAGGTGAGCCCTGGGGACCAGCGAATGGGTTCCTTCTGCTGGGAACTACCTGGTCACCCCACCCTGCTCCTCCACACGGCCATGGCAGCCAGCATCAGTGCAGAGCCAGGGTCCCATGGCCCACCCTGCAGACCCTCCTGGTGGCTGACAGTTAAGATTGGAGGGAGGCAGGGCACCCGGGTCAGCCCGGATAGCCAGCCTCGTTGGCAGCGGCCTTCCCGTCTTCAGTGAAGCGGGCCACGCTCAGGAAGAGAGTTCTCAGGCAATCGTGGGGTCCCAGGTGCCTTGGCCCTTGGCTGCACTGACAGCACTTTCCCAGCCATGCCCAGTGATGCTGGGGGCAGCCCTCTAGAGCCTCGGGTTCTCAGTGGCACCCCCAACACCTTGGATTCCACCTCATGAGGACAGCCTGTGCCTCAGAGCGACCACCACTCCTGCCTTAGTGCATTCAGGAATTGGGCCGACGGCAATGTCAGGACGTCCTCACAGGGCTGTGGGGCCAGCCAGCCCTGGGTTATCCGTTCTTCCCACCTCTCTGCAGGGCTGGGATTGGCTGTCCCACTTCACGCAGGAGGCAGCAGGCCCAGCGGGGAGAGGTCACTTGTCCAAGGCCTGGACTCTCATCTTGGGTTACCTCCACCAATCCCAGCTGTCCTCGAGGTCACCAGCCCCAGCGCCCACAAAGCACTCAGCAGTGCCAGCCCAAGAGAGAGTGGGCAAAGCCAGCTGGACACAGGAGCCCCTGCCCTCCTTCCTGTCCTCCTCCTCCCAGGTGGACGCGGGATCCCCTGTCCTCCTTCTGTCCTCCTCCCAAGTGGACGCGGGAGCCCCTGCCCTCCTTCCTGTCCTCCTCCTCCCAGGTGGACGCGGGATCCGCTGTCCTCCTTCCTGTCCTCCTCCCAGGTGAAATGTGGGAGCCCCTGTCCTCCTTCCTGTCCTCCTCCTCCCAGGTGGACACGGGATCCCCTGTCCTCCTTCCTGTCCTCCTCCCAGGTGAAATGTGGGAGCCCCTGTCCTCCTTCCTGTTCTCCTCCTCCCAGGTGGACGCGGGAGCCCCTGCCCTCCTTCCTGTCCTCCTCTCCTCCCCTTGAGATGTCTGCAGGACAGATGCAGGGTGGAGGGAGGGTGCCTGCCAGACCACTTGCTCAGCCTTGAGCTGGGGTGTGGACCACTGGGCATTGGTGAGAGGCAGAGAGGCGTGTGCCCAGCAGGGCCCTGCGGAGTCAGGATGAGAGAGTAGGGGAGGGGCCGAGCTCCTTCTACCCTGGGACGCCTCGTCCCACCGCCTCCTCCTGGACAGCTGCAGGACCTGGGCCTCTGGGAGCCTCCTTAGAGGGAGCCCAGGCCAGTCTGAGATGGTGCAGTCTGTACTGGGCCCTCCTGCCCCACCAGCCCTTCCTGCCTGTCTCCTCCACCAGGGCCTGGAGCCTCACGCCTGGGGTCAGTGGCACTGGCAACCCAAGCTGCCACCAAGCGCGAGCTGCTTCCAGTTCCACACACAGCAGAGGTGCTCACACCACAATCACCCTCAACAGCGCAGACGCTGCTGTGAGGAAACACTGAGGGATTGAGAGCCGCTGGTTTCGTCTGCAGTTAACCAGCGAGCCACTCGGTGCAGGCAGCAGGAGGGTCCCCACTGCCAGGCGGGGGTGACAGGAGCGCCCAGTTAACTTTAACCCGGGCTAACCACTGCCAGGGAGGTGCCAGGGCTGGGCTGGCCTGACTTGAGGGGTAGGGAAAGGCTGTCGTGTCTGGCGTCACCCCAGAGATGACCTGGACTGTCAGGGCTGTGTACTGATGGGGGTAGCCCCTCCCTGCCCCTGGGACCCAGGCCCCCAGGGGCTGTCTGTGTCACGGGATGGTTGGGCTCCAAGCCTGGGGCTGCAGGGTCAGAAGGAAGGCTGGGTTCCTGCCACTGGCAGAGGGGTCTGGGCCCCAAGGGCGGGCACATAGGGCACACCCCTTGACCCTCTGGAGCTCTCTTCTTCCACAGCTCGTGGGCCTCCTGGGTCCCTCCTGGCCCACAGGTCATCCAGGAGCATTGGTTCAGAAGCCTCTGCAGGCTCTTCCAGCCTGAGACGAGGCCTGGAGGCTGAGGCAGGAGCCCAGGAAGCAGCAAGAGGGGCCCCAGCTGTGTCCCTGAACCCTGGCAAAGATGGCCAAACTTTGCCTCCAGCCTCAGCCTCCCTGGGCAGCTCAGCCTCCACAGCAGGAAGACCATGGGAGAGTGGCCGGCGGCGGGGCAGTGGGGGGTGCCATTGGGGTGGTGGCAGGATGGTGGAGACAGGACCCACCCTTGACCTTCTGCCCATCAGTGGATGGATGAAGAAAGTGTGGCACACCCACGGTGGAGTACTATGCAGTCCTCAAAAAGGAGCAACACCATGGGCGAGCCTGGAGAACGTCACACTAAGTAAAATCAGCTGGGTGCAGAAAGACACACGCTACCCATCTCATGAATGTGTGGAATCTAAAAATGTCAATCCCCCTTAGGAGCTAAGAGCAGAGTGGTTGTGAGCTTGGGGTTAACCGTTCGGATTGAGAAGATAAAAGAAAATAAATAAAATAAAATTTATAAGGAAAGGCGAAGGACCTGGAATACTTAAAACAATCACCTAGCGCAGTGGCTCATGCCTGTAATCCCAGCACTTTAGGAGGCTGAGGCGGGCGGATCATGAGGTCAGGAGATCGAGACCATCCTGGCCAACATGGTGAAACCCCGTCTCTACTAAGAATACAAAAATTAGTCGGGTGTGGTGGCGGGCGCCTGTAATCCCAGCTACTGTGGAGGGTGCGGTAGGAGAATCGCTTGAACCCAGGAGGCGGAGGTTGCAGTGAGCCAAGATCGCACCACTGCACTCCAGCCTGGGCAACAGAGCAAGACTCCGTCTCGGAAAAAAAAAAAAAAAAAAATCTTGGCCAGGTGCGGTGGCTGATGCCTGTAATCCTAGCACTGTGGGAGGCCGAGGTGGGTGGATCACCTGAAGTCAGGGGTTCAAGACCACCCTGGCCAACATGGCGAAACCCTGTTCCTACTAAAAAATACAAAAAGTAGGCCAGGCTCGGTGGCTCACGCTAGTAATCCCAGCATGTTGGGAGGCCGAGGTGGGTGGATCACGAGATCAGGAGATTGAGACCAGCCTGGCCAACATAGTGAAACCCCATCTCTACTAAAAATACAAAAATTAGCTGGGCATGGTGGTTGTGCCTGTTATCCCAGCTACTCGGGAGGCTGAGGCAGGAGAATCACTTGAACCCGGGAGGCACAGATTCTAGTGAGCCAAGATCATGCCACTGCACTCCAGCCTGGGCGACAGAGCGGGACTCCGTCTCAAACAAACAAACAAACAAAACCAATCCTGAAACAAGGGAGAAAAAAGTGGAGGCATCACTCTAGCTGGCGTGGATATTAAAGCCTCATCCATTGTGACAATGTTGAGAAAGTGACGTGTGTGCATCAGGGTAGACTCTTGAACCAACGGAACAAAACAGAACAGAACAGAAAACCCAGAAACTGACCCACACAAATAGGCCCACCTGATTTTTGACAAAGGTATAAAAACAATTCAGTGGAAGAAGAGTAGCTTTTCAACAAATGGTGCTGGAAGAATCAGACATCTACAGGCCAAAAAAAAAAAAAAAAAGGAACTTTGACCTAAGTCTCATAACTTATACAAAAATTAACTCAGAACGTACCCAGAGGAGGCAAACCCACAAGGACAGAAAGCAGATCTGAGGCTGCGAGGGGAAAATCCGCTCATGTGTTTTGCTCTTGCCATTGCCAGTCATACGTCTGCTCCCGTCATCTCAGGGCGACGATTTCTTGGTGCTGCTCTGTGTGTTTGCTGTTTTCTCACCCTTGGCAGGTACATTTCACTCCAGTTTTTGCTAATTGTTAGAGAGATATTCATCCTGTTTTAATTTTCTGGTACTTGCCGTATTTTTCTCTGACCACGTGTGTGAGGAACCATCTCCCCGTGTGCGAGGACTTAGCCTGCCTCTGCCTCCCGTCACTGTCCTCCCAGGGATACTTATTTTTGTGGGCATGTGAAGAAAATGAAGACTCAGCTGATTGATGTGATTTTGGTTTGCATATGAAGTTTCCTTTTGGAATTGTTGGTGGGATTTGCACCTTATTTCTTAACCATGTCATAGTGATTACTGGGATTTGAGATCTCAGCCTGTCCGCCATGTGGATTCTTCCCTTGCTCCCTTCTGCGATTTAAGGAAAGGTTCGGGCTGCTTCCCACGGCCTTTTAGGATTCTGTATGCGTGCGCTGAAGGAACCCCAGGCTGATTCTCAGGCAGACATAGGCCTGGTCAGTGCAGGTTGAATTTACAGGATGAAATCCAAGCTCCACATCTGTCCGCACATGTCCCCCTGCCCAGCAGCAGCCCAGCTGGGCGGCCCCGCAACTGGCCCTGGGGTCTTTCCTTCTTCCTCGGCTTCTCCCCTCCTCCTGCAAATCCCCCTCCTCCTTCAGAAGCAGCCCCCAGGTGTGGACACAGCACATTGCTGAGGGTGCCCCTGAGCACCCACCTTCTTCTGGGACGGACCGGCGCCCAGCGGACACTGGAAGCATCTGAACTGGTGTGCAGTGCAGCCCTGATTTCCCGTGGGCTCCTCCCTTTCCCGTGGGCTCTGCGCTTTCTCGTGGGCTCCTTCCTTTCCCGCGGGCTCTGCACTTTCCCACTGGGCTCCTCGCTTTCCCGTGGGCTCCTCGCTTTCCCAGTGGGCTCCGCGCTTTCCCTTGGGCTCCGCGCTTTCCTGGTGGGCTCCTCACTTTCCTACTGAGCTCCTCGCTTTCCCGTGGGCTCTGTGCTCGCTCCCAGGACCAGCAGTCACTGTCCCTCCATGTGCTCACCTTGGGGCACCGGGCACTGGCTCCTGCCTGATTTATGGTCTTCCCCGCCCTGGTCTCAGCTGCCCCAGGGGCGCTGGCCCCGTCTTCACCTCACGCCCCCAAATGAATTACAGGAGCCACCTGGGGAGAAGTTTTAAGAGGAGAAAAATACCTTATGATCGAAAACTATGAAGAAGTAAAATAGCAGCTAGGAGCAGCTCCCCTAACCAATCCCTGGCTTCCACGGGCCAGTGGCCAACACCTGGCCAGACGGGCCAGCAGCCTCCTGCCAGGGCCCTGGGCTAACAGCTGAGGCCACCTGCACCCAGGAAGTTTCGTAGTGATTTTCAAGGTCTGGTTACCGAAAGGGCGAAGGGATGCTGGGCACTGGGGGAAATGCTGACCTCCAGCCTCCACCCCCACGGTGAGGAGCGTGAAGCCCCAGGGTGGGTGGGGAGATTCCTTGCAAAGGTGGCCCCGTCCCTGCACCCCTCACCCCTGCTGCTCCCCCACGAGGAGTGGGAACCCCTCATCCATGCCCACACAGGGGCCCTGCTGCTCCCCCACAAGGAGTGGGAAACTTGCAGTTTTCCGGGAGGGACTGTGCACCAACTCCAGCTTAGGCCTCCAGGGGCTCAGCCCCAGCTCTCCAAAGCTTCCATCGCCATGGAGACAGCAGGATCAGCAGAGCAGGGGGAGCCCATGAGGGCATGGCTGTGTCCAGCCTGGAGCGAGGTAGGGCAGGGGGTGAGGGGTGAAGCCCGGGGCCCAGGCTTGGCGGGGTGATGGGAATGAGGCAACCTGGCCCAAGGACCCAAAGCTGATGGAGACCCACAGACAAGGGGAGGTTGAGGAGCTGCAGGGTCTCCTGGTGGTGGTGGGGGTCTGGGACCACCCAGCCTCAAAAAGGCTGTGAGAATCACAGGAGTGTTTGAGACACCCCACAATTAAGGGGCATGGCGGGGACCAAGCAGGGTCCCAGAGCCCAGAGCAGAGACGGTGGGAAGGACGGGCTGTGGACGAGGATGGGTTCTGACAAGAGGAGGGTGACAGAGCGGGGCGGCCATGGCGGCAGGAGGGCTGCAGGGGCAGGGGAGGGAGTGAGGTCAGTGGGAGCTGGGGAGAGGACAGGGCGGGAGGGCTTGAGGGGCTGCTGAAGGTATGCACTGAGGCCTGCAGAGAAGCCAAAAAACGCTGGGTTTTGGGTGCCCCCATAGAAACACAGGGCCCAAAGGGAAACGGGGAGCCCCTCTCTACCCGGGACCCGCCCTCAAGGGTGGCTGGATGAAGTGTGTCTGGGGGCTTATGGTGGTGGTCACGCTCCAGGCCCATCCTGGACCGGGGATTCTGGGCCCAGGAAAGCTGCTGGAGCCTGTGGTCACCTTTGACCCCTGCGGCCTGGCTGCTCCTGACAGCATGAGTTGATTCAAGGACAAAGCCAGGACCCCTGGCTTGGAGGGACAGTCCCACAACCCCTGGGTCCCAGGCTGGCACACGTGCCTCCTGGGCCACCCCCACCTGCCCCCCACCGCTAGCACCCCACTCTCTACCCTCCCAGGCCAGCGCACTGCCTCCTGGGCCAGCACCCCCACCTGCCCCCACCGCCGGCGCCCCGCTCTCTACCCTCCCAGGCCAGCACACATGACTCCTGGGCCAGCACCCCCGTCCCCGCCGGCACTTCACTTTCTACCTTTGCTCTTCTTCCCCGGCCATGTCTCCTGCTCTGGTCCTGGGGCCGGAAGTCAGCGCTCTGTGCAGATGAGCTTGGGGCAGCCCACGCCCTGCAAACCCTGCCAGGCTTCTGAGCAGCCGTTGACCTGCCCTGCTCCCCTGATGCCTACCTGGGGGGCAAGAAGCCTAAGTCCAGCCCCCTTCCACAGGGTCCCTTTAGCTTCTAGGGACGCATGGGGGTGGGGTCCAGGTCCCCTGGCCCAAGGGCTGGAGGTGCCAGGGGCTCTTTGATTGCAGGAAGGGAGCCCCAGACAAGTAAGGGAAGGCCAAGGGGGCATGAGGAGGCTTGACGGTGTCTGCCTGGTGCGGGGTCCCCACCCTGCTCCTTAGGCCAGGCCGTGTGGCCCCCTCTTCTGGGCTCTGCCCACTGGGCTGCCCAAGGGCCTGGTGCACTCGGCCTTATCCAGCCTCCTGGCTGTGAGGCTGGAGCATCCTTTGCACGGTGGCTCCATCTCCCCTCTGCACCGTAAGGGCTGACGTCTCCAAGGGCTTCTGCGATGGGGGCCCTCTTTGCAGGCGGAGTCTGCTGGCCCTGACTTGTCCTGGGGTGCTTGAGTGTCCCAGGAGGCCCAAAGAAGAACAGGCTGAGAAAAGGGGGCACAGGTGGCCACGGCCCCAGGTGTGGTCCAGCCAGGCCAGTCCAGAGAAGGAGGAAGGGAGACTGGGTGAGGAGGGCCCGGCCCCTGGGAGTTTCCCAGCCGCTGGGGGCCCCGGAAACGTGGGCTAGCCTTCTGCTGAGCGCGTGACCATCCCCACCCTGGTCACCCACTGGGCTGGCTGGGCCACGTAACCCAGAAGCCCTCATGGCTTCCAGGAAAAGAGGCCGTCCAAGAGCCCTGACTCTGACCCAGGGGCATGGGTGGCTCCGGGAGTGACCTGTGGGGAGGGGCACAGAGGAGCCTCCCCGGGCCTCAGCCTGGGTCTTGCCTCTGGGCTGCGGGAGCCGGGGAGCCTCGGCCGTGTTCTGGGCTCCACACAGTCCCGAGCCCCACAAGATCAGCCCTGGCTTGGTTCTGTACGTTGCTTCCTGCAGGGGAGGGGAGGGGGAGGGGAATGGCCAACAGCTGGTGTTCAGGGTGCCCTGTGGGATGGCATGGCCCCTCAGGTATCAGGGAGTCCCGTTAGACTAGGCTCCTAACCAGGACCTGGGCAGGGGAGCATCACAGCGCTGGGGCCCCAGACTGCTGCCCACCGGCTGCCTGGGTTCCTCTCTGAACCTCAGTCTCCTCATCGGCCTGGCGGGAACAGCTGCTCGCTCCTGTTCTTTCCCCGTCAGGCGTGTGAGACGTGTCTCCTTTCTCTCCGCCAAGAGTGAACTCCCTTTGACCAGGCCTCGTGGTGGTTCAGGGAGAGATGTTCGTGAAGCAAGGGCGTCCCGTGAGCCTGGCCCGTCACCCGACCTCTAGGCTTCACAAACCTTCAGATCTGAGCAACACACAGTCGTGACCCTGTGGCTCCAGAGCTCCCTCTCCAAGTGGCTTCTCCGGGTCCCGCAGAGCAGGCCCTGCAGATCCAAGGCCAACCTCCTAGGACCCCGGCCTCCCACCCACAGGAGGGTTTTCCCTCGGTCCTAAGCGGCCCTCCTTCCAGCACGGCAGGGAGACCTGGGGCTGCAGGGATTTGCCGGGAGAGCCCGGGGCCACCAGCACCGTCCTGCGAAGGATGTAGCCTCAGGCCAGACCCCTACTTCTAGAAGAGTCCTGCCTCTTGCTACCCACCATGGCCTGGAAGGCACATTCTGAGGCTTTGCTTGCTCTGCAAATCAACCCTGCTCTGTCTGGTGGCCCGAGGAGGGTGTCACAGACCAGGGCCTGGCTTAGAGCTCCCGGGGCCCAGCCCACCACCCACAGCATGTGGAGAGGAGGCTCAGAAGGGCTGTGCAGTGTCCTCCACTCGGGATCTGCCCTTGGGGCTCAGCGGCACTCCAGGCCGTGACAGCAGAGGCGCTGTCCCCAGCCGTCCCCCGATGGCGGAAGCTGGGCCCTCTCTGGGCTCCTTGGACTCTGAGGGGCTCAGGCTCCCAGACGCCACCCTGCCCAGCTGCCCCGAACGGAAGTGTGCAGTGTGTGGGCGTTGGAACATTCCACCCACCCTGCCTGCTGCCACCCACCCAGGGGACTGGGAAGTGAAATTGCTTGGTCTGTGCCGGGCGTGGCAGGTAAGGGCCGGGTGGGCCCACCAGGCAAATTTCTCAAGGGTGGCGTGGGAACCCGTCTTCTTCCAGGCAGCCGTGTCCAGGGTGGTGGTGGTGTCCAGGCACCTGGGGTGGGCGCTGAGTGTCCACAGCAGAGGAGAGATGGGCTACACCCTTAGGGGTGCGGGAGATACCCCCACCCTGCCCCCAGGCTGCCAGCCCACAGGGAGGAAGTGATTCTGCAGCCAATCAGAGGGAGCATTGATTCTGCGGCCAATCAGAGGGAGCGTTGATTCTGCGGCCAATCAGAGGGAGCGTTTGGCGCCCGAGGGATGGGTTTCCACCTGGGCTTCCAGGTTCCCCGGAGGCCTCTTGGGGGCATGGCTGCCGTGGGTAGGGTCTGGTGGCCAGGGCCCCTGTTCTCAGCACTCCACGAGTCTTCACTCAGCACCCTGAGAGGCAGCTGTCCTTTTTACTAACCCCTCCCCTTTTCAGGACAGGAAACCGAGGCACAGAGGCAGAGTCAGCTATGTCATCTGCAGGGTCCATAGAAAATGAAAACGTGTGGGCACATGGTGGAGCGTCTGTCATCCCAACACCTCGGAAGGCCGAGGTGAGAGGATCACGAGGTCGGGAGTTCAAGACCAGCCTGGGCAACATAGTGAAACCCCGTCTCTACTAAAAATACAAAAAAATAGCCAGGCATGGTGGAGTGTCTGTAATCCCAGCTACTGGGGAGGCTGAGGTGGGAGAATCGCTTGAGCCTGGGGGTCGGAGGTTGCAGTGAGCCAAGATCAAGCCATTGCACTCCAGCCTGAGTGACACAGTGAGATCCTGTCTCAAACAAACAAAACAAAACAAAAAAGACGAAGACAATGAGAATGTGGGCCTTTCTTTAAGAAGTATTAAGCATTTCAGGATGGCGGCGGCGGCAGAGCATTGGCTCAGCAGGGGCCTCAGCACACAGTTTCGGGAGGGTGGTGAGCAGTTCTGGGAGGGTGATGAGCATGCGTGGCCTGCAGGGAGAGGGAGAGCCGGGCCCAGAGGGGTCACAGTGGAGTCAAGAGGGGGACGGAGTGAGGGGGGCCCTGGAGCCAAGAGCCTGGCGGCCTCCACTGCCTCGGTCTGTGGTCTACACAAAGGGCTCAAGTCAGACACGTCCAGGAATCTGGGTCCAACGCAGTGACGGGTTTCCGTCCATGGGACTCGTCCACACACATGACAGACCCCTCAAGGGGGCGGGAGGGGAGGTTACAGCGTTTGGTGTTCCCCGAACCGCCCGACACGGAACACTGTTTCTCTCGGGACTTCTCCCAGGGCTGGCGATGTGTGAATGAAATGCACGTCGGGAAGGGGAGTTGCAGCCTCGGCCCCGATGCAGCTGAGGGGCTAAGCACCATGGTGTCCTGACTGAGCAGCCGGGCAGGCCCTCTGGACACCGGTGCAAAGCAGCAGCCCCCGCCCCGTCCTCTCAGAGTGCTCCAGTCAGCCCACATTCAGCGTGGGGTGGGCCCTCCTGGTCCCTCTGATCCTGGCTGGAAGGGCTGTGAGCCGTGTCCCTCCTGGTACCCCCGATCCTGGCTGGACGGGCTGTGAGCCATGTCGCTCCTGGTCCCTCTGATCCTAGCTGGACGGGCTGTGAGCCGTGTCCCGCCTGGTCCCCCGACCCTGGCTGGACGGGCTGTGAGCCGTGTCCCTCCTGGTCCCCCGACCCTGGCTGGATGGCTTGTGAGCCGTCACCAGACAGGCCGGGGCTTCCCCGTCAGCTGGAAGCTCCTCCGGAATTGCCTCTCCAGACCTGCCTTTCAAGGAGCCCCTCTCACCCGGCTTCTGTGTCTGCGGGCAACTGTGGATTGCTGTCCCTGCCCACCTAAGCCCCTGTGTCGTTTTCTCTCGAGGTGCTTGTCACTCAGGTGAGCAGGAAATGTTTGTGGAATTCACCGTGAATCCGGGAGGGGAGGCGGTGGGGAGGCCATGGTGGGGTCAAACTCAGGAGCGGGTACAGCCCAGCCTGGCCCCAAGACCTGTGGCCCTTCTCCTCCCACTACATGCAGTGTGGACACAGACCTGCTGCCTCATCGCCACTTTCCAGAAACATTTGCAGAGCCATGTTATGTGGCTACCCGAGTTCTGGACAGACACACCAGGAGCAGAGGCTGGCCCTGTCCTGATGCGGGCTTGCTGTGTGGCCCTGGGCAAGCTGCTGGACCTTTCTGAGCCTCAGTGTCCCCTTCTGAGAGTGGAGGTAACACAGCCAGTGAGGACATGGAGAAAGAGTGGCCCGGGGAGGCTCATTCACTGAGAATTTTTTCTAGTTTTTTGCAGGGAGGTCACCCGGTGAGTGTTGTGGCTAAAACAAGATGTGGGGGAGGGATCCCCCCAGGGAGCATGCGTGGCTTGCAGGGAGAGGCAGAGCCGGGTCCAGATGTGGTCCCTGCAAGCCACACCTTCCCTGGGGGGGATCCCTGGGGGTCTGGCTGGGCCACACCTGTGACACCACAGCAGTGCCACACCCTGCAACCCCAGCTGCCCAGGATACCCTTCCTGGTGTGCGTCACGTCACGTCTGTGCACCAGCTCATGTGTCCTGTTCCCGGACTCTTGCTTGCAAAACGTATTGCCCAGAGCAGCTGGGCCCGGTGCCAGCAGCCCTGCCCCTAATCTGCCTGCCCGGGGGCTCCTGAGGGAGACACCCTCTCCCCAGGGCTGGAGGCTGGACTTCAGCAGGACCCACTGCAGCCCTTACCCCCTTTCCCCTGCTGTACTGTCAGGACCCCTTCCCACACAGGAACCACTGGCCCAGGCTCTAGCTAGTCATGACAGTTCCCCAGTGCCAGGCACTGCAGGAGGCTCTGAGAGGGGTCGGTGGCCTCTGTCTCAACTCAGCTCGCTCAGCGGCCCTGGGAAGCCAGGGGAGGTTCTGGAGCCAAGCTCCAGCCAGACCCATCCCATCAGCATTGCTGCAGCTCCCCAAGGGCTCTGCTGCGTGCTTGGAAGTGAAAATTGCTGATGGAGGGGGTGGGTCCGACGAGAAGAGAGGAAGGGACAGAGTCCAGCCACAGGTGGTTCTGGGCATTCTCCAAGCTCCTCCAGACCTCTCTGAGGCCTTGGCAGAATCCTGCATTACCCAAGCCTGTTTCTCCATCTGTAAAATAGGGATAGGAATACTTCCACCCCCCAGGTCCTTGAGAAGACCAAATGAGGTGATACTCTGCGCATGTTCTTGGTGCAAGGAAGTGACTACCCACATGCACTGTCGTATCAGGGACACAGGTTAGCCACGTTCATCCTCAGAGGTACCTGGGAGTGGAAGCATTGTTACCTCCACTCACAGAGGAGACCGAGGTACTGAAAGGTTTAGTAGCCCACCTGAAGCCATGCAGCTAGTAGAGAAGGAGCTGGAAATTCAACCTGGATGGTGATGATGGTGATGGTGGTGGTGATGATAGTGGTGATGATGATGGTGGTGATGGTGACGATGATGATGATGGTGATGATGACGATGATGATGGTGATGATGATGGTGGTGATGATGATGGTGGTGATGGTGATGATGATGGTGGTGATGGTGATGATGATGGTGATGATGATGATGGTGGTGATGATGGTGGTGATGATGGTGGTGATGATGGTGATGATGATGGTGGTGATGGTGATGATGATGGTGATGATGATGATGGTGGTGATGATGGTGATGATGATGGTGGTGATGATGATGGTGGTGATGATGGTGATGATGATGGTGGTGATGATGATGGTGGTGATGGTGGTGATGATGATGGTGGTGATGGTGATGATGATGGTGGTGATGGTGATGATGATGGTGGTGATGACGGTGATGATGATGGTGGAGATGGTAATGATGATGGTGATGATGATGATGGTGGTGATGGTGATGATGGTGGTGATGATGATGGTGGTGATGATGGTGACGATGATGATGATGGTGATGGTGATGATGATGATGGTGGTGATGGTGGTGATGATGATGGTGGTGATGATGGTGATGATGATGGTGGTGATGGTGATGATGGTGATGATGATGGTGGTGATGTTGATGGCAGTGATGATGATGATGATAGCAATGATTATAGTGGTGATGGTGATGATGGTGGTGGTGGTGATGATGGCAATGATGATGGTGATGATGGTGGTGGTGGTGATGATGGTGATGATGATGGTGGTGATGGTGATGATGATGATTGTGGTGGCATTGTTCTTGACAGTTTATACATATTAACTCATTTAATTCTCACAATAAGCCAATGACTGTGTCCATTTTGCGAGTGAGGACAGTGAAGCAGAGAGAAAGTAACTTGCTTAAGACCACACAGTCAGTAAGTGGCAGAGCAGGGACTCGGGGCTACACATTCCAGTTGGAGCCCATGTCCAGAGCCCACGTCCACAGCTGCTGCGCTGTCTTGCTCCATGAAGCCATGCTGCTTCACACAGTATCTCACGAAATTGGGGGAAGAGGCTGAGTTCAGAGCACAGGGTGCACCCCCACTGGAAGGAGTTGGAATTATGCAGGAGGTGCAGTGGACTGAATGTTTCTGTCCTCCCCAAATTCATATATTGAAATCCTTATCCCTAGAGTGATGGTATCAGGTGGGGCCTTTGGTGGGTGATTAAGTCATGAGGGTGGACCCTCGTGAATGAGACCGCTCCCCTCATGAAAGGGAGCCGAGAGAGCTACCAGCCCTCTTTTCGTCATGCGAGGACACAGCGAGAATCTGGCCATCTGCAGCTTGGAAACGGGCCCTCACCAGAACCTAACCATGCCAGCACCTTGATCTTGGACTCCAGCCTCCAGAACTGTGAGACAGAGAGGTCTGCTGTGTATAAGCCCTCAAGCCTGTGGTCCTTTCTTATAGCAGCCCGAGCTGTCTGAGGCAGGAGGCGAGATTTAAGCTGTACCTTGAAGGGCATCTATAAGTGGGCCAGGGTGGGAGGGTCTGCCTGGGAATGGAGCAAGGTCTCAGGGGGAGACTCAACAACTGGAATCTGGCTCTGGGGAGCCTGAACTCCAGCTGCACCAGTGGGGCCTGCCTGCAGCCCACATCTTCCAGCCACACATCCCACCCACCAGCTAGGCTCTCTCCCCATGCGGGCAGTTTGGGGGCGTCTTTGCCCGTACCCCTCCCTGTCTACCATGAGCTCGTCCCCCAGGCTGAGCAGAGCCACATGTGGCCCCTGATGGGCCAGAGTCTACAGGACTCAAGCAGGGACAGCCGGGCACCCTAGGGGTGCTGCTGGCTGGTGGGAGGGGGATCCCTCCAAGGTGTGCCAGGGTCCCTCGGTGCAGCAAGGGGCATGGCCCTTACCCCCACCCCCCTTGCCCCCCCCACCGCCGTCCTTGCCCTCCACCAGCACCCTCACCACCCCCGCTGCCGCCCTCACCCCGCACCACCACCCTTGCCCTCACCAGCGCCCTCACCACTGACTGCTGCCACCCTCAGCCCCGACTGTCGCCCTCACCCCTGACCACCGCCCTCACCACCCCCACCGCCCTCACCCCCACCGCCACCGCCCTCAACCCTCCACAGCTACTCTCACCCCTCTGCCGCCGCCCTCGCCCCCCCACCGCCGCCCTCACCCCCCCGCCGCCGCCCTCAACCCTCCGCCGCCGCCCTCACCCCCCCGCCGCCGTCCTCAACCCCCCAACGCCACCCTCGCCCCCGCCAGCACCCTTGCCTCGCCTGCTCCCTCTGCCTCAAAGCAGAACATTCTGGACTTGGGGTGAAAAGCCTGGATTTGAGCTATGCTGCCCACCACTCTGCCTGGGTTTGCTTTTCTGGATAACATCTGCCTGCCTGCTGTGGCTCCACTGGTTGCCCCCCTGGCGCCACATCTCTTCTCCTCTGCTGCTGGAGTCCAGGTCTGCCCTCCTGGGGCACCCGCCCAGCTCACAGGCAAACCTACCCGGTCTCGGGGGCTGTGACTGAGGGGTGTGGCAGAGGCTTCGGGTGTTCACTGGGAGCTTCCGCAGGGGAACCGGCCTGGTAGGAACGGCCGCTTTGGGGAAGGCAGAACCATCGGGAACCAGCCTCAGGGTGCAGGCTTCCAGGACAGTGCTCACTCTGGGCAGAGCCACCACCACATTGCTTACTCGTCCCCACAGATGGAACAGGAGCGAGGTCGCCTGTATCCTCCGGGAAATGCTCCTGGAGGTCAGGGCAGCCGGGTGAGCACTGGGTCCGGCTGCTCTCCCCAGCTTCTCTTCTCCAGTCAGCCAACCCAGCCTCCGCGAGAGACAGAGGAAAGACAGACACGGCGTTGGCTGCGCGGGGGCCTGCATCCCTCCCGACCTTCTCATTTGATCCTCCTGCCCTATGCGGTTGGTGCCAACGTTCATCCCATTTTACAGATGAGTAAACTCAGCTTCAGTGAGGCCGGGGCCTTCCTGGAGATCACAGAGCAAGTGAGCCCAGGCCTCAACACCCCTCTCCCCTCCGCACCTCTGCCGCCCCCTCCCGGTTCCTTTCCCGACTCTGGACCCCACGGGTGTCCTGGGCTCTGCTGCGGTGTTCCTGGCTCCGCTCTCTTCCTACCTCCTGGGCCGGCAGGGGAAAGTGCTCCCAGCTGGGGCCACCACACCCTGACCTGCCCATTCCACTTTCCTCAGCTGTAAAGCAGGGAAGTCAGGGCCCCTCTTTATGGGCTTGTGGAGTTGAATGGGGTCATGTTGTGTAAATCCCTAAGCCCAGTGCTGTCTCGGAAAAGACCTCAGTTCCGGGTTTATTGTTCTCTCTCCCACTCAGGCACCATCAGTCTCAACTGTCGCTGGCCGGAGCTGGCTCTACGCGTTTCTTTCCTCGTACTCTGTGGTCTACAAGGACAGGAGGTGCTGGGGGCTGGCTGGCTCCTCGGGGACAGTGGGGAGCCGTGTAGGAAGGGACACCGAGGCACCAAGGGCCCAGCAGGACCTGGGGAGGGGGTACAAGGATGGCTGTGCTGCAGCAGACTGGCTGCCTCCACGCCCACTCTGGAATGGCCGGGGCCAGACTGCGCAGCTGTCGTTTTGATTGAATCCAGATGCCCCTGGTACTCGAGACAAATGTGCTCTGGGGAGCGTTTAAATAAAAACACAAGGATCAGAGGTGTTCCCAGGGGCCAGTTTCATGGGGAGCCAGGGAGAGGGAGGAGTGGGCCCTGTCCCTACACCGATAGCAGGTGGCCCAGTCCGTGACCGGACACAGCTCCCCTCCACCCACCAACCTCCTGGCCACCTGCTGGGGCCCCCCCGAGTCTGCAAATCTCCCTGAATCTGTTTCCCCACCATGTCACCGGGCACCCAGGAGAGCTGCACCTGCAAGTGACTGGGTGCTTGGCCCAGGGGTGGGTGCTGGTGGGTGAGAGTGGTCCCTATCACTATCACAGATGATAAGTGACGTCTGTCACACCGGGAGCCTGGGCCGGGCAACCTGGCACCCATTTCCTCTCTTGGAAGTGGAGGCCCTGAGGCTTCTGAGCGCGCAGGGCTGCTGGGAGGACGAGTAAGAAAAGCGGGTGAAGCACAGAGCCCAAGGCTCCGTGTGGCCCCCCCAGTCAGCTGAAGTCGTGACCCTCACCGCAGCCTCCGCCCCGCGCCAAGCCTGACTGTGGTGGCTTCCGATGGGTGTCCTCCTGGGCTTCCCAAAGCAGGAGGTGAGGTGCAGGACAACGCTGGCGCAGGCTGGCTCAGAGGCACAGCAGAGCCGGGTCCTGCACGGCCAGGCGCATCGGGAGTGGCCTTCCCTGGCTGTCAAGGTGTCAGGCAGCTGCCTTTGTGCAGGGCACTTACCTGGAGTGCGGTGGCCCCGAGGAATCTCGTTTTTTTTTTTTTTTTTTTTTGTTTTTTATACAGAGTCTCACTCTGTCACCCCGGCTTCAGTGCAGTGGAAGGATCTCAGCTCACTGCAGCCTCTGCCTCCTGGGCTTAAGCAATCCTCCCACCTTAGCCTTCTGAGTAGCTGGGACTGCAGGTGGGCACCACCACGCCCAGCTAATTTTTAAATTTTTTTATAGGGACGGGGTCTCGACCTGGACCAACCCAGGCTGGTCTCAAACTCCTGGGCTCAAGCAATCCACTTGCCTAAGCCTCCCGAAGTGCTGGGATAACAGACGTGAGCCGCCACACCCGGCCTTCACATGGTTTGAGCCGCCGCACCCGGCCTCTCACATGGTTCTTCTCACGGGCGCTCCCCACATGTGCGGACCCCTCCTTCGTGGCCTCCAGCTTCTATTTAGAGAGGGTGTGACACGCTGAGATCTTTCACACGGGTGGTGACGGGACTGAATCGAGTTGCAGGACGCCAGCGGGTATGAGAGCTGCTGCTGTGGAGAACGGCAGCACCATTTCCACACCCACGTGTGGCACTTGGTCACGGCCCATGCGGGAAACAACTACACCCACCTATTTCCCTCCCAGAAAACCTACGTTTTTCTTCCCAAGACAGACACTGTGTGCTCACAACACCCTGTTGCTGCCTTTCCTGAGTAGTATGTGTGCAGGAGTCCTCACAGCAGCCGTGTCGCAGGGAGCAGGCGCCACGGCCTTGGAAGCCAGCACAGTCAGCGAAATTCCGTAGGGAGCTGGGACTGACACGGCCCAGTCATGTCATGGATGAGCCATGTCATGAACGACTCATGCATGCACCAGTCACGTGAGGACCTGTCACGTGTGGACCTGTCATACATGCACCAGTTGAGTGTGGACCTGTCATGTGTGAACTTGTCACGTGAAGACCTGTCACATGTGAACCTGTCACGAGGACCTGTCACGTGTGGACCTGTCACGTGTGGACCTGTCACGTGAGGACCTGTCACGTGTGGACCTGTCACGTGAGGATCTGTCGTGTGGTCCTGTCGTCTGTGGGCCTGTCACGTGAGGACCTGTCATGTGTGGACTGTCACGTGTGGACCTGTCACGTGTGGACTGTCACGTGTGGACCTCTCATACATGCACCAGTCACGTGTAGACCTGTCACGTGTGAACCTGTCGTGTGGTCCTGTCGTCTGTGGGCCTGTCACGTGTGGATCTGTCACGTGTGGACCTGTCATACATGCACCAGTCACGTGTGGACCTGTCGTGTGGTCCTGTCATCTGTGGGCCTGTCACGTGTGGACCTGTCACGTGAGGACCTGTCACGTGTGGATCTGTCACGTATGGACTCTCACGTGTGGACCTGTCATACATGCACCAGTCACGTGTGGACCTGTCACGTGTGAACCTGTCGTGTGGTCCTGTCGTCTGTGGGCCTGTCACGTGTGGATCTGTCACGTGTGGACTGTCACGTGTGGACCTGTCATACATGCACCAGTCACGTGTGGACCTGTCGTGTGGTCCTGTCGTCTGTGGGCCTGTCACGTGTGGACCTGTCACGTGAGGACCTGTCATGTGTGGACCAGTCATGTGAGGACCTGTCACGTGTGGACTGTCACGTGTGGACCTGTCATACATGCACCAGTCACGTGTAGACCTGTCACGTGTGAACCTGTCGTGTGGTCCTGTCGTCTGTGGGCCTGTCACGTGTGGATCTGTCACGTGTGGACTGTCACGTGTGGACCTGTCATACATGCACCAGTCACGTGTGGACCTGTCGTGTGGTCCTGTCATCTGTAGGCCTGTCACATGTGGACCTGTCACGTGTGGACTGTCACGTGTGGACCTGTCATGCATGCACCAGTCACGTGTGGACCTGTCACGTGTGAACCTGTTGTGTGGTCCTGTCGTCTGTGGGCCTGTCACGTGTGGACGTGTCACGTGTGGACCCGGCTGAAGGCAGGATGCCTCAGCCAATCCTATGCCTGGGCAGGGCGGGGGATGCCTCTGCATTTTCTGAGCCCCATGGCCCTGCAGTGCTGCTGGGTGGCTGTCACAGACCCAGGCCAGCCCCTCCTCCCAGGCAGGCAGCTGGAGCTGCAGGGGAGGGTGTCACGGCCAGCCCAAGAGGCCTCATCCCTGCTACCGGGTACCTGCCGTAGCTATGTCCAGCCCAGGTCACTGAGTGTGTAAACACACCTCACGTCCGCGTCGAGAAGGCGTCACCAGTGCCTGCTGAACAAAGAAGGTCTGGCCCAGTGTGGCTGCAGCCAGGAGGCCAAGGAGACCAGTGAGAGCACCGCCCTCGCCACTGACGCTCTTGCTGGGCTCATTGTTGTGCTGGGCCCAGTGGAGCAAAAGACAGGCCTCCAGCCGGGGCACCTCCCAACAACTCTGCACCCTTGATTGAAATGCAATGTCTGCGGCTGACGGCCACGTGACTGCAACCCACCCTCCCGGCTGCCGATTAATTTTACCTTTTGTGCTGCCAGCTGCAGTGGGTTCATGGTGAGAGCTGAGTTGATGCATGCGAGTGCGAGGGTGTGTTAATGTGTGCACATGTGTGACTGTGTGAGGGTGTATATGTGTGTGTACATACATTGTGTGCATGCGTGTGAGTGTGTACACTGTGAGCACATCTGTGAATGTATGCGGGTGTGTCCCTATGAGCACGTGTGTGTGCACGTGTGACCGTGTGAGGGTGTATATGTGTGTGTGCATACATTGTGTATGTGAATGCATGTGAGTGTGTACACTGAGCACGTCTGTGAATGTATGTGGGTGTGTCCATATGAGCACGTGTGTGTGCACCTGTGACCGTGTGAGGGTGTATATGTGTGTGTGCATACATTGTGTATGTGCACGCATGTGAGTGTGTACACTGTGAGCACGTCTGTGAATGTATGTGGGTGTGTCCATATGAGCACGTGTGTGTGCACATGTGTGACTGTGTGAGGGTGTATATGTGTGTGCATACATTGTGTGCGTGCATGTGAGTGTGTATACTGTGAGCACGTCTGTGAATGTATGCGGGTGTGTCCATATGAGCACGTGTGTGCACGTGTGACCGTGTGAGGGTGTATACATGTGTGTGCATACATTGTGTATGTGCAGGCATGCGAGTGTGTACACTGAGCACGTCTGTGAATGTATGTGGGTGTGTCCATATGAGCACGTGTGTGTGCACATGTGTACATGTGACATGTGTCACTGTGAGCGGATGCATGAGTGCATGTGAGTGTCTGCATGTGTTAGTGTGTGTGGCTTTGTCCATTGTGAGCATGTGTACTCGTGTACATAGGTGTGTGAACACAGGCATACAAGCGTACGTGGTGTGCGTTCACTGTGCATGTGAATGTGTGTGTGTGTGTGGGCAGGTGGCTGTGCACGCACATGTCTGTCCACTGTCTGTGTGTGCTCATGCATATCTGCGTGTGGGCATGTGGTTGGTGTCATATGTGGCTGTGTGAGTGTGTGCACATGTGGAATATGGGTGTCTGGCTGTATCCGTGTGTGAGTGCACACGTCTGTGTGTGAGCATTTGATTGTGTGAGCACGTGCACACTCATACAAGCACAGATGTGAACCATTGCCCTGGGGCCTGCTTGTGCTACCTGTGAGCAGAGGAGACATCCTGAGGAGGCTCCACTCCCAGCCCAGCCCGTGGAGGGACACCCATGGCCTCAGGTCTCCAGGCTCCCGACGAGCTGTTAGCCAACTCAGTCCCCAAAGCAAAGCTCCAAGTTGGCAGTTGAGGATTGGAGCCCAGAGTGACTTGTCAGGGGTTTGGGGACCCAGGGAGGAAGGCCTAGGAAACCCGGGCGGGCCCACAGGGAGGCTGGCCTCCTGTCGGCCAAGGAACAGAAGAAGCAGAGGATGGAGCCCACAGGGGCTCCCACCTACTATTCCCAAGTCACTTGTCACCAATAATAACGTCCATGCTTGCAAATAAACTACGTTTAAAAGTAACAAAATTCAACATTGCCCTTGTGTGGCATCACTCGGCTTCCCTGGGGTTCTCCAGGAGGATAGAGGCCCCAGGACTCAGTGACGCTGAGATGGGCGCCCCCGGCGTGTCTGCACCCCCTGCAGGACGTCCTGGAGCCTCCGTCAGCCACACTCATGGAGTCGGGCCCCGGACCCGGGGCAAGGCAGCCAGAAATGACTCTGTAGGTGGCCCCCATGCAGCCAGCCCAGCTCCTGCCTCAAGGACACTTCGCAGGGCTGGGTCCAGGAGGTTGCTGGGCTCCAGTCCCAGGTCCCACCTTCATCACTGTGACCGCGGCACCTCTCGGACCCTCATTGGAAATTGAAAGAGGGCGCAGCCATTGGCAAGACCGCTGTGGGGGTGGGAGCTCTATAAGCCGCCCCTGGCGAACTCCATTGTCGGGGGGCCTCTATAAGCCGCCCCTGGCGAACTCCATTGTCGGGGGGCCTCTACGAGCCGCCCCTGGCGAACTCCATTGTCGGGGGGCCTCTACGAGCCGCCCCTGGCGAACTCCATTGTCGGGGGGCCTCTACCAGCCGCCCCTGGCGAACTCCATTGTCGGGGGGCCTCTACGAGCCGCCCCTGGCGAACTCCATTGTCGGGGGGCCTCTACGAGCCGCCCCTGGCGAACTCCATTGTCGGGGGGCCTCTACCAGCCGCCCCTGGCGAACTCCATTGTCGGGGGGCCTCTACCAGCCGCCCCTGGCGAACTCCATTGTCGGGGGGCCTCTACCAGCCGCCCCTGGCGAACTCCATTGTCGGGGGGCCTCTACCAGCCGCCCCTGGCGAACTCCATTGTCGGGGGGCCTCTACCAGCCGCCCCTGGCGAACTCCATTGTCGGGGGGCCTCTACGAGCCGCCCCTGGCGAACTCCATTACTGGGGGGCCTCTACGAGCCGCCCCGGTGAACTCCATTGTCGGGGGGCCTCTATAAGCCGCCCCGGTGAACTCCATTGTCGGAGGGCCTCTATAAGCCACCCCTGGCAAACTCCAGGGCTCACCTCAGGTCGGATCGAGCCCCCTCTGGGGTTTCACTGAAATCTCCAGCATTTTCAGAGACACCAGGAGCCCTGGATGAAAGGAAGACTGGCACCCTTGGTGGGAAGGACCCTCCCCCGATTTTGGAACAGAGGAGGCAGAGCTCCTCCTGAAGGCTGGCACCTGCCCCGGGGCTCTCCTGGTTACCCCGCAGCAGGATGAGCCCAGAGGGTGAGCGATGAGGCCAAGGTTGTCAGGAAGGGAGGGGCAGCTTGGTCAACGCTGCCAGGAAGCTCCGACAGTATCTCCAAGGACATGAAGGTCTGAAAAAGAAACAGGAAAATACAGACATCCCCGCTTAAGCAGGGTTTGTTTTTCTTTTTGTTTTTTTGAGACAGAGTCTTGCTCTGTTGTCCAGGCTGGAGTGCAATAGTGCAATCTCGGCCTCCCGGGTTCAAGTGATTTTCCTGCCTCAGCCTCCCGAGTAGCTGGGATCACAGGCATGCACCACCACGCCCGGCTAATTTTTTTTTTACTTTTAGTAGAGACAGGGTTTCTCCACGTTGGCCAGGCGGGTTTCAAACTCCTGACCTCAGGTGATCTGCCTGCCTCAGCCTCCCACAGTGCTGGGATGACAGGCGTGAGCCGGTGTGCCGGGCCCAGGGTTTCCCTTTTTCTGCAGTTTCAGTTATCCATGGTCAACAGAGCTCCAAAAATATTAAATGGAAAATTCTAAAACTAAACAATTCATAAGTTTTAAATTATGCACGGCTTGATGAACTCTGACACCTCCCGCCCTGTCCGCCCGGGAGGGGATCCTCCATTTGTCCAGCGAGTCCACGCTGTGGACGCTCCGCACCGGTGAGTCCTCCAGGAGCTGCCTCTGCTGTCAGATCAAAAACACATCGGATATGTGGGGTTCAGGCATCCCTGGGGGTCTGGGAATGTGACCCCCTTGTATACAAGATGGCTGTATGGTTTTTCTCCTCCTTAGTGTCATTTTTATGTTAAGTGTATTTTTTATGTTATTTATTTTTAAAAAGCCACCCGGTTTTATTTCCAGGGCTTCATGTCACTCCACCAAATGGATTCTGTCCCCCTCAGTGGCTCAGTCCCGTCGTCTGGGTTCCCAGCCCCAGGAACCTAGGGCCTGTGGAAAGCCAGCCTCCCCTGGAGGTGGCTCCTCCTGGACCCGTGGCCGGGGCACCCCGAGGACATTCTGTGGTGAGATGGTTTCAAGGCCTGCCTACTTGCGGGCCCACCCTCACCCCCCATTTTCTCCCCGTTTTCATCTTCGTCCTCACCTCATGTACCCTCTGTTTTTGGTGAGGCAGTGTGGATGGATGAATCCACCTTGCTCCCGAAACACCCCCAAATCTGTCCCGCCCGGGCCCTGGACTCTGGCTCCTAAAATGCCACCACTACACCCAGACATGCCACATGCTCCCCGGCACCCCTCCTCCGCCCTCCTGCAGAGCCAGGCGATGCCCGCACCAGAGATCTGTGCCAGCCGCAGGACATCTGGGAGGAGGTGCATAAACCCAACAGGGCCAAGCACAGAGGGGCGCACGTGTGACTTCCTTGGGCTGGCGGGCCCGTCTGCTGGAATACAGCGCGACTTTGCGGGAACTCCATTAGGCGGGTGCTTCTGTGTTTTCTGCTGTTCGAGGCCAGGCCTTCCCTGGCTCACGTGGGGCCTCACCATGTCCCAGGGTTCTCTCCCTTGGGAGCTGTTGCAGCTCGGACACAGGCCTCCAGCCTCTGGGTTTCTCAGAAACTCTGGGTCCCTCCCACTGGTGGCACCAGCTGGCTCACTCTCTGGGGTCTAAATGGAGGCTTGGAGACCCTGGGAACAATGCAGCCAACAGGACCTCGGCCCACACACCCAGACAATGCTGTGTCTGCCCTGATTTGGCACAAGCCATGGGGAGAGGCCACTGCTCTGATTGTGCAGGTGGTGCCTCAGGCCTGGCGCTGAGTGATGAGAGGACCTTGTGGGGCTCGGGACTGCTGGAGAAAGCAGAGGGAGGAAGGAGGGCCTGAGGAGGAGGAGTGTGGTGGGAAGAGGGAGGATCTGGAAAGGTTTCTAGGCTCCAGGAAAAGCGTCCCCACCATAGGTCCCAGAAGGCGGCAGCCAGGCCTCCCCTCGCAGCTGCTGTGCAGAGCTGGCATCTGTGCCCGCCGCTCCACATGTAGAAGCCAGACCCTGGGAGCCGGGTCTGTGCCAAGCCAGTGCCAGCTGCCGGGACACATGTGTCTGGCACTTGGACAACTCCGCCCAGCGAGGCCTGTGCGTCTCTTTCCTTGTGGGGAGAGCGTGTCATGTCCAGGCCTGGGGTCACCACATGCCCATGCCTGGCATTCTTTCCATCTGGGCTCACCCCCATCGTGCCCATGATCTGGGCCCGCCCCCATCGTGCCCATGTCCAGCGCGTGGCTGCCATTGTGCCTGTGTCCAGCACATGGCCCCATCGTGCCGATGTCCAGCACATGGCCCTCATCGTGCCCATGATCTGGGCCCGCCCCCCTCGTGCCCGTGTCCAGCGCGTGGCCCCCATCGTGCCCGTGTCCAGTGTGTGGCCCCAACAGTCAGCGTTGTTGACGTCACCTTCTGGGAGGGAGGTCGGCCTCGGGGCCAATGGCCCGGAGCTTGTGTGTATGGCTCTGTGTGCGTGTGCAATGCACTCAGCATCTAAGCTACGGTCAGGCCCTCTGGAGGCTCCTGCAAACTTTGAGGGCCTGCCCAGAACTCTCTCCAAGCCCAGGTGGGGCAAACGCTTCCAGGTCAAATGCCAAAATTCCTGTCCCCATGACATGGGCCTTAGGCAGTAAAGGAAGACGCAGGGGTGGAAGAGAGTGCAAAGACGCACACGAACATCCATGACCTGCACACATACGCACCATGCTCACGTACATGCACACGCGTGTCAGGGAGCACGACTGGGGCAAGGCAAGCGTTCTGGGTGGTTTGGGGTGTTTGACTGTTTATGTTTATCTGGGTTTTTCCATCTGTCTTCTTTACAGTGAGTATATTACTTGTAATAATTTAAAGTTTTAAAAATGCAATTGTCCAAAATGAGGACTGTGGAGGAGCAGGTGGGAGGGCAGCCTCCTGCCCACGGAGAACTGGCCTGGATCCAGCCTCCTAGAGACGAGGGAAAATGAAGCCACAAGGAACTTCTCTGGGCTTTGGGGCATCAGCAGCTGTTTTCTGGCCCCATGGGGCACAGACGTGGTCAGAGGGGCACACGGGTAATGCACGGATGTGGTCGGGGGGCACACGGGTGAGGCGTGGACATGGTCAGTGGACGGGGCTTGGCGTGAGCTCCTGGAGTTAGAGGGCTTCAGTTGGACCCCACTTACTTTCACAGCAAGACCCTGGGCACTGGAAGATGCGCTCCCTACCCATGACTTTGAGTGGCCCAATGGGCAGAGCCTGGTCTCCTCCAGAGGGTGCACTCTGCCCTCCTGCCAGCCCCTCGCTGTCTCTGCCCACTGCTGACCCTTCTTTTCTTACTTCTCCCCCCAGGAGGCTCTGGATCGTGGGGCCCTGCTTCTGTCGCAACACATCTGCCACCCCTCGTGGATCCTGTGGCCACCCGCTCAGTATCTCCCGGCCTCGTCCACCTCCGTCTCCCAGAGCCATGGTCCTGGCTCTGCATGGCCCCAGCGGCACCCGACGTCCTCTGCCTCTGCCTCCAGGTCGGCATCTTCATGAGCCATGGCCTTGTCTCCAGCTCTGCCCTGCAACCTGCAGCTGCTCCCTGTGGCCCCAGAGCAACTGTTCTCGTGGGGTCTCAGGGCTCTTTCCCAGTCTTAGAGATCATTCAGTTCATATGTGGGAGCTGGAAAACAGTGGAACTTATGGAGATGGAGACTAGAATGATGGAGATATTCCCAGAGGCTGGGAAGGGCGGTGGGGAGTAGGGGGGTGGTGAGGGGATGGTTAATAGGTACAAACATAATTACATGGAAGGAATAAGATCAGATATTTGGTAGCACAATAGGGTGACTATTGTTAACAAGAATTTATTGCATATTTTAAAATAACTGAAAAGTGGACTGGAATGCTCCTAACACAAAGAAATGATAAAGGCTCGAGGTGACAGTGGCCCCGATTACCCTGGTGTGATCAACACGTCACGTGTTCCCCATAGACACAGATAATTATGTACCCATAGGCATTAAACATTTTATTTTTTTTAATTTTTATTTGTTTTGAGACAGAGTTTCACGCTTTTTGCACAGGCTGGAGTGCAGTGGCGTGATCTTGGCTCACTACAACCTCCACCTCCCAGGTTCAAGTGACTCTCCTGCCTCAGCCTCCCGAGTAGCTGGTATTACAGGCATCCACCACCACGCCCGGCTAATTTTGTAATTTTAGTAGAAATTACACCTTGTTGGCCAGGCTGGTCTTGAACTCCTGACCTCAGGTGATCTGCCCACCTCAGCCTCCCAACGTGCTGAGATTACAGGCGTGAGCCACCGCGCCCGGCTAGAATTAAAGATTTTAAAAGTCATTCAGGACCCCAAGAGCTTCTGTTTATGTCGGTAATGGTTATTGATACTTACCAAATTCAAAAGAAATTGGAGAACATTTAAAAATATTTATCTAAAAATATTTATCAAGTCAATAGTAACCACAATAAACTCACTGAATGTTAACATAAACAACACGTTTTGTTGGTTTTTTTTTTTTTTTTTTGAGACGGAGTCTCGCTCTATCACCCAGGCTGGAGTGCAGTGGTGCGATCTCGGCTCACTGCAAGCTCCGCCTCCCTGGTTCACGCCATTCTCCTGCCTCAGCCTCCTGAGTAGCTGCGACTACAGGTGTCCGCCACCGCGCCCAGCTAATTTTTTGTATTTTTAGTAGAGACAGGGTTTCACTGTGTTAGCCAGGATGGTCTCGATCTCCTGACCTCTTGATCTGCCCGTCTCAGCCTCCCAAAGTGCTGGGATTACAGATGTGAGCCACCGCACCCGGCCAACGACATCTTTTATGAAGATATCTATAAATTCCAAAACAAAACAACTCTGGAAACTAGGGCATGATTTTATGTGTCCGCTGTCACTGTAACACTTGGCTGCGTGGGCCAGAGGGGAACCTGTGTGCCTCCATATCCAGTCTACTGTGATATGTTGTTTTGATTGAACTATATGAAGAAAATCTGGCCTCACACCGATAATGTATAGTGGAGTACTGTAACAGCCTCTTTCCCCGGGGGAGGGGTACCGCAACAGCCTCTTCCCTCCCGGGGGAGGGGTACCGCAACAGCCTCTTCTCCCCCGGGGGAGGGGTACCGCAACAGCCTCTTCTCCCCCGGGGAGGGGTACCGCAACAGCCTCTTTCCCCAGGGGAGGGGTACCGCAACAGCCTCTTCTCCCCCGGGGGAGGGGTACCGCAACAGCCTCTTCTCCCCCGGGGAGGGGTACCGCAACAGCCTCTTTCCCCAGGGGAGGGGTACCGCAACAGCCTCTTCCCCCGGGGGAGGGGTACCGCAACAGCCTCTTCCCCCCGGGGGAGGGGTACCGCAACAGCCTCTTCCCCCCGGGGGAGGGGTACCGCAACAGCCTCTTCCCCCGGGGGAGGGGTACCGCAACAGCCTCTTTCCCCCGGGGGAGGGGTACCGCAACAGCCTCTTCTCCCCCGGGGGAGGGGTACCGCAACAGCCTCTTCCCCCGGGGGAGGGGTACCGCAACAGCCTCTTCCCCCCGGGGGAGGGGTACCGCAACAGCCTCTTCCCCCCGGGGGAGGGGTACCGCAACAGCCTCTTCCCCCCGGGGGAGGGGTACCGCAACAGCCTCTTCCCCCGGGGGAGGGGTACCGCAACAGCCTCTTCCCCCGGGGGAGGGGTACCGCAACAGCCTCTTTCCCCCGGGGGAGGGGTACCGCAACAGCCTCTTCTCCCCCGGGGGAGGGGTACCGCAACAGCCTCTTCCCCCGGGGGAGGGGTACCGCAACAGCCTCTTTCCCCGGGGGAGGGGTACCGCAACAGCCTCTTCCCCCCGGGGGAGGGGTACCGCAACAGCCTCTTCCCCCCGGGGGAGGGGTACCGCAACAGCCTCTTCCCCCGGGGGAGGGGTACCGCAACAGCCTCTTCCCCCGGGGGAGGGGTACCGCAACAGCCTCTTTCCCCCGGGGGAGGGGTACCGCAACAGCCTCTTCTCCCCCGGGGGAGGGGTACCGCAACAGCCTCTTCCCCCGGGGGAGGGGTACCGCAACAGCCTCTTTCCCCGGGGGAGGGGTACCGCAACAGCCTCTTTCCCCGGGGGAGGGGTACCGCAACAGCCTCTTCCCCCGGGGGAGGGGTATTGTAACAGCCTTTTCTCCCGGGGGAGGGGTATTGTAATTTTGCCTTTTCAGTAACCATGGGAATTCTTTGACACCAAAACTGGAAGAGTGCCACTTTTTTAAAGGTTTGCTGAACCGTGGTGTCTAAAACCAAATCTGAGCTTTCCCTGCTGCACGTTAAAGCTGTTCTCTTTTGCACTCTGAACCGGTCTTTTACCACCACACGTGATTCCGCCACACCCCACATCGGTCATGTGAGAAACGTGGGTTCACTGAGCTGCGTGTGCACACACTGACGGGTTGTGTTGTGTAAAAATTCACATGAATTAATAACGATCACTGATATCAGCAAATTCTGTAAGTATTGGGCAGCTGTTGAGTTCACAGAGGTGAACATGCTTATCTCAGTCTCTTAACTTTTTCTTGAAAGTCAAATCGTACCACAGGAGGACAAATACATTTGGCTGTTTTTCTGGAACTGTCAGGCTCACTCCGTTCTGCCAAACACCCGAGTCTGGGTCGCTGTCCTCCATCTGTCTGTGGTTCTTTCCAGTCAAAATGGCCATGAACAGCAGCTGATTCTGACAGGGGCTTGGGCCTTACCCAGGACAAGCCTCGTGCCTCCGAACGCAGCAGCAGTGGGTGGCGTGTGCCGCCCGTGATGGGATTTGACGTGAACAGCCTTGTTGCTGCTCCATCAAGGGCATTCTTAGGTGGAGCTGGCCCTCCCCCGACTGCGGGCTGAGGACACAGCCCCTGGGGGTGGCCGTTTGGGGCCGCAGCCTCACAGGGTGAAGGCAGCAGCGGTGTTACCCACATGTCTTCTGTACAGTCTGTGCAAATGTCAACACACAGGAAACACGGGCAGCATCTTCATATCATTATGAAAATACTTTTGAACTCATGGAGCCGGGAAAGGGCCCTGGGGCCCCTGGGGCGTGGGCAGCACTCGAGATGCGTTGGCAGAGGACAGAGCTCACAGCCCCTGTCCAGCTCCACGCCTTCCCGATGGAGCAGACGGGGACCCCACGCCATGCCATGCCCTGATGCCATCACATGCCCTGATGCCAGCCTGGCATCAGGAAGCTGGCACAGCTTCCACAGCTGTGATGCAGCGTCCACCTGTCTCAAACTTGCCCCTCCTGTGCCTGGACCGGGCGCTGCCCCTGCCCCTCCCTTGCTGCCTCTAGGGAGCCCCCTCACCATCGCCTCGGCCTCACGGCTCCACGCTCACTCACTCTGAACCGCATTGTAGGGTGCTGGTTTGAACCCCAGCTGGGTGGAACGGTCCTTGAGTGGTGTCCCCTTATGCCTCCTCACTTCCTCACTGACGAAGCAGATTACTTGGCTGGTTGTTCACTGGACTCCCTCCCTCCTCCCACCCCACCTTTAGGCACCTTCACCTGTAACAAAATCCAAACTAAAAGCAACCACAGCAATAAGGAAGATGTCTTGACTCAGAAGTGCGGAGGCGGCTTCAGATAAAGTGAGTGTGGATCACACAGCTGAGGATCACACGGGCTCCATCTGCCTGTCGTCCTCACGGCTACAGGAGGGCTGCAGTGACTCCAGACATCACACACGACACTGTGGTCACCGGGGAAAATGGGCTGTTTCTCCCGAGGCATCTCTTGTTTTGTGGTGAAACAAACCTTCTTGGATTTGTCCTCACCTTCATGGGCAGGGTCTCTGAAAAAGCAAAGCCATCACTGAGCCTCAACCACTCAGCACTCGCCTTCTGGGGCCCACCTCCCCATAGCCCCTTACTCAGGGCCGATGGGAATGGGAACCGGATCAGGGTCCGAAGAGAGGAAGGAGGACTGGTGACTGTTGAACGGGTGCCGTCAGCTCCTGCCGTGGCTCGATTCCCGCCTTCGTGGAGTATGTGGGTCCGACAGCAGCAGCATCTCTGCCAACAGCTCTTCCAATGTGAGTCAGTCTGTGCCATATCTGATCCTGCGAGAATCCGTGAGCTGACGCATCAGGGTGATCAGATTCAAGAGTAAGAAGACTCTTGCTTATCCATGTCTCCGGCAGCCCCTGCACGCCTACCACAGGCCAGGTATCCCGCAAGAATCAGAATGGCCTTGCCACATGGTGCCACAGCCTCGAAGCTCCCTGCTCCAGCCTGCCACAGCTGACACAGAACCCTCCAGAGGCTCCTGAGCTCCCTCCATCTAGGTTCCAGACCCCTTAACTCCAGCACCTCCTGGCCTGATCCATTCACCTGCACAGCTGCCCACCCATCGTACATTTGGGCCCCAGCTCCAACTGAGTATGAATGGCCTTCAGCAAGCTCCGGCCTTTCAGCCTCCACACCTTTGTCCATGCTGTCCCCTCTCTGAGGACACTGGTCCTCTATCGCCCCAGGCCCAAATCCTGCCTCTCTTTCAAAGGCCAATTCACATGTTACTTTTCCCACAAAGCATTCCTGAGCCCACCGGGTTGAACTAAGATCATCTTGAACTCTTCCCATTTTGCAATATAGATATTTTATGACAGCGATGATAACTATTTATTGAGCCCAGCCTGGCCAACATGGTGAAACCTCTGTCTCTACCAAAAATACAAAACTTAGCTGGGTGTGCTGGTGGATGCCTGTAGTCCCACCTACCTGGGAGGTTGAGGCAGGAGAATCGCTTGAACCTGGGAGGTGGAGATTACAGTGAGCCGAGATTGTGCCATTGCACTCCACCTCGGGTGACAGTGGGACTCCATCTCAAAAATAAATATTTACTGAACAAATGTTCCGTAAATTCCAGGCACTGTCCAGGCACATTCCAGGCACTGTCCTAGGAATGTTACCTGGAATATCTTATATAATTTTTTTTAGATAGGGTCTTACTCTGTCACCCAGGCTGGAGTGCAGTGGCACAATCACAGCTCACTGCAACCTCAAACTCCCAGGTTCAGGTGATCCTCCTACCTCGGCCTCCTGAGTAGCTGGGACTACAGGCACGCACCATCATGTCTGGCTACTTTTTTTTGGATTTTTTGTAGAGATGGGGTCTCATTATGTTGCCCAAGCTGGTCTCAAACTCCTGGGCTCAAGTGATCTGCCCACCTCAGCCTCTTAAAGTGCTGGGATCACAGGCATGAGCCATCATGCCCGGCCCTTATTTAATTTTTATAACATCCATTAGCAGCAGGTGCTCTTATCTTCAGGTGAGGAACTGAGGCTCAGAGAGATGAGTTTCCCAGTATCATGCAGCTACTAACTGGCTGAGGCAGTGTATTCGTTCTCTATTGCTGTCTTCAAATTACCGCGAAACCTAGTGGCTTAAACAATGAACATCTATTATGTCACAGTTTCTGTAAATGTGGAATCCAGAAGCAGCCTGGCTGGGTGGCTCTGGCTCGGGGTCTCTCCTGAGGTTGCAACCACAGTGTTGTGGGGCTGCAGCCTCATCTGAAGCTTGACCGGAGCTGAAAGAGCTGCTTCTGAAGCGGCGTCTGCTCTTCACCATGTAGGCCTCTCCACACGCCTGCTTGAGTGACCTCATGATACAGCAGCCACCTCCCTGAGTGTGTGGTACAAGAGGCAGCAAGAAGGAAGCTGAACCACCCCCCGAGAAGTCACACACAGCCATCCCTTCAGCCTCCTGTTGCCGACACAGGGCAGCCTCATTCAGTACGGGACAGACACCAGGAGGCAGGGTCCCCCAGGGCCATCCTGGAGGCCAGCAGCCACGGGCAGGGTCAACCTAGACTCGCCTGACCCCATCGCGGGGCCCTGGGCCTCCACCTTGAGTGGCTGCTGACGAGCAAATCATATATGGGTCCTTCCAGGGGGATCCCTTCCTCCCACCACCACCACTCCCCGGTCAGCTTGCCGCAGAGCCTGCAGTGGGAGGGCAGTGTGTTCACAGCTCACAGAAGCACCTTTGTGAGCAAACACTGCCAGGCAGATCCGTGTTTTCCTTTAATCAAATGAAAAGGTGTGACCCACACGCCCCCAGCAGTTTCCAGGGGGCTCATTAAGGGAGATGTGGACAGAATCCGTGGCGGGGTGGTGATTCCCACCCAGCCTCTGCCAGTTTCCAGGGAGCTCCATTAGGCCAGAGGTGTGAACGGAATCAAGGAAGGAGGGTGATTGAGTCAGGGAGCGGGGGAGATTGGATCGGGGAGGGGATGATTGAATCGGGGAAGGGAGTGGTGATTGGGTCAGGGAGGAGGGTGGTGATTCCCACCCAACCTATGCCAGTTTCCAGGGGGCCCCATTAAGCCGGAGGTGTGAACGGAATCAGGGTGGGAGTGACTGAATCAGTGAGGGGGGTTGGATCAGGGAGGGGGTGACTGAATCAGGGAGGGGGGTTGGATCAGGGAGGGGGTGACTGAACAAGGAGGGGGGTTGGATCAGGGAGGGGGTGACTGAATCTGGGAGGGGGTTTGGATCAGGGAGGGGGTGATTGAATCAGGGAGGGGGTTTGGATCAGAGAGTGGGGCTACTGAATCAGGGAGGGGTGGTGTTTGCATCAGGGAGCTGGGGGTTTGTGATTCCCACCTGGCCTCTGCCAGTTTCCAGGGGCCTCCAGCTGGGAGGATTTCCTCCGGGAAAGGCTGGGGGTGGACGGGGGCACCTTGGGGCAGGCTGAGCTATGCCCACATTGTCAGGCAAGGAGGTATGGCTGGCTCCTGGAAGGGTCCACGGAAACCACGCACCTCTTGCAGAGGCTGCAGTGGCTGCAGACGCTGTCTGCTCACCGGCGAAACATCCATTCCCTGAGCATCTGCTTCAGGGGCTGGGGATGGAGATGCTAAAAATGACAGGAGCGAGAAAGAGTAGCAGTTAATATTCACCGACAGCCTCATTGGCCTGGCTCTCGACTCCTCACCGCACTCCTGAGGTGGGAGCTGTTACTACCCCCTCGTAGTTGCAGGGGAGGGGCAACCGGGAGGAGGAACACAGGGAGCTCCCGGCTGGAAGCAGGAGCGGGCTGAGCAGTCAGGACCAAGACATGCAGCATCTCACCCATTCGGGGGCCCCCCCGCCCAAGGCCCCTCCCCAGGGCACCTCTCCTCTGAGGATCGGATCCTGAACTCAAAGAACAGGCGAGAGGGCCACAGAGAGCCCCAGGAGCAGTGAGTCCCTGGGGCTCCTAGACCTCCCTAGCTCAAAGCCCTTTCACGTGGGGGCCAGCTCCCCGCCAAGCCAAGGCCCGGAGGCTGCAGTGGGCAGTGCCACAAGGCTGAGCTGGGAGCCAGGCAAGAGTTCTCTTTGGAGGCAGCTGCATCCCCTTCCATGGGGTCCTGCAGACCTTCTTTCCGCAGA
This sequence comes from Homo sapiens, assembly GCF_000001405.40. NCBI lineage: Eukaryota > Metazoa > Chordata > Mammalia > Primates > Hominidae > Homo > Homo sapiens. The sequence continues at coordinate 89,089,687 of NC_000016.10, forward strand.
GTTGGGGATCCCAGTGCACAGATAACTTCGTGTGCTGATTTTTAAGTTTGAGGTTCTCATTCAACATTAGACCGTCATACACAATTCCCACGTTTCTATTTGGCGTCATGATTAATGGCTGCAGAGCCGCTCTTATTTGGCCATCTCCTGATTCACTAAAGTCTGTGCTGGGATATCCAGGCTGTTTCCTGATTTGTGGCTGCTGTAAACCACCCTGGCACAAACATCATTGAGGATCCAGCTTTGCAGATCATTTGTTCTTTATGAAGGAGTTGGTCTGGTGTTGCATGCAGAAAAGTTTGGTTTTCAGCAGAGGGGGGTGTCATTTGTTCATTGAATCTCACAGCGATGCAAAGAGAGGCATGTCTGGGGGCAGGGGTGGGGGTAAAGGATGCCAAATTCTGGTTTCAAATCCCAGCTCGGCCGCTTTCTAGGTACGTAAGCATGGACAAGTGACATCAATTCCCCGAGCCTCAGTTTCCTCATTCGTAAAACGGCACAATGCAATCCTTTGCCCGAGAGTCATTGTCACTGCCCTCAGAGCCCAGCTCCATGCACCGCAGAGAGGGGCCCTGGCACTCGTGTCTGAAGTCCTGGCCGTGTGCTCCTGCAGCACTCTTGTGCTTATCACCACACGGCACGTATTTCTCCTCCCACCTGCACCCTCGTGCTGGGAACGTGCCTGAGGGCACATTTGCACCTGCACAGACACTCCTGCCAGCGAGTCTCCTGAAAGGCAGGAGGCCAGGAGAGGCCGTGGGGGTGTTCCGTGTCTGGTATTAGACAGTAGCAGCTGGTGGCACGATGATAAGGCTTGGCCCATGGAGAGTCATCTTGTTCCTCTCCATGACATGCACCTGCTGGAAGGCGACTTCCCGGAATCCTCTTGGTTTATTTAGGGAACAGGGGCAAGAATCCAGCTGAAAGTGGCCGAGTTCACGTGGTCACCTGGAGTGTTTCCTTTCCTCTTCCTCTAAAAACTATTTCATAGTGTAGTTTAACTTTTATACTTATCAGTTGTACGTCCACAAAGTTTAAAGAACTACCCTCCCCTTCCTGCTCACCAGAGGTGAACCTTTGTTCTGATTCTCTTGGTGTTTACCCCCTGGAGGTTCCTGTGGTCTCCTGCCAGGCCTGCCCAGGCCACACCACACACCTTCCACCCCGGGTCCCTCCCGTCGTCTGCGATAAACTCGTTCGATCAGCGGCAGTTTTGCATGCTGATGGTTACACTGTAGATGTTGAAATGATCGTAGTTTAGTAAATGCTATGGACAGCGGAGCCTCCTACAGCAACATGATCACGTGCCCTTTGCTGGCAAACACATCTTCCTGTGTTCCCAGTGTTTAATCTCTGCCTTATTTTTCTTGATTAGTTTTCTATGTATTGATCATCTATCCCTAAACTTTGCTTGCATTGTTCAAGTCTCCTCTCAACATGGTAAACACACAGGACACTCTGTCCACCATCTTCCCGCGGGGGGATTGCCCCTGCCTGCCAGGCCAGGACTCCCGGGAGTCACAGGAAACAAGGCCAGAGGGGAGGAGGGCGGGGCTCGGGGACCTGGTGGCCACAACAGGGCTTGGGCAGGACCCCCTGTGGGTTCTGAGCAGGATCCCACTCAGGTTTTAATGGGGCTACTCCAGCCACTGTTGGGTTCTTCATGAATCCAGTGAGGACTCCTTTAGGAAACAAGGCTTTCCTGGTCTGGGTGGTTACAGCAGCGCTGGTGGGACAGTCTCTGACAGAATTTGCAGGAGAAACCAGTAGGACTCAATGTGGTGTGGGAGGGAAGCAGGGAGCCATAGACTGAACCCCAGGATCGAGGGTGAGATGCAAAGTGTGAGGGTGGGGGCGCTGCTGCGGGGGAGACCTGAGCTCCTCTGGGGCCACATCGGGGTCTGATGTCTCTTGGATGTCCCAGTGAGATGCCAGGTGGGCACTTAGGACCCTCCCTGTCCACATGTTCTAAACTACATTGACGTCGTCTGCCTGGTTGGTGCGGCCACTTTCACTCCCTGCGCTGGATGTTCTGCAGCCCTTCGTCTGCTAATGTCCACGAGTTTACCTGACAGCTGACTTCTCTCTGTTTTCTCTGCCCTCCCTTCCTGAAACTACCGTATTTAGCATATTGGATGCCTGCCTGAGCCCACTGATTTTTTTATCTTTCCTCTCCTGTTTTTCATCTCTCGGTCTTTCTGTTCTATTTCTAGGAGACGTCCTTTAGCCCTTCCCTTAGGGTTTTTACTCAGGCTGTTGTATTCTGACCCCTCCAGCCCCCCTTTATGTTACTGGAACGCTCTTTCTCGGGGCATCTCGCTCTGGACTCATGGGGGCTGTCGCTTCCCTTGTCTCCCTGAGGGTATTAACAGGGGGTGGTTTTGGGGGTCTCTTCACTCTGCACAGCCTGGCTGCCTGCAGTTGTTCTGCTGGTTGTTTCAGCCCACGTCTCTCTGGCTAGAGGCTGTCCTCCAATGTCTGCTAATCCCTGACTGCTCCTGCTTCCCACCTGCCACTATGATGCTGACCAGAGCCGAGGCACAGATGGGACCCCTGCTCATAGGATGACTGGGCCATTTCTCGGAGACTGCACCCTCCCCCCACTGCCACCCTCACAGAGCCATGGCCAAGGACCACGGGAGCTGTCACCCTGTCCCAAGTCCTGTCTCTAGGTGGGTGACGCAGCCTGAGCTCTTCAACTTCCCAGGGATAGAAATTTGCGCACACACGTCCTGGGGCTGAATCCTGATGTTAGACGCCCTCCTTACTCTTCCTACTGCCCTCGTCGGAAACACCATTCAGCCTGCTGAGTCCTGGAAGCAGACAGAATTCTGACACCAGATCAAGCCTGTCCCAGTGGCAGAGGGTTGGACTTGCTTTTTCTGCATGATACCTAGCAGGGTGGCAACCAGAGGCACTAGAAGTTTGGGTTTGTTCTCCCACGCTCTGTGTTACAAACTTCCCCCAGATCCAGCTCCTTCCTCCCAGGAAAACCATCCTCGGGCTCCTGAAGTGCCCTTTCCTGAGCTTTCCAAGGACACAACTGCTGCCCCAGCAATCATCACAAGAGAGGAAGATGGGCATGGAAAATAATACACTTACAAAAAAACTGTGCAAGGTTCTGCAGATAATTTTTTTTTTTTTTTGAGACAGTCTCACTCTGCTGCCCAGGCTGGAGTGCAGTGGCGCAATCTCAGCTCACTGCAGTCGCCACCTCCCAGGCTCAAGAGATTCTCCTGCCTCAGCCTCCCGAGTAACTGGGATTACAGGCACCTGCCACCACTCCCGGCTAATTTTTGTATTTTTAGGAGAGACAGGGTTTCACCATGTTGGTCAGGCTGGTCTTGAACTCCTGACCTCGTGATCTGCCTACCTCGGCCTCCCAAAGTGCTGGGATTACAGGCGTGAGCCATCACACCAGGACGGTTCTGCAGATAATTTGTACTACTGTTTGCCAGTACATGTCTTTGTGTTATTAGTATTCATTTTAGGGGAAAAACCCTCAAATTTCAGCCAACTGGACTTTGTGTTTGGCTTTAAATGTTTTCCGCCACTGTCCATCCAACAGTCTCGCTTCATATTCGTATCCTGGTTCCCAAGTCCCTTCGAGGAGAGATTCTCAAATGCGGTCCGTTTAAAATCACCCAAGAAATACAAAAATTAGACAGGCATGATGGCGGGCGCCTGTAGTCCCAGCTAATTGGGAGGTTGAGGCAGGAGAATCACTTGAACCCGGGAGGCGGAGGTTGCGGTGAGCCGAGATCACACCACTGCACTCTAGTCTGGGCGACAGAGCGAGACTCCATCTCAAAATAATAATAATAATAAGAAAAAGTAACAACAATAATAATAATAATAAAATCACCCAGGAGCTCAGCGTGCAGACCCCCAGCCGCAAAGCCCAGAGAGCCCCTTTTGGGAGGACGGGGCGAGGCCCAGCAATCCGCGTTGGGAGTGGTCCCGCGCGCCGTTCTGATCTGGGCAGCCCTGGGCTAGCGGAGACCACGGCGCCTTGCCTCGGCCACGGCTCACGAGACGCCCGCGGCCCCGACCCCGCCACGACGGGACGGGCGGGACAGGGGAACACGCGCGCCCGGAACCCGCCGCCACGGCGCCGCGCCGGGGGGACGCGCTTGGGCGACGGACGCGCCGCGCCGGGGAAGCTGTTGGGCGCCGGAACTGGTCCGGCCCGACTCACGACCCCGCGGGACCCGGCCGGAACCCGGCCCGACCCCGGCGCGCGCGCGGCGGAGGACGAGGAAGAGTTGTGGCGAGGCAGATCCTGCCCCGTGGCCGCGGCCGTCTCGTAGGTGCGGGCGGCGGGGCCCACGGGACCGCGGCGGGGTCGGCCGGGCGCAGAGCTCTCGGGGGCGCGGGCTCCGGCGCCCGCCCCTGGGTCGCAGCTGGGCTTGAGCCGTGGCCCGTGGCGCGGTCGCTTCCCCGCGAGCCGCCTGGGGCCGGGCGTCGGCCTTCCCGGGACGCCGAGCCTCTCGTGTCCGGTGGGGAGCGGGGCCCCCGCGCGGGGTGCGGGGAGAGAAGCTGTGCGGACGCCGGGCCCGGTGATACCGTCGAGCCGGCGGGGTCCGTGTTCAGGCATCCTCAGAACGAATCGTCTTTGGTTGTGTTTGGAATAAATTCACTTCCATTTCTCATTGGGCTTCAGAAGTCACCCTTGAAGTACTCCCCGTTTTAGTTGTTTGCTGCGTGCACCTTGCTGGGCGCGTGGGGCACAGGTTCACAGCCGGCCTAGCCCCTGAGGGCATGTAGATCTATGAGCAAGCAATGGAGACGTGCGGCCGGCCGTGAAGTATTTGGAAGGTACTGCAGGCAGCCCATTCCCTGGAGAGAGGGAAGGTTTAAAGGGGTGAGGCCCGGTGCAGTCAGGAGTTGATGTTGCTGTCCTGAGTCTAAATTCCACCAGGCAGGCCAGGTGCAGTGGCTCATGCCTGTAATCCCAGCGCTTTGGGCAGCAGAGGCAGGAGGATCACTTGTGGCCAGGAGTTCAAAGCCAGCCTGGGCAACATGGTGAGACCCCTATCTCTACAAAAAAATGTAAAAATTAGCTGGGTGTGGTGGCGTACACCTGCACTTCCAGCTACTGGTTAGGCTGAGGCACGAGGATTTCTTGAGCCCAGGAATCGGAGGCTGCAGTGAGCCATGACAGCACCATTGCACTCCAGCCTAGGTGGCAGAGCAAGACACTGTCTCAATAAATAATAAAACTGAAAAAGAAGAGGTGATATTTGAACTGGGCTTGGAAGAATGATTAGGAATTTGCTAGAAAGGGAACACGTTTAGAGATAGGAACACGAATTGTGTCTGGGGCATAGTTGTTGCTTTCCCATCCTGGGAGGACAGACATTCGTGTTAGGGCCCAAGGCTGAGACCTTGTTGAGGAGGGGGTTCACATGGTGGACCCAGGAGCACGGGTGTTACTACCGGTGGACCCTGGGGACCCTGCGAGCTTTGTAGCGTGAAGCCTGGCTCAGGCTGGTGTCCTCTCCGCAGGTGTTGGAGGACATAAGATGAGGCTTCCCTTGCTCTTGCTCCTTTGGCTCTGAACCATCTCCTCAAGGCAGACAGAAATGGCGGATTAAACTGTGGGCTTGGGATAGTTGTAAGTGTCACCTTTCCAGATGGCATTTTTAAAATAGTATTTTTCTTCCTAAAATGGATATGGGTTTCAAGTGTATTTTTCCTTTTTGGTTTTTTTTATTTGAATGTACTGCTCATGAATGCAATGTGAATGTCTGTTACTTAAAAATGTAATTTTGAAAATAACCCTCCAAACCACAGGTGTGATGCTGAAACGCATCCTGCCCCGCAGGCCGAGCACAGCCCTCCTCTGCCCCACGCTCTCATCGGGGCAGCCGACAGGAGGAAGTGCCGGCATCCACTTCAAACACAAGGTCTGGGGGGGCGGGGGTGTCAGGTGTGGTGGTGAACAGGTCAGGTGTCGTTTTATTCATGTTGAAAGCAGCCCTTCATTTGAATGCGAGTGTCATTCTCATCTAGTAATTTTTGTTGCGAGGCTCCATGGGGAGCACCCTGCTGAGCACGGCGCGGCCGTTTGTCTTCTGCCTGGCCTGTGCCGGGCCATTCGTACATTCTCACGTGAAGCCTGTGAGGCAGGTCTTGTTACTGTGCCATCTTAGCGGTGGGAAGTGAAGGGCTAGGCCAGTGAGGAAATGAGGACAAAGGCAGCAGCCGTTCAAGTCGAAGCCTGTGGTGACTAACTCTGCCATTAACCAGCACTCCAGTTAGGAGGGAAAAGATGCATCCCGCTGCGCTGCATGTGTGTTCCCGAGAAGCCCCAGTGCCTTAGTGGTCTGATCTCAGAACCTGATGGCTAGAACACCGAGAGGTCCTGCCTCCCTCCCCGAGGGCTGGAGAGCCACTGTTTTCAGTGGTTCCAGTACGCCTTCACCAAGGAGGCTGTCCTGGCTCAGGCACCTTTCTCAGCTTCTGACTAGAGTCCTTGCCCAGCCACGTGGTGACGCCGCTGACCTCGGGTTATCAGGGTGCTGCGTAGCAGGGGTATGAAGCTGGCTGAGGGTGGAAGCCCCTGACTGAACTGCATTTGTCTGGTGGGCAGTGTCCCTCCACACTGTGCTCCTGGTGGTGATGGGGAGCCCCACGGTAGAAGGGGTCCCAGTGGTTGAAAGGTGAGGTTCTCTCTGAGGAAGCTGGGGTGCCTCTGGACCGGGAGGTGTGCAGGAAGACCGCGCACAGCCATCTGCCCTGAGTAGGCTCTGTCTGCGTGTTCGAGGCAGGGCTCTGATCCGATGACCGTGAAGATTCAACCTCTGTGCTGAAGAGAACTGATGACTGGGCACTTCATTGTCCCAAGCCTGAGGGACTGAAAAGCTGGTTTGATGGGGCTGGTTCCGTTTTCCACATGCTTGGTGGGAGAATAAATCAGCACCTCGTTGGAGGGGACTTTGTCAGTATTTCTCAAAATTAAAGATGACCCAGCAATGTGACTTCCCGGCATCTGTGCCCTAGACACCCCGAGTGAACACAGCTGTAGGTGCCAGGACTCCCCCCTTCCCTCGGCCGACTCTGGCTAGGCCAGGCCCTTCTCACCCTCCATAGGAAGCCTCCCCACCAGGCCCCCGTCCGTTCCTCCTGCCCGTGGCCTCTCCTCATAGCGCGTGGGCTCTCTGGGAGCTGGGACCATGTCACACGGGGCCAGTCACATCTGTCACCTCCCAGGGGCTGGTGGCAGGAGTGCCCACCCACAGGCAGCGCTCTGGATTCCGCGCAGGAGAACAGCAGTTTCTTCTCAGCCTGCACTTTGAGTTTGCCCAGCCCAGCTGTGCACGTCAGCATCACCAGCTCTGCTGAGCTCTGGGTTTTGTGGGGAATCCACTCTTATTCTTCCGTGGCTTCGCCCTGCGGGGTGACTCAGGAATTTGTAGAAATGCCAAAAGGGGGGCTGTGCTCTGGTAGTGTGTGCTGTGTGTGCTCAGCGTGTGGTTAGCGTGTGCTCAGCGTGTGGTTACCGTGTGCACAGCACGAGCTTGAACTCGCTTTGTCAGAACTCGGTTCTTTGTGGTCTGCAGAAACCTTTTCTGAGCAGCAGCTTTAGTTAGAGGGAAGCCGTCATCCCCCTTTTATGTGCTTCTGTCATATTGAGAAACAGCTACACACAATGACAGGCACCTTCTATATTGAGTGAGTGTCGCCGGCCGTCCTAGTGCTCCGCTCCTTAGCACCCCAGAAAGCACCGTCCCCTGCTCCGAGCACCCAAGGCACTCCCTGTGGCTCTCAGCAGCGGAAGTCTGGCCTCGGGGCCGTAACCCAGAGCACCCAGTGCCCAGTCGGTTTTCTGTGTGTGGATTCTCCTTGTTTCTGTGCCCTCACACCTGTAAAGCAGTGCAGGATCGGTTGGAAGTGAGGAAGGAAGCGTGGTGGGGCCGCCCTGGTTTGCTGCTTTCTGAAGCTGGCACAGCCCACGTGCCGATCTCGTGTCTTGTGTCTGGTGAAGCCCAGTTGTTTTCTTGCCATTCTCTGGGTTTCTCTATGGTAGCAGAGTCCAGGTGTGTGGGCGGACCAGCCACTGCCCTGCCTCTGAACAGCTGTGGAGGGCTTCTAGAACATGGGTGCCTCGCGTCAGGAGATGATGTGGCCTGCAGGACTGACCGTTTGGTAGGATTCAGAGAAGACTCACACAGGACGTCCAAGCAGCCCGCGGAGCTGTGCTGAGGTTCAGGGCCCTGCGTGGCTCGTTTTCCTCCTGCCTGGGCCAGAGGCAGGAGATCCCTCAGCTGGCTGGGACAGGGGACTTCATTAAGAGCCCCAGGCTACCTGGGAGGCGGAGCTTGCAGTGAGCCGAGATCGTGCCACTGCACTCCAGCCTGGGTGACAGAGCGAGACTCCGTCTCAAAAAAAAAACAAAAGAGCCCCAGGCTAGTGGGGAAACCAGACACCCAAATCAAACAAGCAAAAACCAAGGCCAGTAGTTGAGGGTCTCAAGCACAAAACATACTTTGGCTCTGACAATTTTCATTGTCATGAAGTTTGTTTTGTTAGACAACTATGAAGTGTTGTGACGGTTTCAAACTAAGAGCAGAAAACAAAACTGTTTAGTACAAACCACAGACAATAACACAGTAGCTTTCCCCTCACAAGTTAATGAAAGAGATGTGCTGGAGAGAGAGAACCTGCTGAACATGGGCACAGATCCCACAGAGGGGGCGTGGTGTGTGGGAGGAGACTCGACAGGGTCATGGGGTCACTGCTGCCCGTTGTCGGGAGATAAGGCTCACAGCTTTATTTGATAATGTTGTCTTTAGCTTGTAAATGAACATGCTTCCCTTCCCCCATTGAGTGTTGAGTGTTGTGCCTGTGGGAAGCGTTATACACACAGCCTGGGACCTCAGCACAGATGCCCGTTGACAGGTGTCCCACCGGCCTTCCGGGTTCCAGCGCCAGGCCTGGTGCCTGCCCCAGGAGGATGAGCATTTGCATTGCCTGCACCTTATCGTGCCCTTCCACCTGCTGAAGCAGCTGTGCCTGCCGCTCTTGTGAACTGCGAACTTCCCCTTACCTCCTCTCTCTGGCTCGGGAGCTGGGTGAGTTTGAACTTGGCCTCCTTTGCTTTTCTGTGTGCGAACAAGTGGTTGCCTTGTTTGTTTACTGAACAGAGTGTGGTTGAGGCAAAATGCTGAGATGAAACCTAACCTAATATGTGTGTATTAGACGGTAGCATCATTGTCAAAATAATACTTGTTCAAAGTCCCTGAAAACCAAACGGACAACTTGACTACGCTTCGGCCACAGGCCTGGGACGCTGTCAGACCGAGGGCCGCTGAGTGCCCAGTGGCAGCAGAGCCCAGAGGGTGCTTCCCCCAGGAAGGGAGGCAGACCAGCCTATTCTTACTGTGAGTCGAGCAAAGCTTTGATTATAAAGGGCCAGGGATGCAGGAGCCTCGTGGAGAGTGCCACCCCTTCTTCTCGCTCTGGAATGCGGGGGCTGTGCCCCTGGCCTGTGTCCGCATCCTGGGGCGGTGTCCCGTGGGCAGTGTCCTCTGGCTGCAGAATGCATGTTGCAGAATTGGACCAGCCCTCACGCGTCAGGAGCGTTGGGCCCACAGGCGGAGGCACCCTGGCTTCTTCTCGGTCTCCTTTCTCTGAATGAAGAATTCCAGTGGACGGCGGGCCCGCGCGACCCCTCCCAGGGAGCCCTCGCTTCCTGCTGATTTATTTGTTATTTAGTAGTTAAGTTTTTGGGGGGAAAGGAGAGAATTATAGTTCAACCTAAAACACGTTTTCTAGCTCTGTGAATTGCCTGATTTAAAGCTTGGCTTGGCTGGGTGCAGTGGCTCACACCTGTAATTTCAACACTTTGGGAGGCCAAGGTGAGTGGATCACCGGAGGTCAGGAGTTGGAGACCAGTCTGGTCAACATGGTGAACCCCTCGTCTCTACTAACAATACAAAAATTAGCCAGGCATGGTGGTGCGCACCTATAATCCCAGCTAGTCAGGAGGCTGAGGCAGGAGAATCACTTGAACCCAGGAGGCGGAGGTTACAGTGAGCCCAGATCACACTACTGTACTCCAGCCTGGGTGACAGACCAAGACTGCATCTTAGATAGATAGATAGATAGACAGAGCGGGTGAGACTCCATCCCAGATAGATAATAAAGAGAGAGAGAGAAAGGAAAAAAAGGTGAGAGAGAGGAGAGAGAGAAAGAAAAGAAAAGAAGGAAAAAAGCATGGCTTACACCTGCCATAACCCCAGGACTTTGGACCAGCCTGGGCAATACAGTGAGACCTTGTCTCTACCAAAAAAAAAAAAAAAAGCTGGGTGTGGTATCACATGCTTGTGGGCCCAGCTACTCGGGAGGCTGAGGCCACAGGATGGCATGAGCCCAGGAAGTCGAGGCTGCAGTGAGCCATGATTGCATCACTACACTCCAGCCTGGGCGACACAGCAAGACCCTGTCTCAAAAAAACGAACCTTGGCACCTCACCACATTTCCACTGCGCACCAGTGTGGGAAGGGTCTGAGAGAGGCAGCGCCGTGTCTGCCCCGGGGGCGGGGTCTCCAGGCCATGCCTGTTGTGAGCGGGGGCTGTGCTGAGCTCTTCTCTGCACTTCCCCCTCTCACGGGTGGTTTTCCAGGCTCAGGATTCTAAAACCCATTATTCAGATGTACCTTAAGTGTGTTGAATTTTATATGCTTCTCCTTGGTTTTACCTAGTTTATTTCATTGTTTAGAATTTTGTGTGGTTTGGGAATCCTTAAACTCATGAAGTGAAATAGAAAGCTGAGATGCTGGGCACGTACGGAACGTTCCAGCAGTGTGGGTGAGAAAGGCTGGACGTGGCCTGTCTGGTGCGCTGCCTCATGACTGAAGGTGCAGCAGGCGTACCTGGCTGGGTACTGGGGAGGTGTTTTAAATCCTGTCTTGGCCACGTTTGGATGGGACAGTTGGGCACTCACGTCCTGTGCCTTGCCTTTCTCCAGCTCGGCCGCCTGTCAGTGCAATGCTGCCCCATGTGGTGCTCACCTTCCGGCGCCTGGGCTGCGCCTTGGCGTCCTGCCGGCTGGCGCCTGCGAGACACAGAGGAAGTGGTCTTCTGCACACAGCCCCAGTGGCCCGCTCGGACAGGAGCGCCCCGGTGTTCACCCGTGCCCTGGCCTTTGGGGACAGAATCGCCCTGGTTGACCAGCACGGCCGCCACACGTACAGGGAGCTTTATTCCCGCAGCCTTCGCCTGTCCCAGGAGATCTGCAGGCTCTGCGGGTGTGTCGGCGGGGACCTCCGGGAGGAGAGGGTCTCCTTCCTATGCGCTAACGATGCCTCCTACGTCGTGGCCCAGTGGGCGTCATGGATGAGTGGCGGTGTGGCAGTCCCCCTCTACAGGAAGCATCCCGCGGCCCAGCTGGAGTATGTCATCTGCGACTCCCAGAGCTCTGTGGTCCTTGCCAGCCAGGAGTACCTGGAGCTCCTGAGCCCGGTGGTCAGGAAGCTGGGGGTCCCGCTGCTGCCGCTCACACCAGCCATCTACACTGGAGCAGTAGAGGAACCGGCAGAGGTCCCGGTCCCAGAGCAGGGATGGAGGAACAAGGGCGCCATGATCATCTACACCAGTGGGACCACGGGGAGGCCCAAGGGCGTGCTGAGCACGCACCAAAACATCAGGGCTGTGGTGAGTGCCGCCTGGCGCCGTGATGGTTTCGGTGACCGCACAGCACTCCGGGTGGGCTCCGGGCCAGAAGCACATCTTTTCATTCGCTTTTCTGTGGAGTCATTCACAGTTGTCACCATCCTGCAGACCCGTGTGAGATACAGGGACGCAGGCCCTCGGGGTGTGGCCGCTGGCCTCACTGGCCACGCAGGACGGCTCTGGGAGCGTCCAGGTGTAGAGGGATTGAGGGGCCGCCGAGTGACCCTGCCAGGACCATGCGGCATGAGGTCAGAAGGGACCACTCACTGCCTGTGATGCTGAGGGGCTTTTCGGAGGCCAGCCACGTGTTAGGATGCGTGGTCAGGACCCCACATACACCCGGGTCTTACTCGTTTTTTGTGTGTCCTGTGACCTCAGTCACATCTTCACAGAACTCTCCAACCACATCACTTACCTGGCATTTGTACAGTGTCATAACGTCTCCTATGCACTTGAAGCAATCAAGTAAAAATGAAAACCAAAAGCCAGGAAGGGGAAGGCAGGAAGTGTACCCCACGGAGTCGTGGGCTGACGAGGCGCCATGAGCACACAGCAGGCTGGGCCCTGGGTGGCCTGCGCCGTCACTCCTGGAAGCGGCGCGCCTGTCGGGAGGGACGGGCTCTGGACTCCTCTGTCCTTGCTGAGGGGAGTGACATGCACATGTGCTTCTCCCTGGAGCCTGTGCAGGCAGCAGGCAGTGTCCTCCGTGAGATTGGACAGAGGATTCAGTGGGCCGTGCCTCACGCTGCTTCTCAGTAAGAGCTGAGGGTGTGCTCTGGAGCCTGGCCTGGGTTCTGTCCCGGCTGAGCAGGTGACGATAATTCACGAATCGGCAGAGCTCTGTGTGGGCAGTGCTGTCACCTGAGCCAGTGGTTGGGCTGGGAGTCGATTCCAGCCTGAATGGCGCTGGGTCCCTGAGTCCCAGGCTTGGGCAGGGGCGGAGCTCTGTCGACCTGGTGTCTGCAGAGCCACTCCCCGACCTTCTAAATTCCCTAAAGCCTCTGGCTGTGTGTGGCGCTGTCCTCTGTCCCCAGGGTAAGTGAGTGACCCAGCAGATCTGCTGTGGTTTTGTCGTCATCTTGAGAGGCTGCTAAAGGGGAGCAACAAAGAGCCAGCCTTCTCCTTCCCCTTCCTCAGTGGGGAGGCCCAGAGCTCCTTTCCGTGAGCCCGAGGTCTGTGTGTGCTGTTGCGGGCCACAGTCTTGCTCTTGCTCTCAGCTGTGCTCTCGTCCCCTGCAGGTGACCGGGCTGGTCCACAAGTGGGCATGGACCAAAGACGACGTGATCCTCCACGTGCTCCCGCTGCACCACGTCCATGGTGTGGTCAACGCGCTGCTCTGTCCTCTCTGGGTGGGAGCCACCTGTGTGATGATGCCTGAGTTCAGCCCTCAGCAGGTGAGTTGGGGTCAGGGCTCTCGGTTGCACCCTCAGACTAGGCGCCTTTCCCCTGTCGGGGCCAGGGCTCTCAGCCGCGCCCTCAGCCTAAGCGCCTTTCGCTGGTTGGGGTCAGGGCTCTCGGCCGCGCCCTCAGACTAGGCATCTTTTCCTGGTGTGCAGTCGCCCCTATCCACAGGGGACGTGCCAATGCCGAGACCCTGGGTAGCATGGAACCCTGTACCTACGATGCTTTTTGCTATACATACGTACCTATGATAAAGCTTAATTTATAAGTTAGGCACAGTAAGAGGTTAACAATAACAGAACAGTTATAACCATGTACTGTAATCAAGTTATGTGAAAGTGCTCTCTCTCTTCAAAATACCTTCCGGTACTGTGCTCGTCTGTTGTGAGACTGCAGTGGGCCACGCGTCATTGAAACCGTGAATAGTGAGACTGGATGAGCGGAGGTGACTGTACAGGCCCTGCTGCCCGCGAGCTCCTGCGGCTGCGGCGAATGCTCACGCGCTTGGTTTAAAATAATGCGAGTTTGTTCTTACATGCTTGGAGGCCAGGATTCTGAGACGAGTCTTGCGGAGCTGATGCTGGGTGTGGTAGGGCTGCTCCGTCAGGAGGCTCCAGGGCAAAGTCCGTTCCTGCCTCTTGCAGCTCTGGAGGCCGCCTGTGCCCTTGGCTCCAGCTGCTTCACGTCCAGCTCTGCTTCTGCAGGCACACGGCCTTCTCTCCGTAGTCAGGGCTCCCTCGGCTTCCCTTTGTGCAGCCTATGCGGATATTCCAAGATCATCTCCCATCTTGAGGTCCTTCGCTTCATCCACCTGCAGTTCCCACCACTGCGAGAGGTGACACATTCGGGGTGTAGGGCGTAGGGCGTGACCCTTTGAGCTATGATGTGGCCACTGTGGCAGCCCTCGGTTACTCCAGAGTACTGGCCCAGCTGGAGAGCTGCTTGCTGCGGAGGGTTACTTTGGAGTATTGGCCCAGCTGAAGGGCTGCTGTGGAGTCTCTGTCTCCCCTCTCTGCATGGCTTCCTCTGTAGCGTCTCCCTTGGAGCAGGCAGGGAGGGAAGGACGCGGTGCTGGTCACACAGAGCGCTGGGGTGGGAGCAGTCATCGCCGAGCTGCTGCGCGCAGCCTTGCCTGTGCAGGGCTGTCTCCAGGCAGATCAGGGATGCTGCTTTGGAGGGAAAGGACCTGGGCTCGAGGCGGGACCCTGTGCACAGCATCGGGCCTCGCCTGTCAGTTGGGGATGGCGGTGGCTTTTAGGAGTTGCTGTGGCCCTGTGTGCATTCTAGCTGACTGCAGGCAAGAGTCACTCACCAGGCTGCAGAGGGCATGAGGGGCAGGCCTTGAGCCCACAGGAAGGACACGGTGTGCGTATGTCACAGGTGTGGTGAAGCAGAGCCCTCCGGTGAGGCCATGGACGTTTACCAGCCTCTGCCCGTATAATGAATATGCCTTTTATTCACAGGAAAAAAAGTTTAACACGTGAATGTATGGAAAAGCCCTTAGAATTTGGATCGTATCATGATGGTTCTCAGCACAGAGGAGCCCATCTCTGAGGCCAGATGCCTGGGACTGGGCTCTTGGTCTGTGCGGGGTTGTTCTGCAGGGCAGACGTCCCGGCCAGCAGAGGCACAGCCCTAAAGCCCAGAGCACAGCAGCCACCAGTGGCCGGCCCCACACTCACCGCTCTTGCCAGGACTCTTCCTGTCTGAAGTCTTTCTGGCCCCATCGAAGGCTGTGTGGAGCTCTGAGGCCTCTGACCGGGAGCTCAGGACCCAAACCCTAGTCAGGTGTGAATTTCGCCAGGAAGGGGTCCCTGCAAGCAGTCAGCCCTGCCCACCTTCCCTCTGCTTCTCCTGCCGCTGAGAGGCCCATCCTCTTCTCTGCAGGGCATCCAGCCCCACACGGTGGCTGGAGGTGGAGAGAAGGCAGCTTTTCTGGCCCTCCACCTCTCTGACCTTCAGTCTCATCCCCGGAAAATAAGGTTGGAGGCCGGCTCACAGTGGGCACAAACTTGGAAAAGAGAAGGGGCTCTTCTCTAGCCTCCACTGGAGGCAAGGTCTCACAAGAGAAGCCAGTATGTAGAACAGCTTTGTACGAGCAAGTGAGCCTGTTTCTTCACAGATGATAACATTGGGCTTTAGAGAAAGACCTCTTTAAAATCTAGCAGTTACTACCGTGCCAAAGAGAGGTGGCTGCCAGCACACTTGCGTGATTAGCCGTCAGCTCCCTCCACTGCTCTTCAGGACGCCTGTAGCCACAGAGCCTCCCTGAGGGCCCCGTCGCCAGGGTCACCTCCTGAAGAGCCTCCCTGAGGGCCCCGTCGCCAGGGTCACCCCCTGAAGAGCCTCCCTGAGGGCCCCGTCTCCCTAACACATTCCACATTCTTGTTGGCTTCAGTCCTTATTTTTCACAGACATCTCAGCCCTGACCCCAGCTGCGACACAGCAGTCTGTTAAGATGGCAGACACTGCGGCTGCCTCATCTGCGTGGTCCATCCCGGAGACATCTGCCTGGCGCTCTGCTCCAGGCCTTCCTGGCTCCCCTGGTAGGGATCTGGCTCAGTGACCCGACCCTCCTTGCGGCTCTCTCTGGGGTGCGCCCTGCATGGACACAGCTGTCCTTGGTGAACGTCTGCTGAGTCAAAGTGGTTTTGCTGCAGTGAGTTCCCCGTGAGTGCACTGTGTGGGTGGTGCAGCGCCTGGTGTGTAGGGAACTTCCATGCCTTTGCTGTGTCTCTGGGGGCTCCTCTGACGGGGCAGCTCCCTCCTCTCCGCCTTAAGCTCCTCCTTTCCTTTGGCGGTCAGCTCTGTCCAGGGTGTCAGTTTCTGTGCCTGTGACTGGGCCCCCTCAACCTGCCCCACCTTGGCCTCTGCTCCTTGGCAGCCTGGCCCTGAACCTCTGTTGGGGGCTGCCCGGGCGCTGACGGTGGCTGGTCTACCATGGTCACTTGGGCAGAGGCAGCAACGGCCATTGTCGTGGACCGTGCCAGGGCGAGATGCAGCTGGCAGGGGCAGAGGCAGAACATCTCCCAGGGAGCTGAGGGCAGGTTGGTTCCATCGTCCCGGAGGGCAGGTTGGTTCCATCCTCCCAAGTAAAGAGTGTGTTACCCTCAGGGCGAGAGGCAGGTGGGTGTGGGTGCTGGCGCAGGCCAGCTGTCAAGGATCTGGGCTTTCTGGTCTTGCTGCTTCTCCAGCACTGCATGAATGACACCACCTGGCCCTTTCCAGTGCCCACAGGCACACGGCTTGGGAGCTGCTGCTGCGGCGTCTCTGCCCAGGGGCATCTGCCAGGGGGTCCCTGCCTTGGGGTCTGTGTCCCAAGGGCGTCTGCCCAGGGATTTCTGCTCCGAGAGTGTCTACCCTGGGGTCTCTGCCTGGGGATCTGCTGTCATCTTCCAGACACTGCAGACTGGCTCATTAATGGACACGGGAAAGCCTCAGACCTTCAACGGACACGGGAAAGCCTCAGACCTTCACCGTTTTTGACACTTACTTGGGATTTTTCTTTAAACTATGCTGTGAAAACTTAATTTTTTTTTTTTTTGAGATGGAGTCTCGCACTGTTAGCCGGGCTGGAGTGCAGTGGCACGATCTCGGCTCACTGCAACCTCCGCCTCCTGGGTTCAAGCGATTCTCCTGCCTCAGCCTCCTGAGTAGCTGGGATTACAGGCACCTGCCACCACAGCCAGCTAATTTTTTGTATTTTTAGTAGAGACGGGGTTTCACTATGTTGGCCAGGCTGGTCTAGAACTCCGGACCTCATGATCCACCTGCCTCAGCCTCCCAAAGTGCTGGGATTACAGACGTAAGCCACTATGCCCAGCTGAAAACTTAATATTTAAACAAATTTGATGCTGTGGCTACAAAGGATTGCAACTCTTTTCCATAAACTCCAAGTTTCAGGGTTTTCCAACTTTAGGAATTTCTATGTGTAAAATCCAGCTGTCAGCGTTATTGAACTTTGGGATTTTGTCTAAGATTGTGTGGAAGAATGTGTAGGATACAAGTGTGGGGTGACCAGACACCTGCGGTGGTGCTGAACGATCTCAGACGCGGTGTCTTCAAGTCATCCTGCACAGAGGGCCGTGGGTGTCAGTGCCTGCAGGTGACGGATGGGGTTGGGGGAGAGGAGGAGGATGCCGGAAGATGGATGTGCAGCCACAGCCTCTGGAGATCAAAGTCACCACTGACGAGACAGCCAGAGGCTCAGATCAGTCACTCGTCTCCAACAGCACTGCCCTGGCCGACTTCCTCAGGATCGCAGCATGGACTCAGGAGGGCTGCCATCTGGCAGGGTCTGTGCTGTGGCAGCTCAGGTTAGAGCAACAGGCCTGCTCCTGCCACCTCAGAAGCACTTGCTAGTTAGTCAAATGTTATGGCGCCCTTCAGGGGGCCTCCAGGTCTTTCACGTCTTGGAAGTGTGGCAACACATTGGGATGTGCTGGAGGAAGAAGGTCACCCTCGGCTCTCAGTGCCCTTCTTTAGGGCAGCAGCTGCCCTCTGAAGATTTGGATGAATTCCAAGAAAGACCGTCCTTCGTGTCTTTCACCTCCGCGCCTGCTCCCTGCCCCTCAGCCTTGTCCCGTTGCGTGCATGCTGTCCCCGCCTCAGCACCATCCTGCTACACGCATGCTCTCCCCACCTCGGCACCATCCTGCTACACGCGTGCTCTCCCCGCCTCGGCACCATCCTGCTACACGCGTGCTCCGTTTTCCGTGCCTCAGTGTCACGTTTGTGTTTCTGGTTCACTGTGCTGTTGATCTGTGTGTTACATCAAATGCAGTTTGTTCTTTTTACGTTGCTGTGTTGTATTTCCTGGTGTGCAGAAGCCACAGTGCGCTTATCCATTCTGCTCTTGAAGGACTTGAGATTGTTTTCAGTTTGTGGCTATTAGAAGTCACGGTTGCTATGAACATTCTCACACAGATGTCCCTGTGGACAGTTCCCTTGGATCCGCAACTCCCAGTGCCGGCTCACAGGCTAGATGTATGTTTCATTTCAGTGGAAACTGCGGAAGAGTTCTCAAACGTGGCTGCATGTTTCACACACCCCAGCCCCAAATGTGGCTGCATGTTTCATACGCCCCCAGCCCCATTCTGCTGGTACCAATTTACTGTATTAGTCCGTGTGCACACTACTGATAAAGACATACCCAAGACAGGGAAGAAAAAGAGGTTTAATTGGACTCGCAGTTCCACATGGCTGGGGAGGCCTCAGAATCATGGTGGGAGGCAAAAGGCACTTCTTACATGGCGGTGGCAAGAGAAAATGAGGAAGAAGCAAAAGCGGAAACCCTTGATAAACCCATCAGATCTCATGAGACTTATTCACTATCATGAGAATAGCACAGGAAAGACCGGCCCCCATAATTCAATTACCTCCCCCTGGGCACCTCCCACAACACGTGGGAATTCTGGGAGATACAGTTCAAGTTGAGATTTGGGTGGGGATGCCATCAAACCATATCAGGAGTCCTTAAATTTGTTAAATTCCCCACATGTCTCCTCTTCTGGTGCCTTCATTTGTCCCTACAGAGGTTCTCCGCGAAGCACTGTGCTTCCCCCAACTTGTTTCCCTTCAGCCTGGAGAACTTCTTTTCAATAGTTCTTGTAGTGCAGCTTTGCTGACAACAAATCCCTCAATTTTGTTTCACTGAAAATGTTTTTATTGCACCTTCCCTTTTCAAAAACAGCTCTATCGAGATACAGTTCACACACCGCAAAATTCATTATTGTAAATTTTGAATTAAGTAGCCATTACCTCAAACCAGTGTCCATTTCCCCCCATTCCCAGCCCCTGGCAACCACGAATCTGCTTTCTGCCTCTAGGATTTCCTTGTTTGAGATGGCAGCGTGTGCAAATGGGGCGTGTCACACTCAGTCTTTTATTCCAGCTTCTTTCACTTGCAGGATGGTTCTGAGTTTCATCCATGTTCTACTGTGTGTATTAATAACTTGTTCCTGAATAGTACTTCATCATATGGATATACCACATTTTCCTCATCCATTCACCATCTGATGGGCATTTGGACTGTTTCAGTTTGGAGCTATTATGAATAATGCTGCTATGAACATTTACATATAAATCTCTGTAGACATTCATTCATCTTACATAGACACAGAGGGATAGAATTGATGGGTTGTATGGTGACTTTCTGTTTAATGTTTTAAGAAACTGTCAAACTGGCCGGGCACGGTGGCTCACACCTGAAATCCTAGCACTTTGGGAGGCCGAGGCAGGTGGATCACTTGAGGTCAGGAGTTTGAGACCAGCCTGACCAACAGGGTGAAACCCTGTCTATACTAAAAATACAAAATTAGCCAGGCACCGTGGTTCACACCTGTAATCCCAGCTACTCGGGAGGCTGAGGTAGGAGAATTGCTTGAACCCAGGGGGCGGCGATTGCAGTGAGCCAAGATCACACCACTGCACTCCAGCCTGGGCAACAGAGCAAGACTGTCTCAAAAAAAAAAAAAAAAAAAAAGAAAAGAAAAGAAACTGGCAAACTGTTTTCCAAAATGGCTGTGTTGCTGTACGTTCTCATCAGCAGCGTATGAGAGTTTTCATTTCTTTACGTCCTGCCAACACTTGTCACTGGCTTCAGTTTGCGTTTCCCTAATGACTACTGATGTTAAGCTTTTTTTTTTTTTTTTTTTTTTTTTTGAGATGGAGTCTCACTCTGTCGCTCAGGCTGGAGTGCAGTGGCTCAGTCTCGGCTCACTGCAATCTCCGCCTCCTGGGTTCAAGCGCTTCTCCTGCCTCAGCCATCTCAGCAGCTGGGATTACAGGCGCACAGCTCCAGGTCCAGCTAATTTTTTGTATTTTTATAGAGACCAGGTTTCACCGTGTTGGCCAGGCTGGTCTTGAACTCCTGACCTCAAGTAACCTGCCTGCCTCAGCCTCCCAAAATGCTGTGATTATAGCCGTGAGCCCGCCGCACCCGGCCAGATGTTGAGCATTTTTTGTGTTTATTTTTACTTTTTTCCTTTTAAATTATTTTTGCAGAAACAGAGCCTCCCTATGTTGCCCAGGCTGGCCTCACACTCCTGAGCTCAAGGGATCCTCCCGCCTCAGCCTCCCAAAGTGCCGGGATTACGGGCATGAGCACTGCACCCAGTGCTGTTTTTTACGTTCTTGTTTGCATCCGTATGTAATCTTTGGTGAACTGTCTAATGAAATCTTTGGCCATTTTTAAATTGGGCTGTTTGTCTTCTTACTGAGTTGTAAGAGTTCTATGTGTATTCCGGATACGAGTCTCTTTTCAGATGTACGGTTTACAAATATTTCCTCCAACTGCAGCTTGTCTTTTTATTTTCTTAATGTGTCTTTTGGAGCACACATTAATTTTGATGAAATTCATTTTATAAAAAAAATTTTAAAAATAAATTCATTTTATCAATTTTTAAACTTTATAGATTGTGCTTTTGGTATCTCATCTGAGAAGTCTTTGCCAAACCACAGGTCATGTCATGAAGATATTCCCTTTTGTTTTTTCTTAGAAGTTTTCTAGTTTTAGCTCATACGTGGAGGTTTCTGACCCACTTTGGGTTAATTTTGCATATGGTGTGAGGTAGGGTCTAGGAGTCACCTTCTGCATGGAGATATTCAGTGTGTCAGTGCCATTTGTGAGAAAGATTATCCTTTTGTCCTTTTCCCTATTGGGGACTTGGTTTCTTTGCCAAGAATCACTTGACCAGATATCTGTGCATTCGTTTATTTCTGGACTCTCCATTGTGTTTTGTGGGTCTCTTGTCTAATCTTACACAGCATCACACTGTGTTCGTTACTTCTGGTTTACGTCAGTTTTGGAGTTGGGAACTGTGTGTTCTCACCTTTAATCTGCCTTTTGAAATTTATTTTGGATCTTCTGGGTCCTTTGCCTTTTCGTGTAAAACGTAGGATAAGTGTATCAATTTCTGCAAAATAAAGCTTGCCGGAATTTTGGGAAGATTGCTTTGAAGCTGGAGCTCAGTGTGGGAAGAACTGCCATCTTCACAACATGGAGTGTTCCCGTCTGCGAGCCTGGCCTCTCTCCACCCGCTTATCTGTTCCCCTCCCTCCCTCGATGGCAGTGTTGTGGGTGCTGCTCCGCGGTGCTGCTGTCTCCCGCACTCTGGTCGCCTGTGTCTTTGCTTTCCCGTCTGTGGGTCAGCCTAGATCACCCCCGTTGACTGTGTCTGACTTTTTTCCTCTTTTCTGCTGCGTCTTGTTTGTTATTAGGTCTATTGAATGAATTCATTTTGGATCTTGTGTTTTTCAGTTTTATGATTTTTTGCAGTTCCACTTCTCTTTGCAATTCTCCATCTTCCCCACGTTGTTCATCTTTTCTTTGAAATTCCTTAATCTGCTTATTGCAGTGATTTGAAGGGCCTTGTCTGGTGATTCGGACGTTTGGATTTCCTGAGACTTCTTCCCTTCAGTTGGGGATCACATCTTTGTGTCCTTACATGCTTTGTGACTTTGAAGGGTTCCAGTCTTTGTCTTTGAAAGAATGATATTATTTCTTCCCCGGAGATTCCTGCCTTTCTCTGCCAGGCAGCTGCGGTGAGGCACTCGTCACTGCAGTCCAGTGAGGAGATGAGATGGGCTGGGGCTGGACTGTGGCATCGGCATCCGTCGACCCCAGTTTCAACGCCGTGTGGGCGAGATCTGTCCTGTGTGTCCTGGGCCTCCCTTAGGTGCTGACCCCACAGCACGAAGAGTGCCCTCCTCCCTCCGCCACACCCTTCGGTGCTCCGTGTGGAACACCGCGGGTAGAGAGGGCCATGGAAGGAATGCGGCTCACCAGCTCTTCCTGAAGCTTTATGGGCGACGCGAGAACCCGCTAACGAGTGAGGAACTTAAAACGTATTTATATGTAAGCAAGAAATGTTTATTATGGAGTAAAATATAAAATTCACATGACTCTTTTAAATAAAAGACTTCACCCGTTCGCTAGTCACTGCATGCCTGTCCATACTGGGAAGCATGCTGACTTCAGGTCTGCGGGCAGCCAGGCCCTCCTGCCAGCTTCCCCAAGGTGTACATCCGCCCTCTCTGTGTAGCTGGAAGAGCCTGACCACTCACGTCTCTCCAGGCCACAGATCCCGAAGCCCTTTTCTAGCTCTGTTCACGATTGCTCTTCCCCTCACAGGCCAGACGCA
This sequence comes from Homo sapiens, assembly GCF_000001405.40. Lineage (NCBI taxonomy): Eukaryota > Metazoa > Chordata > Mammalia > Primates > Hominidae > Homo > Homo sapiens. The sequence continues at coordinate 89,111,910 of NC_000016.10, forward strand.
GCTGTCCCGCGCAACATGGCTTCTGTGGGAAGGGGTCAGAGTTTGAGGCACCCCTTTTAGAAGGGAGGCGCTGCAGACTCTTGAATGTGAACCATGAGAACGCTGTGCCTGGAGCCAGGAGCCTCCGCCACGGGCCCCAGTGCCTGCTCATCTTCCTACCGAGTGCTTCCTTTCCTTCGTAGGTTTGGGAAAAGTTCTTAAGTTCTGAAACGCCGCGGATCAATGTCTTTATGGCAGTGCCTACAATATACACCAAGCTGATGGAGTACTACGACAGGCATTTTACCCAGCCGCACGCCCAGGATTTCTTGCGTGCAGTTTGTGAAGAAAAAATTAGGTAAGTGAAAAGAGCCCACTTTCTCGTTCAGAAAGTCTTAAAGATCAACAGATACGACTTATTTCTAATAAATCACTCCTACTAAGTTCTGGGAAGCAGTGCTTTCCATTTCCTTTCAATGTTCCCTCTCTCTCTACCCGTCTCCGTCTCTACCTCTCTAACTGTCTCTCTCTCTCTCTACCCGTCTGTATGTATATCTGTAATCTCTTCCACGTCGATAGCTGCCTGGATTCTGTATCGCTCTCTCTGTCACACTCTGTCTCTCTATCTCTCTCTGTCTCTCTTTGTCTCTCTCTCTCCATCTCTCCATCTATCTGTCTTCTCTGTCTCTCTTGTCAGACTCTCCATCTCTGTCTTCTCTCTGTCTCTCTCCATCGCTCTTCATCTGTCTCTCCGTCTTCTCTTTCTCTATCTCTCCTGTCTCTCCATCTGTCTCTATCTCTCCATCTGTCTTTGTCTCCGTCTGTCTGTCTGCTCTCTCTCCTGTCCGTCTCTCTCTCTCTCTGTCATGGCGTCTGAAGGACAAGGGTGAGGACAGTGAGCTGACCCGCTTGCTCCTGCTTCATCTGCCCACATGTCCCACGGCGCCTGCCTCTCCTATGCAGTCTCTCTGCCTTCGTGGGCAGCCCTGTGAGGCCTCCTGCCTGGGGCACGTTCTGCTGCTTTTCCTCTCAGCCCCGCTCCTCCCCTCCCAGCTCCCTGGATAAACCCCTCCCTCCCAGGACAAGCTGGTCTTTTGGGCCACCCAGGGGCGTGTTTGCTCTGCACTCTCCCATGAACCTGCAGGCGTGGGAACGTTTCTTTTCCCTCGTGGCTGTTGAGGTGTGGTTCACTAACTGGAAACGCACACGTGTGGCTCAGTGAGTCTTCACACGCATCACAGGCCCGCACCTCCAGCAGAGTCGTGGGTGGGGTATTTTTTCTTTTTGTGAGAGGGAGGGGTGGCGTGGAGGGTGCACTGCAGGAACTGAAGGCTCCACTGCCATCCAGTTTCCAGTGGGATGTGTGTGTCTGTGGCTGCCGCGCGCTCCTCCCAGTCCCCAGGAAGTGCACAGGGAAGCGGCACCTTTGTTCCTGGAGAGAATTCCGGGTTGTCCAAGGCACATGTCTGAACCGCTTCGCTCTCTTTGCCGTTCCCTTGCCCCTTTTCTGTGAGGCCACCGGAGCCCATGGTTTTGCTGCTGCTACTGCTGGGATACCCTGGGGCTGGGCAGGCCCCAAGCTGAGCAGGGTGAGCACAACGTTTTACCAAATCTAAGGAACCAAGGGCAAGAACGAGGTCAGTGAAGGAGAGGATCAGGTGATTTCTGGGGTGACAGAGGCAATGAGACCTCGGCCATCTGGATCTCCCAGCGGGGGTCCTGTCAGTGGTGCCTCCTCGTAAAGCAGGGGCAGCAGCAGGGACCACTCCGCTCAGACCGCAAACAAAAGCGCCTTCCCTACTGCCCGTGAGGCTGCGGGAAATGCTGTGTGAGAGCGCGGGGACTCGGAGTTCTCAGGGCCCGTGTTCTCCTGCCAAGCCTGAGCTGACCCTGTGGGCCAAGATGGCTGCAGTTCTGCGGGTGGTTCTGAGCCCCTTGGGTGTGCCCGGCCCCACCCCTTGGGTGCCGCGGCCATTCACCCATGTCCGCGTTCTGCTGCAGAGCCTGCAAGCTGAGCCGGCTGTAGTCCCCGGATGTGCCTGGCCGCAGCCTGCAGCGCCGTGGCTGTTCACCCGTGATCAGCTCCGTGGTCGGCAGCTGCACGGTCACTGCTGTTCTTGAGCGTGGTTGTGAACAGCGCAGGAACTTTGCAGGGGACACCGCGGACCCTAAGCACATTGTTTACCCTCATTAGCTGTTGGACCTGCTTCCTTCTAAAATACACCCAACAGATCGTTTTCAAAAAACAAAGTCACGCCGTAGCGCAGACTGCAGCGTTGGTCCCGGGTGTCGCACAGTGGTGCTGTACCCACGGCCTGGGGCTCCTGCACTCGTGAAGGAGCTGCCACTTTTGCAAGCAAGGGCCGCCTCCTGAGGGGCTAAACCTGCCACCTTTGCACGCGAGAGCCACGTCCCAAGGGGCTAAACCTGCCTTTGGTTGTGCCGCGTAGGCTGATGGTCTCAGGCTCAGCTGCCCTGCCCCTCCCAGTGCTGGAGAAGTGGAAGAACATCACGGGCCACACCCTGCTGGAGCGGTATGGCATGACCGAGATCGGCATGGCTCTGTCCGGGCCCCTGACCACTGCCGTGCGCCTGCCAGGTACGAGCACTTCCCACAGCTGCGTTCCTCTTCCACTGTGCTCTGAGCCCCCCAAGGTGGGCCAGTCTCGAACCACCCACATTCGGACTGAAGGGCGGCATGGAGGATGCTCCCCCGTGGGACAGGCCACTCGGCCAGGAGAGCACTCAGGATGCACTGCGACCTGTCCCCTCTGGGTAGATCAGCCTTCTCCCAAGTCTCAGTCGGGTGGATGGGGGAGGTGTCTGTGCTGGCCCCTGGCTGTATGACTGGGGAGACAATGGGAAGAACAGCAATGCCTGGAATGCAGGCGTCAGTGCATGTCTCAGAGGAAGGCGGGGGGCCATGCTGTTGGCTCCAGACCACATCAGCAGTGGTGGCAGCCTCCGTCTGTCTGGAGTCCGGGTGCCACACAGCGCCAGCAGCAGTGCCAGGAGAGGTGGGTGTGGTGGGCAGGGTGGGATGAGTCAAGCACCTGTCTTCCTTCTCTAGATGTGGGCTCCTGATACCGGGCCCCTCTTGTCCAGCCTTCCCTAACACATCCCATTCTGACTTTCATCTGACCCAACCATTTGAGCCCTGGGTCCTCCGCTGGGACTTCTGGGAACAGAGCCCACAGCTGGGGGGCCACCCTGCTGCTTTCTGCGCAGCCCTTCCAGTCTGTCTAGAGTAGAAGAGAGATCTCAGTGCAGACTTAAAGTGAGACCATCCCGCACATCTGTCTGTGCAGCTGCTTACCTGCAGACCCAGTAAAAATTCACCCCTCTGGCGTGCAGCTCTGTGTGTCTTAAGAAACATCATCACAGTCAAAATAGAGAAGGGTTCCTCGCCTCAGAAACTCCCTTCCTAGTGCTCAGCACCTCCTCCACCCCCGAGGCCTGGCCCCTTGTTCCTGTTTCTCTTCTTGTGGTTTTGCTTTTTCTGGGAGGCCACGTGGCTAAATCCTGCAGGACGTGGCCTCTGAGCCTGTCTGCTTCCGCCCGGCTTCCGCCCACAGTCAACTGCCTGTGCTGTGTGCGTCAGAGCCCGCGCCTTTCCCTGCTGAGTGGCATCCGTGGTGTGGGTGCGGCACCGCTTGTGACCCTGTTTTAAGCAATGACACGTGAGATGTTATCAACATTTGTGTGCAGGTTTCTGTGCGAACGTGGTTTTTTATTTCACCTGGGCAGATACCTAGGAGAGAGATTGCTGTGTTGTCTGAAGCTTTCAAGCTGTTCTCCAGAGCGGCTACACCATCCCCTTCCCCCTGCAATGGGTGGGAGGTCACGAGCACCTGCTGCTCCAGCGGGCGGTGGTGGTGTCTCGTTGAGTTCATGATTCTCTCATGATGGGTGGCGTTGAGCACCTCTTCCTGTTCGTGTCATTCCGTTTTCAACTGGGGCCTTTGTTTTCTTGAGTTTTGAGAGCTTTTAAAATTCGGGACCCAAGTGTCAGCTGTGCGATTTTAAATATCATCTCCCAGCTTGTGGTTTGTCTTCCCATTCACCTAACAGCGTCTTTAAAATCAGGAGTTTTAGGTTTTGGCCCGGTTTATCAATTTGTTTTGTGAATTGTCTGATGTCATATCTAATAAATCCTTGCGTAGCCCAAAGTCACAGAGAATAGTTTCAGCTCTTACGTTTGGGACCATGATCCATTTTGAGTTAATGTTTGTACATAGTGCGAGATACGGACCACAGTTCTTTTTTAGTGTGTGAATGTCTAACTTTTTAGCACTGTTCGTTGAAAAGACTCCCTTCTCCATCGAACAGCCCTTTGGATCTTTGTTGAAAGTCCGTCGACTCCTGAGGGGTCGGCTCCTGGGCTCTGCTCTGTCCCATTGCTTTCCGTGTGCCCTTTGGCTCATTCCATGCCTGCTTGGTTCCTGGGACTCTAGGGTAAGCGTGGACATGGGGGTTCAGGCCCAGGCAGGGACCAGCTGGTGCCAGGCAGCGATACGGTGCTGGGGCCTGCAAGGTGAGTGTGAGGGCTGGCTGGCTGCTGGGCTGGGAGGAGGAGAGACTGTAGGCTCACGCCCCTTTGCTGGGCCTGGGGAGCCATGGGGGCTGTTAAGTGTATTCTGAGTGTAAAGTCTCGGTTTGGCTGGGGCATCCTGAGCAGAATGACAGGGCCATGGCAGCGAGATCCTCAGCTGCCGTGCAGAGCTGCCAGTGGGGTGGCCGCACAGAGTGCAGTGCCTGCTGCAACAGTGCCCAGGGCAGTGGGCGGGTGGGGGCATGTTGTGAAAAGAAGTCAGTGTGAGTGATGAGAAATACATCCTAGTCTCAGACCCCAGGAAACCGCCGTCAGTGCTGGTGGCCCCTGCCCTGGGCCGGCTCCCGCGTTAGTCTCAGACCCCAGGAAACCTCCACCTCCGTCAGTGCTAGCGGCCCCTGCTCTGGGCTGACTCGCGCATCTCCACGATGGCTGCGGCACCAGCTGTTTCTTCGGTGGCTAAAGCTCTCTGGTGGAAATAAGATGGGGACCTTGAAATCAAATGTGACTGGTCTGTTGAGTCTCTGTCCTTATCGTTGTCCTTCTTAGTAGGATGTGCTGGTTTTGTCCAGTGCCACCGGCCACAGTCACCACGTAATATGGACGGAATGAGCAAAGCCCGGCTCGCTGAGGCTGCAGGCTGCAGGCAAGTGAGGACTGAAAGGGTAACGGGCTCTGGGCTTTGTCCTCTCTTTGTTCCGGACATGTGAGCAGGACAAGTTCTGTGTATTCAGAATCTGTCTGCACAGTTTGTAGTTCATGATGACTGTTCATCCACAGCATTGCTTTGTGGGCGTCCTCTCTTTTGATCTTCTCGAAACAGCCCCTGCGATGGGGTCATATTTTGCACTCACATACAAGAACCCATGAGCCTGCCCACGGTCACGCGGCTGGTGAGTGATGCACTTCCCAGGAGCACGGTGACCTCTTCAATGGCCCTCACTAGAGAAGATGGACAGTGCCCCCCTAGCCTTTTTTACTGGAACAGATACAAGGCTGAGAAGCTGAAATCAGGAGCAGCCCAGGGACCACTGTCTACACCGAGGGAGTCATGAGCAGCCCAGGGACCACTGTCTACACCCAGGGAGTCAGGAGCAGCCCGGGGACTGCTGTCTACACCGAGGATGTCAGGAGCAGCCCAGGGACCACTGTCTACACTGAGAGCGTCAGGAGCAGCCCAGGGACCGCCGTCCACACCAAGAGCGCCAAGGAGCAGCCCAGGGACCGCCGTCCACACCGAGGGCGCCAAGGAGCAGATAGTAGCCCAGAGACCCAGGGGAGGCTCAGCTTCCCCACGCTGGAATCAGAACTCCTAGGCGAACAGGAAGGAGCCCCAGACAGATGGCACAGGGAGAGGAGTCCCCGGCTGAGGAGGGGGATCCAGAGACCCTGAAGCTTCAGGGTTATTGGGCAAGAAACCTGAGTGCACCAATCCCCGAGTCTTCAGCTACCGACGGCAGGTTCCCTCGGGTGCCGGGGATGCTCCCTCTTCTCTAAGGCAGAGCCCACAGTAGGTTCCCTCAGGCGCCAAGGACATTCCCTCTTCTCTAAGGCAGAGCCCACAGCAGGTTCCCTCAGGCGCCAGGGACGTTCCCTCTTCTCTAAGGCAGAGCCCACGGCAGGTTCCCTCGGGCGCCGGGGACGCTCTCTCTTCTCTAAGGCAGAGCCCACGGCAGATTCCCTCGGGCGCCGGGGACGCTCTCTCTTCTCTAAGGCAGAGCCTGACGGCAGGTTCCCTCGGGCGCCAGGGATGTTCCCTCTTCTCTAAGGCAGAGCATACGGCAGTTTCCCTGGGGCGCCGGGGACGCTCCCTCTTCTCTAAGGCAGAATCAAATATCTGTGATTTTATCCTTGCCTTTAAATCACCAGCAGTGTGAGTTCTTTGGTTTGGAAAAAAGTAAGTAAAGTCACCTCAGCATTAAATCCAATATGCCCCACAAAAACTCCAAAATGCAGCCTCCTGAGCCATGTTTCTAGAGGGCACGGTGGAGGAGAGCTTTCCTCACTCTCAGGCTCTAACCCCCACCCTGGTGGCCATGGCCTTGACCCTTGGGTCGGCTCCAGCCACAGGCTCTGAGCTCATGCTTGGCCTCGCTGCTCAGTGCACTGTCCGTGCTCGGAAGAGAGAGAAGCTGGGTGGAGGGTGAGCTCTGTCGTGTGTTATGGTTACAGGCCTGCTCCGTGCGGTTCCTGTGGAGGGAGATGAATAATTCATGGCCGACCACTGCTGGGCCTCGTCACACTCTAATTGGAGGTTGAGCTCAGAGGTGCTCACGGCTCCTGGGCCACTCTGTGGCATTGACAGGGAGCTCCAGGGCCTCATTGGCGGTTTCCGTTCCCTGGGTCCCAGTCCCCAGTCAGAGTTATCAGGGAGGGGCTGGCTGACAGCGATTTTAGAGGTGGGCTGTGGCAGGAAGGCAGTGCCCCCCACCTGCCTGCAGCTGCGCTCCCATCTACATTGGCCTTTGCGGGGCCAGCCTCTGTCCACTCTCTTGAGCTCTCATGTCCACACTGTCACATGCCCGGGGCACAGCGAGCGGCACCTGGAGTGTGGGGACCCCTCCCTCGAGCTCTCACGGGTGGCACCTGGAGTGTGGGGGCCCCTGCCTCAAGCTTTCATGGGTGGCACCTGGAGTGTGGGGGCCCCTCCCTGAAGCTCTCACGGGCGGCACCTGGAGTGTGGGGGCCACTCCTTGAGCTCTCATGGACAATACCACTGCTTGGCTGCTGCAGAATCCAGACACCATCCCAGAGCCTCTTCAGCCTCTGCAGATGGTGTGGGACGGCCACACGGCCTCCCCACCTGCGGCCCCCGCCCCTACCCCAGCCGTGCCGTGTCCTTGCGCTGCGTCCCCGCCCCAGTAGAGGCATCACCAGGAAGAGGCGAAAGGCCGCCTGTGATGGTCCTCTTCTTATGAAACGCCCAGAACAGAAAAACCACGGACGCGGACAGCAGACCTGGTGCCAGGTCTGGGGAGGGAGGGTGTGGCGGTCGTGGGCTGTGCGGGAGTTCTGACTAGGGGAAGTGGGGGGCTGTGCAATGTGTGTGCGGAACACCGCCGTGCCGCGCACTGAAATGGGAAGTCATGTGTTATGCGGGTTTCACCCCCATTTAAAAATCTTCAGAAGCAAAACATAAAGGAGGAGAAAGGATGGAAGAAAGGGGGCTGAAGCTGGCCCCGCCACACCCCCCATAGTGGTGACACGGGTTTCTGACCAGAGTGGAGGTTCGGGGCGTCTGCATACCTGGAACCACAGAGAACTCCCGAGGTGACACTCCGCACACCACACTAGCCCGGCTTCGCCTGCAGGACCCCAGGTGTGGACAGGCCCAGCAGGATCAGCAAGACCGAGCCGGGCACCGACAGCCCCTCACCAAGCGTCTGGAGGCCGGGACGCCCCATGGATTGCAGAGTTCACTGCACTGACCCTCGATGCTGACCCTTGAAGTGCCGGAAATCTCAGCGTGGACTCAGACATGATAAGCGTTCAGGCACTCCCCTGACGCAGGCCAGGGCAAAGGCCTCACGCCCCGGGATAGACAGGAAGTCCCACGTCTGCTCTGCCCCTAGGTCATGCCCGTGCTGACGCCACATCGCCAGGGCCGCACTCCATGAGCAGCCTCTGCCGTCCCACCAGCAACCTAAACCACAGGCAGAGCGAGGCTGCGGCAGCCCTGCGTGTGCCGGCGGGACACGTCTCGCCACCTGGGCTCTGCCCCCACCCCGGCCAGTGTAAGATATGATTTTAGCCACGTTGAGACTGTGCAGGTGGGATGGATACACTGAGCAAATCATGGGTGTCTAATAAATGAGCCAGTACAAAGTGTGGTCCACCTGCCATGCAGAGTTCAGGACAGCCCCTCCTGGGGACATAGGGCAGATCCTGCCTTAGCCCGTCGTGTGCCGGGCACACACAGGTCCCCTCATCGTGGACAGCCCCGGGGCCATCAGGGCAAGGCGCCAGCCCTCCCTGGCCAGCAAGTGTGTAAAAGTGGGAATGACACCAGAATCTGTGGGCAGCTGTGAGGCTTTGGGAAGTAACTGGGAAAGTGATGTATGAGGGGCCCAGGGCAGGCCAGGCCCAGCGTGCCACGTGAGTGCCTGCTGTGCCACATGGCCATCACTGTGGCATCGGCTGGGCCTGAGCACACCGTGCTTGCCAGCCACGTATCGTGTGGCTTTTCACCTGCTGGTGCCTACACCATCTTCTCTCTGGGTCACAGGGCACGTCGCTCCCTCCACACAGACTCCCGCACGTGGCACACGGGAGCTCAGCGGGATCCGAGCTCAGTGTGTGCTTCTCTCCTCCAGGTTCCTCTCACTCCAGCCTCCCCTTCAGTGTTTCTCCTCTCCTGTAGGTTCCGTGGGGACCCCACTGCCTGGAGTACAGGTGCGCATTGTCTCAGAAAACCCACAGAGGGAAGCCTGCTCCTACACCATCCACGCAGAGGGAGACGAGAGGGGGACCAAGGTAAGCCACTCTGCTCTTGGCAGGTGGGCGGCCGTGTGTCCAGTCTAGGCCCCCCAGGGTGGTTACACTGGTGCATCTTTCCCCTGGAGGCAGACTCCCCTCCACGCAGGGGACCAGCCCCCTGGACACTGCAGGTGCTGGCTGGTGTTGCAAGGGCACTGGCTGGTGTTCTGGGCCCTGCCTGCTGCGTGTCCGTCTGTGCGTTCACAGAGCAGTGGGCAGAGGGAGCCCAGGGCGGAACGCCAAAGGGACTCACACCCGGGCACACAGCTCCTCCCAGGGGCCCTGTCCACGGGGACAGGCTGACGTGGGCCATGATGGCCTTGGCTAAGCGGAAGAGATAAAGAGCAGAGGCCGTTGTTGTTGATGGGAATCTGGTTAGAAATATGAACTGGCCTGACCCTGGCACCCGTCCTGAGGGGACGCTGACCACAGGCCCCCATAGTAGGTGTGGGGAGATTCACGGGGCCCTGCACGCGGAGGTGGGTGCCTGTGCAGTGCTCTGTGGCTGCCTCCTTGTCTTGTGCGTTATTCTAAAGCTGACAAGGGTGAACAAGAACAAAGGACATTGTCTCATTTCTGTGAGGATTTTAACATGAGAGTCTGCTCATCACACGTGAACTCATCACAGAGAAAGGTTTAGGGATTATGGGGAAATGGAATCTTGATTTAAAAGGAAATTATTTTCTCTGAAGCCAGTATCCACACCTGATACCACACATGATTGACTGTGTTGCCCTGAGGTTTTCAAAGATCGAGGGATCCTGAGTCTCATCTCTGTGCATTTCCTTCTCTGTGACACCATCTTGGCCCTCACGGGCACAACTGAGCTCCCTGTGCAGAGGCTGAGGGGCCGTGGGCCTTGCTCTCGTGAGTGAACAGCCACACGCCCTCCTTGTACCTTGGTTTCCACACATGACCACGTGAGGGTTGGAGCGATGGTCGTGGTTGGACGTTTTAGCTCCAGCAACCAAGTAGGATGTGGGTGGCTTTCAGTGTCATTAAATGACACTGAAAGGTGCAGTGGCCGCACCTTGTGTGGAGGGCCACACGGCGTGTCCCGCCTGGCCTGGGCCCCCCGCAGTGGGCTGTTATCCCCCGTGGCCCTGAAGTGGGTATTCTGTTTCCCCGTGGAAACCTCTCACCTGGGGCCACCTGCAGTGGCCGCACCTTGTGTGGAGGGCCGCACAGTGTGTCCCGCCTGGCCTGGGCCACCCGCAGTGGGCTGTTATCCCCCGTGGCCCTGAAGTGGGTATTCTGTTTCCCCATGGAAACCTCTCACCTGGGGCCACCTGCAGTGGCCGCACCTTGTGTGGAGGGCCGCACAGTGTGTCCCGCCTGGCCTGGGCCCCCCGCAGTGGGCTGTTATCCCTGTGGCCCCCACAGAGCCATGGGGCAACTTGCTGAAACCCACCTGGGTGGCTGCCCCTTGCTATACCCACCTCCCCTGCCCTCTGTAGGGCCCCAGCCCATGCTGTTGTCCTGACATGCCTCTCCTGGGATTCCTGCCTCTGCCCTGCTGGTACTAGGCTGCTGGCCACACCCCACATCTCAGGTTCCTGAATACACCGGCCCTTCCTGGCTCTCAAGTCTGTGCCCTGCAGTGCCCCTGCCCCCAACTCGAGGACCTCCCAGCTCAGCCAGTTCCAACCCTGTCTGCAGGGACGGGGCTCAGCCTGTGCCTGGGTTGGGGACACCATCTAGTCAGAAATGTCCCCAGCAGAGAGCAGAACGTGAGTGGCGTGTGGAGGAGTGAGACGCCCCGTGGCTGTGCAGCCCTCTCCAGGTGTCAGTCAGCTGACACTCCTGCCTCTGAGCACCTGCTCTGCCGGAAATGGCAGAAATGTTGCCAGAGAAAGGGGCGGAGCGGGGGTGGGGAGCATTTCTGTCTTAAATTAAAACAAAACTTAACTGCTTCACACCTGCATTGGCTGCCGCGCCACCTGATTGCTCCTGCCTGAGTTTCTTTAATTATTTGTGTCTGCTGGTTTCTTCCCTGAAGCAGTCTTGAAATAGAAGCAGCAGCCTCAGCTACCTGGGCACCCTGACAGTCAGAGACACCGCACAGGGGCCTCTGCGACAGGCATGCAGGCAGACCCTGCAAGGTGAAGCCGCACAGATGCTCTGGGGCTGCTTAAATCTCAGCGTACGGGGGGTTTGCATCTGCTGACAGCAGGCCCGGGAACATTTCCAGTTCAGCCAAGGAGTCGGTGCAGCAGGTGGAGTACAGCTGCCCTGCGGGGCCTGGCTCCACCAGGGGCCAAGACCCTTCGTGGGGAGGAGCACAGCCTGAGGGCCTCAGGGTTTGTGCCCTCCGACACCTGAGATTCAGGGCTCCCAGAGGGGTGGGTGGGCGCCCCAGGACAACCAGGTGATGATGGGCGCTGTGAACTCTGAAAAGCCCCAGCATCAGAGACCTGCTGCTCTCTCATGTGAAGGGACTCCCCACCCCACGCTCACACTCGCAGACGCACTTGGTACTTTCATCTGAGTCTCACGCAGTAGCCCTTCTCTCCACAGCATCCCAGAACCCGAGGGTGCCCCTCACTACCACGGTCCCGGATCCACGTGGCTCAAGTGAGGCTGTGGCCGACAGCTGGGCTGTCCGATCCACTCTTGTCTGTGCCGAGGCGTGGGTCCCGGCCAGCGTCCCTCCCCAGAAGGTCTCCCTCAGGACTAGTCATGAGAATGGCCATCCCTAGGCCTGTGGAGTGACTCATGACTGTTCCTGGGCAGATGATCAGCCAGGCCTTCAGAGCTGAATTAAGAGGCTTGGTGTCATATTTGTCAGGAAACAGAAAGTACCTGCAGAAAGGAATGTGCCCTGTGGGGATGGGAGGACACCTTCCCAGGATCATCCCCGGGGCCAGAGTATCTGGACCCTCCCCAGGTGGCAGCTGGCCTGCCAGGCCCAGGGCTCAGCCTCCTCCATCACCTCGCTGAGGGGCTGGCTCCTACCACTCCCTCACATCCTGTGACATATCACAGGTACCACACACACATGCAGTGCGCGCACGGGTATCACAGATACACGCAGTGTGCACACGGATAGCACACGTAGTACGCATGGGTATCACATGCAGTGCACACACAGGTATCACACGCACGCAGTGTGCACACTGGTATCACACACATGCAGTGCATGAACGGGTATCACACACATGCCTAGTGTGCGCATGGGTATCACACACATGCCTAGTGTGCGCATGGGTATCACACACATGCAGTGTCCACACAAGTATCACACACACATACACATTGTGTGTGCACAGCTGTTACACACATAAATACAGAAAAAAAGACCTGATGGAAACCCCAGAAGTCAATATGGCTGAGCTCCAGGCCGGACTCCCTGACGATGTCATAGGACGAGGGGGCGCGTGTGCACACTGCATATATGTGTGTGTGAGACCCGTTTGCACACTACATGTATGTGTGTGATACCCCTGTGCACACTGCATGTGTGTGATACCTGTGTGTGCACTGCTCATGTGTGTGTTACCCGTGCGTGCACTGTGCGTATGTGTGTGATACCCGTGCGTACTCTGCGCATGTGTGATACCCGTGCACACACTGAGTGTGTGTTACCTGTGCACATGCTGCATGTATGTGTGTGTGTTACCCATCTGCTCACTGTATGTATGTGTGTGAGATACCCATGCGCACACTGTGTGTGTGATACCCATGCATGCACTGCGTGTATGTGTGTGATACCTGTGCACATACCATGTGTATGTGATAACTGTGCACGCACTGCGTGTGTCACATATGCACACACTGCATGTGTGTGTGATACCCATGTGCGCACTGCATATACGTGTGTGTTACCTGTGTGCAACACTGCATGTGTATGTGACACCTGTGCGCACACTGCATGTGTGTGTGATATTTGTTGAAAAGACTACCCTTTCTGCATTGCATTGCCATTGCCACTTTGCCAAAGATTAATTGGACATATTTGAGAGGGTCTACATACAGGTTATCTGTTCTGTTCCCTTGATCTATGTTTCCATTCCTCTACCGACACCACATTATCTTGACTGTTGTGGTTTTATAGTAGGTCTTAACAATTGTAGTGTGATTTCACCAGCTTTATTCTTTCTCAGAGTTGTTTTGGTGCACATATTAATTTTAGAATTAGCTTGTCTAGCCGGGCCTGGTGGCTCACACCTGTAATCCCAACACTTTGGGAGGCCAAGGTGGGCAGATCACCTGAGGTCAGGAGTTCAAGACCAGCCTGACCAAGATGATGAAACCCGTCTCTACTAAAAATACAAAAATTAGCCAGGCATGGTAGTGGGTGCCTGTAATCCCAGCTACTTGGGAGGCTGAGGCAAGAGAATCACTTGAAACCAGAAGGCGGAGTTTGCACTGAGCCGAGATCACGCCACTGCACTCCAGCCTGGGCAACAAGAGCAAAACTCTGTCTCAAAAAAAAAAAAAAAAGAATTAGCTTGTCTATATCTACAAAAAGTTCTTTTGAGGTCTTGAATGGAAAGCCAGGTGTAGTGGCTCATGCCTGTATTCCCAGCATTTTGGGAGGCCAAGGCAGGCTAATCAACTTGAGACCAGGAGCTCAAGACCAGCCTGGCCAACATGGTAAAACCCTGTCTCTACTGAAAATACAGTTAGCCAGGTGTGGTGGCACACGCCTGTAATCCCAGCTACTCGGGAGGCTGAGTCACAAGAATTGTTTGAGCCTGGGAGGTGGAGGTTGAAGTGAGCCAAGACTGCACCACTGCACTCCAGCCTGGGCAACAGAGTGAGACTGCCTCAAAAAAAAAAAGAGAGAGAGAGAGAGAGAGATGTTGATTGGAATTTAGCCATTCTGATCGGGGAGATCACTTGGGGGAGAATTAACAATTACTATGCTGAGTCTTCCAATCCATGAACATGGTATGTCTCTCCATTTACTTAGATCCGTGAACACGGTGTGTCTCTCCGTTTACTTAGATCCGTGAACACAGTGTGTCTCTCCGTTTACTTAGATCCGTGAACCTGGTGTGTCTCTCCATTTACGTAGATCCGTGAACACGGTATGTCTCTCCATTTACTTAGATCCGCAAACACGGTATATCTCTCCATTTACTTAGATCCGTGAACACGGTATGTTTCTCCATTTACATAGATCTGTGAACACGGTCTGTCTCTCCATTTACTTAGATCAGTGAACATGGTGTGTCTCTCCATTTAGATATACTTTGGTTTCTTCTGTGTTGTATTCAGCATATAGATGCTGTACTTGTGTTAAATTTATAAGTAAATGTTTCTTCTTTTCTTTATTCCTCCTATTTCTTCTCCTCCTTTTCCTCTCCTTTTTAAACTATTGTAAGTATGGCAGGTGGGTATGGGGGGAGAGTTGTTTGTTTTTTTGAGACAGAATCTTGTCCTTTCGCCCAGGCTGGAGTGTAGTGGTACGATCTCAGCTCACTGCAACCTCTACTTCCTGGGTCTAAGTGATTCTCATGCCTCAGCCTCCCCAGTAGCTGGGATTACAGATGTGTGCCACCACACCTGGCTGATTGTTGTATTTTTAATAGAGGCAGGGTTTCACCATGTTGGCCAGGCTGGTCTCAAACTCCTGACCTCAAGTGATCTGCCCGCCTCGGCCTCCCAAGATGCTGAGATTACAGGCATGAGCCTCTGCACACAGTCACGTTTTTGTTGCTGTTGTTAGTTTTCAACTGTTCATTGCTAGTAGGTAGAAATAGAATTGATTTTTGTGTGTTGGCCTCAAATACTTTAGTTGTTACCTTGCTAAATTAACTTACTAGTTTTAGGAGATTTTAATAGACTTCTTGGGAATTTCTACAAATACAATCATGTTTTCTGCAAATACAAACAGTTTTATTTCTTCCTTTCCAACCTGTATGACCAAAGCCCTGACTAGGACTTCCAATACGATACTGAACAGAAGCAGTCCGAGTGGACCTTCTTATTTCTGATCTTAGGGAAAGGATTCAGTCTTTCAGCAAGTGTGTTAGTTACTGGCTTTTTGCAGATTCCATTCTATCTATAATGTGCTTAGACTTTTTATCACTAAATGTATGTTGAATATTTTCAAAAAGCTTTTCGGTATTGATGGACTTTTCTTTATTAGGCTGTTAATATGGTAGATTACATTGAACCAAGCTTTCATTCCCAGGACAAACCCCACTTGGTCCTGGTGGGTCATTTTTTTATATATAGTACTGGATTTGATTTGCTAGCATATTGCTGAGTATTTTTGCATCTGTATTCATAAGAAATTTTGGTCTGTAGTTTCCCATTTTTGTACTTTCTTTGGGTTGTGTTTGAGGGTGATGCTGGCCTCATTAAATGAGTTGGGAAGTGTTCTCTCCTCTTTTTTTTTCTGGAAGAGATTGTGTAGAATTGGTATTATTTCTTCTTTCAATGATTGGTGGAATTCACCAATGAAATCATCTGGGCCTAGAGGTTTTCTTTTCTATTATTATTATTTTGTGTGTGGGGGATAAGGTCTCGTTCTGTCACGCAGGCTGGAGTGCAGTGGTGCAATCATAGCTCACTGGAGCCTTGAACTCCTGGGCTCAAGTGATCCTGCGTCAGCCTCCCAAGTAGCTGGGACCACAGGCATGTGCCAACATGCCCAGCTAATTTTTTATTTTTATTTTTGTAGAGTTGGGGGTCTCACTATATTGCCCAGGCTGATCTTGAACTCCTGGCCTCAAGTGATTCTCCCTCCTCGCCTCCCAAAGTGCTAGGGTTACAGGTGTGAGCCACTGTGCCCTACCAACGTTTCTTTTTTGAAAGAAAAAGAACTATGAATTCAATTTCTTTAGTGCTTATAGGACTGTTCAGGTCATCTGTTGCATCTTGGGTGATTTTTGGTACATATCATTTTTGAGGAATTGGTTCATTTAATCTGTTAAGTTTCTTTATGTAGAGTTTCCCTTCAGGCCACGAAACCATTAAAAGGTTGATTAAAAGGTTAATAAGGGAATTCCCATCTTAACCTTTTAATGGTTTCAGGGCCTGAAGTTATGTGGCTCCCATTCCTCATGTTGGTAATTTGTGTCTTCTGTTTCTTTTTTCTTTGTTATCCTTGCTAGAAGTTTATCTGTTTTATGGCTCTTTTTTCAAAGAAGTCACTTTTGGATACATTGATTTTTCTTTACTGTTTTTCTGTTTTCAGTTTCACTAGTTCTTGGTTTCTTCTACTTGCTTCTGGCTTTTCTCTTTTTCTAGTTGCTTAAGGTGAAGCTTTAGATTATTGATTTGAGACCTTTCCTCTTTATAATGTGTACATTTAATGACGTACGTTGCCCTTAAGCATTGCTTTAGCTGCATCCCCAAATTTATATATAATATATATATATTTTTTTCTTTTTTCTTTTTTTTTTTTTGAGACGGAGTTTCGCTCTCGTTGCCCAGGCTGGAGTGCAATGGCATGATCTTGGCTCACTGCAACCTCAGCCTCCCAGGTTCAAGCAATTCTCCTGCCTCAGCCTCCTGAGTAGCTGGGAGTATAGGCATGCGCCACCACGCCCAGCTAATTTTTTGTATTTAGTACAGATGGGGTTTCACCATGTTGGTCAGGCTGGTTTCGAACTCCTGACCTCAAGTGATCCACCCACCTCGGCTTCCCAAAGTGCTGAGATTACAGGCATGAGCCACCACGCCTGACCTAAATTTTGATATATTTTTATTTTCATTTAGTTCAAAATATTTTTAATGTTCCTTAAGACTTCCTCTTTGACTTGTGGATTATTTAGAAGTATAGCACATATTTTCCAAATAGTTGGATATTTTTCCATTATCTTTCTGTTACTGATTTCTAGTTTAAGTCCATTACAGTCAAAAGACGCACTTGGTATATTTCAATTCTTTTAAATTTGTTAAGTTGTGTTTTGTGGCCCAGAATGTGGTTTCTTTTCAGGAATGTTCTGGTGTACTTGAAAAGAGTATATATTCTGCCCAGGCGCAGTGGCTCACACCTGTAATCCCAACACTTTGGGAGGCCAAGGCAGGAGAATCACTGCCCAGGAGTTTGAGCCCAGCCTGAGCAACATAGTGAGACCCCATCTCTACAAAAAGTTGGAAAAAAAAAAATAGCTGGGCATGGTGTTACATGCCTTTGGTCCCAGCTACACAGGAGGCCGAGGCGGGAAGATCGCCTGAATCTGGGAGTTTGAGGCTGCAGTGAGCTGTGATGATGCCACCGCACTCCAGCCTGACAGAGCAAGAGTGTGTGTCCTGCTCGTTTTAGGAAATGTCTGTTCTGTAAATTAGATGAAGGTGTTTGATCGTGTTGTTCAGTTCTTCTATATCCTTGCTGGTTTTCTCACCACTTGTTCTGTTACTAAGTGAGGGGTTGAATTTTCCAACTATAACTGCCTGTTTCTGCTTTCAGTTTTTGCTTCATATATTTTGAAAGTCTGTTGTTTGGTACATTCACATTTATAATGATTGTGTCTTATTGGTGAATTGACTCTTATTAACATTTAATGCTCTGGTAATGCTCTTTGCTCTTAAGTTTACTTTGATATTATTATAGCTATTTTAATTTCTCGGTTGGAGTTTGCATGGTATTTATTGTTCTATCCCTTTACTTCCAACCTACCTGTGTAATTGTATTTGAAGCAAGTTTCTTATACACAGCATACAGTTGGATTATGTGTGTTTTTTAAATCCAGCCTGACAAGCTTTGTAATTGGTATGTTTAGACCATTTACATTTAATGTAATTATTGATGTGCTTGAATTTAAGCCTACCATTTTACTATGTGTTTACTATTGTTCCCTGAGAGTTTTATTGCTCAACTTTACTGCCTTCTTTGAGGTTATTTTTTCATATTCCATTTTAATTTGTCTCTTAAGTTTTTGACCATAAATGTCTTTGCATAGTTTTTTTAGTAGTAGTTCCAGAAACTACAATATACATACTTCCTTTTTTACAGTCTACTTAAAGTCAACATTTTAACACTTCCAGAAGAATGTAGAGCCACATCCCTGCCTCCACATCGGTTACTTACCCTCTGCCTTTAGAGTGTAGTCAGTGTAATACCTGTATTTGTTGTAAACTCCGTTAGACAAAATGGTAATTTTTGCTTTCAACAGTCAAAAATATTTCAGAGAACTTGAGAAGAAAGGAACTCAACTTCATTCATCCAAATATTTGCCACTTCTGTTGCTTTTCCTGTATTCCCAATATACCAAGTCTCCTTCTGATACCAGTTTCTTTCTGTCTGAAGGACATTCTATAGGAATTCTTTTAGATCAGATCTGCTTGCAACAAATTACCTTATTTTTCCTCATCTAAGAATGTCTTTATCTTCCTTCCTGAAGGATATTTTCATTGGATTAGGAATTCTGGGTTGACAACTATTTTCTTTCAGCACTTTAAAAATATGATTCTTGGCTGGATGTGGCAGCTCATGCCTATAGTCCCAGCACTTTGGGAGGCCAAGGTGGGAGTGGATCACCTGAGGTCAAGAATTTGAGACCAGCCTGGCCAACATGGGGAAACCCTGTCTCTACTAAAAATACAAAAATTAGCCAGGCATGGTGGCACACACCTGTAATCCCAGCTACTTGGGAGGCTGAGGCTGGAGGATTGTTTTAACCTGGGAGGTGGAGGTTGCAGTAAGCCGAGATCATGCCATTGCACTCCAGCCTGGGTGACAGAATGAGAGTCTGTCTCAAAAAAATACTACTAATAATATAACTCCACTTCTTTCCGGCCTCCATTGTTTCCGTGGAGAAATCAGTGGGCGCAGGAACCCTTGTTCCTCTCTGTGTGTCAGTGATTGGATTATGATGTGTCTGGGCTTGGACATCTTTTGGTTTGTCCTGTTTGGGATTCTCTCAGCTTCTTTAGTTTATAGGCTTATGTTTTCACCAAATTTTGGGTTTTTAGCCAAATTTTATCAAACGACTTTGTGCACCTAAGTGTTATCTTTTCTTCTGTCACTCCAGTAGCATGAACGTTAGCCCTCTGTGTGTTGACTTTCCTGGTGATTTTTCTCTGCTGTTCAGATTTTGGGTCATTTCTGTTGCTCTGTCTTCAAGTTGTCACGTTCGTTTCTTCATCGTCCTGCTCCTGAACCAATCCATGAGATTCTTTATTTCTGTATTTTTCAGTTTTTAAATTATTGTTTGGTTCTGCTTTATATCTGTTATTTCTTTGTTGAGACTTTCTGTTTTTCCATTTATTTCCAAGTGTTTGCCCTTTCTTTCTTTTTCTTTTTCTTTTTCTTTTTTTTTTTTTTTTTTTTTTTTGAGACAGGGTCTCACTCCGTCACCTAGGCTGAAGTGCAGGGCTGCAGTCTTGGTTCACTGCAATCTCCACCTCAAGCGATCCTCCTACCTCAGCCTCCCAAGTAGCTGGGACTACAAGCACTGACCACCACACCTGGCTAGTTTTTATCTTTTTTGTAGAGACAGGGTTTTGCCATGTTGCCCAGGCTGTTCTCAAACACCCGAGCTCAAGCAGTCTGCCCGCCTCAGCCTCCCAAAGTGTGCCCTTACTTTTTGGAGCATTTTTATAATAGTGCTTTAAAGTCTTTCTCAGATAATTCCAATAACTGTGTTGTCTCAGTGCTGTTGTATTCTTTTTCTATATGAGTTGCTATTTTTCTGGTTTTTTCCCGTGTTGAGTAACTTTGTATTGTACCCTGGATATTTTTAATGTTAGGGATGAGATTCTTGGTCTTGTTGACATTCTGTGAAGATGTTGAGGTGTTTGTTTTACTGTGACTTGGTTGGCTTAACTCTACAAAGTCTGACCCTCCTTCCCTGGGATTGGTCTCATTGTCATTTTATTTGTAGGGCCTTTGCCTTGCTGTCTCTACATGTCCCACAAGTGTACTGACCAGTGGCCAGTCTGACCACGTCAGTGGAGCAGATAAAGGACAGCAGTGGAAAAATTCACGAAATTCAGATAAAGTCCGTGGTTTCTTTGAAAAAACAAACACAAGGCTCTGAGCAGCCAGGAGTTAGGCTGGGCACTGCACGGAAAGCCCCGTCACCATGTGGGGCAGGTGTTTCACCCCCGTGGGTGGCGTCAGCCCCTCCTGGAGGAGCCCAGGCTGGCGGGTTGGCAGCCCCGTCATCATGTGGGGCAGGTGTTTCACCCCCGTGGGTGGCGTCAGCCCCTCCTGGAGGAGCCCAGGCTGGCGGGTTGGCAGCAGGACGACACACTCGGCAGAGGCTGCCATGGGGCAGTGTTGGCCCCACGGCGTTTGAGCGCCCTTTCTCCACATCAGATCAGTGTGTTCTGCTATTTCGCAGCTACTTCCCTGGCCCCTGGTTTTCTGAAGTCCATTCCAGATGGCAGGTGATGAGCCTCAGTGAGACTCTTGTACGCATCCCTTGACCTCCGGGGTCACAGCCAGTCACTTTCACAGTAGAGAAGAGTGAGGGTCGTGGAGCTGGCAGCTGCTCATCTGAAGCCCCTGCTCCTTCTCTGCCCTCCCCAGACCCTCCTGACCTATGAGCCGAGGGCTCGGCCGGTGTCTTCACAGACCCACCGTGTCCAGGGCCTCCCGTGCCATCTGTTCCTGGTGCTGCAGGGACCCCCAGCCCAGGCTCATATAACCCAGCCTCCCTCCCGCCCTCTCCATGGTCACAATAGAAGAACAGTGAGGCTGTGTTTCCTGGGGCCATGGCAGTGCCTGCATGCTTAACAGGGGCCTCCAGGGACCCTCCACCCTCAGGCCCCACCTTCCCTTCCCACGGAGTCTTCCCTCTTGTAATTGGTCACTCAGCCCTGTGGAGGGCGCTGCCCGCTCCAAGCTGCCCCAGCCCCTGTGGGCAAGGTGTGGACAGGTGCCCGCTGCTGTGTTCCCTGGTTTGAGAAACGCCCCCGAAGATGGGATTTGGGCACAGGTTTTAGACGTGGACAGGCTGCCTGAATCCAGCCCAGGCTCTGAGTGCTGAGGCCTGGGCCGGTAACATGCTCAAGTCTAGAGGATGGGGTAGGAGCACGTTCTTCTGTGGCTGTTCTGGGAGGAATGAAAGGACACCCAGCTCCCGGCCAGGGCACCAGGGCCCACAGAGGACGGCGGGAATGCTTAGCTCAGCATGGTTGGCTTCCACCTGTCAAAGCTGCGTTTTCCAAGCATTCCAACAAAGCGCTCAGTTTCAGAAAGCACGCGGCCCTGGGTGGGCCCTGGGTGGGCAGGGAGCAGCCCACAGTTTCAGAAAGCACCAATCCCAAGAGGGTGTGCCCAGCTCTGACCTCCATGTTCTTCATCCTCCACAGGTGACCCCAGGGTTTGAAGAAAAGGAGGGGGAGCTGCTGGTGAGGGGACCCTCCGTGTTTCGAGAATACTGGAATAAACCAGAAGAAACTAAGAGTGCATTCACCCTGGATGGCTGGTTTAAGACAGGTAGGACCCAGCCCCATGGGAGTGGAGGAGACCCCGAGGGGACAGGCAGGAACTCATTGCTGCCCACGTTGAGTGACACCGAGGCTGGGAGTTCCCAGAATTTTCAGCCAAAGGCAGAAGATGGGGTGGAGTGGGGCTGGGGGCCACTGTTACGGCACTGCCTCCTGAGCACCCGGCCTCCCCACCGGCTTCTAGAGTGGGCTCCTTGGCCCTGTCCCTCAGTGCCAGGGGCCCCAGTGCCCCATGACAAGGCTTCTACACTGTCCCTCAGCGCGACAGCCGCTCCGGCACGCACGCACCCTGACCACAGACGCCGGGCCCCACGCAGCCCTTCCTGGTGGCCCTGCTGCCCCTCGTGGGCTGGGGCACCCTCCACCTCCGAGGTGTACCCCTGTACCCAGAGACCTCACCACCCCCACGCTTAGCCACACTTGTGCCCTCCACATCCTTCTCCCCACCAGAGTCAGAAGTCAGCTGACGCAGTGCGGTTGGTTTGCAGTGCGGCTGTTTGTTTACTGTTCCACAAATTAGCACATTCTCTCTGCCTGCCAGAACAGGCCTGTGGGTGAGTGGGAACCTGCCCACCTGATTGAGGTGGCCCAGGAAGCCTGTGGCGGTCAGGAGAGACGGCGGCGCCCCTGGAGCCTGCTGGCAGCCCCCACTGCCACCCTCCTGCTCTCCCTGAGCCTGCCCTGAGCTGCTGCTGCCTGACCCCCCTCCTTTGTGAGAAGCTGGCTTGGTCCCAGGATCCCACATCCCGCCCCATGGGGCGTATTTGGACAGTGGATATTTCGACATTTGGATAGTGGACGTATATGGATGGACATTTGGATAGCGGACGTATGTGGATGTGTTACTAGGGGGTCCTTGCTCCCAGAGCTCCCAAGATGGTAGCGGGCAGCTTCCAAAATGGCGGCAGGCTGCTTCCAAGATGGTGGCAAGCGTCGTGTTCTCTGACCTGGGGTTCTTGGCCTTATGGATTCCAAGGAATGGAATCTTGGGCCATGCGGTAAGTGTTATAGCTCTATTAGAAGCCGTGGGCCACAGAAAAGAACCATGGAACCCAGTGACTAGTGTTCAGCTTGATTAGGATGAACGTGGGTGCTTAGCCGTGCAGGAACAATGGCGAGCCTTTAGGCCAGTCGGGAGTGGCAGTGGGTGCCTCGCTGGATCAGGAGCACAGTGGACACCCTGCGGGATCCGGAGGAATAGAAGTCAGCGGCGGGTCTGCAACGGCGGCAAGCAGCAGTGGTGGACGGCGAGCGAAAGCTCAACTTGAGCCGTAACTACCACGGACCAGAAGAGAGTGTAGTTGCAAGATTTAATAGAGTGAAAACAGAGCTCCCATACAAAGGGAGGGGACCCAGAGAGGGCAGCCGTTGCCAGGTTTATATCCCGATCATTGTCCCTCCTGCTGTGCTCTGAGGAGATAGATGATTGGCTATTGTTTACCTCCTGTTTTAGCCTAATTAGCATTTTAGTGAGCTCGCTTTACTACCTGACTGGTCGGGTGTGAGCTAAGTTGCAAGCCCCCTGCTTAAAGGTGGATGTGGTCACCTTCCCAGCTAGGCTTAGGGATTCTTAGTCGGCCTAGGAAATCCAGCTAGTCCTGTCTCTCAGATGGACATTTGGATAGTGGACGTATGTCCATGGATATTTGGATAGCAGACGTGCGTGGGTGGACATTTGGAGAGTGGACACACGTGGTTGTGTGGCTGCAGGTACTCACTGTAGTGTATTTATCCGGAAGATGTGCACGTTGCTCCTGACCCCTGGGTGGTGAGATTGCGGTGGTTTTTCTTTTCCTGGTTTTTTTTTTTTTTTTTTTGGCCTGTCTATATTTTATGCTGAACATCATTATTTTATAATAACCTTTAAGTAATATTTTCCAAAAAAAAGAGGCCCATTTTCATGCATCAGAATCTGCTGGCCCAAAATCAGAAACGCATCTGCCCCATGCCCTTCCACAGGGAGCAGAGCGGGGGGCTGCAGCGTGCAGGCGGGATGGGCTCCTTGAGGGATGCTGGAAGGGGCAATGTTGGCCTGCAGCCTCTCCGCCTCATGGCCTGATCCTGTGGGTCCCAGAGGCCCTGGAGCATGTGCTGCTGTGAGGCAGGTGTGCTAGGTGTGTGGCAGTTCCGCACGTTTGCAAAGTGAAGGCTCCGTGAGCCCCTAGAGCAGAGGCCAGTGCCCCACGCAGCATCTCATAGGCTTCCCAAGGTACCCTGGGAGGCACCTTCGTGGGCTGGACATCAGCAGAGGACCCAGGGCTGGGGCCCTAGAAGCCTCTCTGTGACAGGACGTGGTCAGCACATCAAACACTCCCTCCCAATTTATCTTTTTTATACATCCCCATTAGCGCATGCTGATCTGGGGAAACAGCCTGTCCATGACTTCCCTTCAAATGCAGAATTACAGGAACCGGACTTGAGCAGGTCTTGCTCTGAGCATCCCTCCAGTGCCCTCTGAATGCCCCGACCCCAATCCGACTCACGCTGCAGTTGTTTTATTTATTTAGTTAGTTATTTTTGAGACGGAGTCTCGCTCTGTCGCCCAGTCTGCAGTGCAGTGGCACGATCTCAGCTCACTGCAACCTCTGCCTCTCGGGTTCAAGCAATTCTCCTGCCTCAGCCTCCCAAGTAGCTGGGATTACAGGCGCCCGCCACCACGCCCGGCTAATTTTTGTATTTTTAGTAAAGACAGGGTTTTGCCATGTTGGCCAGGCTGGTCTCGAGCTCCTGGCCTCAGGTGATCCGCCCGCCTCGGCCTCCCACAGTGCTGGGATTGCAGGCGTCAGCCACTGCGTCTGGCCGGTTCTTGTATTTTTAAATTCAGGTAAAAGCTGAAGACGTTTTCTTCTTTGAAAGCACAGGAACCACAGCCCTGTGGATTTTGCGAGTCGCGGGGCTCCCGGAGCCGCTGGGAGGGCAGCCGTGTGAGATGCGGGGCTGCGAGCGTGGAAACACTCGCAGTCGCCAGTGCTGAGGCATGTTTCAGCCGGGGCGGAATCACATGCATTAATTATTGTACAGAGATGTCTTTAGTAGAAAATGATTTTGAAATTCAGTTTAATTTCATTGTAATGTGCTGCAAACAGGAAGGGAGTATGTGTGTTTAATTGGCTCTCGGGGGTAAGGCCTGGAAGCCGCATGTCTTTGTCACAGGCCATTAGCGATGCTGCTGCATAATGAGAGCCTGCAATCAGCTCACAGCTGCCGCTCCTGCCGGGAGAGCATGATATTAAATAGAAATCAGGAGAAATTAAACTTAACCCTTTCCCTGGCCAGCCCCTCCTGCCACACGGATTCTGGCATAAGCCGGCGGGCACAGGGGACAGCCAGGGATGGCTGGACACAGCTGAGGATGGCCGAGGCCGGCCTGCAGCTCCCCAACGGCCTCCTCCGGGTCAGGATGAGAGGAGAGGTTGCCAGCTTTGATGCCAGCCGCTCCTGCCTCCCCCACCTGCCTCTGTGCCTACAGCCCGCTTCTGCCTCAAGATCACACAGCGGGCTTGTGAGGCCAGGGGTCTCCGCTGCTGCTCAAGGAGATGGCAAAGGTCTGTTTCAGGTAACTCCTCTGACGGCCACAACGATGTCTTCAGACGTCAAAGGTCTGTCTCAGGTAACTCCTCTGACGGCCACAACGATGTCTTCAGACGTCAAAGGTCTGTCTCAGGTAACTCCTCTGACGGCCACAATGATCTCTGCAGATGCTCTGACTCCACGTGCCCTCGCTCAGAGACACACGCGCACATTTGCCACCTGGGGCGAGTGGAAGGTGACGTGGAGGTGGGCACCTCTGCCGGGCAGATGCGGGAGCAGCAGCAGCAGCAGCCCCTCCTGGGGGCATCCAGGGGTCAGGAGAGGGGCGGTAGGGCAGGGCGGCATCCCTGCAGGGGTGAATGGCGTCTTAGGCTCCAGCCGGGTGAGGAAACCTGATAACCGAACTCCTTAGAGAAGAGCCAGGGATCCCGGGAGGACCACCAGGAGCTTGTGGGGAAGGACTGAGGGGAAGAGCCCCAGGTCTCGGGAGGACCACCAGGAGCTCACGGGGAAGGATTGAGGGGAAGAGCCCCGGGTCTCGGGAGGACCACCAGGAGCTCACGGGGAAGGATTGAGGGGAAGAGCCCCAGGTCCCGGGAGGACCACCAGGAGCTCACGGGGAAGGATTGAGGGGAAGAGCCCCAGGTCTCGGGAGGACCACCAGGAGCTCACGGGGAAAGATTGAGGGGAAGAGCCCCAGGTCTCGGGAGGACCACCAGGAGCTCACGGGGAAAGATTGAGGGGAAGAGCCCCAGGTCTCGGGAGGACCACCAGGAGCTCGTGGGGAAGGATTGAGGGGAAGAGCCCCAGGTCCCGGGAGGACCACCAGGAGCTCACGGGGAAGGACTGAGGGGAAGAGCCCCAGGTCCCAGGAGGACCACCAGGAGCTCACAGGGAAGGATGGGGAGAGGGGAGTGGGGGGCTGGAGAACCCCCAGACTGAGAAATTCTGCTCGGAGCGAGAAGGGAGCTGGGCCCAGGTGGCCCCATCCCCCAAGGTTGAACATCAGCCCAGCCTCCCAGGCCCTCCACGTGCTCATGGGCACCACTGCCGGGCACTAGCTTACTTGTCACCCTGTCTGAGGCGTGTTGGGGTAGGAGCAAGAGTCCGCTGCTTCCAGGGCCCAGCTGGGGCTCCATGTGTCCCTGGGCACCCCAGAACCCTCTGGGTCTCAGCCGTTGGGTTCTTACATCTGGGCCAGTGGCAAAGGGTTAAAGGGACCTTGTGACTTAGTTGGGACTCACTGGCCTCAAGAAGCGAAAATCAGAGGGACAGCAGCCCCAGCCGCCGGGGATTCCCTGTGGCGCCAGAGCTCCCCGGCAGGCACTGTGGAGGCCAAGTGGGGACCGGCAGTGTCGTGGTCCCGGCCCACAGCCTCTCAGCCTCCCACAGCCTCTCCCTGTGGTAACGAGGTGGACGCTGAGCCCCAGGCCTGATGGCACATTTGAGGTCAGGTGGGGGCACCTGGGCTGTTCCTGTAGCTGTCCCCTCGTCCAGGGGAGGGACCTTTTCAGAAGCCCTGGGGCCTTTGTCTCATTGACCAAAACCCTCCTGGCCATGCTGCCTTCACAGGACACTGGGCATCTCTGTGGGGCAAGGGAAGGAACACAGGCCTCCTGGTGGGGCCCCAAGACCCAACCAAGGCTCGTCTGGCTGGTGCCAGCCTCTGCGCCAAGGGTGCCGACCAAGGTCAGAGCCGATCGCGGGGATGACAGGTGCCGAAATGGCCATGCTTGCCCCAGCCCCTTTCATCCGGCAGAGGGACCTCGCTGGGCCTGCCACGCTCAGCCAGGCTGTGCTGTGAAGCCCCTCTCTTCCCTTCTCAGAGCCATATGTCCACGCTGACAGCTCCTGAGAGGGACCATGTTTTGCTGCCTGCAGGTGCCAAGCTGACTGATGGGCCATGCTGAGGAGGGTGCCCCAGCCCTCCTGCAAGATGCCCTTCTGTGCAGCCTGCAGGGCCACCAGGCCCACGAGGCGGCCATGGTCTTCAGATGTGTCTTAGCCTGGGTTCCCTAGAAAACACATGAGGACTCTGGGCAGAGGCTGAGTGTTTTTACATTTTTATTTTTAAGCCAAAGTTACACACCTGTGGCTTAAACACCCAAGTAGTTGTAGCAGTTTGAGAAGAAGAATCACAGCCGTGCCCCTTCCCCAGACTCGCCGGCTGCTGCTTCTGTGCGGTCCCCGCATCCCGAGGGCCGCCAGCACCGCCACCTCCAGGCTCCTTTTTGCTGCCATGGCTTGAGTCCCGCAGAGGAGGCCCCTCCTCAGGCACGGCCCGGCTCAGTCCCGTATGGCATCTGCACTATTGAGACTATGGAGTCGCCGCTGAGAACTGAGCCCAGGAGACACTGAGGTTTTTCCTCTTTCTTTGTTTTCCAGAGTCGGGAAAGTCTTGGTTTTCTTGGTCTCCTGGTGCCAATTCCTCGTGGGCTGGGCTGGTCTCCCCATGGCGCCTCCTTCCCCATCACCACCACCCCTTCCCTCCTACCGGGTCAGGACGTCGGCTCCCAGCCCACAGCATCCTCGTCTTCCCTCTTCCGCCCCCAGCTGTGGGGACTGCTTTCCCCTGGGGCTTCCTGAGGCGGGTGTGTAGGGTCCGTACTTGGAGACTTGCGTGTCTCTCCGGGTCTTCGTTCTGCCCTCAGCCTTGCTTGTCGGTTTGGCTGCGTATAGGGTTCAGGGTTAGAAGTCGCTTCTCTATCATTTTCTGGCCTTCAGATTTGCTGCTGCCACAGCCGTGCTGAATCCTGGCACTTGGTGACCCCCTCCTTTTTTTTTCTGTTTTTTTTTTTTTTTTTTTCGAGACAGAGTCTTGCTCTGTCGCCAGACTGGAGTGCAGTGGCGCCATCTCGGCTCAGTGCAACCTCCGCCTTCCGGGTTCAAGCAATTCTCCTGCTTCAGCCTCCCGAGAGTAGCTGGGATTACAGGCGCCCACCACCACACCTGGCTGATTTTTGTATTTTTAGTAGAGACGGGGTTTCACCATGTTGGCCAGGATGGTCTCGATCTCCTGACCTCGTGATCTCCCCACCTCAGCGTCCCAAAGTGCTGGAATTACAGGCATGAGCCACCGCACCCAACCATGACCCCCTCTTTTTAACGTACAGGGTGTCCTCTGTCCCCAGACCCCTGAGCCCAGGTTGAGGAGCCACCAGCTGAGGACGGAGCCAAGGTCACGGAGCTGCCGGGTGAGCGCTGAGCCCAGGTCAGGGAGTTGGGTCTCAGGCCGTCACTGGGACTCCCTCTGCCTTCAAGAAGCCTCTTTCACCCTTGGCCCACAGAGGAGACCTGGATGGCACTGGGGTCCAGGTGCAGAAGCCTCCAGTGTCCACGGGCACCTGAGCTTCCAGCACCTTCCCTCCTGCTGGGCGGTGGCCTGTGCCTGGCCGCAATGGAGGCCGCCTTCCCCACTGCCCCTCTGAGCCTCAGTCTGTCCTCCCTGCAGCCACCTCCCCTGGCCAGGTGCCCCGGGGTAACTGGTGGAGGCTTTCACGTAACTTGGTTTCCAGCTGCCTCTGTACACACACAGGCACCTGTTCCAGGCTTGGCCTCTCTGTACACACACACGGGCACCTGTTCCAGGCTTGGAGGCTGAGAACTTGGGGGCAGAGATCTCAGGGCATCGGCTTGGGCGGGGTCCTTGGGCAGGGCCTTGGGCTTCCCTCGGCACTTTCCTCAAGGACTGGGGCCAAGCTTCACATTCTGTTGCTGGCATCAGTGCCATTTGGGAGCAAAAGTCCGACAGGCTGGGTCTGGGCCTCTCTTCACCTTGTTTCCTGGGATCGCGCTTTGGGTGCTGGTGTCACTCCAGATCCAGGCTCGGGAACCACATCTGCACAGCAGAACAGGCGCTGTTCTTATCTTGCGTGCGGGTCAGGACATCCCCCCGGCCAGGAGTGCTTCCTCCGAGGCCCACAGACAAGTTCTCGCTGGGGGACTGGGGACCACAGCACCTCACTCCACCTACACTCTAGAGAATTCAAATCTGAGTATTGGAAGATTTATTTTCAGTTACAGTGGAAGGCAGAGACATGAAATAGCACCAAATTCAAAAGCAGCTCATAAATCCAGGTAATAGGAGTTTATTGATTGCTACATTGTATCTGTCAGAAGAAAACTCCTTTAATGAACACATCAGGCCGAGGACATACACAGCCCATTGGCAGCCGACTCCGATTCCAGAATCGATGCATTTTGATAAATAGGTTGTTATGGAAAGTAAAGGTTATTTAACTTGTTTGACTTGCATTTCACAGTGATCGCAAGTTGCCCTGGAGCCCTCTGAACCTTCTGAGTCGCCCTCGCTGCCGCAGGACCTCCTCCCGCGGGGTGTCCGACCCGCTCTTGCTTGGCTGAGACTTTGTTTAAACCCTGGCTCCGATGCCTCTGAGCCCTTGATAGCAGCGTCCCAGCCTGGAAGAACAAAACCAGCCACTTTTCCCCTTGGCAAAGGCACAGCAAGGCGGGTGAGGCGGGCGCTGAGTAGTCTGGGAATGGGCAGGGAGATGTCGACCCTCGGAGCTGAGACTGCTCTGTGCTGAGAAGCTAGAACAAAGCCTGACATGTTCCAAGGGGCAAGCTCAGGGCTGGGAGGGAAGCAGCGGGGCCGCCCCTTTGGGTGGGGGTGCCCAGGCCTTGCAGACAAGACACTGGCCAGAGGAGGTGGAGCAGGGGTACTGGGGCAGAGGGGCCATGTTTGTGCAGCAGGATGGACCCTGGAGGGCCCCGGCCTAGAGGGGGCCTTTGCCAGGAAGATGCCAGGAACGTCCAGGCCAAGGCGTCCGGGCAAAGGCATCCAGGCCCGGGAGACGCATGTGGGACTTGGGCTTTCCTCTGTGGGCAGTGGGAAGTCTCTCCCTACCCCTGGAAGGAGCTCCAGGCAGCAGTGAGGATGGGGATTCTGACACTGGAGTGGGGAGCCGGCCCTGTGGTGCTGGCTGGGCTGAGAGCGGCACCACCTTCTGATGCCCAGGGTGGGAAGGACACACGACTGCCACCATGCACTGAGGGCCCTGCACGCCACACACGTGCTCTGAGCACTGAGGGTCCCCTCATGCCACGCACAAGTTCTGGGCACAGAAGCACCTCTCAGAATCATCCCCGAGACAGGCGTCCATCACAGAGACAGGTCTCAGTCCTGCACTGATTGGCTTCGCCCAGTGCTGCTGGGGGAGTCTCAGACACAGCCTTTTTCCGACAGGTATAGCTGCCACTTTCTCCGGCACAGAAGCCTGGGGCCCTGGGAATGGCACCATGTTGCGCGCCGACCCCTACGGTTCTTCCCTCCGCATGGCTCAGTGGAAACCGTGCGTGCAGCACAGCAGGCAGCTGGGGCCTGTGACGACCCTGGGGTTGGAGGCCAGGCAGGGCTATCACTGAGAAGCAGGGATTTGGGGCCTGGGGCCCAGGGAATGGACAACTCCCCAAGCTGCCCCCACCAGTCCTTCCTGAGCACTGGCTCTGGAAGAAGCATCTCGGGGCAGAGGCAGCCAGGCCCAGGCAGGGAGAGACCCCCAAACAAGGCCTACAGCAGGGTCTCAGGGCCTGACCATGCCAGAAACAGCCCAGAGCCAGAGAGGATGGGCAGATACTCAGTGCCACCACTCCTGGGAGATCTCAGCACCAGGGCTTCGACCTCTGGGGATACACACCCACACCTGCTGAGATATAACACATCTGCAGAGACACAGCCACGCCTGCAGAGACATACCCACACCTGCAGACACACCCACACCTGCAGACACACCCACACCTGCAGACACACCCACACCTGCAGAGACACAGCCACACCTGCAGACACACCCACACCTGCAGACACCTACACCTGCAGGCACACCCACACCTGCAGACAGAGCCACACCTGCAGAGACACCCTCACCTGCAGAGATACAGGCACACCTGCAGAGACACAGCCACACCTATAGACACACCCACACCTGCAGAGACACACCCACACCTACAGAGACACCCACACCTGCAGACACACCCACACCTGCAGACACACCCACACCTAAGGAGACGGGGTCTCGCAGTGGGCGGAGAGGTTGGGTCTTGCATCTAATCAGCCATTGATGGGCCTCTCCTGTGAAGGGCACTCATTCCTTGTATTCATAAATTAAGCTCATGTGAGTTTGTTCTTTAACAAGTTATTGCGCGATCATAATCCATTGCCGACGTTGGCGTGACTCACCATGTCATGAGCCCACTCGGGGCTGGTGCTGCTGGAGATGGGGAAGAAAATTGCTCCATAAACCAAAAAGCAACATTTTAAAACTTATAAAAAAGATTCGCAGGAAATTAGAAATAACACACAGGGGTTCCTTGTGCCGTCCCCCCAGTTTCTCCCAGCATCAGCCTGGTGTGTAACGGTGGTACATCCTCAGTGCCGTGCGTAGCTTTGGTGCAGTCTCAGCCCCGTGCGTAGCTGTGGTGCAGCCTCAGCCCCGTGAGTAACTGTGGTGCATCCTTGGAGCCAGGACACAGGCAGCTCAAGAGGGTGCCGGGGACTTGTCAGCCTTGGGGGCAGGCAGTGATGGCCTCTCCGGCAGGACCAGAGCAGGGCAGTGGCTCCATGCTGCGCTGGGTCTCTGGGTGGTGCAGGCCAGGGTGGAGCCAGGCCAGAAGCTGTATGGAGGGCCCTGAGCACCTGGCAGCCTCCCTGGTGTCAGCAGCTGTGGCATCCGTGGGGCAGGAGCAGCCTGGACGGGGTGGCTCGGTGCGATTAAGAGATGCTATTGGAAGATTGGTGGCTGTCTGGTCCAGAGGGGACACACAAGCCAGGCTGCACAGCAGGAGCAGGAGCCATGGCGGGTCCCACGGGACTTGGGACAGGCTGTGTCCAACCCCGCCCACAGCCCAACCTGCACACCCCCTTCCAGCCGCCCAGACTACCCCAGGGGCGCAGTGAGACCACTCTCCTGTCGGGGAGCCTCTGGTTTTTCTGCTACCCATCAGCACAGAGTTCCAGAGTTCCAGAGCTCCATAAATAAGCCTGGAGCCCACCTGGGCACACCCATCCGTCTTGTTTAATAGACTGAGGAGCACGCCATGGGTCTCAAGGAGTGGTGAGGTGGATGGATGGGGCCTTTCTGCGTCCAACAGCATGATGTATAATGAAGTATTTATGATTTATTCCAGCTAATAACCCATGTGGAGTGCAGGGTATGTGGAAGCAGACAGTTGAGGCCTCAGCACTGCCCTTACATGCCCTGCATGCTCCCACAGCCACGGCACACATGTGTGCGTGCACATGCTCACAGTCACGCATACCGCGCCCTCCCAGCTGCACACACGCTCGCAGGCACGCACACTATGGGCCCATGCGTCATGAGACAGCTTCGGGCTGGGAGTACAGGCTCTGAGGCTGCAGCCCGCTCTTCCCGACTCCCCACCCTCAGTGGCTGGTGGTGTCTGTGTTGAGCTACTCGAGAAAGGAAGAAAACGAAGGAAGCTTGGTTCCCACAGGAGCTCCAGGAACTGCACGGGGAGGAGCAAGGGCCACGTCGTGGCTTTGCCTTAGGAAGGAAAACGTGGGGCAGCCCCGGCCATTGTTCTAGGACCAGCATGGTCAGGTGTGGAGGGCACAAGATGGGCACCAGCAGGAGGCTCCAGGCACCCAGGAAAGGCCCTGTCCTCCTCAGCCACCAGCCCCTCCCTGTGGCCTCTGCGTGGGCCTTGGTGCCTCTCCCATCCAGAGGGGCTGGGCATTCACTGCTGGAGCCCACCGTGGTGGGATGTTGTAATGTGTCTGGTTCACTTCTTTTACTGAATATTTGGCCTGGATTCTTTTGTGGGCCTGAGAGAAATGGCAGGACAGGGCCTGGTGGGCCTCGGCCCCTCTCCCAGAGCAGCCTGCCTGCATGAGGGGCGGCCCCTCTATGCTGCAGTCCCAGGGGCTCCGTCTGGGGGCCCTTGCAGCAGTAGCAGCACAGCCAGGAGGCCCAGCACACCCTGGCACCCATCCTGAGGGAGGGTAAAGCATCAGACCCTGTGCTTGTTGCTCAGAAAAGGCCACGCATCCCACCCATGGCCAGTGGTTATCAATCACTGTCACAGAAACAGGGCCTGAGCCGGCTTCCTAATGCAGGGTGTCTGCAGACCACAGGCCCAGCAGGGCTTCTGGCACCTCCTGCTCCTGGCAGGCTCTGGACCCACTGCTGACCTGCCCCTGGAGGAAGTGCATACAGCTGAGCATGGGGAAGGGACCCCACAGGAAGGGCAGACCCCACATCATGGGCACAGTCCCACCTTGGGACGCACGTCGTGACCACCAGGAATGTGGGCTTACCTGGCATAGCTGTTTCTCCGTTGGGGTTGCCACAGGGTAGTAACCAGAGCCCCCTTTCCTCAGAGGACACCGTGGTGTTTAAGGACGGCCAGTTAACCAGAGCCCCTTTTCCTCAGGGGACACCGTGGTGTTTAAGGATGGCCAGTTAACCAGAGCCCCTTTTCCTCAGGGGACACCGTGGTGTTTAAGGATGGCCAGTACTGGATCCGAGGCCGGACCTCAGTGGACATCATCAAGACTGGAGGCTACAAGGTCAGCGCCCTGGAGGTGGAGTGGCACCTGCTGGCCCACCCCAGCATCACAGGTGCGTGGCCGGACTTGGGCCAGGGAGGCCAGGCTAGACGGGTGCTGCCTTCCATGTTTGAGTTTTAGACGACTGCAGATGAGTCGACGCCGTCCCAGCTGCCTGCAGGGGTCCCTGTGATGCTCACCTCTGGTCCCTGCCCTGGCCAGGGAACATGGGGCTAGTGGGGGTGCAGCCTGCTCGGTGTTGGAGCCACTGACCCCGTGCCCACCAGAGCTCCCAGGCCTGGCCGGGCGCAGCTCCCATCTGCATGATTCCCCTGCAGGAAGGTGGCAGGGAGAGTGCAGAGAGCCAAGGGGCGGGAAGGCAGAGCCCCTGTGAGTGCCCAGTCCCCAGATCCACCGTGGGGAGCCCGTCCTCACTCCCCTCCCCACAGGCCCAGCCAGCACCAGGACGAGTGATTGGAGTGGGGCCTGTCCAAGGACGGGCTCCAGGGCTGCGGCCAGACTGCGCTCTTCCTGTGTGTCCAGGCACTCTTCGGCCTGTAAGGGTCACTGAGGCATCCCCATGTTCTCAAACTGTTCTTCTATCCGCAGATGTGGCTGTGATTGGAGTTCCGGATATGACATGGGGCCAGCGGGTCACTGCTGTGGTGACCCTCCGAGAAGGACACTCACTGTCCCACAGGGAGCTCAAAGAGTGGGCCAGGTAGGGCTGGGTGGGGCGGGCAGGGAGCACTCATGGGGTCTTGGGGGTCCAGTCTTGAGGGCCACCCTAGGTATTGGCATCGTCCGTCTTAGAGGTGGAGATGAGGGATCAAGAAAGACCAGCAGTGAGGGTCCTTAGAGACCTGAAGGCCGCACACAGCAGGTAGAGACGAGGGCAGGGGGCAGGAGCCGTGCTCAGATTTGACTTGGTGGCAATATTCCGAGGGGGCAGAAACTCACATTCCTGGGACAGGGCCCTGTACGGCCTGTGGTGGGTTCCGTCCTGGTCCCAGGAGAGATCCCGGATGAGCCAGGCCAGGCCCATGCAGGAGGTGCATGGAGCTGAGATCCAGGGTTGACACCAGCTGGCCGCACGCGCTGGGCCCTTCCCCGCCAGGCCACAGGCAGCCTGTCCACCTGCCGCCCCAAAGCCAGTGCTGGGCCCCAGCAGAACTGCAAGGCCCACCCATTCTCCGTCGGCACCTGCACGGCCTCTCCCTCTCCTGCCCTGGGGGTGGGTCCTGAAGGTGCCTCACACACCTCCAGTCAGTTCCACGGAGACCCCAGCACCATCACCATCCCCTCAGTCATTTCACTTTCCCCTCCATGTCCAGGGCAGGGCCTGTTCCTCAGCGGTGGCCACCACCCAGTCCTTAAACTCACCTGCATTTTTTGTTTTGCCTTTACCTTACCCAGAACCTTTCCCCAAGGACTTTCTCCCACCTGTCTCACCCCCAGTGGTTTCTGATGCATGGGATCCACAGACCCTCCACTTTTGCCAGCAGTGGTGGTGGTCACGCCCAGGGCTGAACCTGAGCTATGGCCTTGTCAAAGGCCGTCAGGACGGAAGGGTATCCCATAGGACCGTCAGGGCAGAGCCAGGCTGAGCTCAGAAAGGAAGCTTTTAGTTTCACCTACAGTAATTTCTTTTGTTTTTTTAATTTATAAAGAAACGGGGTATAATTGGCTCATGGTTCCACAGGCTATACAGGAAGCGTGGCTGGGGAGGCCTCAGGAAACTTACAGTCATGGCAGAAGGCAAAGGGGAAACAGGCACATCCTACATGGCCGGAGCAGGAGGGAGGAGGGAGGAGCCACAGAGTGAGTGAGGGAGGAGGGAGGGTCCACAGAGGGAGGGAGGGTCCACAGAGTGAGTGAGAGAGGAGGGAGGGTCCACAGAGTGAGTGAGGGAGGAGGGAGGGGTCACAGAGTGAGTGAGGGAGGAGGGAGGGGCCACAGTGTGAGTGAGGGAGGAGGGAGGGGTCACAGAGTGAGCAAGGGGGGGAGGGGCCACAGAGTGAGCGGGGGAGGGGCCACAGAGTGAGTGAGGGAGGAGGGAGGGGTCACAGAGTGAGTGAGGGAGGAGGGAGGGGTCACAGAGTGAGTGAGGGAGGAGGGAGGGGTCACAGAGTGAGTGAGGGAGGAGGGAGGGTCCACAGAGTGAGTGAGGGAGGAGGGAGGGGTCACAGAGTGAGCGGGGGGGGGGGGAGGGGCCACAGAGCGAGGAGGGGGTGGGAGGAGCCACAGAGCGATGGGAGAGGGAGGTGCCACGCACTCTCAAACATGCAGGTCTTGTGAGAACTCACTCACTAGCACGAGAACAGCAAGGGGAAAATCCACCCCTGTGATGCAGTCACCTCCCACCAGGTCGCTCCTCCAACAGCGGGGATCACAATTCAACATGAGATTTGGGTGGGGACACAGATCCAAACCATATCGTTCCTCCCTGGCCCCTCCCAAATCTTACGTCCTTTTTACATTGCAAAATACAATCCTACTTCCCAACAGTCCCCCAAGTCTTCACTCATTTCAGCATTAATTCAGAAGTCCACAGTCCAAAGTCTCGTCTGAGACAAGGCAAGTCCTTTTCACCTATGAGCCTGTAAAATCAAAGACAAGTTACTTCCCAGATACAGTGGGGGTGCAGGCATTGGGTAAATACACCAGTGCCAAAAGAGAGCCGCCAGCCAAAACAAAGGGGCTGCGAGCCCCAGGCAGGTCCAAAACCTAGCAAGGCAGTCACTGAATTGTTTTTTGGTTTCTTCTTTTTTGGTTTTTTTTTTTTTTTTTTTTTGAGACGGGGTCTTGCTCTGATGCCCAGGCTGGAGTGCAGTGGCATGATCTCAGCTTACTATAGCCTCTGCCTGCAAGCAATTCTCCTACCTCAGCCTCCCTAAGTAGCTGGGACTATAGGCATGCACCACCACACCCAGCTAATTTTTGTATTTTTTAGTAGAGATGGGGTTTTGCCATGTTGTCCAGGCTGGTCTCGAACTCCTGACCTCAAGTGATCCACCTGCCTCAGATTCCCAAAATGCTGGAATTACAGGCGTGAGCAACCCCACCCAGCCCAATAAATCTTAAAGCCCCAAAATAATCTCCTAAGACCCATGTCTCACATCCAGGCTACACTGATGCATGGAGGTGGCTCCCAAGGCCATGGGTATCTCTGCTCCTGTGGCTCTGTAGGGTACAGCCCCCATGCTGCTTTCATAGGCTGCTGTTGTGTGCCTGCAACTTTTCTAGGTGCACCACACAGTGCAAGCTGTCGGTGGGTTATTCTGGGGTCTGGAGAACGGTGGCCCTCTTCTCACAGCTGCAGTAGCCAGGGCCCCACTGGGGACTCTGTGTGGGGGCTCCAACCCCATCTTTCTCCTCTTCACTGCCCTGGAGCAGTGGCCTGAGCTCTATCTGGAGCCCTTTTAGCCCCAGAGCAACAGGGATGCAGGGGCCAGTGTCCCTCAGGGCAGTGGCCCACAAAACCATTCTTCCCTCCGAGGCCTCCAGGCCTATGATGAGAGGCACTTCCATGAAGGTCTCTGACACGCCTAGAGACATTTTCCTCATTGTCTTGGCGATTAATATTCAGCTCCTCTTTACTTACGCACATTTCTGCAGCCAGCTTGAATTCCTCCCCAGAAAATTGTTTGTTTGTTTGTTTTCTACCATGTGATCAGGCTGCAAATTTTCCAAATTTTATGCTCTGCTTACCTTTTAAATCTAAGTTCCGGTTTCAGGTCATCTCTTTGCTCATGCTTAACAAAAGCAATCTTTGCTCCAGTTCCCAATAAGTTCCTCATCTCCCTCCGAGTCTACCTCAGCCTGGACTTCATTGTCCATATCGCTATTAGCATTTTAGTCACAACAATTTAACAAGTCTTTAGGAAGTTCCAAACTTTCCCTCATCTTCCTGTCTTCTTCCGAGCTCTCCAAATCGTTCCAGCCTCTGCCTGTTACCCAGTTCCAAAGCTGCTTCCACATTTCCAGATGTCTTAACAGCAGTGCCCCACTTCCCTGTACCAGTTTTCTGTGTTAGTCCAGTCTTGCATTGCTATAAATGAAGCCAGATTTTTCTCAGCCACTTTGCCAACCGGGGACCTCCGTGGCTGGTGACACCCCCAACCCAGGCCTGCCACAGAAGGCACCCACACACTCGACCCACTGGGCCATGCTTGGCTTATGCACTGGCTCAGCCCACCTGTGTTATAGCTTATACCTGCATTCATCGGTTCCCAAGTTCTTGTCCCGCGTCCAAGAAGAATGAGGTTACACTGACAATTCAAAGGGTGAGGAGAGTGGAGAAGAATTTTATTGAGCAATGAAACAGCTCTCAGCGGAGAGGGTATGCGAGGGTGCTGAACCGCCCAGAGTTGGGTGTGGCTGGGTCTAGGGCTTTTCTGGGCACAGAATGGGGAGGGGCAGGCTGTAGGTAGCACTGGAAAAGGTAACCTTTGGTTGGTTAAAAAGCATTATTCAGAAAGAACCAGTGGGAAAGAGTGGGCAAACAGGAATAGAAGTTCTCACTCCAGGCTGCAGGTTTCAGGCTGTTTTTGGCTTGAAGGTGGGGTTTCACCAGGGACCCACCCCTGTCTATCTGGGCATTTGACTGCTTCCTGTTGCTTTCATAAGGAACTACCCAAGATGGTAATTTATAAAGAAAAGAGGTTTAAGTGGCTCACAGTTCCACAGGCTATAAGGAAGCATGGCTGGGGAGGCCTCAGGAAACTTACAGTCATGACAGAAGGGGAGGCAGGCATGTCCCACATGGTGGAGCAGGAGGAAGAGCTCACCTACAGCAAATTATTTAAGACCGAGCATTTGTCTCTGTTCTGTTCCCTCTCTGGACGCACCCTCCTGCCTCCACCCTGACTTGCCGTCTCCTGAGCACTGAAGATATTTTTGGCTTGTCCGATGTGACTCCACAGACAGCAGAAACGCTTGCTTGATCAGGGCAGCATCAGGGCACCACACATGCCTGGGCTTGCACAACACAGCGGGAGCACTGCCACTCAGCAGCAGCTGCTGCTTTCATTAAACAGTTACCTTGAGAAGAAAAGATAGGTGTCGAGGGCTGAGAGCTGTGCTAGAGTTTCAGGGTCCGAGTTGGCAGGAACTGAAGTCCCGATGCTCCTCAGCCCTTGGCTGTCCTCAGGGCTGCCCTCTGCGTGGGGACACCAGGCCGCCCCTGCCCAGGGACACCAGGCCGCCTGCTCCTGCTCTGTGCATCTCTCACATCAGGCTCCTCACCCAGCATTGTTTGGGCTATGACAGTGGCTGTGACAAGACCCTAAGACGGGAAGCTGCGTGCAGGGCACTTGAGGGCCCGCTGAGGAGAAGCCGCCTGTGAGGGACAGGACTGGGCAGGGAAGGCCACCAGCCATGCGGTCACAGCCCAGGACTCCGCCAGTCCTGCAGGAGCCCTGGAGCCAGGCCCTTGCTGTCCAGGCCACTTGCTGTACCTGGCCCACAGCTACCTCCCCTGCAGCCCTGAGTCCTGCTTGCTGTGCCCGGCTCAGGCTGAGACTGCAGTGCTTGTCCATTCACCATGAAAGAAAGAAGAACAGGAAGGGAGGCAGGAGGAAGTAAGTTAGAGGATTAATCCAAATGTTCCAACTGTCTAATGGGAGTTCCAACAAGAAGATATCCAGGGAGGAAATTCACAGTCAAATTTCCCCAAACCAAAGGTCATGAGTTTTCAGGTTGAAAGAACACCCAACCAAGAGGAGAGAAAACAGCATTCTAAATATCGGAAGGAAACGAAACCTCGCCTCAGGCATGCGGGCTCTGACGGGCAGGATGGCGGCACGGAGGGCTGCTGTATCCAGTGAAGTCAGCAGTTCAGATGAAACAGATAACTCCCTTAAAAGACACAAATTGCCAAGACTGACGCAAACACTGAAACAGACTGAACAGTTCTGAGTTACCAATTTAAAACTGCAAAGCAAATAGCAGGCCCAAAAGGCTTCACTGATAAATTATCTCAAACATTGAAGGCAAAAAATAAAACCAGACACAGCAAAGTAAGTCTCTGATGAAACAGAGTGGGGAGGAACACTTCCTAACTCCCCGTATGGGACCAGCACTACCCTGAAATCAAAACCAGACAAGAAAACGAGAGGACAGTGTTCCCAATGGGCAGACACACAAAATCCTAAACAAAACGTTAGCAAATTAAATCCAGTTAATGCACAAAAAGACAACACGTCATGATCAAGCAGCATTTAAGCCAGGAATAGAGGGTTACTTTCATATTCAAAAATCAGTCTGTGTAATTCACCATATATTTTTTTTTTTTTTGGATGGAGTCTCGCTCTGTCGCCCAGGCTGGAGTGCAGTGGCACGATCTCCGCTCACTGCAACCTCCAGCTCCCAGGTTCAAGTGATTCTCCTGCCTCAGCCTCCTGAGTAGCTGGGATTACAGGTGCGCACCACCATGCACAGCTAATTTTTGTATTTTTATTAGAGACGGGGTTTCACCGTGTTGGCCAAGCTGGTCTCGAACTCCTGACTTCAAGTAATCCTCCCGCCTCGGCCTCCCGAAGTCCTGGAATTACAAGCGTGAGCCACTGGTAATTCACCATATTTACAGAATGAAGAAGAAAGATCATATCATTTCAATAGATACAGAAAAAGCATTTGCAAATGTCAAAACCCTTTTATAACAAGCACTCTTAGCAAACTAGGAGAAGAAGGAAAATCCTTGAACCTGATGAGGGAGTCTCTCAAAAGCTACCAGATGACATCCTGCTCGATGGGGAGCTGCTGGGCGTTTTCCTCCTGTGACCAGGAAGGGGCGCCTGCCCTCACCACTGCCACCCAGTCTCATTCAACACAGAGTTTGTCCCCTGTTAGAAACCGAGACGTTGGTTACACGTGGAGGTTGGGAGTGGCTCAGGCAGGCAGAGGGGCTTCTGGGAACCTGGCCATGTTCCCTTTCAGTCTGGGCGCTACTTAGAGCAGGGGGCAGTTGCTTCAATAAAACTTTAGATTCCCACACAGGCCAGGCGTGGTGCTCACACCTGTAATCCCAGCACTTTGGGAGGCCGAGGTGGGCAGATCACCTGACGTCAGGAGTTGGAGACCATCCTGGCCAACATGGTGAAACCCCGTCTCTATTAAAAATACAAAAATTAGCCAGGCATGGTGGTATGCGCCTGTAGTCCCAGCTAGTTAGGAGGCTGAGGCAGGAGAATCGCTTGAACCCGGGAGGCGGAGGTTGCGGCAAGCCGAGACTGCACCACTGCAATCCAGCCTGGGCGACAGGGCAAGCCTCTGTCTCAAAAGAAAAAAAAATCTACACATCCCTCACCACACTGTACATAGGACAGCTGGGTGTAAATTACATCTCCATTTAAATGCCTGTCATAGTTTTATACAACTATAAAATATATACGTGCCAAAATAAATTTGATAGGAACATTGGAACCAGGTAAGGTGACGCATACCTGTAGCACTTCGGGAGGATCCTTTGAGCCCAGGAAGTCGAGGCTTCAGTGAGCCATGACTGCACCACTGCACTCTGGCCCAGGCAACAGTGAGATCCTGTCCTAGAAAGAAAAGAGAAAAAAAGAAAAATGCGATTTGGAAATGTGGAGGTCGAGGTTGACAGCGACACCGAGGTCGAAGCCAGTTGCCCCTGGAGAGCGAGAGACTGGGCTGGGCCGACTCCCACCTCTGTCGCGAGAGGCCTACGGGCAGGGGCAGGTGGGCAGGGGGACTGTGCTGGGTCTCTGGCCGCGTCTGGACGGCAGGCGACACTTTCTCCACAAAAAGCGTCAAGAAACCACGACACTTGGTTTCTGGACTTTTCCGCGGAACAGTAACCAGAACAATCGCCATGAAGGTTCGTTTCTGTCATGGCTCAGTGCAGCCTGGACGCCCTGGACCAGCCCCTCCTGCGCCTGGGCCACGGCCGCTGCCTTCAGGGCATCACTGGTGGGCGGCACAACCATCCTCCCTTTGGGGGGTTAATTTCATTTCTTTCCTCCCTTCTTTAATGGTGAATGGAGGAGCACCGAGCACCACTGCAGTCTCAGTTTCAGATCCCAGCGCCTCGTCCCTGCCCACTGCCCTCGGCCCCGCCCGCCTGCATTGGCAGTGCCCTGGCCCCACCCACCCGTGTCAGCACCGCCCACCGCCCTGGCACCACCCACCGAGTTCTCGCCCATGAGGAAGGGGGACCCTGAGTGGAGGTTTCAAACCTTAGGGGCCGTCCCTGCCGTGCAGGGCTCTGTGAGGCCTCTTGCCACATAGGCTTGTGTCTGCAGGACTGTGCGGCATTTACTCCCATCTCAAATACCCCATACAGGGCAGACTGCCCCTGCCCCACCTGCCCACCCACTCCCCAGCCTCTTCCGCACGCCTCCTCTGGAAGGGGAACGGGCCACAGAGTGAAATGGGGCCTTCCAGCTCCAGTGCGGGGACTTGGAAGGCCTGGCCCGGTGTGGGGGCCCCTCTGCCCTGCAGGCCACTCTGTGCAGGCCTATCCTCAGGTGTGCCCTCGCCCAAGGCCTGCACGCACCATGGCTTCTGTGGTACCAGTGATAACACCATGCCGGGCACCTCCTGCAGTCACCACCCCTGGGCTGCTAGGGCAGAGACAGCTGCGGTGGCCCGGTGCACCTGCCTGGCCTCAGGATGGCCGAGGCGCCTGGCAAGGCTGCAGGGTCCCAGGGGCACCTGTCCGTACTGCTGGGCGCCTGAGTTCCTCCTGCTGGGCACTGTCAGGGCAGTGCGCCTCAGGCTGTGCTTGTCTCTGCAGAAATGTCCTGGCCCCGTACGCGGTGCCCTCGGAGCTGGTGCTGGTGGAGGAGATCCCGCGGAACCAGATGGGCAAGATTGACAAGAAGGCGCTCATCAGGCACTTCCACCCCTCATGACCCGGCAGACTGGGACTGCGGGTCTGGTGGGGAGCAGCAGACGTCCCCTTCACACCGAGAACCACGGGGGCCCGTCCAAGACCTGGCCTCCCTTAAACCTGAACCCCCCAAATCAGGTCACGTAGAATCAAGAACTGTTTGGGATGAAATCACCATGTGGGGTCCCCAGCCTCGGGCCAGTTGTTGCAGCTCAAGGAGACCGTCCCTGGTGTCACCTCTGCCTGGTCACCGCCGACCTCATCTGTGCAGCGCGGTGCAGCCAGCCCCTGGCCCCACGTGCTGAGGCACCTCCCGCCCCACAGTGCCCTGCAGTTGCCAGGCTCTCCAGGGCAGGTCCCAGAGGTTTCCCACAAAAAACAAAGACTCCACTGGAGGAAACAAGCCCCTGTCCCACGCCGTCTGCACGTGCCTGTGCCTCACCCAGAGCCAGTGTCTCCCGGCCCACATAGGAGGTCTGGGCAGCCACCCAGGGGGCCCTCCTGGGAGGAGCTGAGGGTTCACAAGCCTCCCAGAACCAGCCCTGTCCCATGGGTTCCGTGCATTTCCTGGTGCTGCTCTTGGAGGAGAGCAGCTCCCACTGTGGGGACACCTGCCACCCTGCACACTACTGTGTGTCCATCAGCATGTGTCACAGAAAGTGCGTGGACGGATGGCCCCGGAGCTGCTCTGCCGTGACCCTGCCTCACCCCCCAGCGCAGGGACTTTCCAGGTCATCTCCACACCAGCCCCTCAGCCGGTGAACCCTCTCTCCCATCACCGTCTCCACCCAGACCCCCACCTGCCCCATGGCCCCCATTTCATGTCTGTGGCTCACCAGCTTTTCCCCAGACCCAGCTCCGGAGCCCACAGGCGTGGCCGATGCAGAAACCTCAGGAAGGTGTGTTGTGAATGTTGGGTGCACCCACGTTGCATTTACTTAGCGGGGCCAATTCAGATGCACAGGGGCCACATGCAGAATCCAGAAGTTTCTGGACAATTTTCAGAAGAATAGGCTGCCTCCTCCCCACAGCCTGGGGGAAGTAACAGTCATCGCCCAGCAGTGTCTGGCCTGAACTTACCCAGAACATTCTGCCCCCGGAATGCACGTCTGAAAGAGTGGCCAGAAACGAGTGTGCCGGGCAGGAGGCCAGCCCCATCTCAGGCTCACGTGCCTCTGACAGGAGACCAGCCCCATCTCAGGCTCACATGCCTCGCGGACAGTTGGACGTGGCCTGGGGCCCCTGCTCACTTGAGCATGTCGCCCACCAAGCTTGTCTGAGGCCACAGAGCAGCGTCCCAGCCCTGTTTTCCAGGACTGGTGGGTGCCCCAGTCCACGGCCCTGCCCCACCCGAACTCCTGCCTCACGGTGTGGCCTTGTGCATCCCCATGGCCTGACCCCGGGAACAGTCAGAGGAAGGGGTCCCGCCCTCCCGCCAGAGGCCTGGACCCAAGGGAACGGCAGTCAGAGACTACAGTCCAGACGTTTGTG
Organism: Homo sapiens; assembly: GCF_000001405.40. Classification (NCBI taxonomy): domain Eukaryota; kingdom Metazoa; phylum Chordata; class Mammalia; order Primates; family Hominidae; genus Homo; species Homo sapiens. The sequence goes on from NC_000016.10 coordinate 89,155,677, forward strand.
TCTAGGCCTTGCTGGTAGCTAAGGAAATGCCTTCTGTTGGGAAAAGGTCAAATTTAACATAGCAAAATTTTTACTTAATTCCACTAATTTTACATTTGCATCTCTCTCCTTTAATCCTGAAACTTTTGATTCCTAAAAAGCTTACATAATCATTTGCTTTATCCGATAGTATACATCAGTATATCATGCTTTCGAAATAATGAGTGTAACTTTCTGCTGACAATACTACAAACTACAGAAAGCCTGGAGCTCATTGACCAGAAACTGCAGAGAGCCTGGAGCTCGTTGACCACAAACTACAGAAAGCCTGGAGCTCGTTGACCAGCCGGTTGACCAGAATACGGTGCTCCAAGGACATGCGGTTGAATGCCGTGTTCTAAAGTCACGAGTGACTCTCCAGCTGGTCCCTGTGCCAGGCTGGTCGGCCTTCGTGCACACAGTCCGCCAGTGCCCAGCCAGGCCCCTGGTTCCCCTCTGCTCCACCAGCCGAGAACAAGCCCGTCCTGGAGGGAACTCATCCTCTCCTCCCTCCCCATTAAAGCCCAGTTTATTCCCCATCTTGGCCTCTGGTGCTGACCTGGCCTCTGGAGACACAGGCCGGGGGGTGCTGTTTGCGAACTCACCGTGACTGAGCTCCATGAGGATACCACAGTCCCACGTGGCTGGCAGCGCCCACCCCACACACCCTGCCCCTTGCTGGGCGGCCCCATGCCACAAAAGTTAGACCCAGGAGCAGGTGCCCTGGGAGCAGGCTGCCACCAGCTGGGTCAGAAGCCCCTCTACATGCCTGGTGCTTTTGACCTCCTAGGGAGGCTGGCTTGAATCTGGAAAGTCACCAGTTCTGACCCCAGCCAGACACAGGGGTGCTGCCAGGAGCTGCTCCCAGGCGGGTGGCCCAGCTTCTCTCAGGCACCAGGGGATGGCAGGACTCCTGGTGACCAGCTGGTCCCCAAAGCCGTGGCACCGCGCCTGCTGCTGCCAGCAAAGTCCCACACACAGCCTGTGGCAGGTGCCGCCCCATTCTTTCTGCCCCTCCCTCATCAGGGGCCAGGGTGAAGCCCCTGCCGCCCTCTGCCTTCCCTCCACCTGCGGCTTCCCTGGCAGGGAGACCATGGACCCAGCTCCTGCCTCCTCCATTCGTTTAACAGATAGGGCCCAGGCCAGCAGCCCAGGCATTAGGCTGGCCGGTCCACTGAGGCCTAGACAGGCCAGGCCTGAGGCAGCTCAGGAGTGCCAAGCTGGCCCCACGTTCCCACCCAACAGCGGCCCTTGGGGCTGCCTTCCTGCCAGGTGTCCAGGCCCAACACACAAGACCTGAGCCTGCTCTGCCTCAGTTTCCCTACTCTGTGAACTGCGGCTGCTGCTCTCTCGGGGCCCTTCTAGCCCTGGCCAAGGGGTGGGGGCTTTGTTCCCTCGGGCGTCCTGTCCCTGGGGACTGGCCACACACACACCACACACTGCCCTCCCACCTGGACTCTGTCCCAGCGGCACCAGGGTCAGGAGCAGGAGCCTCAGGACCCACGCAGCACCAGGCACAGCACGGAGTGAGGCAGTGGGCGGTGTGGCAAGCGCTGTGTGCACCACTAACCTGGAGGAGCCACGGCTCCCGGACCCTCGTGTCAAAGCTGCCGGCCTCCTTTGCTGGGAGCCTGAGAGGAGGTCCTGGTGCAGAACAGCAGCTTGTTGCCAGCCACAGTGAGAAGGTGGTGAGTGTGCCAGCCACTGAGTTAACCATCAGTAACAGGAGGCGTGTGCAGACAGGTGTGGACCACAGGTATGTATGTCACATGCCTGCATACGTCACATGTATGTGTATCTCACACGCCTGCATACACCACAGGTATGTATGTCACACGCCTGCATATGTCACATGTATGTGTCTCACGCCTGCATAAGTCACATGCATGTGTGTCTCACGCCTGCATACACCACAGGTATGTATGTCTCACGCCTGCATGTCACATGTATGTATCTCACACGCCTGCATGTCACATGTATGTGTATCTCACATGCCTGCATATGTCACATGTATGTGTATCTCACACGCCTGCATACACCACAGGTATGTATGTCTCACGCCTGCATATGTCACATGTATGTGTGTCTCACACGCCTGCATAAGTCACATGCATGTGTGTCTCACACGCCTGCATACACCACAGGTATGTAAGTCACACGCCTGCATGTCACATGTGTCTCACACGCCTACATGTGTCACATGTATGTGTATCTCACACGCCTGCATACACCACAGGGATGTATGTCTCACGCCTGCATATGTCACATGTATGTGTATCTCACATGCCTGCATGTCACATGTATGTGTCTCACACGCCTGCATACACCACAGGTATGCATGTCTCACGCCTGCATATGTCACATGTATGTGTATCTCACACGCCTGCATGTCACACGTATATGTCACACGCCTGCATATGTCACATGTATGTGTATCACACACCTGCATACACCACAGGTATGTATGTCACGCCTGCATATGTCACATGTATGTGTGTCTCACACGCCTGCATATGTCACATGTATGTGTCTCACACGCCTGCATAAGTCACATGTATGTGTCTCACACCTGCATACACCACAGGTATGTATGTCTCACGCCTGCATATGTCACATGTATGTGTATCTCACACGCCTGCATATGTCACATGTATGTGTATCTCACACGCCTGCATACACCACAGGTATGTATGTCTCACGCCTGCATATGTCACATGTATGTGTATCTCACACGCCTGCATACACCACAGGTATGTATGTCTCACACACGCCTGCATATATCACATGTATATGTGTCACACATGCCTGCATACACCACATGTATGTCACACACATCTGCATATATCACTTGTATGTGTCTCACACACCTGCATACACATATATGCCTCACACGCCTGCATCTATCATGTGTGTGTCTCACACACCTGCATATATCACATGTATGTGTCTCACAGCTGCATACACCACAGGTATGTGTCTCACACACGCCTGCATATATCACATGTATGTGTATCTCACACGCCTGCATATGTCACATGTATGTGTATCTCACACGCCTGCGTATATCACATGTATGTGTGTGTCACACACACACCTGCATACATACAGGCACATGGACACCTGTGTGCACACCAGTCCCTCCCTTCCCCGTCACCATCAGGTTCAGCCGGGCCTGTGGTCACTGCTTCCCCGAGGCAGCTGCAATGGGGCCCCGGCTCCCCCTACATGGTGCGTCTGATCAGGTTGGGACTCGCTCAGGTAGCTCTCATCACAAGGTCCTTGTGCACTGTTGCGGCTGCTCTTGGTGGCCCTTCTAGAGCCTTCCTGAGCCAGAGCAGACTCCTGCTCCCCCCAGACCCCCTGGGAGTCGATTCTGTCCCCTTCTTCCTGGCCGCAGGTCGGTGCAGCCGCTTTCCTGCCTGGAAGAGTAAAGTGGACCCTGTGTGAAAACATTGACGACGTGGCAAATGAGCAGCAAATTGATCAATACGAATGATCACGCCCCATGTGCATCTCCTCAGCAGCCACAAGAGAGACGAGGTCACTGGAGGATAAACATCCGTGACTGCACCTCATGATCCATCACGCACGACGGCCGCAGCATCTCCTGCCAGCTGCCGGCACAGACAAGAGCACGGGATGGACGACCGCGGTAGCAACGTGGGGCTCATCTGCCTCTCTCTGAGCAGGAAGCCCGTAGGTCCCCACAGGCGGGTGCACGGAAGGGGTGGGTCCTGGGCCCAACAGGCACCCCCTGAGCACCAGCCCGTCTGAGGGTGGGCGGAGGGCGCTGCCGCAGGTCCCCACATACCCAGCGCACGCTCACCCCACACTGGAGGCACCTGCCGGGTTCTGACACCCCTCGAGGTGCCTTCCCAGGGTTCTCACACCCACTGAAGGCAGCGCGCTCAGCCTGCTTTGCACATGAGCCGCTGAGGCAGGCGAGTTGAGGGCGAGGGTGTGAATCACGAGCTTGGGGCCAAAGCCCAAGGTCGTCCCCTCTGGCCGGCAAGCTCAGGCTCACACGGGGAGCCACCAGGCTGGACTGGGTGCAGCTTACGGACGTGGCGCGTGCTGTGGGCGTCGGGCCGCGGCTCCTCCATGCAGTACTTACACTGCTGTCTGCAGATCGCACCCAATCAGGAGGGAATGGTCCAGGCAGGTGGGCAAGGCCACGGTTTGGCCAGGTAAGGCTGGGAGGGCCCAGGATGATTGTGCGTTGAGCCAGGCAGATCTGGAGAGGCGGAGGGATGGGGACGGAGCGCCATGCAGAGGCCGCTCGGTCCTCAGGAGCTGAGCATCACCCTGGGAGTCTCAAGGAGGGTGTCCCCTGGCCTTAGCGGGCAGCCAGGGCCAGCATGTGGTCTGTGGCAGCCGGTCTCAGAGGTGGCCTGGTTCGCAGTCTTGCTGGATGGAGATCCCCAGCTCCTAGGGCAAGGGCAGGTGGGGTGGGGCCGCCTCGGTCAGCTGATAGGAACTGAACTGAGAAGGCTGTGAGCCGCTGAGTCGCCCTAACTGCAGGGTGGTCCTGCGGGCAGTACTGAGCCCGCCCTGCTGGGCACCCCACAGCCCCTGTGGCTCTCCAGCTGCCACTGAGGCCGGACGCCTCATGAGGAGGCTCCCATCTGTGGGTGGCAGAATGACGGCCCCGAAGACCCCCCGCTTCCTCACCCGAAGACCCCCCGCTTCCTCACCCGAAGACCCCCCGCTTCCTCACCCGAAGACCCCCCGCTTCCTCACCCAAAGACCCCCCGCTTCCTTGCCCCGAAGACCCCGCTTCCTCACCCTGGGACCTGTGAGTTCACACAGCAGCGGGGACCTGCGACTGTGGACGGCACATCAGCTCCCTCAACAGGGAGGCTGCCCTGGGTGACCCGCGAGGGCACAGGGTACCTCCGTCCTGCTGAGTGGAAGAGGGAGGCCATGGCGGAGGCGGGCGTGAGGGGGACTGGCCTGCCACTACTGGCTTCGTGAGGGGCCCCCAGCCAAGGAGAGGCCTCCCGAAGCCGGAAGAGGCGGAAAATGGATTCTCCCAGGAGCCTCCAGAAGGAACCTTGGTGTTGGTGGAATGGGATGTGAGAGGACACGCGGGTGATGTGTCTTGGGTCACACCAGTTCCCGGTCCCCGCACCAGCCCGCCCTGGGCGGGAAGCCTAAGAGGAATGGAGGGGCCATCGTGGGGCTCTCCCGGAAACTGGCCCCGGGTGCCTCGGTCCCTGCGTCAGTGCGGGGTTTCGGTGGCCGCCCTGCTGGCTCCGGGCACTCCCTCCGTCTTCCTGCCACGCGGCTGGTCCTTCCTGGGCTGGGCTGAGTCACCCTCCATGCCCACCCGTCATACCCGGCAAGAGCTGGGGGCGTGAAGCCAGGCCCAGGTGGGCTGTGGCGGCATCCAGGTGGAAGGACGTGGAGGACTCGGAGGCGGAGGGGTCTCCAGGGCAGGGCAGGGCCAGTTGCCTGGGGCCATCTGCTGTGTCCAGGAGCCCGGCGCTGCCACTGGCCTTGCCCCAAGGCCCAGCTCTGCCCTTCATCCCTTCAGCACCTCCCCGTACCTTCCTTCCATGGGTCTTAAGCTGTGGCAAGTCCTTAAGCTGGGACGGCCAGCGCCAGCCCTGCCCCCAACAGGTCACTCAGCGGCTCGGAGCCCACGTCCTCCTCGGTGACACAGGAAAATGGTGCAGTTGTGCAAGGGCATGAGAGGGTCCCGTGGAAGGCACATTCCAGAAGGTTCTGTCCCATGGAAGGCACGTTCCGGAAGGTTCCATCCCATGGAAGCCACGTTCCAGAAGTTTCCATGCTGTGGAAGGCATGTTCCGGAAGTTTCCGTCCCGTGGAAGGCACGTTCTGGAAGGTTCTGTCCGGTGGAAGGCACGTTCCAGAAGGTTCCTAGCCCAGCTCCAAACACAGGCTGCAGGCTCAGCAGAGGGGTCTTCTTCTTGCCCACAGTCCCTGACCAGTGGGCTCCCCAGGGCCCTGTCGGAGCTGGAATGGGTGGAGCTTGGTGCCTGCAGGCCAGTCAGCACATCTTCAGAATCCATGGTGCTCCCAGGCTGGCCCAGGGCCTTAGGAGCACAGGGTGGGCACAGGACCCCAGGCTCTGCCAGCCAGGCCCTGACCGTCCTGGGCCAGCCGCTGCCCCCGTTCTGCATCCGCCCCTGTGCGATGCGACCTCTCTGGTGGCGCCCATCCCAGCTTCATTCCCCTGTGGGCCCTGCTTCAGTCTGCCTGGGACACGTGGGCGCGTGTGTGAGTTCGCATCAGCGAGCATGCGTGCAGCGTGTCACATATACATACACGTGGGCGCACCTGCACACCCATGTGTCACAGAGGAGGGAGACGGACTCACACGTGGTGGCCCTAGCCACACCCTCAGTCCTCTCTAAAGCACCAGCCGGTGCCCACCCAGGCAGCCCCTCATCATAGGCTCACAGGGCACGCCCCCCATTGCCAGTCTGACCAGACACTCACAACCATTCAGTTACTCTAGCCACGGAGTCATCAGTCTCCTTCATTACCACCTGCCCACCCTCCTCTGCCGCACAGCAAAGCCCATTAAGACAGCAGCAATGCGAGCAGCACGTGGTGCCTTTCATGCATCAGCCGCTTGCCCATATTCCCACCCCATGGGGAAGAGCTTCATCTTAGCTAGAAAAAGATGACACCCCACACCAGCTGAATAGGCTGCGTGCACACACACCTCCACACGCGCACATACACACACATGCTGACAGGTGTGCACATATGCGCACGTGCACACACAAATACGCACGCACAGCACACACAGACACATAAGTGTCCATAAACAACACAGATCTGGCCTCAGAGCCACCCTCCAGGTGCGGCTGCCCCGGGCCCCAGGTGCGGCTGCACCGTGCTGTGGTGACAGCCACAGCAGGATCAGAGCAGCCTCAAGGCCCTTCAGGAGCCGGCAGAGCTGGCCCCAGGCTGAGCTTGGGGAGGTGAGCCCAGGCCTGGGACCGACGCTTCCTAATTGGCGGGCAGAGTCCATGCAGCCCCTCCCAGTCTACACGGAAGCCCACGTGTCCACCTCCTGCTTCTGCTGTCCCCAGGACAGTGAAATTTACTAATGTGGATTAAGAACATTTTTTAAATAAAAAAACATTTTACACATTGAGGACGGAAGAGAGAAGATTACGGCCAACCAACCCCGTGCACTTCCCCGCCCAGGTTCATGGAGTCTGAGCCCTCTGGCCTCCTGAGCCTCTGGGCTCTGTCACCAGGTGGGCGCCTTCCCCAGCCCGTGAGGCTCGCTGCTCACGGGGGCCCCGATGCCTGAGTGATGTCATGGATTTAGGTTTCAGTGCTGGCACATGTGGCCCGCAGAGCTCAGCTCCTCTGTGAGGGACGTTTCGGCTCCTGTGGGCTTTGCTGTCCCCCATGCTGACTCTGCCTCACTTGGTTGTCCTCAGGTCACTCTGTGCGGTGTGCACTGACCCCAGCCAGTGGATGTTCCCCGTCCAAGAGCAAAGCTACAGTCGGCTGCAGGTGCAGTGACTTTTGCACAGTGGAAGAATTTCTCCAGAAGATATTCCTGCAGGTGGAATCACTGGATCGTAGGCCCAGATGTCTTCCACTTACTTGATTTTGCCTGATGCCTTCCAAGGAGGCTGTGCACAGCAGGTGTGAGATGCCCCATCTCACCAACCGGCCAACATCCCGATGGGAGATGTTGAGTTTTCACCACGCTGCTGAGTGTGACGTGGAATCTTCTTATTTTAGCTTGCATTTCCCTGATTACAAGTCAGGTGGAACATCTCGAATATGTTTCTGGGCCATTTGATTTTCCTGCAAGTCACCTGTTCCAGTTCTTTGCCCATTTCCTGTTGGGTTGGTCAATATTTTTTGTGATTACACGTTGGATACGTGGCTGGCCTTTGGCTTGCCTTTGACTTCGTTTGTTCTATCGAAGCATGTGCAGAATTGTTAAATTTTAATGTATTCAAATGCATTAATCTCATTTCTTATTTTTGTTGTTTTATTTTTTGTTTTTTGTTTTTTTGAGACAGAGTCTCGCTCTGTCTCCCAGGCTGGAATACAGTGACACGATCTTGGCTCACTGCAACCTCTGCCTCCCCACTTCAAGCAATCCTCCTGCCTCAGCTTCCTGAGAAGCTGGGACCACAGGCATGTGCCATCATGTCCGGCTAATTTTCTTTTTAAAATGTTGTAGCAATGGAGCCTGGGCTCAAGCCATCTTCCCACCTCAGCCTGCCAAGTAGCTGGGACCACAGACATGTGCCACTGCTGCGCCCAGCTAGCCTTTAATATTTTTAAATGCTGTAAGATCTGCAGGTTTTTTTCCAACCAAGTTTATAGCTTTTCACCCCACGGATCCCCGAGGCCATGACAGGCAGTGACCTCCTTGGGGCACCCGCAGAGTCCTCCCCCCCATCTTGGGAGGGCTTGTCCAGTTTCAGTTTTGTTTGTTTACTAGGCTTTGTTTTACAGTCACTAGTTAAATTTACTAAGATTTTTCAACTTCTTGTCTCAAGGGACTTCATTTTAATAAACAATATCTTTTCTCTTTTCTTTCTTCCTTTTTTTTTTTTTTTTTGAGACGTAGTTTTGTTCTTGTTGCCCAGCCTGGAGAGCAGTGGCACAATCCCGGGGTGTGGCTGCTCAGCCTGGAATCCTGGCCCTGGGGAAGGCTCCGGATCTGTCCCATGGTTTTTGAACCATCCTGGGTGCAGGCCTCTTTCTGGGCCTCCCCTGGTCCAAGTCCACTCTGTCTGGAGAAGGAGAAAGAGGATAACAGGAATGGCTGGGCCCTGGAGCCCTGATCCCCCAGGACGGCCCAGCCTTTCTTCCCAGCCCTGACGGCCGCAGAGCCCTGCCTGTGGGCCAGGCCTGGAGGGGTCATCGGAGGGGTCGCTGAACAGCCTCTCTCCCACCAGCAGCTGGAGACGGAGATTAAACGCGGGGAGACTGGCAGCGTCAGCTAAATTGATTCTATTACAGCGACTGATTTAATCTGAATGGTCGTTACTGTGATTTATACGGCTGCTTGGGATTCTTTGCTCCCAAATTTGTCTCCCGTCCACTTGATATTGATTGAAAGACGATGGAGGAGGTGGGGAGGGGCGGGGCTGCCTGAGCTGACTCAGGGACCCCTAACCCCTTCCTCTCTGCCCCGATTGCAGGGGTGCCAAGCACAGCTGTGCTGGGAAGAGCAGGAGGCAGCGGAGAGGACCTGGTGCCCTCCGTGTCCAGCACACGCCCCCTGGCCTCTGCCCTCCCTCCCACCCAGCTCTGGCCCAGAAGCGCCTGCCACCAGGCGGCCCATCCTTCCAGAAGCTTCTAGCAGATGGGACCGTCATCTCCCAGCCGTGGCCCTGGCCGGCCCCCCCAAAGGGCAGGGTGTGGAATGACCCAGGGCAATGCTGGGCTCCTCCGATGACGAAGCCGGAAGCTCAAAGGGTCTCTCTGAGGACTGGGGGCCTTACCCCAAGTTTCTTCATGTCCAGGGATCAGAACTGAGAGCTGCCAGCTCCTGAGGCAGCCCTGCCCTCCACAGGTGCCAACCACCACCCAGGAGACGGGATGGTAGGAACAGTAAGATGGTGGTCAGGAGGCAGCCACCCTGGCCTCCTCCAGTCTGGGCACCACCCAGCTCCAAGAGCCAGGCTGGGTGGCCAGGGCACTGCCACTGTCCCATGGCACAGGCTACCTTCAGGGACACTGGGGATGAGGCAGCCCCTGGACTATAGATGCAGCCGGGGTCCCTTTAACTCCCATCCCTACCCCGTGCCCTTCTCCCTACCCAGAAGCTCCTGTCCTTGCAAAGGACAGCACCCCCGCCCGCCCTCCCTGGGCAGCCAGCAGTTCTCACTGCCCTCTCCGGGGTGCTCAGTGCCTGTGGCTGACGGGGAGGACAGGTTTTGGGGGCACTGCCCTGTGCTCCCCATGCCCACCCTACCATGGGCCCAGCATGCTCAGGAGGACCCCGTCACACGACCTTCCTTCCAGGGCCCCAGAGCATGCGGAGCCCCTCCTCCCCTCTGCGGCCCCTTCCTGCTCCCTCTTCCACCCTCCTCCCTCCCTCCTGTCACAGTGTTGGGTTATGGGGATAAAGGACAGAGGCCTGGGGCACTGAGGGAGGGACAGAGACACCCACGCAGCGGGGGAGAGGACAGACGTCCGGAACTGGGTAGAGATGGGCCGTGGGTGGGATTTGCTGGGGACAGAGACCTATGCAGTGGAGGAGAGGACAGACGTCCGGAACTGGGTAGAGATGGGCCGTGGGTGGGATCTGCTGGGGACACAGACCCACGCAGCAGGGGAGAGGACAGACGTCCGGAACTGGGTAGAGACGGGCCTGCCGTGGGTGGGATCTGCTGGGGACACAGACCCACGCAGCAGGGGAGAGGACAGACGTCCGGAACTGGGTAGAGATGGGCCGTGGGTGGGATCTGCTGGGGACACAGACCCACGCAGCAGGGGAGAGGACAGACGTCCGGAACTGGGTAGAGACGGGCCTGCCGTGGGTGGGATCTGCTGGGGACACAGACCCACGCAGCAGGGGAGAGGACAGACGTCCGGAACTGGGTAGAGACGGGCCTGCCGTGGGTGGGATCTGCTGGGGACACAGACCCACGCAGCAGGGGAGAGGACAGACGTCCGGAACTGGGTAGAGATGGGCCGTGGGTGGGATTTGCTGGGGACAGAGACCTATGCAGTGGAGGAGAGGACAGACGTCCGGAACTGGGTAGAGATGGGCCTGCCGTGGGTGCGATCTGCTGGGGACACAGACCCACGCAGCAGGGGAGAGGACAGACGTCCGGAACTGGGTAGAGATGGGCCGTGGGTGGGATCTGCTGGGGACACAGACCCACGCAGCAGGGGAGAGGACAGACGTCCGGAACTGGGTAGAGACGGGCCTGCCGTGGGTGGGATCTGCTGGGGACACAGACCCACGCAGCAGGGAAGAGGACAGACGTCCGGAACTGGGTAGAGATGGGCCATGGGTGGGATTTGCTGGGGACACAGACCCACGCAGCGGGGGAGAGGACAGATGTCTGGAACTGGGTAGAGATGGGCCTGCCATGGGTGGGATCTGCTGGGGAGGGGAGCGTTCGCATGGTGTGGGGGGCTGGACAGCCACTCTCTCCGGGACCACAGCTTTCTGGGCTGGGGCAGGACAAGGCCACTCATGCCCCACTTGCCCTTCTGAGGTTCAGCCAAATGAGGCTCCCACCCCCATGACTCACAAGGCAGCTGGGAGCTCCGGCACTACCCGTGGGGATGGTCAGGACTCTAGGGGCCTTGGGGGGTGTGGGCCACTCCACCGTCAGCCCCAGCCCCATCCCCAGCCACAGCCTGTCTTTGGAGGGTGCTGACTGGGGGCCATTGCAGCTTATGGATCCCTGTGAAAGCCTGAACATCGGGAGCAGCCTGGTGACCTCTGCTCTCTGGTTCCCCCAACAGTGCTGTCCCACGTCCCCACCCCTGTGGCCAGCTCCGCCCACTCAGCCTCAGCCTTGCTGGGGCCTGGCCCGACCTCAGGAGTCCCTGCTGGCCTGGCCACCCTTGTGCCTTCGCCTCAGCCATCGGGGAGGCTCGGGTGGTCTCAGGGCCAACGCCAGGTGAGACCTCAGGTGAGCTGCCCCCCACCTTCCCAGTGCTCAGGGCCAGGGAAAGGGTGGTGGGCATGGACCACACTTGCAGCCCCCCCCTGGGGCATGCCTGGCCGCTGGCCTCCCTGATCCCTGCCCGGGTTGGGGCTCCAAGGGCAGGAAGTCAAGGCGTCCACGCTTGGTGACAGTGCTGGGCCGGCCTGGAGGGGGCAGGCATGTCCAGCATGGAGACGGAAGCAGGGAAGAGCCCATCGTCCCCTCCCAGCTCTGCCCTGAACACCCTCCAGCAATCGGAGGAGCCCGCTGCCCTTCCCCCACCCGCCTCCACTGGCATCCCTGGAGCCACACTGCCCCCTGCCGGGGCTGGCGGGTGTGATGGGCCACCAGGCCACCAGCCCTGACCCCGCCAGCCCTGAGCCCGCCAGTCCTGAGCCCACCCGAGCTCTTACGGCTGCACCTTGAGCCAGTGCCTGGTTGGCTCCTCTGTCACTGTGGGGAGATGGGACGCAAAACCAGTGTCAGGCTGGCTGGGCAGGACAGGACCCCACTTCCCCAGGTCAGGGACAGGCCTGAGGGAGCCCCAGACAGGCCCGCCACCCCCTGACCCCTCTGTGCCCAACTCCCCGTAGAGCCAGGACTGACCGTCAGGCTCCAGGGACCTGCTGTCCCCAGGTCCTCAGGAGGGCCAGCACCACCCCGCCCCCACCAGCAGCCCCTCCTGTCTAACATGTCCGTCTGTCTGTCTGTCTGTCTGTCCGTGTGTTTTGAATGCCCAAGATGTTTTAAACAGACTTCTCGAATATTCTTTTCATGTGTGTTGCAGGGGGGGTCAGGGGCTTCTGAACAAAAACGGCACCCCCATACCTGATGGGGCTCCTCTGAGCCCACCTGGACTGACCCCCTGTGGCCGCCAGGGGCAGCTGGTGGCCTGCCTGAATGTGGGGGCAGTGTCACCCCTGAGCCCAGAGAGCCGGAGCACAGCAGGGTCCAGGATGGCCCCAGCTACAGACACTGCCTGGCTTCCTCCACACCCCGAGATCCAGCTGCGTCTCCTCTGTCCCGGGGAAACTTACGGGAAACTTATGGGCGGAAGTCCCTCTGCAGGGCCCACTACCCAGAGCCAGCCACATGCACTCAGGCCAGGGCTCAGGGGCCGTGGGGGCTGGTGGCCCCAGCCCTTCTGGATCCACTCCCCACCCCTCACTCACTCCGTGGGGACCTTCATCTGCCTAGATGGGCTGGTCTGTGCTCTGACGGCCCCAGGACTGGGTGTCGGCCTCACCCCAGCGCCCTGGCGGCCTCCCGGCCAGAGTAGAATGTTGGAAGGGCATGGCCCATGGCCGACGCCAGGCTCCCGGCCAGGGCCCACCTGTGTTTGTCTCCTCACCCCGGCCTCCTCCAGCCTCAGGCCCTGCCTGTCAGACAGGGGCACTTGCCCAGGGGCTCCTCAGGGAGCAGTTGGTACCTGCAGAGCAAGCCCCCAGAGCCCCTGCCACAGGCACCCCAGCCTCAGGTCAGGTCTGGAATGGACACAGCCCCCAGACCAAGACCAGGGCCTCCTCACCCCGGGGTCCCCTCCCTTGGTGTCGGGTGTCACCCAAACTCCCTGGACGTCACCCTTCTGCCCTCCACGCCCCACACCCTGGGTAGGAGCCGCCTTCACAGCTGCTAACCCCTGCCCTCCAGCCCCCACTGCCTCTTCGGTAACGGGGCTGTGACTGGCCTAAGCCCTGGGCCTCCACAGGGCCCCTGTCCAGCCCACCTTGCTCAACCGCAGCGTTCCGCATCACGCCTGCCCCTTAGTGGTTGGGGTGTGCATGTATATTTATACACTGTAATTACATAAATACAATTTAATAATCAAGGGTCAAGTGCCGTTACTGCACTGTGCAATTACAGAATCACTCCAGAGCAGACACCATGGCATCTCAGCTGAAAACCGGCACCCGCCTGCATCTATCGTGAGAAAGTTGGAAATTCCTTAGCCCAGCCTCGACCACTGCCTGCGGTGTTGGGAGGAGTGGCCAAGGGCTGGGGGTGGGGGGACCTCTGGGACATCCAAGACTGCAAGGCTCCTGGGGGGTCCGGGACCCTGTTTGTTGTCCCCCCGTTCCTCATACTGGGGAGAGGAAATAGGATGGGAACTGAGGCTGTGGACCAGGGAGCCCCCTCTACATCTTGGCCGGCCCACCCCCACCTCATGCCCATGAGGTGCGTCCCCCGAGGTGGAGAGTTGAGGTGGGCAAGGCAGAGGGCAGGAGTGATGGGGGTGAGTCCCAAAGGCTCAGGACTGCAGACTCTGGAAAAAGGAGGAGAAGGCCCAGAGTGGGGTCCTAGCTGGAGGCTTGGGGTGCTGAGGGAGGGTCCGGCGTCTCCAGGTCCACCAGGAAAGGGAAGGGCTCTTCTAGGGCTGATGGTCCTGCAGCCGAAAATGTACCCCTGCCCCCACTGCACAGGACCTCCAGACTCAGGGTACCCAGCCCTTCCCTGCCACCTACCTCTGACACAAGGAGAAACTGAGGCACGGGGGAGAACCTCCAGCCCAAGGCTCCGAGCTGGGACTGGACCCAGGCTCCTGCCTCCTGACCTTCCTGCTGCCCTGGGAGCATGTGGAGCGGGGTCCCTCGCGGGGGCACCTGCCCCTGGGGGATAGCCCGCCAGCCAGGGAGCACACCCTCCCGCAGTGGTTAAGCCGGCTGCTTCCCTGGCCCCGCCCTGCATTTGGGGCTCACCCAGGACCTGGCCCAGCTTAGCCTTTCCCTTAGAGACCCCCACATCCCATGGAGGAGGGATTTGGCCTCCGTTTCTCCCCGAGGTGGGTGGGAGGCAGGTGGCTGAAGCGAGGTGGGTGCAGGGTGGAAGCGGAGAGGAGCTGGGGTTGGCAGACCGCAGCCTCCCCAGACCTCTTTCTGGGGGGAGGGCGAGCACTTCTACCTCACCCCTGCACTAGTCCCGTGAGGATGAAAACCAAAAGCACTCAGAGGGCTTCTCCACCCCTATTTTGAGGTCACTGACCACAGAGGCAGGATGGTGGTCCCCAACAGGCTACACCCCAGCCCCAGAGGCCTCCCAGTCTGGAGATGGACTCCCTGCCCTCTCTCATCTTGGAGCAGTGAGCGCTAGGGACAGTCCTGGCCTGAGCCTCCCGGGCAGCCTGGCCTCCTTTCAAGCAGGCCAAGTGCACAGATGCTGCCTGCACCTGCACAGCCACCCGCCGTCGACAGGAGAGCAGAGGTACCGGGTCTGCTCCCATCACAGAGAGGAACGGGCTCCCCGGCCCGGCCCTGGGCTGGTCGGCAACCCCCACTCCCCACCCTGCCTGCTCAAAAGAAAGGATCCTCCTGCCTCCAGCCCCCTCCACCCCCTCTCCAGGACCTTCCTGACCGTGCGCTGGGCCTGTGCAGGTGTTGAGCCACACCCACACCATCCCAGGGGGCGGGGTCTCGAAGGGGAGAACAGGTGCCACAGTCAACAGGAGGGAGGGCTTCTGGCCGAGGTGGCAAGGAGGCTCCAGGAGGCGGCAGCGTTGACCTTGGGTGTTGAGGGATGATGAGAAGGAGTTCTGTAGGAAGGAAGGTGCTCCAGGCAGGGGGCCTCGGGGAACAAGGGGATGCTGGAGGAGGTGCGTGGACTGGGGGAATTGGGGGTGTCCTACGAGCCACGCTGGTATCAGAGGCGTGTGAACCAGAGCAGTTCCATACTGAATAAGAGCTGGGCAAAATGAGGTCGCGAGGAGGTGCGTGGAAGGCGGGCCTAGCGTTCAGTGGGATGCGGGGAGGCGCAGGAGACGCAGCCAGAGAGGCGAGGGGCCCAAGGAAGTGCTCAAGAGGTGTCCCCCGGCAGGGACTACAATGCAGATTCCCTGGAGCAGGGGCGAGCCGGGCCCAAGGAGCAGGAAATGAAGAAGCCAGGAATCCCAGCTGGTCCCTGACCCGGACGCACCCACCCTGCCTTCCCCACAGCCTGGCCTCTGGCTCTGCTCCCAACGCAGCAAGCCGGGGTATCTCCGACCTAGCCCTGGCCCTGCCCGCCGGAACCCCGCAAAAGCTATCACTCAGCCCTCGGCCCCGCCCCGGCCCCACCCCGGCCCCACCCCGCACTCTCACAAGGTGTCACTCAGCCCTCGGCCCCGCCCCGCCCGCCCCATCCTCCTCTGGCTCCGCCCCACCAGCCTCGTGCGGTCACCGCCCCGCCGGCGCACCTGCGCTGTCACTCAGCCCTCGGCCCCGGCCCCGCCCCGCCTGCCCCACTCGCACACGGGCTATCACTCAGCCTGCGCCCCGCCCTAGCTCGCCAGAGGCTCCGCCCCACCCGCCTGCCAACACGCTGTCACTCAGCCTTAGCCCTGCCCAGGCCGGCCCTCGGCCCGTCAGAGGCCTCCTTCGTGCTGTCACTCAGCCCTTGCCCCGCCCCCTCCCCGCCCCCCTCACACGTGCTGTCTCTGTCTCTGGCCCTGGCCCGCCCCGCGCACTTGCGCTGTCACTCAGCCTGGACGCGCTTCTTCGGGTCGCGGGTGCACTCCGGCCCGGCTCCCGCCTCGGCCCCGATGGACGCCGCGTTCCTCCTCGTCCTCGGGCTGTTGGCCCAGGTAAGGCATCGGCACCTGCGGGGGTCCCCGCTGCCTCCCTCGACGCTGCGGGACAGTGTCTTCAACTGCAGCCGCACAGGTCTCCCCCAGAACCACTGGCCCTGGTCGCCTTTGGGGGCCTGTGAGCGGAGTGGCTCCGGGTGGGTCCCTGGGCTGGGGGCAGCACCCCAGGGGTTGTGGGGAGTGAGTGTAACCAAACACTCCATCTGGTGGAATCACCCCCAGGACTGCAGAGTGCTGCTGGGGTCAGGGACCCCAGGCAGGGGCCACCCAGGTAGCCGTGCCCTCTCTTTGGAGGAACCGCTGCCGGGGTCTGGGGGTTGCCAGTCTTGAGTGGAGCAGAGAGAGGGGGGAGCGGCAGGAGTGCCCCTCTCTGGGGGGCTGGGGGCCAGGTTTCTATAGGGACTCCCTGCGGTGGGCACAGGACCCCTGGCTAGTCTTGGGTTTTGTCCAAACCCCCCACCCCAAGTTCCTGGCCAGCAGGGGTGGCTGCAGGCCCTGCCCCCAGGAACTCACCCTCACGGCTACTTCTCGATTGGGAGGGCCCAGCCCGAGCCAGGTCGCAACACACGGCCTTGCAGAGTGGCGTGTGGCAGCCCTGGGGGCTCTGTTCCTGGGCTTCACCTGGGACCCTGCCGCAGCTGCCTGGGGTGATCAGGCCTGGGGGCCCAGCCCCCAGAGGCTGCTGGACTCTGCCCCTAAAAATCTTGTCTGGACTGCTGGCACCGTGGTCTCTCCAACGTGGGAGCAAGCCAGAGTGGAAGGAAGCCCAGGCCTCAGCCCCCCACACCCGACATGGGTACTGCCTAGCTGGAGCCACGTCTCCTCACACCCTAGGGGGACCTAGACATGGAGGATGTGGCCTCAGTGGCTTCAGCCCCCAGGGACTGGGCTGGGCTGGGGCATGGCCGGCTGTGGTTGGGACGTCACTGGGTACAAGAGGGCAGCCTCTCTCTGGCCAATTCGAGAGAGAATGCACATAAAGGGCTTAGCGGTGCTCACAGTATTCATTGCTCTTGTGGTCCTGGGGTGGTCAGGGAGTGCTGGACACAGTGAGTAAGGGAAGCCACTCCTTTCCCAGCCCCCACTGAAGGGGCTTCCTGAGTCCCCTCATTCCCACAGGCCTCCCAGCTCCAGCTGGCTCCAATTTCAGCCCCTGGCAGCTGACCAGGCGCCTGGCCAGCCAGACCCTCCAGCAGCTGCCCCTGAGGGCACCACGGCTCCTGCCACCCCCGACTCCCCCATCTGGAGACAGTGGTGGGGGGAGACAGTGGCTCAGCATGCGTGCTCACCCCCCGGCCCTCCACCCCTCAGCCCTCTGCCGGGGAGCGCAGGCTGGGGGGCTCCATGCCTCCAGGGCCCTTCCCCACCTGCTCTGGGGACAGGGTTTCTTCCCTGGCACCCCAACCCAGGGCATGGTGGTGGGGAGGCTGGCGCCTGTGAAAACATTCCTCCAGACCTCTTCCTTTGGATTTGGGAGTGTCTGCCTTTCAAAAGGCCCCAGGGGGCTCTGTGGCAGGTGGGGAGGCAGGCAGGACCTCTCCCTCCTCAGAAGCCTTCCCTCTCACTGTCCCTTCTTTTCTCGCCCAGGGCTGGGGGACAATAACCCCCTCCCCCGACAGCTGGAGGCTGGGGGAGGTGGTGGAGGTGGGGGCCAGATGGCAAGGGGACTATCGCCAAGGCTCAAATTCACTCCACTGTGAGGCAAAATATGTCAGTGTCAGGACCCTGCCTGCCCCTCCCCCAGCAGCTCAGCTTTCAGGACTGTGAGCTCTCCTGGGCAGCCTTGGGGTCCTGGGCCGCCTCCTGGTGAGCCCCCAGGCAGGCAGCGTGGGCCCATCAGGGCCTTCTACAAGTGAGGGGTTGCTCCCCTGCTCGGGCCACCTCTGATTGCTGAGCTCACTCAGCCCCACCCGGAGGGTGTCTTCAGAACTGGCCCCTCTCAGCCCTGCTGCACCTACACCATCCCTAGTTGCTGGTTCTACACCTGGGACCCCACCCCAGCTGGGAGGCGGCTGAGGTCTGGGGCAGCACACTTGACTCACAGAGAACCCCAGCCTGCTGGGAAGGTCCCCACTTCTGCATCTGGGTTTTGGGAGCCCCTTGGTCTCTGGGAGACAGTCAGCAGCACCCTGGGGGCCAGGCAGGGGCTCTTAGCTCGGGTGACTGTGACCAAGGCCAAGAAGGGAAGTGGCTCCCAGGCCACTGTTCTTCCCACAGTGGAAGGACAGCCCCAGACACCGTGCTTTGGAGGGGACAGCTGCCTCCATGCCTCTTCTTCCACATCCCTTCTCTGAAGCCCGCAGCAGCTAGAGAGGGTGGGGCCCAGGGAAGATGCTCCAGCCGCTCTGGGCCAGGCCAACAGCTGGGGCCATTCCTGGCATGCCTGGCCATCCAGGAACGGGGTGGCCCCAGATTCCAGCCTGGGGGAGGGGTTGAAGCCTGAGAAGCTTGAGGGGCCTTCGCACTCTCTTCCCAGGCAAACCCACCCACACGCCACCAAGCGTGTTCCTAGAATCTCGTAGCACCCTTCCTTGGAAAACCGGGGGAGCAGGAGTGCAAGGTCGGCCCCAGAACCGCTCCTCGTTCCCGTCTCGCAGTGGTGTTCGTAAACCCCATTCCCACCTCGCAGTGGTGTTTGTAGACTGCAGCAAGCGCCCAGTGTGTGCAGAGCTTTCTTACACAGCAGCCCCTTGGGGTTGAGTGTCAGGCTAGGAGCAGACCTCAAGAGAGGCGTTAAGTCCCAGGAGCTTGGCTGCAGGGCGGTGGCCCCAGACGTCTCAAGGGCTTCGAGGTGGTTCCCTCCAGGCTCTTGGCTAAGGGTCCAGTCGAGGATGAGCTTGGGGGTGTCATTGGGGACCCCCTGTGGGGAAGCAGGTCACTAATGTCCATGGGTCTTGCCTGGCTTGGGTGGGGGACAGAGAGGAGTGGACGAGTGTCCACAAAATCCACCTCCCAGGGTGCTTGCGTCCCCTACCCCAGGTGCAGGGCTGTGGGCTGGCTGCGTTGATGTGGCTTTGTCCTGGGCACCGGATGTCCCGATCTCCCCAGGACGGCTCCCAGGCCCTCCCTCCACTGGCCACGTCTTCTGGGACGGGGATGGGGTGGGAGGACAAAGAGCCAGCTTTGAGAACGCCCCCGAGAGCCGGAAGTGGGCCGTGGCCAGCCTGCTCACCCACACCCACATTGGCCGTGATCTGGGCAAGTGAGCCCTGCCAAGGCTCTGTGGCTGCTGTGACCTGGTGAACTCAGGCTGTGGACAGGCCTGGGCCCAGGACTCCCAGCCTCTGGCTTGACCACACCCGGCCCAGCGTGACTGGAGGGTCTCCGGTGGAGGCAGCTGGAGGTTGGGTGAACAGGGCTGGCCCAGGTTTGGTGGCAGCTGGGCAGGGAGGGGATGGAAACGTCTGCCCGGGTGGGGGTGGCCCCTCCACCTCAGCCGTGTGGGGTTCCTAGAGCCTGGGGTCTCCCTGCCCCATGCCCATGCCTAGCCCAAGGCCGGTGTGGCTCTGTGGCTGGATTTCCTTCAGAGCATGCGGTTCAGAGCCTAATCTGGGTCTCAGACCCCACGTGACTCCTGGCTCTGTCTGTGTGGCTTTGAGCAAATGCCTCAGGCTCTCTGAACCTCACTGCCCAGAGCTGGGAGGTGAAGGGACCACCACAGGCTCCCGGGGGGTTGGGAGGACCAAAGGGGAGGGGGAGAGGGAGGTGCAAAGCTGCCCAGCCACGGCCGGAAACAGACCCTGTGCCCACCGAGGCTGATGAAGGCCCCATGCTGGGCAGGCAGGTTTCCACTTGGCAGGAGCTGCCCTGCCCTGGAAGTGGCTTGTGCTCTGTGGGTGCTGGCAGGCTCCGAGGCCAGGGCCGCCATCTGTCAGCTGGCAGAGAGCTTCCCCGGCAGGGTCCCCTGCCTGGGAGCCTGAGGAACCCCCACCCCATCCTCTCCCTGCTTCCTGCCAAAGCGTTTGCTACTCTCTGGACTCCCAGGAGGCCATGGAGGAGGGGACTCAGGTCCTGCTGGCCGAGGACCAAGAACCCCAGGGAAGGTGGCCATGGTTTGGAGGCTGCTGCCGCTGCCTGTGGGGACCTCTGTGTGCTGGGCCAGCCCTGGGCACAGGACACAGTCAGAGCGAGAGGCCCCAGTGCCCCATCTCAGGGTGGGCAGATGGGCAGCCTGGGCCTTGCTCGTCCACACAGGGTAAGCGGCCGGTGGTGGAGGACAGAGGCCAAGCCTAATGGGGGTTCGGCCTGACAGGCTTCCTGGCCATGCCAACATCTCCTTCCCGGCCCCCGCCCACTCAGACTTACCAGCCCCCAACCGCTGCCTCCTCTCAAGGCCACATGCCCCCACGTCCCGGCCCCTGCCTAGACTGAAGTCTCGGCAAAGCCAGCAGGAGCAGGCGGCACTGGAGGGTGAGGCATTGGCACGGGGCTGAGGAGAGCGGGCAGCCTCGGAGCCAGCAGGGGCGTGGTGGTCAGAGTAGCTGTCGACACCTGTGGTTTTGCAGGGGGAGGGGCGGCCCAGCTGGCCCAGCTCTGACCCCCCGGTTCTCGGTGCTCCATTTCATGGGGCCCCACCCTGCCTGGAGCGGGTGCCCCCTTCCAGCGGGGAGCTGGGTGAGGCCTCCCACGCAGGGTCCCGCTCACCAGGGCCGACTCGGTGCTCCCTCCGCTCGCACAATGTGGGGAGCTGTTCTAGGTGTTGGTGTGGCGTGGCCGGCACACCTCTGTAGTAGGCACAGGACTTGGTGCCGGCTGGGGAGTCCCGTGAGCCTCCCTAGACCCCAGCCCACCTGCTGTCCAGATGAAGGAGCTCAGGAGCAGGCCGCGAAGACGGTGATGTGGAGATGGGGAAGGAGCTCAGGAGCAGGCCGCGAAGATGGTGATATTAAGATGGGGGCCCTGTCTGAAAGGGGAGCTGAGGAGTTTGTGTGTGGTGGGTGATGTTTGGGGCCTGCTCTGCTCCCAGACTCCCCATCGCCTGCCTGGGACCCCCAGCACCTCCCACCCGTCCCCCTGCCCGACATGGCAGCCCAGCAGCCTGAGGGCTTGTCCTGGGTGGGGGTGCCCCAGAGAGCATGGCCCGGGGTAGGGGGTCTCTGTCCCCTCCCAGCCGGGTGGTGCAGGAGGCTGCCCCGTCTCTGCGTTAGGGTCTGTTCCTTGGGGAGCTGCTGCCACCCCCACCACAACCCTGGCCACAGGGTCCTGGAAGCCTCCCACCCTGCCCACCCCAACTCAGCATCTTCCTCTGTAGCCCCTGTCACTGGGACGATGCAGACGCCACACCCTCACTACACGTGGTACCGGTGGGGGGCGGGAAGGGCCTCGGGTCTCTCACCCCCACAGCCCTGCAGTGGGGGGCTGGGAAGGTCGGGGTACCCTCGCCAAGGCTGATTGGGGCTGTGAGCGCTGGGCATGTGGGGCTGGGTGCTGGCCACACATGGGGCCTTAACCACAATGAGGTGAAAGGGGAACACAGCTCCTCACTTTTGCCAGGCACATTTCAAGGGCTCAGCAGCCCCATGTGGCCTGTGGGTCTTGGATGGTGAATATCTAGAACATTCTGGCAGCTAGGAGAGCGCTGTTGGGTGGGAGGGGGCCTCCAGGGAGGAGGGTCACCCGAGAGAAAGGCCGGGAGCCTGGCGACCCCCAGGACTAGGGAGGCACAGACAGCTCCTAGCCAGGCCCGGGGCACAGGGGACGGGGAGAGGGCACAGGGGATGGGAGAGGGCAGCCCTGTTTCCTCCTCCCTCATCTCCCTCTCCCCTGCCTCTCCCCCAGCCCTGGCCCCTGCTGCCCTCACCAAGTTCAGGCAGACTCTGTGCCCCAACGAGCTGCACCAGGCATCAGCCTGACCGGGGAGCTCGAGGGTGACCCCCATGTCCGTGCCGAGCCGAGTGGGGTCAGCCCAGAGCCATGTCCTGTCAGCTGCGGCAGCTTCCACCAGGCTGTGCTTTAGGGTCAGGGGTCTTTCAGGAAGAGCCATGCAGCCCACCCAGAAACACTGACTCCCCAGGCTCGGGGGTCCCAAGCACAGGTGTCCTGGGGATCCCAGGACAGGCAGGACCCGCCGTCTCTAAGCTTCCCTTTGACCAAGGTGGGGCCGGGCACCCCAGGAGGGAGGCCCAAGGCCCAGGCTAGGAGCTGGGTACGGTGACCGCATTTTTAAAACCAGAAAATTCAGGATGTGCTTTTGGGGTCACTACGAGTGCCCCTCTCCACCTGGCTCTTGGACTTGGGTCCCTTCTCTAGGCCTCAGTTTCCCCATCTGAGGGGTGGGTGTGGGGCTATCTGTGGTCACAAAAGTTGCTGACCGTCAGGACCTCGGGAGAATTTGGGGGCAGCCACCTCCACTTTGGGGTCTTTACCGGCCTGAGGGTCGTCCCGGCCCTGGAGTAGGGTGGGGTGCACAGCATCTCCCTCTGCACCCCACACTCTGCCCAGGCCCCATCCCCGAGCACCAGGGCTTCCCGTGTGCATTACAAACAGTGCGTCCCAGCCCCTGATGTGGGAGAGGAGGAGATGGGCACACCAGGGTCCCAGCAGCTGAAGTATTGGGGTGAAGAGATGAAGATTTTACCGAGGTACCCTGTTCTGGGAGAAGAAGAGTGAGGCTGGGGGTGGGGCTGCCCCTCTGTCCCCAGCCATGTCCCTCTTGGCTGTGCAGCCACAACAAGCCCCACCCCACCCAGCCCCACCGAGGCAGCCCTGGCCCCTGCCCAGTCAGTCTCAGGAACCCGCACCACCAGCGTTGGCTGCCCAGCCCTGACGTGTTGGGACCTGACAGACCAGCAGCAGCTGCAGGCCGGTTCAGCCACACAGCACAGTCCAGTTGGGGGCCGCTGTATGAATTACGGATACATCTCCAGCTGCTCTTGATGGACTGGAGCTGAACTCTCGCATCCCGGGGTTCAGTTCCCACAAAGCAGCCTGGAGAGGTGGAGGGGGACGGGCACTTTCCTGCAGGCACCTCCCCTGCCGCTCCCCCGGACCCTCCACAGCCAGCCCACTGTGCCCACAGGCACCGCCACTGGCTTCTTGGGGTCATTCCGTGTCAGGACCCCACGCTCTCCCCAGCCCTGGCTGGCCCAGGGGCTTTCCGTGTGCACCGCTACCCTGGCACCTGGGGCGAGGCTGTGTCCCCGCCGGGTGAATCTCAGGTGTCCCTCCCAGCCAGAGGCCTGGAACCCTAGCGCTACCTCCCAGTGGCCCATGCACTCGCCAGGGGCTGCAGACAGCCTGGCTGCTGAGTGGGCCCAGTAGGAGACTCGGGGGCAGCTGGATGGGGGCTTTGAGGGCCAGTACTTGGGGTGTGGCCACCAAGGCCCTGGCTCAGTCCGACGGGGGCGGGGCTCACGTGCCTTTGCCCTTGTGCTACGCAGCCCCGTGTGTGGAAGCCGCCTTGCGCCAATGGGCACCGACCCGTGGGCTGAGGGAAACACTGCGCCCCGTGGCCTCCTCACCACCCACAGCTCCCAGCTGCACGCTGCCGCCCAGGGCTCCAGGAGACGGTACTGTGGGACGCATCTGTCTTTGTTGCAGAGCCTCTGCCTGTCTTTGGGGGTTCCTGGATGGAGGAGGCCCACCACCCTGTACCCCTGGCGCCGGGCGCCTGCCCTGAGCCGCGTGCGGAGGGCCTGGGTCATCCCCCCGATCAGCGTATCCGAGAACCACAAGCGTCTCCCCTACCCCCTGGTTCAGGTGAGCAGGTGGAGGGGGCAGGAGGGGAGAAAGGGGTAGGCTGGTCCCCAGTGGGCCTCCCTCATTCTCTAAAGGTCTCCTGGGAGCCAGCGGGGCCCCATTTCAGGACAGAGCTGAGGCAGGACTCGCCCACCTTGCCAGGGCTCTGGGCTTCCAACCTGGGTCTAGAGCAGGGCTCAAACCCTCCCCATTGCCCCAGGCCACAGGGGAGTCCAGAGCTGCTCCCACCCCACATGCGCCTCGGGTGGACATACTCCACGTTAGGCTGCACGCTCGGGCGTGATTTTTGTGTGCGTGTTCGCCGACGCTGAGTAGATGGAGGTGAAGGTGAACTGCCTTGCGTGGGCCTCAGCTTCACATACCCAAAATCGCCCCAGAGACCAGGGCCCTGAGGACACCAGGAGCTGAGCCTGAAATGAGGCTGCAAGACGGGGCACCCTTGGGGCCACAGGCTGAGCTGTCCCCAGCCCAGCACAGCTCCTCATTGGGTACCAGGATCCGTCCTCCAGTCCTAGGAGACTTAGACCTGCCCTGCTGTCAGCTGGGGAGGGGCCTGAGGGGCTGCAGAGAGGGCAGAGGCCCCCGCCCGGAGCAGCTCTCCCCAAACCCATTTCCTGCCCCACAGATCAAGTCGGACAAGCAGCAGCTGGGCAGCGTCATCTACAGCATCCAGGGACCCGGCGTGGATGAGGAGCCCCGGGGCGTCTTCTCTATCGACAAGTTCACAGGGAAGGTCTTCCTCAATGCCATGCTGGACCGCGAGAAGACTGATCGCTTCAGGGTGCGGAGCTGCGTGGTCGGACCTGTGCCCCTCAAGCAGGCCTGGTGGAAAGCCAGTGCCCCTCCTCCCCACCAGGCTTCTCCTCCCCGCTCGGTGGGCTTCAGGCCAGACTGCAAGATCCAGGCACCCTTAAGTGAGGGGGCAGGTACAGGGGTTTGGGACCGAGGCCCTGCAGCCGGAGGAGGCAACTGTTGAGGGTTATGTGCCCATTTAACTGGAGGGCAGACAGAGGTCCCGTGGAGGAGCGGCTTGGTTCTGCCAGGGAGGAGCATGCTGCAGCCGCTGTAGCTTCTGTGGCTCAACCACAGCCAGCAACCCACTGGTCCTGGGAGCTCAGGAGTGTCGTGAAGAATCTCTAAATAGTGTTGTTTTTGTTTTTTGTTTTTGAGATGGAGTCTCGCTCTGTCGCCCAGGCTGGAGTGCAGTGGCGGGATCTCGGCTCACTGCAAGCTCCGCCTCCCGGGTTCACGCCATTCTCCTGCCTCAGCCTCCCGAGTAGCTGGGACTACAGGCCCCTGCCACCATGCCCGGCTAATTGTTTGTATTTTTAGTAGAGACGGGGTTTCACTGTGTTAGCCAGGATGGTCTCGATCTCCTGAGTGAGCCACCGCGCCCGACCTTTTTTTTTTTTTGAGATGGAGCTTCACTCTACCGCCCAGGCTGGAGTGCAGTGGCACAATCTCAGCTGACTGCAATCTCTACCTCCCCAGTTCAAGCAATTCTCCTGCTTCAGCCTCCTGAGTATCTGGGATTACAGGCTCCACCACCGTGCCCAGTTAATTTTTGTATTTTTAGTAGAGATGGGGTTTCACCATGTTGGCCTCCCAAAGTGCTAGGATTACAGGCGTGAGCCACCACACCTGGCCCCAAAATAATGTTGATCCCAGTGGCCGCCACTGTTCTGGGCAGTGGGGTTAGTCAGGGAAGAAACCACTGATGCCCCTTGGGGGCTGGGATTCTCAGAGAAGGGGCAGTGAGCGCCGGGCGCGGTGGCTCACACAATCCCAGCACTTCGGGAGGCTGAGGCAGGAGGATCGCTTGAAGCCAATAGTTCGAGACCAGGCTGGGCATCAAAGTGAGGCCTTGTCTCAACAAAAGATAAAATGGTAAAACAAAAAAGATAAAATGGTAAAATAAATTAGCCAGCGGTGTTGCTGCGTGCCTGTGGTCCCAGCTGCTTGGAAGGCTGAGGTGGGAGGATCCCCCGAGAGGTCGACACTGCCGTGCGCCGTGATTGCGCCGCTGCGCTCCAGCCTAGGTGACAGAGGAAGACCCTCTCTCAAAAAAAAAAGAAGAAAAGAGGACCGGGTGCGGTGGCTCACGCCTGTAATCCCAGCAGTTTGGGAGGCCAAGGCAGGCAGATCATGAGGTCAAGAGATCGAGACCATCCTGGCTAACATGGTGAAACCCCGTCTCTACTAAAAAATACAAAAGTTAGCTGGGCATTCTAGCGTGCGCCTGTAGTCCCAGCTACTCAGGAGGCTGAGGCAGGAGAATCGCTGGAACCCGGGAGGCGAAGGTTGAAGTGAGCTGAGTCCTCGCCACTGCACTCCAGCCTGGTGACAGAGTGAGACTCTGTCTCAAAAAAAAAAACAGAAGAAGAAAGAAGAAGAGGAGGAGGAAGAGGAGGAGAAGAAGAAAGAAGAAGAAGAAAAAAAAGGGCAGTGGGAGCAAGCCCTAGAGCCCAGAAAACCAGAACCCCGTCTGCACTCCCTTCAGGCGCCTGCCCTCCCCCAGCCTCCCCTCCCCCAGCCTGCCCTCCCCCAGCCTGCCCTCCCCCAGCCTCCCCTCCCCCAGCCTGCCCTCCCCCAGCCTCCCCTCCCCCAGCCTGCCCTCCCCCAGCCTGCCCTCCCCCAGCCTCCCCTCCCCCAGCCTGCCCTCCCCCAGCCTGCCCTCCCCCAGCCTGCCCTCCCCAAGCCTCCCCTCCCCCAGCCTGCCCTCTCCCAGCCTGCCCTCTCCCAGCCTGTCCTCCCCCAGCCTGCCCTCTCCAAAATGTCATTTTGGGCTGGGCACAACGGCTCATGCTTGTAATCCGAGCACTTTGGGAGGCCGAGGCGAGTGGATCACCTGAGGTCAGGAGTTTGAGAACAGTCTGGCCAACATGGCAAAACCCCATCTCTACTAAAAATACAAAAAATTAGCCGGGTGTGGTGGCACGCGCCTGTAATCCCAGCTAGTTGGGAGGCTGAGGCAGGAGAATCACTTGAACCCAGGAAGTGGAGGTTGCAGTGAGCCAAGATCACACCACTGCACTCCAGCCTGGGCAACAGAGCGAGATGCCATCTCAAAAGGTAAAAAAAAAGAAAAGTAACTTTGTACTTGATGTGGGGAAAGGACGCTTCCTGCCTTTGCCTCTGCAGGAAGCAAAATTTCCTTTTATTTGCCCCAAATCCTCCTTTAGACTTTGAGAACCAGTCCTTGTATCCCTTACATCAAAAGTTATTAGAGAGTATTTCTCACTTGGAAACTGTAATTGTGCCCATTCTCCGAAAGGATGGGAGGCAGTTTAAAATGTCATGTGCACAGGGGAATTAAACTTCAGGAGGAGGCCAGGCGCAGTGGCTCACCCCTGTAATCCCAGCACTTTGGGAGGCCGAGGCGTATCACCTGAGGTCAGGAGTTTGAGACCAGCCTGGCTAACATGATGAAACCTCATTTCTACTAAAAATACAAAAAATTCGCTGGGCGTGGTGACGTGCACCTGTAATCCCAGCTACTTGGGAGGCTGAGGCAGGAGAATCGCTTGAACCCAGGAGGCAGAGGTTGCAGTGAGCTGAGATGTCGCCATTGGACTCCAGCCTGGGCAACAAGAGTGAAACTCTATCTCAAAAAAAAAAACAAAAAACAAAAACATAACTTCAGGAGGAACAAAGACCACAGAGAGACAGGGAGAGAGATTAGGAACCCTCTGAGAGCCTTACTTTAGTCACACGTGAAGCTGTGAGCTTCCTGGCTGCCAAGGCAAGCAGGGAAAGTGGCACCTGCCCTGTCTGCTAAGGGAAGGTGGCTCCCGTTCAGGGACGTCCTCAGTCACTGTGACAGATGCCCCACCCTGTGCTGTTTCTCGCCTGTTTAAGCTGGTGTTTCCAGCTGGAGACAAAGTCTGAACGTGCTGTCTCTTTCGCATGGCCCTAACGGGAGCCACAGAAATTTGGGGGCCACAGAGCCAGCCCTTGCTCTATGTTTGAACAGCTAAGAGCGTTTGCCCTGGACCTGGGAGGATCCACCCTGGAGGACCCCACGGACCTGGAGATTGTAGTTGTGGATCAGAATGACAACCGGCCAGCCTTCCTGCAGGAGGCGTTCACTGGCCGCGTGCTGGAGGGTGCAGTCCCAGGTGAGACAGGACCACAGCCCCGGGCCGGGAGGGGCTGCAAGGAAGGGCTCTGTGAAGTCCAGGACTTCCCTTAAGCAAGAATTCCAGAGGCCCCTCAGAGTCTAAAAATAAGTAAACAAGTCTCCGAGGCAGGTCCGTTTCCACAGGTCAACTCCTGCCACTTCCCATTCCAACATAAATTTCAAACCCAAAAATCTGAGCCTGGGAGTGGAGGTTTTTCAGGGGTCTTGTTCTCCCCCAAAAGCAAATGACTTCTCCCTCCTGCTGAGGGGGCCATCTGGAGCCAGGCACACTCCATCCTCACCCTGTACTCACATGGGGTCCAGAGCACCCACAGGCATCTCTAGGTTGTGATTCACCCTAAACCCAGGCTGACCTGTAAGCTCCAGCCACGGGGACTCGCTCCCACCTCCCTGGGGGCCGGTGGTAAAGACCTGGTGGAAAGGCACAGGCCCCCTCGTGTCTGAGGCTACCAAGGACTGTGGCCAGGCCTGGCCCAGGCTCAGGCTTGGAGGCTCATATCCCGCCTCAGTTTCCTTCCCGTGTCTGTGGCAGTGGCCTCCGCGCCTCGTTCTGCCCCAGGTGACAGACAGCACGTCCTAGCTCCAGCTGTCCCGGGGGGAAGTCACAGCCAGCCAGGAGCTGCTCCCCAGGGTGGCCCAAAGCCCGTCCTTCCCACCCCACCTCGGTGGCTAAGTCCACCTGAGCTGCCAGAGGGGTCAGGCCTAAATCTCAGGAGAGGGAAATGGGGGGAGGTGAAACCTGGTCCTGCCATATGTGGTCCCTCTAGCGGCACCTTCGTGAGTACCGCTTCCCACAGCAGGTGGGGCGGGGGCTCTGGCCTACACAGTCACAGTGCGCGTCCTCTGCTCGGCTGTCGTGTGTCCTGCACCCAGCCTGCCCGCGCATCCTCTGTTTTATCCTGCCCTTGCATCCTCTGTCTTATCCTGTCCGTGCGTCCTCTGTTTTATCCTTCCCCTGCGTCCTCTGCCCAGCCTGCCCGTGCGTCCTCTGTCTTATCCTGCCCGTGTGTCCTCTGTTCAGCCTGCCCATGCATCCTCTGTCACCCTGGATGCCAGCAGCTCCTGGAGGCCCCCGCTAGCTAGCCCAATCTGACCCAGCGCCCTTAGCCCCTGCACTGGGCAGGCCCAGGAGCCAGCACCTGACCCAGGTCGCATCCAATGCTCCTGTGCTCCGACCCCATAAACAGCACAAGCCGGGCAAAAGGCTTCGACCACATAGGTGGCCTGGACACAGCACGGTGGGCTTCAGGGGCAGCGGGAAGCATCTCGACCTGGGGGTTGCCGCATGCTGGCCGCCTCGGTGACGCAAACAGCAGCATGGACTGACTGCCCCATCTGGGGTCAGCCGTGCTGGAACCGGGGAGCCTGTGCACACGAGGTGCCCCCACGCCCCTCACAATGCCCCCAGCCCATCGGCCCTGTGGACGTTGGCCCTCACGCCTCCCTGTGCTTCCCAGGCACCTATGTGACCAGGGCAGAGGCCACAGATGCCGACGACCCCGAGACGGACAACGCAGCGCTGCGGTTCTCCATCCTGCAGCAGGGCAGCCCCGAGCTCTTCAGCATCGACGAGCTCACAGGAGAGATCCGCACAGTGCAAGTGGGGCTGGACCGCGAGGTGAGGTGGCGCCCCGGCAGCTCCACACCCGCACGGCCAGGGCAGCCCATCTCCTGCGGGTCCCTCTGCCCCCAGCCTGCCCACCCCAGACGCTCCTGTCCCTGCCGTCACTGCAGAGCTTGCAGTGGCCCTGGCTCCTGAGGAGATGGCATGGGGTGAACCCACTGATGCGCAGACAGGAGCCGCGCTGGCCCGGGTGGGAGGGGTCTGGTGCAAGTAGGGCGTGAGGGGCCCGGCACAGGGCAGGGCTCCCCAAGCAGCCCCGCCCCTCTCAGCCTCATGGCAACGGCTCCCCGCTGGTAAGTAACTAACTCCTTCTGTCAGGGCCCCTGTTGCCCCTTGCTGTCGGACTTCGGTGCTCCCGGAAGACCCCCCTTGAGTCAGCTCCTCTAGGAAGCCCTCCTGGTTACACTGTTACGTGGTCTTTGTCCATTTCTGTTCCTGCCACTAACCACGGTTCCCCAGGGCAGGGACCCAAGCTCACTGGTGTGCTAGGTGCCCAGCACAGAGTAGGTGCTCTGTAAATGCTTACCCAGCGCACAGTAGGTGCTCTGTAAACACCCAGCGCACAGTGGTGCTCTGTAAACGCTTATCCAGCACACAGTAGGTGCTCTGTAAACGCTTACCCAGCGCAGAGTAGGTGCTCTGTAAAGGCTTACCCAGCGCAGAGTAGGTGCTCTGTAAATGCTTACCCAGCGCACAGTAGGTGCTCTGTAAACACCCAGCGCACAGTGGTGCTCTGTAAACGCTTACCCAGCGCACAGTAGGTGCTCTGTAAAGGCTTACCCAGCGCACAGTAGGTGCTCTGTAAACGCTTACCCAGCACACAGTAGGTGCTCTGTAAACGCTTACCCAGCGCACAGTAGGTGCTCTGTGAACACCCAGCGCACAGTAGGTGCTCTGTAAACGCTCACCCAGTGCACAGTAGGTGCTCTGTAAACGCTCACCCAGCGCACAGTAGGTGCTCTGTAAACGCTCACCCAGCGCACAGTAGGTGCTCTGTAAAGGCTCACCCAGCGCACAGAAGGTGCTCTGTAAAGGCTCACCCAGCGCACAGTAGGTGCTCTGTAAACGCTCACCCAGCGCACAGTAGGTGCTCTGTAAAGGCTCACCCAGCGCACAGAAGGTGCTCTGTAAAGGCCCACCCAGCGCACAGTAGGTGCTCTGTAAACGCTTACCCAGCGCACAGTAGGTGCTCTGTAAACGCTTACCCAGCGCACAGTAGGTGCTCTGTGAACACCCAGCGCACAGTAGGTGCTCTGTAAACGCTCACCCAGCGCACAGTAGGTGCTCTGTAAACGCTCACCCAGCGCACAGTAGGTGCTCTGTAAACGCTCACCCAGCGCACAGTAGGTGCTCTGTGAACACCCAGCGCACAGTAGGTGCTCTGTAAAAGCTCACCCAGCGCACAGAAGGTGCTCTGTAAACGCTTACCCAGAGCACAGTAGGTGCTCTGTAAACGCTTACCCAGCGCACAGAAGGTGCTCTGTAAACGCTTACCCAGCGCACAGAAGGTGCTCTGTAAACGCTTACCCAGCGCACAGTAGGTGCTCTGCAAACACCCAGCACACAGTAGGTGCTCTGTAAACGCTTACCCAGCACACAGTAGGTGCTCTGTAAACGCTTACCCAGCACACAGTAGGTGCTCTGTAAACGCTTACCCAGCGCACAGTAGGTGCTCTGTAAACGCTTACCCAGTGCACAGTAGGTGCTCTGTAAACGCTTACCCCGGGCACACAAGGTGCTCTGTAAACACTTACCCAGCACAGAATAGGTGCTCTGCAAACGCTTACCCAGTGCAGAGTAGGTGCTCTGTAAACGCTTACCCAGCGCACAGTAGGTGCTCTGTAAACGCTTACCCAGTGCACAGTAGGTGTTCTGTAAATGCTTATCCAGTGCCATAGGCTAGGGCAGCATCACAGCCTCATGCACTTAGGATCAGGGCAGGATTCTCAGGGCCACTTGGGGTCTTCAACACCCACTGGGTGCTCCCGTAGGAACTGAGCTGGCCAGGTGGCCTGGCTCCCACCCCTGACCAGTCCCCATGTGCCCCACCTGGGCCCTCATCTTCTGACCCTGTGCCCCACATCCCCAGGTGGTCGCGGTGTACAATCTGACCCTGCAGGTGGCGGACATGTCTGGAGACGGCCTCACAGCCACTGCCTCAGCCATCATCACCCTTGATGACATCAATGACAATGCCCCCGAGTTCACCAGGGATGAGGTGCTGCTGCTGTCCCTCCCTCGAAAGTAGCCCCTGCTTAGAGCTGCCTTCCCTTCTTGGGCTCCTGCAGAAGGCAGCGGGCTTCATGATGGGGCAGGAGGATGGTGTGCTTTGGAGAAGGAACTCCGCGTGGGCGGGTGGAAGCCCAAGCTGGAGGGGCCCCGGGGTGCTGCGTGGCAGTGTGTGAATGGAGTCAGAGTTGGGAGAGAGGCCCTTGGGGAGAAGCAGCCCATGGGACCCTCTGAGGCCCTCTCGCATTGCAGAGCAAGTCTCCCTCCGGCCTTTGCTGTATGGGAAGGGAGCACGAAGCTGAGCCCACAGAGGAGGACCATGGGGGCACGTGGGGGACAGTGACTCACAAAACAGACAAACCTGAGGACACCCAGTGGGTGGGGAGCAGCTTCGACAGGAGCAAGGGAGGGTGTTCCTGCTGGGAGGCAGGAGGGAGGGTGGGAGGGGAGGGTGGGCTGAGGGCCCTGAGGGCCCCACCCATGCTGTCCCCCCAGCCCTGCTGGTAACTGGGGCTGGGATCCCCCACCCAGTTCTTCATGGAGGCCATAGAGGCCGTCAGCGGAGTGGATGTGGGACGCCTGGAAGTGGAGGACAGGGACCTGCCAGGCTCCCCAAACTGGGTGGCCAGGTTCACCATCCTGGAAGGCGACCCCGATGGGCAGTTCACCATCCGCACGGACCCCAAGACCAACGAGGGTGTTCTGTCCATTGTGAAGGTGAGCGGCCCCCGGCTGGCACACAGATGCCGGCAGACGCAGATGCCGACACACACAGATGCCCACACACAGATGCCGGCACACACAGATGCCCACACACAGATGCCGGCACACACACATGCCGGCACACACAGATGCCCACACACAGATGCCGGCACACACACATGCCGGCACACACAGATGCCCACACACAGATGCCGGCACACACAGATGCCGGCACACACAGATGCCCACACACAGATGCCGGCACACACAGATGCCCACACACAGATGCCGGCACACACACATGCCGGCACACACAGATGCCCACACACAGATGCCCACGCACAGATGCCGGCACACACAGATGCCCATGCACAGATGCCGGCACACACAGATGCCCACACACAGATGCCGGCACACACAGATGCCCACGCACAGATGGCGGCACACACAGATGCCGGCACACACAGATGCCGGCACACACAGATGCCCACACACAGATGCCCACACACAGATGCCCACGCACAGGTGCCCACACACATGCTGGCACACAGATGCCCACGCACAGGTGCCCACACACAGATGCCCACGCACAGGTGCCCACACACAGATGCCAGCACACACAGATGCCCACACACACATGCCCACACACAGGTGCCCACACACAGATGCCCACACTGTCCACACACCGATGCTGGCACACATAGATGCCCACACACAGACACCCACACACAGATGCCCACACACAGGTGCCCACACACAGATGTTGGCACACACAGGTGCCCACACACAGATGCCGGCACACACAGATGCCCACACACAGATGCCCACACACAGATGCCCACGCACAGGTGCCCACACAAAGATGCCGGCACACACAGATGCCCACACACAGATGCCCACACACAGATGCCGGCACACACAGATGCCCATACACAGATGCCCACGCACAGGTGCCCACACACAGATGCTGGCACACACAGATGCCCACACACATGCCCACACACAGATGCCGGCACACACAGATGCCCACACACAGATGCCGGCACACACACATGCCGGCACACACAGATGCCCACACACAGATGCCGGCACACACAGATGCTGGCGCACACAGATGCCCACACACAGATGCCCACACACAGATGCCCATGCTGGGGTTTGAGCCCCTTCCTGGCAGGTTCACATCCTCTGACCAGCTGGGACCTTGTGTTCGTCCTTGGGTGAGAGAGAGTGGGGGAGGGCATGGAGCCCCCCAGCCTGAGGACTGGGTCCCAGGCCACGCTACCCATGGGGCTTGAGGGCCAGAGGCAGGGGACACCCTCCACCACTTTGCTCTGTCCAGCCTTCCTCCTTTCATATGGAATCCATGTACAAAATCACAGCTGCACACCTGTGTCAGTCCTGGTTCTACCAGAGAAAGAGGCCATAGGAGACACATGCACAGATATGTCCACACGTGTAGATGTGGGTGTATTTAGATACTGACACAGTAAGAGGTTTACTGCAAGAAATTGGCTCATGCGGTGCTGGGGTCTGGCTGGGCAGGTCTAACGTGCAGACCACAGGCTGGAGCCGACGCAGCAGTTTAGAGGCAGAGAAAATGCAGTTTTGCTCTCAAAGCCTTCACCTGAGTGGATAAAGCCAACCCACATCACCCAGGACGATCTCCTTTATTTAAAATCAAGTGACTGCAGGGGCTGGCGCCATCCCCCAACGGCCCTCGCTGAAATACCCGCGGAGTATGTGCTTGAACCCTGGGCTGCTCCCCAACCACCACCACACACAACCAGCATTTTAATAATATTCTTTGTGCCTTCTTGTCCTGCATAATTTGTTTTTTCAAGGTTAAAAAGGGGCAGAAGGAAAGTACAGGTGCTCTGGACAGACCCAAGGAGTGGCTCCCCCATGGCACCTGCCCTCGGGTGCCCACACTTGCGTTGGGCGGATGACGGGCTGTGCTTCCTTCCCTCAGGCCCTGGACTATGAGAGCTGTGAACACTACGAACTCAAAGTGTCGGTGCAGAATGAGGCCCCGCTGCAGGCGGCTGCCCTTAGGGCTGAGCGGGGCCAGGCCAAGGTCCGCGTGCATGTGCAGGACACCAACGAGCCCCCCGTGTTCCAGGAGAACCCACTTCGGACCAGCCTAGCAGAGGGGGCACCCCCAGGCACTCTGGTGGCCACCTTCTCTGCCCGGGACCCTGACACAGAGCAGCTGCAGAGGCTCAGGTGGGGCTCCTGAGGCCCTGGGAGAGGTAGAGGAGGCTAACGGCCCCATTCCTGCTTCGGGTGCCCCTGATCCCTGGGCTCTGAGGGTCAGAGGGTGTAGGGGCCATTTGCTGTGTGGGTTCCTGAAGGTCTGGAGGGTCTCGAGTCCCGAGCATGCCCGTGTGTGCATGTTGGGGTGACCTCACCCCCTAGGGCAGGCCCAACTCCAGCCTGTGCACGCCAGTCTGTCCCTGCCAGCCGTGTCCATCCCAGGAGGCCCTTGCTCCCAAGGGACTGGCCGTTCGCATCTCATTTCACTCCAAGCCTGGCCCTGTGTATCCCTGTCTGTGTCCACGGGGCCCGGGAAGGGCCAGC
This sequence comes from Homo sapiens, assembly GCF_000001405.40. Lineage (NCBI taxonomy): Eukaryota > Metazoa > Chordata > Mammalia > Primates > Hominidae > Homo > Homo sapiens. Next base: position 89,190,851 of record NC_000016.10, read on the forward strand.
ACCAACTGAGGCTTAACTAGGTTGCCACACAATTGTCTCAGCGCCCTGGACAGCTCGCCTGCCCTCCCTGAGCCTCAGTTTCCTCACCTCACAGAAGGTGCTGGTGACTGCAGCTCCCATCATATTCACATGGGTTGTGTGTACATGTGTATGTGCATATGTGTGTGCACATGTGTGGTACATGCGTGTGGTGTATAGGTGTGTGGGGGGTGGTATGTGCAAGGTGGGGGGGAGTGTCTATGTGTATATATGTGCATGTGTGTGTGCTGTGCATGCCCATGTATGTGTATGTGGTGTGTGCATGCATGTGGCATGTAAGGCTGTGTGTGCGTGTGTATATGTTGTGTGCATGTGTGCATGCATGTGGTATGTATGTGTGTGCCTGTGTGTGTGCAGTGCATGTCACGCACCCATACCTGACCACACCTGTGGGGCCCTGGGGTAAACTCAGATCCCACTCTTCCCCTCCCCTGCATCAGCTACTCCAAGGACTACGACCCGGAAGACTGGCTGCAAGTGGACGCAGCCACTGGCCGGATCCAGACCCAGCACGTGCTCAGCCCGGCGTCCCCCTTCCTCAAGGGCGGCTGGTACAGAGCCATCGTCCTGGCCCAGGATGACGGTGAGCGGCGCCGCCGGCTTGGGGCTCCCTGACCTGGCCTTGTCCCGGCTGAGCACCCCTGCCAGTGTCGGAGGGCTCTGCCCATGTCGCCCGGGGGCTCAGAGCTGCGCACCCGCTCTGAGCCGACTGGTGGGGCAGGCTGGGGTGTTGGGGTCACTAAGCCGCGGCCTCCTCGCCTGCAGCCTCCCAGCCCCGCACCGCCACCGGCACCCTGTCCATCGAGATCCTGGAGGTGAACGACCATGCACCTGTGCTGGCCCCGCCGCCGCCGGGCAGCCTGTGCAGCGAGCCACACCAAGGCCCAGGCCTCCTCCTGGGCGCCACGGATGAGGACCTGCCCCCCCACGGGGCCCCCTTCCACTTCCAGCTGAGCCCCAGGCTCCCAGAGCTCGGCCGGAACTGGAGCCTCAGCCAGGTCAACGGTGCGCTCCCCTCACCGCCGCGCTCCCCCCATCCCCACGCTCCCCCCACCCCCACATTCCGGCCTCGGACGGGGGCAGGAGGGTGAGGGGCATGCAAACCCGTGGTCCTGCAACAGGTCCCCTCCCGCCACCCCCCCCACCACTGCATCCTCCCGTGGGGCAGGGTTACTCATTGTGCCCAGAGGACGGTGGGGGTGGGGGGGACCCAGGCCCAGGATCTCGGGATCCCCACCCTGTCTCGGCGCGAGGAGGGCAGGCGAAGTGGGGGCGGCCTCGGGAGGCCCTCGCTCACCACAGGCGCCCTCCGCAGTGAGCCACGCGCGCCTGCGGCCGCGACACCAGGTCCCCGAAGGCCTGCACCGCCTCAGCCTGCTGCTCCGGGACTCGGGGCAGCCGCCCCAGCAGCGCGAGCAGCCTCTGAACGTGACCGTGTGCCGCTGCGGCAAGGACGGCGTCTGCCTGCCGGGGGCCGCAGCGCTGCTGGCGGGGGGCACAGGCCTCAGCCTGGGCGCACTGGTCATCGTGCTGGCCAGCGCCCTCCTGCTGCTGGGTGAGTGAGCGCCCCGCCTCCACCTGGACCCTCGGACCCTCGGACCCTCCTCCCCAGGCCGTCCCCTGCTAACCAGCCACGCCGCTTCCTCCCCAGCTCCGCCTCCTCCCTAACCCCGCCCCCTCATTACCAGCCACGCCGCTTCCTCCCCAGCTCCGCCTCCTCCCTAACCCCGCCCCGTCATTACCAGCCACGCCGCTTCCTCCCCAGCTCCGCCTCCTCCCTAACCCCGCCCCCTCATTACCAGCCACGCCGCTTCCTCCCCAGCTCCGCCTCCTCCCTAACCCCGCCCCCTCATTACCAGCCTCGCCGCTTCCTCCCCAGCTCCGCCTCCTCCCTAACCCCGCCCCCTCATTACCAGCCTCGCCGCTTCCTCCCCAGCTCCTCCTCCTCCCTAACCCCGCCCCTCAGTACCAGCCACGCCGCTTCCTCCCCAGCTCCTCCTCCTCCGTAACCCCGCCCCCTCAGTACCAGCCACGCCCCTTCCTCCCCAGTTCCACCTCCTCCGCAACACCACCCACTCATTACCAGCCACGCCGCTTCCACCCAACCCGCCCCCTGCTCGCCAACCCCGCCCCCTCATTACTAGCCACGCCCCTTCCTCCCCAGCTCCGCCTCCTCCCTAACCCCGCCCCCTCATTACCAGCCACGCCCCTTCTCCACTGCCGCCTCCTCCCCAACACCACCCACTCATTACCAGCCACGCCGCTTCCACCCAACCCGCCCCCTGCTCGCAAACCCCGCCCCCTCGTTGCCAGCCACGCCTCTTCCCCAAGCCGGCCTCTCCTTACCAGCCAAGCTCCCTCCTCCACAACCCGGCCCCCTCCTCCCTAACCTCGCGGCTTCCTCCCCAACCCCGGCTCCTCCATGCCAGACACGCCCTTTCCCCAACTGCCGCCCCCTCAACCCCACCCCTGCTTACCAGCCTTGCCCCGCCCCGCCCCCTCCTCCCACCTCCTTCGCAGCCCGGCCCCCTGAAGTCGCGCCCTGTGCCTGGCCCCAGCCTGCGTCCCCTCATTCCCCAGTGCTGGTCCTGCTCGTGGCACTCCGGGCGCGGTTCTGGAAGCAGTCTCGGGGCAAGGGGCTGCTGCACGGCCCCCAGGACGACCTTCGAGACAATGTCCTCAACTACGATGAGCAAGGAGGCGGGGAGGAGGACCAGGTGAGGGGGCAGGTGTGGGTGGGGAGGGGTCCCCAAGGAACCCAGGTCGCGGGCCTTCTTACAACAAGCTGGCCAGGAGCCTGTACCTGAGACCTCCACCAGGGCCACCCGAGGGATGCCTGGCTCTGTTCCACCTCCTCGCCCACAGGACGCCTACGACATCAGCCAGCTGCGTCACCCGACAGCGCTGAGCCTGCCTCTGGGACCGCCGCCACTTCGCAGAGATGCCCCGCAGGGCCGCCTGCACCCCCAGCCACCCCGAGTGCTGCCCACCAGCCCCCTGGACATCGCCGACTTCATCAATGATGTAGGTGCTCCTGGGGACACCCCAGTACACACAGGCACGCACAGGTGCACACACACATGCACATGTACACACCTGCACATGCATGCAAGAACCGGCGCCTGCATGCACTTATGGGCCGTCCCAGAGCACCGCAGAGGAAGATGGTGTGCGGGCGGGAGTGTGGAAGCCCCGCTGCCACCGTCCAAACTGGGCCCTCAGCCTCCACCCGCGACGCGGGTCTTTGCACAGATGGAGTGGCGATGGCCACAGACCCATCCACTGCCCCGTGTCCACCATGGAGGGGGTGGGGGAGCCCCGGGAGCATCCCCTGGGCTTCGGTGGCTGTCAGCGGAATCAGGGCCTCCATAGAAGACCCTCTGGACACAGCGTTAATGATTCCCTGCCATCCACAGGATGAATGTGCACACGGGGAATCTGGGGTGTGGGGCGCACAGGGAACCCTCCTCTGTGCCTGTCTGCACCTGTAGCACCTGGCTCAGAGAAAGCCCCCAGCCAAGGTGTACACCCCCGGTTAGGAGCGTGTGTCCCCACGAGCTGAGAGGACAGACATGCAGACAGAGCCTCCGAAAGGCAGACGGGCCGTTCTGCGGATGGGGGTGTCCAGGAGGCTCGGGTTCTGCCTTGAGTGGACAAGGGCCACGGGGAGGAAGAGACCAGGGTGAGGGGGAGCAACCCCTTCCCACCTTGCTGGGGCAGGGCAGAGCCCCGGGGGACGGGCTGGCCGCTGGCCTAATACTGAGGAAGGGGGTAGTCCGTGGCACCCTCTTCACAACCCTGCTGCTGTGCCCTCAGGACGCTTTGCCTCCCCTCAGACCTCGCCCCCGGACGTGGGCAGCTTCCCCTTCCTGAGCCCGTGCCTTGAGCTGACTTTGCCCTGGGCTGTGGCCACGGCGGTGGGGCACCCGCTGGCCCCTCCATGTGTCTTGAGCTCTCCGGGCCTCTTTATAGGGCTTGGAGGCTGCAGATAGTGACCCCAGTGTGCCGCCTTACGACACAGCCCTCATCTATGACTACGAGGGTGACGGCTCGGTGGCGGGGACGCTGAGCTCCATCCTGTCCAGCCAGGGCGATGAGGACCAGGACTACGACTACCTCAGAGACTGGGGGCCCCGCTTCGCCCGGCTGGCAGACATGTATGGGCACCCGTGCGGGTTGGAGTACGGGGCCAGATGGGACCACCAGGCCAGGGAGGGTCTTTCTCCTGGGGCACTGCTACCCAGACACAGAGGCCGGACAGCCTGACCCTGGGGCGCAACTGGACATGCCACTCCCCGGCCTCGTGGCAGTGATGGCCCCTGCAGAGGCAGCCTGAGGTCACCGGGCCCGACCCCCCTGGGCCTGGGGCAGCCTCCTTCCTGTAGGCGAGGGCCCAAGTCTGGGGGCAGAACCTGAGTGTGGATGGGGCGGCCAGGAAGAGGCCCCTTCCTGCCGGGGTGGGAAGAGTTTCTCTCCATCGGCCCCATGCGGGTCACCTCCCTAGTCCCACCTTTGCCTCCTACCAGTGAACCTCATCTTTGTATGAAAGACAGCAACCTCCTGGGTAAATCTGAATGAAAAACGTGCTAGTCTCTTTCATGCAGGACGGGCGCCCACTGCCACACTGACCATGAGGGGGATGGGGCCAGTGAGGCCTGGCCTGGCAGGGACCTGAGGGCCAGGCCCCCATACCACCCTGCTTGGCTGGGGCAGGAGGCGGCCGGGGGCTGCCACTACCTGGACAGGGGCTATGGAGCAGCCGCTGACACCCTGGCTCCTTGCTGGTGAGCCCAGAGGTGGGGAGCAGGCACAGGTGAGACCCTTCCAGGCCCCAGGTGTGGCCTGAGGGAAGAACCAGGGAGGACGCCAAGTTCCACAGAAGCCTTTATCCTCCACACCTACTGGGTGTGGCTGGGGGGAGACCCAGGGCCTCCCAGTGCCTGGGGCCTGGCTGGAGACACCTTCACGCTGTCCCCACGGCTCCACCTGCACTGAGACACGGGCTTCTGAGAGGAATGTGTCTGCCCTGGACCAGACGTCTGGGGTACTCAGCCATGCCCCAGGCCTTGACTTTGGTCCCATCCTGGCTCCCAGGGCCACCAGGCAGGACTAGTGCTGCTCGGGGGTGTGGCCGGCCCAGTAGGAGTTGGAGGGCGGCAGCAGAGGCAGGTGGTCCTGGCGGGGGCGGCCCCGCAGGAGTGGGGAGCGGCGCAGGCGGTCGGCGTCCTGCAGTGACTGGGGCAGCCCCCGGCTTCGGCTCTCAGGCAGCAGCAGGACACACAGCAGGGCAAGGACAGCAAGGGAGGCGAAGACGACTTGTTGCAGGAAGAAGCCCTGCCGGCCGTGCAGGGTGTCCAGGGGGCCGGCTGCCTGGCCCAGGAACCCGGCCCCCAGCACCAGGCCCAGCCCGGCCCCCCTGTGGGACAGAGTGTGTTGGGGGCAGCCAGCCTCCTGGCCCAGGAACCCGGCCCCCAGCACCAGGCCCAGCCCGGCCCCCCTGTGGGACAGAGTGTGTTGGGGGCAGCCAGCCTCCTGGCCCAGGAACCCGGCCCCCAGCACCAGGCCCAGGCCGGCCCCTCTGTGGGAGAGAGTGCGTTGGGGGCAGCTGGTGGGGCAACAGATTGGGGGACACACATGTGACTCCAGAGTGAGCAGGGGGAAGGCCCGGCCTCCGCACAGCCTAAGGTTTGCTGGCTGAGGATAATTTGAAAAATTGTTTTGGAAAAACCTCCTTCCTCTCCTGGAGCACTTTTTGCTCTGTTCAAGACTGGAAAGTGGCCGGGCACAGTGGCTCATGCCTGTAATCCCAGCACTTTGGGAGGCCAAGGCAGGCGGATCATGAGGTCAGGAGATCGAGACCATCCTGGCTATCATGGTGAAACCCTGTCTTTACTAAAAATACAAAAATTAGTTGTGCGTGGTGGTGGGTGCCTGTAATCCCAGCTACTCAGGAGGCTGAGGCAGGAGAATCGCTTGAACCAGAGAGTTGGAGGCTGCAGTGAGCTGAGATCACACCACTGCACTCCAGCCTGGTGACAGAGCGAGACTCCATCTCAAAAAAAAAAAAAAAGAAGAAGAAGAAGATCGAAAAGTGATGCTTTCCCCGAGAATTCTGCCATTTCTGGAGGCCTCCTCATCTCTGCCCCCACCCCGCACTCCTGGCTTCAGGCCTGCGTGGCCTTCCCTCCCCTTCCCAGTTCCTGAGCCGTCTGCCCAGAGCCTTCTGTGAGCAGTGGCCCCCACCATCCAGGAGCAGGGCAGTGCTTTACCCCGAGTCCTTACTGGATGGAGGAATCACAGGCAGGAACCTGGGTGGGGTATGGGGACAGGGCCTCCTGTCCACCTGGCCCCTCCTCCCCATGAGAGGCCCTGGACCCTGCTGTGTGGCCGGGCAACCCTGAAGCTCACCTGATCACCGTGGGGAAGACCTCGGCCGCGAAGAGGCTGCTGAGTGCGGACACAGCCCGGGAGGCCAGGAGCCCCAGGACAGAGAGGAACAGCACAGTCCAGCCTGGCAGATCTGGGGACAAAGAACAGGGGTTCCCAGGCTCTCTCCCCAGGCCTTCCACCCTGGCCACTCAGGGCCCTTCCCCAGAGAACCACACCACTGTCTGGGGACCCACTTTCCAAGCCTCCTTTTCCAGCCCCCCTGAGAAACCTGGAGGGGGAACCTGTCCTCTGCAGCCTGATTCCAGCCTGGCTTGGATTCTAAGGATGTTAGAATCCTGACCCCGAGCCGCAGCCACACCGACCACCTCCACTCGGGCCCACGCTCAGCTACTGCTGTGCTGTCCACTGTCTTTGCAATTTCGAGAACCGTCCTAAAATCTCGAATACGTTGGAAGCAAGGCCTGCATTTCATTTTGCACCTAGCTCCACACACCATGTGGCTGGCCCTGAGTATATGGGCCCTCCCACACCAGTCCATGGCCGGCCTCGGCCACCTGGAACTCTGGGCAGAGCTTTTACCCAGCCCGGCCTCTTGACCTCTCATGCCTGTGCTGCACTCTGTGGCTGGGGCAGGTGTTTTAGGCTCAGACAGTTTCCTTACTTTAGGCCAGTCACAAAAGATCCTTTTGGGCCTTCCACAAGGATCAGAGGAAAACAAACAGCAGCTGGCCTTGGGCTGCCACCCCAGGCTGCTCCCCTGTCGGCACTATGGCCCCCTGGTGTGGCAGACCGTCGGCCCAAACACAATGGCTCCTGTATGGCCTGCGGGGCCCCAAGCTCACACTGGGCCCCAGCGAGGAGCAGCAGGGATGCCAGGCCTGTGACCATGGTGCCCAGCAGCAGCACGGGGCGGCGTCCACAGCAATCTGCCGTCAGGAGCAGGAAGACCAAGGCTGCCGCCTCCAGGCCGGCCTCCAGGAAGTAGGGCAGGTAGAAGGTCGGCACCTGAGGTGCCAGGCTGCGGCGGAAGCTAGCTCTGATGCCTCCACCAACCAGCCTGGGAGAGAGAGCAAATCTATGGGCCCAGCCAGAGCCGGGGACTCTGGGGACCATATGCCCACCCCGGGGGATGGTGCAGGACCCCAGCCCTTCCTCGACTCACGAGCTGAAGCCCAAGATAAGCCCGTTTCTCCAGGTGACTCGGGTACGCAGAAGCCCCAGTGGGGAGTGGTACCGGGGCTGGGGGCTCCGTGCAGACAGCATGGTCAGCTCTGTAGCCGCAGAGATGTGAGGGGAGGGGGGTGAGGAGCTGTGCCTCTCCGAAGCCCTCCTCCAGTACCTGAATCTCCCTCCTCCCTGGTAGGCGCCTGACCTGTAGCCAGGGAGTTCTCCTCCAAGGAACTGTCCCCGGGGCCCACGCCACTGGCTTCTGCAAAGCGCCACAGGATCTTCCTGGCTCGAGCTACCTGACCTGTGGCCAGCAGCCAGCAGGGAGACTCGGGGAACAGGGCCGGGAACCTGCAGCGTTGGTGAGGATGCCCACGGCTCCCTCCACCTCCTCCTGGAAGGAGAGGCAAAGGCCAGGGCCCCCACCCCACCCCCAGGCTCAGGGGCAGGACATCACTGTAGTTCTCTGTGACCCTGTAACCCATGCGTTTACCTGGCATGGGATACGTCGGTGCAGAGGGAAGCTACATAGTCAGCCCCGATGAGGGCTGCTGGCCCAGCTCCCACCACACTTACCCCCAAAAGAGCAGCAAGAGTCCACTCATCAGGGCACCCAGCCCCTGCAGAAGACGCCAGTCCTGCACAAGCGCAGCCAGGCCGGGCAGCAGCAGGGTGCCCACCACCGAGAAAAGGCCAGCCCCCATGGAGAAGGCCAGGCGGTGGGGAGGGTCACACAACTCCAGGCCTGGGCAGACACAGACAGGTTGAAGTGGAGGCCTCGGGGAGGACTGGAACAGTTCCATTGGGAACTGCGGGGACCTATTGGTGACCTGCCCAGGAGCGGGATGCCCAAGGGACTCACTGCTCACTGTCCCTGCAGCTCGGGGCCCTCGGCAAGGGAGCCTCAGAGGCCTGCGGGCCACCCACTGCCCCTCCCCCAGTGACAGCAGCCCCCAGGGTACTCACGAGCCAGATACAGGGCGAGGAGGGCCCCTGCCAATGTGCCCCCGTGGAGTAGGCGCAGGACCAGCAGGGTAGGGAAGCTGGCAGCCAGGGCCTCACTGGCCCCCAGGCCTGTGGTCAGCACCAGGGAGGCCACAAAAACTGCCCGGCGTCCAAACCTGGTGGGCAGCGGGGGACATGCTTGGACAGGGTCAGGATAACCCAGGGTCCAACCTTCATCCTGGCAGCACCAGGTCTAGCTGAACCCTGAGAGTGGGCGGAGGGGAGGGCTGCTGGGCAGCAGGAAAAGGGAAGGGGCCTCACCGGTCACAGCCTGCTCCCAGGATGACACAGCCCAGCAGCCAGCCCAGGAGGTGGCTCACCTGCTCCAGCGGGACCTTCCAGCCGTCTCCACACACAAGGTTCCACTATGGGGAACAGCAGCCACGTGGAGGCCAGCTCAGGACCCTCCCCTGGGGACAGGTGCAGGGAGTCCCAGAATGGCTACTGGAAGGGGCCCTCCATGTCCTGCTCAATCCCTCCGTGGAGAGAAGGGGAAACTGAGGCATGAGAGGGCAAGGGGCTTGGTCCAGGTCACACAGCAGCCTCTCTGGTCTCCGGCAGCCCCTGCACAGGGGTCGGGGGGATCTGCCCACCCTAAGTTTTCTGCTTGTCCCTAGATAGGGCCTCCCCCACCTCCGCACACCATTGCTCTTCCCCCACGGCCAGCTCTTGTCCGACCCGTTTCCACCTCCTATTCCGAGGGACCCCGGGGACACCCAGGGCCTTGGTGGCGTCATAGACACAGCCCCCACCCCAGCCGGCCAAGGGTCATAGCCATGACACAGGCCTAAGAAATGAACCCCAGCACCTGCGCTGGTACCCACGCCCTCCCTGCCCTGCCCATTTCAAGAGGGACTCGGGCAGCGGCTGGAGAGCTGTGCTCAGCGGCATTTCCCGGTGAGGCCCTTGACCCTTGACCTCAGCTCTGCGCCTCCCCCCACCCCTTCCGGTTCCTGGGTCTTCTTGGCAAGCTTAATCTACTGCTGGGGGCCGTGCTATGCCCGAGATTTTACTTTCAAACCTGACGTTTTGGGAAAGCTGATGGGGCATTCCTGGATCCAGGCACCAAACAGGAGGAGGGCAGGTGGGAGGTGGGAGGGAGCAGGGTGGAGAGAGAAGCCCGGCGGGTTCCAGGGCCCCAGGCAGCCCTTGTGAAGATGTGGCAACCCCGTTCCAGTTTCCACACTGGGGCCAGTCCTCCCAGGATGGGGGATGGGGGCCTCGGGGTAAAGGCTGCCTCAGGGGTGTGCAGGTCTCAGCCCCAGCGCGGAAAGGCATGAAAGGGGCCTGGAGGTCCCTGCCGCCCGCCTCCCCATCTCTTCTCACGCAGATCGTCAAGGTTTCCCTTCAGGCAATGCAGTCTCTAGCCCAGCCTCTGCGCACCTCACTGATGGGAAGCCCACCTTCCCCAGTCTGTGCTGACCACGTCAGTCCCTCCAAGCAGAGACTCTGCCTTGGAAAGCCAGCCCAAAGCCACGGTCTGCTGAAGACGCTGGTGGTCCTGAAGCAAATTCCAGGCCCTGCTCCCCCACCGGCGCCTTCGGCTCCAATCCTCCAGCGCCCCAGGCCGCCCCGCGCCTGGCAGCTCCCAGGCCCAGATTCAGCCCCCGCCCGGCCCCTCTCCGCGGGTCCGGCCCGTGCGCGCCCGTCTGCGGCACCGTCGGGCCGGCGGCCGCCCCGGAGCAGGAAGCCCAGGAGGACGGCCGGGGGGCCCGGGTCAGAGGCGCCAGGTAGGATGGAGAAAGGACACCCAGGGCCTCGGCGGGCTGGGGGCGGGGAGGGCTGCGGGGCAGCAGGGACGGGGGCGCACCTGGGTGACCGGGCTTTGCAGGAGGCCGGCGCCGGGCAGCGCGTAGAGCCAGCCGCGTGTGCAGGGCCGGGTGCCGTTGCGTGCGGGCGCGGGGCGCGGGCCCGGGGCGGGTGCAGGGCGCGGGATCGGGGTAGCGCAGGAGCAGGCAGGGGCTCGCGGCTCGCGTGGGCCCCAGGCGCGGGATGGCGGCGTCCAGCAGCGCGGGTCCGCGCAGGGCGCGCAGCGCTGGGGGCAACAGCGTGGGGTCCGGTCGGCAGTGGGGCGCGGGCTGCGCGGTAAGCAGCTCCTCGGAGCTCAGCACCAGCCCCAGCACTATGCAGGGTACCCACGAGGCGGAGGCCAGCAGGCGCCGGGCCCGGCCAAAGCCGCCCGCAGCTCTCAGCACCCGCGCCTCCTGCTCCATCGGTCGCAGGCTGCGCTCGGGACGGGGCGGGGCCTGGACCAGGGCGGGCTCCTGGGGCGGGGCTTTGGGGCGAGGCATTAAGGGGCGGAGCCTGAGTCCAGTGGAGGCGGGGTGTGGGGGCGGGCGGTGTGAGGGCGGGGCCTAAGGCGTAAAGGGGCGGGGCCCGATCTGGGGCATAGGGCGGGGAGGTTGAGGGGCGGGAAGGTTGAGAGGCGGGGCTTGCGGCCGAACCGCGAGGGGGCGGGGCCCCGTGAGGGCGGCACGTGGGGGCCGGGGGCGTGGCAGGGGCGTGGCCGGGAGCGCTCAGGTGCCCTCGCGGCGCAGGTGCACTCAGGTTGCCCGGGGGCGCGCGGGCTCCGGCCGGCGTCCCGGGGTGGTCCCCGCGTGGGGCCGGGGGCGTCCGCGCGGGCGGGGCGAGGTCGGGGAGGGCAGCCGCCCGCCCTCCTCGGCGCTGGGAGCTTTCGGCTGGTACTGCGGGAGGAGCTCCCGGGTGACCCGCGGGTTCTGAAACCGCCGCTCGGGAGCTCGGGGCCTGCGCTGCGTCTACGGGGCGAGCGAGGGAGAACTGACGCCTTTCGCCCGGATCCTTCTCCCCTTCCGAGAACCAGGTAGGTCGCGTTTATTTTCAAGTCCGACTGTTTTCGCGGTAACATTTGTGGGAAACATCACGGTGGATCCTGTGGGTCGCTGAGTTTTCTGACTCCCGGTTTGTCTTATTTTGCTTTGTCAGTGGGCTCTGCGCTCGCGTTAACAATTCGAATGGGCACGTTTCTGCGTTTCAGAACGCTGTTCGCTTCCTCACACTTAGATTGAGGTGGAACTCACGTCACATAAACCGGGTCGCAAGGCTCAGCTCAGCGGGGCCCCCCCAACAGTGTTGCGGGACCAGCACCTTCTCGGGCTCCGGAACAGCTTCTACCCGAGCAGAGCCCGCCCGTCGGCGGCCGCTCTCCGCGCCCCTCCAGGGCCCTGCAGCCCCCGCCCTGCTCCGCGGACCAGCCTGTTCTGACCTCCGTTCAATGGAGCCCTACGTGCTGTGGCCTTTTGTGTTCCGGCGTCTTTCGCTTAGAATCGCGTCTTCAAGGTTCGTCCCCGGTGGAGCGGGGATCAGACCCGCGTTCCTTTTCAGGAGTGAATAATATTCCGTGGATGGAGCCCACACGTTTCTCTCTTCCTCTGTTGATGGACAGTGGGTTGTTTCCACTTTTTGCCTTTTGCGTCCAGTGACACGATGAACATTTTCGTACAAGTATTTGGGTGCCTGTTTCCATTTATCTTTGGTGTATACCTAGGCATGAATAGCTGGGCCTTAGGGTGTGAACTGTTTGTGAAACCGCAGAACGGTTTTCCGCAGCGGCGGTTCGATTTCACCACCAGCAATACAGAAGGGTGCTCGTTCCCCGACATCCTTGCCAACACCCATGTTCCGGTTTGTTTCAGTTATTTTATTGTGATAAAGCACAACAAAATGTATCATCTTAACCATTTTAAGTGTGCAGTTCAGTGGTATCAAATACATTCACACTATGGTGCAGCCGTCACCCCCATCCAGCTCCTTAACTCTGTTCACCTTGTAAAACAGAAACTCGATGCCCGTTACATAGTAACTCCCCATAGCCCCTCCTCCTCGCCCCAGGGAACTAGCATTCTGTATTCTGTGTGTGATTTTGACTAAGCTAAGTATCTCTTAGAAGTGGAATCACACGGCATTTTTCTTTTTGTGAACGGTTTATTTCATTTGGCATAATGTCCTCAAGATTCATTCATATCTTTCCATATGTTAGAATTTCCTTCTTTTTAAAGGCAGAATAATACTCCATTGTATGGATATGTCACATTTGGTTTACCCATTCATCTGTTTCTGTAAACTAGGTTGCTTCCACCTTTTGGCAATTGTGAATAATGCTGTTATGAACATGAAATATAAATATCTCCTTGACACCCTGCTTTGAATTATTTTCAATGTATATACCTAGAAATGGAATTGCTGAATCAGAGGGTAGTTCTATTTTTAACTTTTTCAGGAATCACCATACTGTTTCTACAGTGACTGCACCATTGTACATTTCCAGCAGCAAGGTACCGATTTCTCCCATCCTCACCTACATTGTTATTTTCTGGGTTTTTTTGATGGTAGTCATCCTAATAATGGGTATGGGATGGTATTTCATTGTAGTTTTCATTTGCTTTTTCCTAATGATTAGTGATATTGAACATGTTTTCATGTGCTTATTGGTCATTTGTATATCTTCTTTGGAGAAATATCTGTCCAAGTCCTTTGCCCATTTTTGAATTGGGCTGTTCCTTTTTGTTGTTGTTGTTATTGAGCATTAGCAGTTCTCTCTTTGTTCTAGATATTAATCCATTATTATATATATGATTTCCAAATATTTTCTCCCATTCTGCGAGTAGCTCTTTTACTGTGTTGATATTGTCTTTTGATGCACAAAATTTTTTCATTTTCATGAAGGTCAGTCTGTTTTTCCTTTTCTGGCATGTGCCTTGGGTGTCATATCTGGGAAATCATTGCCAGGTCTCGTGTCATGAAGCTTTTGCCCTATGTTTGCTTCTAAGAGTGTTATAAGTTAAGGTCTTACATTAAGGTATTTGATCCGTTTTTAGGTAATTTTTGTATCTGGTGTTACGTAAGAGTACACCTGCATTCTTTTGCATGAAGATATTTCGTTTCCCCAGCACCATTTGTTGAAAAACCACTGTCCTTTCTTCATCGACTGGTCTCGGCACCCTTGTCAAAAATCGTTCGACCATATTGAGGAGTGTTCATTGCTGGGCTCTCTATTCTATTCCATTGGTCTAGATGGCTGTCTTCATGCCAGTACTACACTGTTTTGATTACTGAAGATTTTTTTTTTTTTTTTTTTAGAAAGAGTTTCACTCTTGTTGCCCAGGCTGGAGTGCAATGGCGTGATCTTGGCTCACCGCAACCTCTGCCTCCCAGGCTCAACCAATTCTCCTGCCTCAGCCTCCCAAGTAGCTAGGATTACAGGCATGCGCCACCACGCCTGGCTAAATTTTGTGTTTTTAGTAGAGACCGGGTTTCTCCATATTGGCCAGGCTGGTCTCAAACTCCCAACTTCAGGTGATCCACCCGCCTCGGCCTCCCAAAGTGCTGGGATTACAGGCGTGAGCCACTGCACCCAACCCAATTACTGAAGATTTTAGGTGAGTTTTTTCTTTTCTTTTTTCTTTTTCTCTTGGAGACAGATTCTCGCTCTGTCACCCAGGCTGGAGTACAGCAGTGTGATCCTGGCTCACTGCAACCTCTGCCTCCCGGGTTCAAACGATTCTCCTGCCTCAGCCTGCCGAGTATCTGGGACTACAGGCACGTGCCACCAAGCACAGTTAATTTTTTGTATGTTGGTAGAGACGAGGTTTCACTGTGTTGCCCAAGCTGGTCTCAAACTCCTGAGCTCAGACAATCCACCCGCCTCAGCCTCCCAAAGTGCTAGGATTACAGGCATGAACCACTGTGCCCGGCCTGAAGTAAGTTTTGAAATCGGGAACTGTGAGTCCTCCAGCTTTGTCCCACGTAGCTGGGACTACAGGTGCCCACCACCACGCCCAGCTAATTTTTTTGTATTTTCAGTAGAGACGGGGTTTCACCGTGTTAGCCAGGATGGTCTCGATCTCCTGACCTTGTGATCCGCCCAGCTTGGCCTCCCAAAGTGCTGGGATTACAGGAGTGAGCCACCGCGCCCAGCCCAGCTTTGTTCTTTTTAAAAATTATTTTGACTATTTGGGGTTCCACAAGGTTCCATATGAATTTTTTTTTTTTTTTTTTTTTTTTTGAGACGGAGCCTCGCTCAGTTGCCCAGACTGGAATGCAATGGCGCGATCTCGGCTCACTGCAAGCTCCGCCTCCTGGGTTCACGCCATTCTCCTGCCTCAGCCTCCCGAGTAGCTGGGACTATAGGAGCCCGCCACTACGCCCAGCTAATTTTCTTGTAGTTTTAGTAGAGACGGGGTTTGACCGTGTTAGCCAGGATGGTCTTGATCTCCTGACCTCGTGATCCGCCCGCCTCGGCCTCCCACAGTGCTGGGATTACAGGCGGGAGCCACCGCGCCTGGCCCCCACAGTGCTGGGATTACAGGCGTGAGCCACCGCGCGCGGCCTATGTGAGTTTTTAAATGAATTTTTCTGTAACAACAATGTCAGTGGGACTTTGATACGAATTCCCTATCAAAATGTTTTGATAGAAGAATTAATACTGTTTTGAATTAATCAAAATTGATTGCACTGAATCTGCAGATTTATATGGGCAGTGTTGACATTTTTAACAATATTAATTCTTCTAATCCATGAACATGGGATGTGTTTTCATTTGTTTATGCTTTCTTTAATTTTTTGTAGATTTTTATTGCACAATTCTTTTACCTCCTTGGTTAAGTTAGTTATTAAGTATTTTATTATTTTATTATTTTATTATTTTTCTTTGAGATGGAGTCTCGCTCTGTCACCCAGGCTGGAGTGCAGTGGCCGCCATCTCGGCTCACAGCAACCTCCGCCTTCCAGGTTCAAGTGATTCTCCTGCCTCAGCCTCCCGAGTAGCTGGGACTACAGGCACCTGCCACCAAACCCGGCTAATTTTTTGTATTTTTAGTAGAGACGGAGTTTCCCTGTGTTAGCCAGGATGGTCTTGATCTCCTGACCTCATGATCCATCCACCTCGGCAGTATTTTATTCTTTTACTTTTATTTTTTCAGATAGAGTCTTGCTCCGTCACCCAGGCTGGAGTACAGTGGCACCATCTTGGCTCACTGCAACCTCTGCCTCCCGGGTTCAAGCAATTCTCCTGCCTCAACCTCCCAACTAGCTGAGATTACAGGCGCCTGCCACCATACCTGGCTAATTTTTTTGTATTCGTAGTAGAGATGGGGTTTCAACATGTTGGCCAGGCTGGTTTTGAACTCCTGACCTCAAGTGACCCGCCTGCCTTGGCCTTCCAAAGTGTTGGGATTACAGGCGTGAGCCATCACACTTGGCCAAGATGCTATTGTGAGTAGAATTATTTCCGTAAATGCTTTTTTAGATTGTTAATTGATAGTATATAGAAATGCACTGGTTTTGCATTTTGACATTGTATCCTGCTACTTTGCTGAATTCATTTATTAGTTCGAACACATTCTGTCTGTGTGTGTAATCTTCAAGGATTTCCCGTATATAAGATCATATCCTCTGCGAACAGATGATTTTACTTCTTGCTTTCCAATTTGGGTGGCTTTTATTGTATTTTCTTCCCGAATTGCTCTGGTCAGAACTTCCAGTACTATGCTGAGTCCAAGTGGTGAAAGCCAGCAACCTTGCCTCGTTTCTTATCCTAAAGGAAAAGTTTATTCTTTCACCATTCTGTAAGACGGTTGCTTTGGGTTTTTCATATATGACTTTTTTTTTTTTTTTTTTTTCTTTTCGAGACAGAGTCTCGCTCTGTCGCCCAGGCTGGAGTGCCATGGCGCGATCTTGGCTCACTGCAATCTCAGCCTGCCAGGTTCAAACGATTCTCCTGCTTCAGCCTCCCGAGTAGCTGGGACTACAAGTGCCTACCACCATGCTCAGCTAATCTTTTGTATTTTTAGTAGAGATGGGGTTTCACCGTGTTAGCCAGGATGGTCTCAATCTCCTGACCTCATGATCAGCCCACCTCGGCCTCCCAAAGTGCTAGGATTACAGGCATGAGCCACCACGTCCGGCCTATTTTGTTGGTTTTTATGTTAATGTTCGTAAGGGATATTAGTCTCTAGTTTTCTTATATCTCTGACAGGCTTTGGTGTCAGAGTAATGCAAGCTTCATGGAAAGACTTAAGAAGTATTTCGTCCTCTTAAGTGTTTTGGAAGTGTTTGAGAATTTTTAACATTAAATCATCTTTAAACATGCGGTAGAAGTCACTAGTGAAGGCATCAGGTCTAGAGCTTTTCTTTTTTTTTTTGAGACGCAGCTTCACTCTGTCGCCCAGGCTGGAGTGCAGTGGCATGATCTCAGCTCACTTCAACCTCTGCCTCCCAGGTTCAAGCAGTTCTCCTGCCTCAGCTTCCCGAGTAGCTGGGACTATAGACGTGTGCCACCATGCCTAACTAATTTTCTTGTATTTTTAGTAGAAATGGGGTTTCACCATGTTGGCCAGGCTGGCTTTGAACTCCTGACCTCGCATGATCCGCCCGTCTCGGCCTCCCCCAGTGCTGGGATCACAGGTGTGGGCACGGTGCCCACCAGGGCTTTTCTTTATCAGAATTTTGACTAGTGATTCTACTTCCATACTACTTACAGGTCCACTCAGATTTCTAACTTCTTCCTGATTTAGTCTTGGTATGTTTAGCGTGTCTGGGAATGTGTTCATTTCATCTGGGTTATACAATTTGTGTACGACTTTTTTCATAACACTCTCTTGCGGTCTTTTTATTTCTGTAGAATCAGTGGTAATGTCCCCACTTGGATTTCTACTATTGGTAACTTGAGTGTTCTCTTTTTTCTTAGTCCATTTAGCAAAAAGTTTGTCAATTTTGTTGATCTTTGCAAAAAATCAACTTTTGGTTTCATCCTCTATTTTTCATTTCTGTTATTTTTGTTCTAATCTTTTATTATTTTCTTATTTCTACTAGCTTTGGGTTTAGGTTGTTCCTTTCTGGTTGTTTAAGTTGATTTGAGATATTTCTGTTTTTGTTTTTTTTTGTTTTGTCTTGAGATGGAGTCTCGCTCTGTCACCCAGGCTGGAGTGCAGTGGCGTGATCTCGGCTCACTGTAACCTCTGCCTCCTGGGTTCAAGTGATTCTCTTGCCTCAGCCTCCCAAGTAGCTGGGATTACAGGCGTGCTCCACCACGCCCAGCTAATTTTCGTATTTTTAGTAGAGATGGGGTTTTACCATCTTGGCCAGGCTGGTCTTGAACTCCTGACCTTGTGATCTGCCCACCTCGGCCTCCTGAAGTGCTGGGATTACAGGCGTGAGCCACCGAACACCCAGGCAAGCAAATCTCTTGAACCTGGGAGGCGGAGGCTGCAGTGAGCCAAGATCACGCCAGTACACTCCAAACTGGGCAACAGTGCGAGACTTGGTCTCAAAAAATAAAATAAAGAGGTTACTTATTATTTATTTATTTATTTATTTATTTATTTATTTATTTATTTATTTATTTATTTTTGAGATGGAGTCTCGCTCTGTCGCCAGGCTGGAGTGCGGTGGCACTATCTCAGCTCACTGCAAGCTCCGCCTGCCGGGTTCGTGCCATTCTCCTGCCTCAGCCTCCCGAGTAGCTGGGACTACAGGCGCCTGCCACCACGCCGGGCTAATTTTTTGTATTTTGTACTAGAGACAGGGGTCTCACTGTGTTAGCCAGGATGGTCTCGATCTCCTGACCTCGTGATCCGCCCTCCTTGGCCTCCCAAAGTGCTGGGATTACAGGCGTGAGCCACCGCGCCCGGCCAATAACCTCTTTAATTTGTGTGTCATTAAATATGGGTAAATACAGCTGCCAGCAGCCTCCAAGTGGCTGCTCTGGGTGCCCTGCCTGTTGATTGGACTTGCTCTGCAAGGAGCAGCCACTCTCTGTACATGGAGCAGCCACTCTCTGTGCATGGAGCAGCCACTCTCTGTACATGGAGCAGCCACTCTCTGTGCATGGAGCAGCCACTCTCTGTACATGGAGCAGCCACTCTCTGTACATGGAGCAGCCACTCTCTGTGCATGGAGCAGCCACTCTCTGTACATGGAGCAGCCACTCTCTGTGCATGGCTGCTCAGTAAAGCCGCCTCTTCCACCGCTGCCTCGCCCTCGCATACTTTCTGGGGTGAAGTCAAGGACCCTCCTGGGCCAAGCTGCAATTTTGGGGCTCAGCTGCCCTACATCACCTTGGCGGCCACAAAGGGATGAAGAGAAGACAGTGAGAGGCAGAGAGGCGGTGATTGGCAGGGCAGCAAATGACGCAAGGTGGCGGGTCAGTGAGAGACAGTGACCAGTGCCATGGCCATCAAAGCTGCAAATATCACGGCTGGGACAGTGGAACGCTGTGACACTGCAGACCTGTGACACTAGCCACAGGCTCTTTCAGGGGCCATCGTCTTTCCTGACAGGTGGCGGAGCCGAGTGGACAGGCAAGTAGCCACAGCACCACCTCGTGTGAGACCCACTGCTCCGATCGGCTGGTTGCAGAACCACACGCTGCTCCCCTCCTAATGGCTGAACCCCTCCAAACCAGGGAGACCTGGGGGAGACCGGGCAGTGCCATTTTGGCTCCTGTGGACAGGTAAGTGTCCCTGCTGTGTGTTCTGCCAATATTGGGTGAGCCAGGATCACCCCCGCCCTTCCTTATTTGCTGCTCTGAGATCCCCTTCCCTGCCTCACCCTGTATTCCACACCCATTAGAGCAAACAAAGTTTAGCCAGGTAGAGAGGTCCCAATTTTGTAAATAACTTGGATCCAGCTCTCTTATTTAGGTTGCTTTGCTTATGTGATGTGTGTTATGTCTAGCATGCTATCAGATTGGCTGATAAATAAAAGGGCACCCATAAACTAAACAAATGAACGAAAGAAATAAGACCACACACCCAAAGAAGATCAAGTACCATGGCCACATGCCATGGCGATGACCGAAAGTGACCTTACATGGTTCTGGAAACTCCAGAAACTCTAGAAAGTTCTAAAAAGTCCCTTAATTTGCATATAATTAAAAGTGGGTGTAAATACAGCTGCTGGCCAGGTGCGGTGGCTCACACCTGTAATCCTAGCACTTTGGGAGGCTGAGGCGTGTGGGTCACTTGAGGTCAGGAGCTCGAGACCAGCTCAAGCAACATGGCAAAACCCCATTTCTACTATAAATACAAAAATTAGCCAGGCGTGGTGGTGGGCACCTGTAATCCCAGCTGCTCAGGAGGCTGACACAGGGGAATCACTTCAACCCAGGAGGCGGAGGTTACAGTGAGCCAAGATCATACCACTGCATTCCAGCCTGGGTGACAGAGCAAGACTGTCTCAAAAAAATAAATAAATACAGCTGTCAATAGCCCATCTACAGTTACTCTGCGTGCATTGCCTGTGGGGTAGCCGTGCTTTGCAAGGAGCAGCCACTTTCCATACATGGCTGCCTCTGTAACCCTGCCTTCTCCTGCCCCAGGCTCACCCTTACATTCTTTCCTGGGTGAAGCCAAGAACTCTCCTGGGCCAAGCCCGAATTTGGGGCTCACCTGCCCTGCATCATCTTGGCAGAGCTTCAAAATTTGGTATTTTCCCAGTTCTCCTTGCTGCTGTTTACTTCTCAGTCTTCAGTGACCTTTTCCATACATTCTGTCCAGGTTTGGTGTTGTATTCAGCGGGAGAGATGAGCGAAGTATACTCGCTTGCCCTCACCTGGAACGCATTACTGAGGCCCTTCACTGTGGTTGTGACTCACACACAAGCTGCAGTTTGGGGCCAGGCTGCCATCTGTCACTCTGTTATGCTGAGTATCAGCAGAGCCTCCAAGGACTCCCTCCACCCTGTCTTGAGAGCCCTCAGCTAAACTGCGTTCCAGTGACAGGCAGCTGGCAGCCCTGCGCTCATGGGAAACAAAGGGGCTGGACATGGCGTTTGCCATGCACCTGTGACGGGATGCAGCTTTTACACGGTGGAAGGCCCAATGCCTCATTGTCCAACCTGCGATCTGGGGTCCATCCCATGGGGAATCTGCTCATGCTGACAGATGCCCCGTGGCTCTTGTCTGACCTGTGTCCAGCTTGTGCCTGCCTGACCATGGCTCTGGCACTGGGAGCCCGCCCTTGTATCCCCCCTGCTGCCCCAGGTCTCCGGGAAAACGCAGACTGGGCACCCCCTGGCCCTTCCTGTGGAAGGCGCAAATTCAACTGCTACAATAGGAAACACGTTTAAAGATTTATTACCTACAGACCGTGGGCAGGGTGGAGTCCAGGAGTGGAAAGGTTAGTCCTCTGTCCCTAGGTCCCATGAGGGAAGAGTGGGGCAGAGAGAGCTGCAGGGGAGGGGAGCAGGGTGAGGGAGTGTGAGCCACAACCTCTCAGGTTCAGGGAATTCTCCTGTCTCAGCCTCCTGAGTAGCTGATATCACAGAGGCCCGCCACCATGCCCAGCTCATTTTTTTTGTATTTTTTTTTTGGTTTTTTTTTTTTTGGAGACGGAGTCTCACTCTGTCGCCCAGGCTGGAGTGCAATGGCGCGATCTCGGCTCACTGCAAGCTCCGCCTCCCAGGTTCATGCCATTCTCCTGCCTCAGCCTCCCGAGTAGCTGGGACTACAGGCGCCCGCCACCACGCCCGGCTAATTTTTTGTATTTTTAGTAGAGACGGGGTTTCACCGTGTTAGCCAGGATGGTCTCGATCTCCTGACCTCGTGATCCGCCTGCCTCGGTCTCCCAAAGTGCTGGGATTACAGGCCTGAGCCACTGCGGCCGGCTTTTTTGTACTGTTAGTAGAGACAGGGTTATACTACGTTGGTCAGGCTGGTCTTGAATTGCTGGCCCCAAGTGATCCTCCCGCCTTGGCCTCCCAAAGTGCTGGGAATCCAGGCATGAGCCACCACGCTCAGCCCTATGTTGATTTTTTAACATTAAGAATGTAAAGAAATAACTCAGTTTGGACATCAGAACTGAACAGAATGTCATCTTTAGAGGGCCTTCCCTGTCCCCTTCCTTTCCACCTTGTTCTCATCCTACCATCCTTCTCAACCTGTGGGTTATTATTTTCTGAATAATCTTATCTGTATTTCCTTGTATTCAACATGAAGAGATAAATATACATGTATATTTTATTGTCTATTTTCCTTTTATTATTTTTTTGAGATGTAGTCTCCTTCTGTCGCCCAGTCTGGAGTGCAGTGGCGTGATCTCGGCTCACTGCAACCCCCACCTCCCAGGTTCAAGCGATTCTCCTGCCTCAGCCTCCTGAGTAGCTGGGACTACAGGTGCCCACCACCATGGCTAGCTCATTTTTGCATTTTTTGGTAGAGACGGGGTTTTGCCGTGTTGGCCAAGCTGGTCTCGAACTCCTGACCTCAAATGATCCGCGCCTACCTCAGCCTCCCAAAGTGCTGAGATTACAGGCATGAGCCACTGCGCCCAGTCTATTTTTCCAAAGAAAAGGTTTCCTACTGTAGCTACTGTTTTGTAGTTTACATTTTCTTTTTTTTTTTTTTTTTTTTTTTTTGAGACGGAGTCTCGCTCTGTCGCCCAGGCTGGAGTGCAGTGGCGCGATCTCGGCTCACTGCAAGCTCCGCCTCCCAGGTTCACGCCATTCTCCTGCCTCAGCCTCCCGAGTAGCTGGGACTACAGGCGCCCGCTACCACGCCCGGCTAATTTTTTGTATTTTTAGTAGAGACGGGGTTTCACCGTGTTAGCCAGGATGGTCTCGATCTCCTGACCTCGTGATCCGCCCGCCTCGGCCTCCCAAAGTGCTGGGATTACAGGCGTGAGCCACCGCGCCCGGCCTGTAGTTTACATTTTCACTTAATAATGTATCTTGGAAATCACTCCATAGGAGCTCATAGAGACCTTCATCTCCATAGCTGCGTAGCACTCCACTGCTGGAGGCACCATGCTACACTCAGCTACCCGACTGCTTGACTGCAATTGGTCGTCTAAGGCATTTTTGAATTGTTAAGAGATTTGCCTTCAGGGAAAATGTTGAGAAGTAGGATTGCTGGATTGCACCTGTAGTTTTGTTGGATGTTGCCAAATTCTTCTCTGTTCCAGGAGGATGATGTGCCCCAGTGATTCCTGCTTCCTGAGATTTATACCTCTGTGTAGTCCTCTTATATCATAGTAGGGTTGGTCTCTGTGACCAGCAGAATATGACAGAAGTGAGGTTAAAGTACTTCCAAAATTAGCTTTAAAATACCACGCACAGGCAGGGTGCGGCGGCTCACTCCTACACCCCAGCCCTTCGGGAGGCCAAGGTAGGAGGATCACTTGAGGTCAGGAGTACAGCCTCGCCAACATGGCGAAACCCTGTGTCTACTAATAATACAAAAGTTAGCGAGGCATGGTATCACGCGCTTGTAATCTGAGCTACTGGCATGGCTGAGGCAGGACAATTGCTTGAACCTGGGAGGTGGACATTGTAGTGAGCCAAGGTGGCGCCACTGCACTCCAGCCTGGGCAACCGAGTGAGACTCCATCTCAAAAAACATAAATTAAAAAATGAGGGCCGGGCGCAGTGGCTCACGCCTATAATCCCAGTACTTTGGGAGGCCGAGATGGGCAGATCACAAGGTCAGGAGATCGAGACCATCCTGGCTAACACAGTGAAACCCCGTATCTACTAAAAATACAAAAAAATTAGCCGGGCATGGTGGTGGGCGCCTGTAGTCCCAGCTACTCCGGAGGCTGAGGCAGGAGAATGGCGTGAACCTGGGAGGCGGAGCTTGCAGTGAGCCGAGATTGCACCACTGCACTCCAGCCTGGGTGACAGAGCGAGATTCTGTCTCAAACAACAACAATAACAAAAAAGAAATAAAGTGCACATATGGAATCTCAGTGGAGTTCAATTAGCTAAACCAATCTTGAAAAAGAAGGCCAGGTGTGGTGGTGCATGCCTGTAGTCCCAGCTACTCAGGATCCTGAGGCAGGAGGATGATTGAGCCCAGGAGTTCAAGGCTGCAGTGAGCCATGACTGTGCCATTGCACTCTCTCCAGCCTGAGCAACAGAGTGAGATCTTATCTCTAAAAACAAAACAAAACTATGACACAAACACACACATACACACACACACGATTATTTAGCCTTTTTTTAAAAAAAAAGAAAGGAAATCCTATGTAACCTCACATGGAATCCAAACAAGCTGAACTCCTAGAAGCAGAGAGTACAATGTTGCGTGCCAGAGGATGGGGTTGGTGGAAGGAATGGGGAGATGTTGGTCAAATGGTACAAACTTTAAGTTAAAGGATGAGTAAGATCTGGGATGTAATGTATAGCATGGAGATTTTAGTTAATACTACTATATTGTATGATGATTGGAATTTGCTAAGATAGTAGATCTTAACTATTTTCACCACACAC
This sequence comes from Homo sapiens, assembly GCF_000001405.40. Classification (NCBI taxonomy): domain Eukaryota; kingdom Metazoa; phylum Chordata; class Mammalia; order Primates; family Hominidae; genus Homo; species Homo sapiens. Next base: position 89,214,674 of record NC_000016.10, read on the forward strand.
TCAAAAGAAGGTGCCTAGCTGAGGGGATGGATGTGTAGATCTGTTTGATCATGGTCATTTCACAGTGTGTGCATACATCAAATCATCACATTGCACATCTTAAGTATATATGATTTTTTTAAATCTGTCAGTTGTACCTCAATAGAGCCTGGGGGAGAAATGGTGCTGGAGAAAACTGGATATCTACATGCAGAACAGTGGAGCTGGACCCTTACTTTATACCACATATAAAAATTAATTCAAAATGAATCAAAAACCTAAATGTAAGCGCTAATGTATAAAACTCTTAGAAGAAAACATAGAGAAAAAACTTCATGGCACTGGAATTGGAAATGATTTCTTGGTTATGAAATCACCCACACAGGCAACTGAAGAAAACTAGATGAATTGGACTACATCAATATTACAAATTTTGTGCATCCAAGGACAATCATGAGAGTGAAAAGGAAACCCACAGAATGGGAGGAAATATTTGCAAATCTTGTGTTTGCTTAAGGATTAATATTCAGTTTATTAAGAACTCCTATAACTCAAGAATAACAACAAAACCAATTTAATTCAGAAAAGGACTTATAATAAAGAAGATAACAGATGGCCAATAAGAACATGAAAAGATGATCAACATAACTAAACATTAGGGAAATGAAAACAAAAGCCACAGTGAGATCACATTACCCCGGTGGTGATGGCTCTTAGCCATTAAATAGGAGGTAACTGTTGGCTGGATGTGGTAAAGTTGGAACCTTGTGCACCTGCTCATGGGAATACAAAATGGTGCAGCAGCTCTGGAAAACAGGACAGTGGTTTCTCAAAACATCAGACAGAATTATCATGTGACCCAGCCATTCCACTTTTGCATATATATCCAAAAGTGCTGAGAACAAGGGTCCAGGATATTTTTGCACACGATGCTCAAAGCAACATTATTCACAATAGCCTGCTGGTGCCAAAGTCAAATTTTAATACATTCAGTTACTTAAAACATATCCGTGCGGTGGCTCACGCCTGTAATCTCAGCAGTCTGGGAGGCTGAGGCAGGAGGATCACGAGGTCAAGAGATAGATACCATCCTGGCTAACATGGTGAAACCCCATCTCTACTAAAAATACAAAAATTAGCTGGGCTTGGTGGCACGTGCCTGTAATCCCAGCTACTCTGGAGGCTGAGGCAGGAGAATCGCTTGAACCTGGGAGGCGGAGGTTGCGGTGAGCCAAGATTGTGCCCCTGCACTCCAGCCTGGTCGACAGAGCAAGACTTCGTCTCAAAAAAACAAAACAAAACAAAATTAAAAGAAAAAAAAACATATCCCAAGGGCAGGCACGGTGGCTGCAGTGGCTCACGTCTGTAATCCCACCACTTTGGGAGGCCGAGGCGGGTGGATCACCTGAAGTGAGAAGTTTGAGACCAGCCTGGCCAACATGGTGAAACTCCGTCTCTACTAAAAATTACAAGGTGGGCACCTGTAATCCCAGCTACTTGGGAGGCTGAGGCAGGAGAATAGCTGGAACCTGGGAGGCGGAGGTTGCAGTGAGCCAAGATCGTGCCACTGCACTCCAGCCTGGACGACAGAGGGAGACTCCGTATCAAAATTAATAAATAATAAATAAAACACATCCCAAACACTCATAGTGTTGAACCATTTAGCATGTGGTTGCTTTGTATACTTCGTGAAATTGTGTCCAATCTCTGCTAGCCATAGATAAGATAAATCCTGGGGCTCTAAAGACTGCAAGCCGTTGCTGCCCTTCAGAGCTTTGTGACTCAGACACCTGTCAGGCTGCTGAGAAACGTGATCTAGTCACGTCAGCCCTCCCCCTGTCTGATCTCCTTCTTCTCTGGGAGTTCTCTGCGCGCCCCCCGCCCACGCTCATTTTTTTCTCTTTTCTGAGTAGTGACCCCCAATTCGAAGCCTGTGGGTAATCTCATGGTGCGTGAGACTCCCTCACCCTCCAACCTGTCAAAGCTTGTGCGCCACCGCCACCTCCTGGGCACATCTTGTTTCTTAATCAGCCACGAAATCACGTGAACACTTCACATGTGGTTTTGTTTTGTTTTTCACATTTAGACTCCTGATCCGTTTGGAGTTTATCCCTGTGAGATCCAGAATTAATTTCATCATTTCTCAGACGGCTAACCATTTGTCTTAGCACCTTTCATTATAAACTGCATGTTTGTTCCACCGCTCTGAAATTATGTTTATGAACCAAATTTCCATGTTACTGGGTTGATGTCTGGATATTCCATTTGTTTCCTGTTCATGTGTCACTAGCACACAGTTTTAATGACAGAGGCTGTTTTCGCATCTGTCGGGCATTGCGCTTTTGTTTGTCCGCGTCGTCTGCGTTATGAGACATTTGTTCCTCCATGTGAACTCCAGGATCAATATGCCTGGTTCCAAAAAAAAAACCTTTTCGTATTGTTACTGGAATCATGTGACATTTCTGAATGAACCTTGGGAGAACCCCTGGTATCAGTGCTATTTTGCAACGTAGTATAGGTGGTCTTGGCTCCTACGGTACATTAGAAAAGTAACAGAAACGCATATTTGAAGCGAAAAATAGATGAACATTTACAGAAAAAAAAAATACCACATTGAAAATGCAGTGGAATCAACTGTTAAAAGTTCGGCGTGATGTTCAGACAGATAAAAAGGAACGGGGCCAGTGACTCCCTGCAGAGATCGAGAGAAGACCGAGCACTCCCAGCACCCGCGGGCTTCTCGCTGTGACCGAACCGCGGGCCGCGCTCGCGACGAGCACTTCCTGGCTGTACCCGCCCAACCGCGCCCTCCTGGTCTGTTCCGGCTCCGCAGTTGCGTCCAGAGGCCTGATCCTTACGTCCGCCTGGTCCTCCGGGCCTGTCTCTGCCTCCAGCCCGGTTCCCAAGGGCGCCCCGGGGCCCTCCCGCACCCTCGCGGAAGAAACTACTACCTCCCCGCACCATAGGCCAAAGCTTCGGCCCGGAGGCTGGAGGCGGAAGTGACGCCAAAGACGCGCCGGCCCCTCTTCCGGCGCCGGCCCCGCCTCCGCCTGTCTTACAGCTGATCCGGTTCTTGCGGCGGTGCGTGCTGGCGCCGGAGAGTTCCGCGCGTGTCCTCGGGCTGTCCGCGGGGAAGCTGGTCCGGGAGTGGGCGCCCGCCCGCCTGCCTCGCGCCTTGCGCCCCCGGCACCGCTTCCAGAAGGGAAAGTCGCCGCCGCTCGCGGTAGACCCGGGCAGCGCTTCCATTCCGCGGAGCTGGTGAGAGAGGGGCCCTTTGCTTCCTTCACTTTGAACAGGGCGTGTTTCTGTGAGAATCTGGCTTCGGCTTTGACGTTTTTTATTTGTTTCTGGCACATTGTGTTGGGACCGAAGCGTAAGGTAGACCCCTGAGCGCCCCGGGCGTGCAGCTCCCTGTGAAAGTTAGCCCGTGGGGGCCAGCGGGAGCGCGCGTCCCTCGCCGCCGGGACTTCCAGGCCCGGCCCTCGGGGCGGGAGGGATGCGGCCGTTGTCCCGCTGGTCTTGGAGTAATCGAATCCACGGTGAACAGTGTGTTTCGACTAACTGTATTTTTTCTCACGTTTTGCTTTAGAAAATCTGAATCTAATAAAAATGTGAACATCTGCTACAAGGAATATCCACTGCAATCGTTTTACTCCTTTTTAGCTTTGGGCCATGTTTTCTCTCTCCCCCAATAAATAAACCTTACGGTGAATTATTATTTGAGTGTAAGTAAGTTGAAATTAAACTGCACACATGATACTTAACCTTTAAATACTTGGTAAAGCGTCTGTTAAGGGTAAGGACATTATCCTACTGAAACCACAATATTAGTATTTCATCTAAGAAAATTAAAATTAGGCCGGGCGCGGTGGCTCACGCCTGTAATCCCAGCACTTTGGGAGGCCGAGGCGGGTGGATCACGAGGTCAGGAGACCGACACCATCCTGGCTAACACGGTGAAACCCCATCTCTACTAAAAATACAAAAAATTAGCCGGGCGTGGTGGCGGGCTCCTGTAGTCCCAGCTACTCTGGAGGCTGAGGCAGGAGAATGGCGTGAACCCGGGAGGCGGAGCTTGCAGTGAGCCGAGATGGCGCCACTGCACTCCAGCCTGGGCGACAGAGCGAGACTCCGTCTCAAAAAATAATAATAATAATTAAAAATAATAAGGTCCGCTGGGCACAGTGGCTCACGCCTGTAATCCTAGCACTTTGGGAGGCCGAGGCGGGTGGATCATCTGAGGTCGGGAGTTCAAGACCAGCCTGACTAACATGGAGAAATCCCGTCTCTACTAAAAGTACAAAATTAGCCTTGCATGGTGGCGCATGCCTGTAATCCCAGCTAGTCGGGAGGCTGAGGCAGGAGAATCGCTTGAACCTGGGTGGCACAGGTTGCGGTGAGCCAAGATCGTGCCATTGCACTCCAGCCTGGGCGACAGAGCAAGACTCCGTCTCAAAAAAATAAAAAAATAAAAAAATAAGAAGGAGGTCATCCACTGTCTACTTTGTGTAATATCTAGGATTCTCAACATTTTTCCAACATTGCGCTGTTGGGTATTTTGGGGACTAAGAGCCCTTCAAGGTTTATCTGTTCCCATCGTTTATGTCTTTTCACCTAGAACAACCCCTGTGGTTTCTCTATCATATTGACTTTGGTGTTGTTTTCTCGTGATACGTTTAAATATTCCTCCATTTCTTGCTGCTTCCTATGAACTTGTAATTGAATTCAGAGGAGAGGTTGGCAAAGGGCGGATAGTAAGCACCTTATGCCTTTGGGTCCACGAGGTCTCAGATGGCTGAGTTCAGCCTTAGTCACCTCATGTCCCATGTTAGCTGTTCCTTCTCTACTCTGTCCTGGTTCCAAGCCCCAGCCTATTTCTGAAAAGGTAAGTGGTCAGCTGCATAGATGACCGTTTAGAGGGTGTAGATTTACTCTGAAATCCCAGAGGGTTGTGCTCTGAGTCTTATCAGTGCTTGCCAGAGGCATCCAGCGGCATCCTGTTTACCATGGACGCTGTGTCAGTGGGTCTGCTGGGTCCTTTCCACCAAGTGCCTAAGAAGCTTGTCCTGCACCCTGAATGTGCACTGATCCACACTTGGCACTGGCAGCCTTACAGGCAACTGTGTAGAGCGTTAACGCTGTTATATACGTTGCCCCTAAAATTAAAAGATCTGCAGAGTGTTGTGCCTCTTTTTTGGTTATAGGTGTCATGAGGTGCAGTAACTTGGAGGTGCATATCGGAGGGGATGTCTTTATGTAATCCAGACTGCTGAACTCGTAGAAACTATGGCCCCTGAATCACAAGCTCTCTGTTGTGTATATTTCATATGAAGTTATCTAAAATGTGTTCATTTTCTGTTCACTGTATCCAACCAGCCTCATGTCAACATAGTGTATGAGTGCAGTCTGAGGGTCAGGTCCTCTGGGGATGATGTTAAGGTGGAGAACTGAATATTACATCCCTTTTTGAAGGAGGGAAAAGAGCCTGTGCAGGTGACAACAAAGTCAACACATTTGTGGGTCTTTTAGCCCAAAGACCTCGCCCCCGCCGACACCTAGTAGTAAGTACAGTTTATACAAGGAGAATGGACATGTTTTTCTGACATGTGAAACTTTACTGTTTTAGTCACCTCATCGGTAGAATAAGAAAGTACAGCTCTAGACCTACCTTTGTCCTGCTGGGGAGTGACCGCAGACTCAGGAGTACAAACTGACGAGACCGGGGCGGGGCACGGTGGCTCACGCCTGTAATCTCAACACTTTGGGAGGCCGAGGTGGGCGGATCACGAGGTCAGGAGATCAAGACCATCCTGGCTAACATGGTGAAACCCCACCTCTACTAAAAATACAAAAAAATTAGCTGGGTGTGGTGGCACTCGCCTGTAGTCTCAGCTACTTGGTAGGCTGAGGTGGAAGAATTGCTTGAACCTGGGAGGCAGAGGTTGCAGTGAGCCGAGATTGCGCCACTACACTCCAGCCTGGGTGACAGCAAGACTCCATCTCAAAAGCAAACAAAACCTGTGACGAGATGGTCGAACATGTACCAGCTAACCGTCCTGGTTCACCACTTCCTAAGTGGATGATGTGGACCAGTTCATGTTATCTGAATCCAGGCTGTTTTAGGTATGAACACGGGTGAAATCTGTGAATGGCTGTTCTGATAATTAAAGGCTTCTGTTGTGTCTTTTGACCCATATACTGCTCTTCAGTAGGTGACGTGGATATTACTAGTCCTCAAGAGAGTAAAGTGGATATAGTGGCTTTCACATATATCATCTGCAGAAACAAGCTAATGCGTGAGGTTTGATAACTGGGAAGTAATGCTTCTTCATCATGATTGCTAGGAAATAGGGATCCAGCCATCCGTGGGTCAGGAGGAATGGAGACTGTACCTTCCACATAGATTCACAAGCTGCCCTGCAGTGGCCTTGGCTTCAGGAAAGGAGCATTCAGACGCTTCCGTCAGCCTCCCAGGATGGCAGCCCCTGACCTGGCCCACGGTAAGTCCTGGTGGGGCTCCTTCTCAGAGCCTCTGCTCTAGGTCCTGATACACAGTGTGTGTATCAGGCCCATGGACGGGGCCTGAGTAGTCACGCTCCGGGTTCCTATTGCAGCTGCTGGAGTGAGCCAGAGAATGCTGACCTGTAAGTCAGCCCCAGGGTGTGTGCTTTGGGGAGGGATGATGTGTAAACTCCTTCATGAGTTTTCTCACCACGGGCAAATGAAGAGTCACGTTCCTCAAGGCGTACCGTTCCATATCTGCAATAGGAGCCTGTTACCATTTCCTGATGGGCGGCATAGCTCACAAACATTTTGTGTCACCAGGCGAAACAGACTACCCTGGCACTGTATGGCTGTGTGTGTGTCTGTGTGTGTTTTCCTGAGGCACTGTATGGCTCTGTGTGTGTGTTTTCCTGAGGCACTGTATGGCTGTGTGTGTGTGTGTGTGTGTGTGTGTGTATTTTCCTGAGGGACTATATTTTCCTGAGGCATTGTATGGCTGTGTGTGTGTGTATTTTCCTGAGGCAGTTTATGGCTGTATGTGTGTGTTTTCCTGAGGCACTGTATGGCTGTGTGTGTCTTTTCCTGAGTGTGCAAGAGTACATGGGAATTCCCTCGCTCTGTATGACTGTGTGTGTGTGTGTGTGTTCCTCAGGCAGTGTATGGCTGTGTGTGTGTGTGTTTTCTTGAGGAAGTGTATGGCTGTGTGTGTGTGTGTGTTTTCCTGAGGTACTGTATGGCTTTGTGTGTGTGTTTTCCTGAGTGTGCAGGTGTATGTGGGAATTCCCTGACACTGTATATCTGTGTGTGTGCGTTTTCCTGAGTGTGCAGGAGTACGTGATAATTTCCTGCTAGGATGGAATGACTTCCGGGTCCATGAGTGTGGAATTAGGGTCAGCTCTGGGTTCTCATGCCTTCTTGCCTTCTTTGTTTTTTAGGAGGTCATGTTTCTAGGGACTCAGTCTGCCTTCATGAAGAACAGACACAGGCAGCAGGGATGGTGGCTGGCTGGCTGATAAATTGTTACCAGGTATGCCAAAACTGTATTTTTTCTTAAAATAACATACTGGTATTCAGCAGATAGACAAGTTTCTGTCTGAGCAGACTTGTCTGCACAGCCTCACTCAAGGACCGAGTCCCTAGTTGAACGCCTCCAGGGAGAAGAGCCTGGCTGGTCAGGTGTTACTGTGAAAATCCTCCCCGTATTTCAGTGTTACTTTTTTTTTTTGAGACGGAGTCTCGCTTTGTCGCCCAGGCTGGAGAGCAATGGCCCAATCTCGGCTCACTGCAATCTCCGCCTCCCAGGTTCAAGCAATTCTCCTGCCTCAGCCTCCCAAGTAGCTGGGATTACAAGTGCCCACCAGCATGCCTGGCTAATTTTTGTATTTTTAGTAGAGACGGGGTTTTGCCATGTTGGCCAGGCTGGTCTTGAACTGCTGATCTCAAGTGATCCACCCGCTTTGGCCTCCCAAAGGGCTGGGATTACAGGCTTGCACCACTGCGCCCAGCCACAACATTACTCATTATTTTCACCCTTGTGCCAAATGCGTGTTTCGTACTTTGCTTAGTGCTCTGACACATGGTAAGGAAGGGGAAGGTATCCTCTCTGGGAACTTATTTCCACATCACGAGTTACCACTTGTTTGTAGTGTGCTCAGGAGAGGGACATAAGGCGAGGGGAGTGCCCAGTGAGCGTGGTGAGAGAAGCTCACATGTTAGAGGTGTCGTTGCGGCCGTGTGACTGGAGGAGAGCGACAGGGTGCGCGTGACTGGAGGAGCGCGACAGGGCACGCGTGACTGGAGGAGAGCGACAGGGTGCGCGTGACTGGAGGAGAGCGACAGGGCGTGTGTGCGGGCAGAGAAGGGTTCCTGGGACCACTGGGCCATGGGGTAGACAGTAGGAGGCCTCACAGTCCCATAGGCGTAGGGCCCCGCCTCCTCATTCTTCAGTGAATACCGATGGACACGTTGGAAGGCTCCAACCGTCATGTGTGATGATTTAGGACGCGGTGACCTTTGACGACGTGGCTGTGGACTTCACCCAGGAGGAATGGACTTTACTGGACCCATCTCAGAGAGACCTCTACAGAGATGTGATGCTGGAAAACTACGAGAACCTGGCCTCAGTAGGTGAGGCTGCCACCGTCCTTTGCAACTTCTGTGGAACCAATACTTGATGTGTCCTTACTGTGTTCCAGGGTTGGTGACGGCAAAGCCGAGTACCACGGGAAGTAAGAGATATAACAACTGTGCTAGTAGGCTTGGTGCTAGTGTGGTCGTTTCCAGAATGTGGTCCTGGGGTCATGAGCATCACCGTCACTCCTCTAGAAACATGCATTCTGAGGCTTCAGCTGGGACACATTGGATCAGAATGTCTCCTGGGGGTGGGCCTGTCATCTCTCCTGTAACAAGCCCTCCCGACGATGCCAATTCACTCTAACACTGAGAACCACTGGGTAGTAGTTTCCCAAGTGAATGAAGATCTCTTATTGCACTTCTGTTATTTCCTATTTGAGTAAGAGTCTTTGTGGTTTTTACGTGTATATTTAAGCCTGAATGTGGGCTTCAGGAATCAGAGATAACCAGTTTCTTTGGGGCGCAGAAGGATGGAGTATTTGCACTTTGAGCCCTTTTGAAACAATTTCACTGCATTCTTTAGAAATGTAGTTCCTGGCATGCCACTGCACTCCAGCCTGGGTGACAGAGCGAGACTCCATCTCAAAAAAAAAACAAACGTAGTTCCTGGCCGGGCGCGGTGGCTCATGCCTGTAATCCGAGCACTCTGGGAGGCTGGGTGCAGTGGCTCAGGGCTGTAATCCCAGCACTCTGGGAGGCCGGGCGCGGTGGCTCAGGGCTGTAATCCCAGCACTCTGGGAGGCCAGGCGCAGTGGCTTAGGGCTGTAATCCGAGCACTCTGGGAGGCTGGGTGCAGTGGCTCAGGGCTGTAATCCGAGCACTCTGGGAGGCTGGGTGCAGTGGCTCAGGGCTGTAATCCCAGCACTCTAGGAGGCCAGGCGCAGTGGCTCAGGGCTGTAATCCCAGCACTCTGGGAGGCAGGGTGTGGTGGCCACGCCTGTAATCCCAGCACTCTGGGATGCTGGACGCAGTGGCTCATGCCTGTAATCCCAGCACTTTGGGAGGCTGGGCGCAGTGGCTCACGCCTGTAATCCGAGCACTCTGGGACGCCAGACGCAGTGGCTCATGCCTGTAATCCTAGCACTTTTGAGAGGCCGGGGTGGGCGGATCACAAGGTCAGGAGATTGAGACCATTCTGACCAACACGGTGAAACCCCATCTCTACTAAAAATACAAAAAACTAGCCAGGCGTGGTGGCGGGCACCTATAGTCCCAGCTACTTAGGAGGCTGAGGCAAGAGAATCACTTGAACCCAGGAGGCAGACGTTGCAGTGAGCCGAGATTGCACCACTGCACTCCAGCCTGGGCAACAGCGCGAGACGCTGTCTCAAAAAATAATAAAAAAAAGGAAATGTAGTTCCTGTTCACGGGTAGGTTTGTCATCCCCTGCCTGAGCCTCTTCCATCGATGTCTCTTTCCCTGTGTACAGGACATCACCTGTTCCAACCCAGTGTGATCTATTGGCTGGAGCAGGAAGAGGAGTTGAGGGCAGGGCGGAGAGCAGTTCTCCAAGGTAAGTGTGAAGAGCACGCCTGGTCGATGTCAAGTTTAGCAGCTGTGGGAGGATCCTGAGTGTCAAGTTTAGCGGCTATGGAAGGATTGTGTCAAGTTAAGCGGCTGTGGGAGGATCCTGAGTGTCGAGTTTAGCGGCTGTGGAAGAATCCTGAGTGCACGTTTTAAGATGCATTCTGGCACAGAACATGAGGCTGTTGGCTCTGGGTATCCTGAGCTTCCCGTAATTCCTTATTTTCCATCTGATCTGGATTTTCCCTTTCTTGTGATCTCATAAAAAACCTGCTGTTTTGTTCTTTCAGTTTGTGGGTTTTTTTTTTTTTTTTTTTTTTGAGACGGAGTCTTGCTCTGTTGCCCAGGCTGGAGTGCAGTGGCACAATCTTGGCTCACTGCAAACTCTGCCTCCTGGGTTCACTCAGTTCTTCTGCCTCAGCCTCCTGAGTAGCTGGGATTACAGGTGCGTGCTGCCACGCCTGGCCAAGTTTGTGTTTTGAATGTATGCCCTTTGTCCAGCTCTTTCCTGCTTTCTTTCATTGATAATATTGTTTCTGTTCACCTCACATTTCTTCTTTATGGACCAAATGTATTTTAAAATCTTCTAAATTATGACTCCCAGTTCCTATGATTCCAAATTTTACACATAGCCAAACTCCTTAAATCTATCTTTGCTTTGTTTTTTTTTCTGCCATGTCTTATATGAAAACAAATACCAATGAGTTTGATCGTTTTTAGGTCATTCTTCTTTCTTTTCAGAATGGCGACTTAAAACCAAAGGGCCAGCACTTCGGCAGGATAGATCTTGGTTCAGAGCATCAAATGAGACACAGACGGTAAGATTAACAAGAGAGATTTTTTTATTTATCACACTCATAAAAGATTGGGAATTCCACTATAGAAAATGAGCAAAATTGAGAGAATTTAGAGAAGCAGGATTCACTCAGGCAGGGGTTGTCTGTAGAGAACACTCTGAATGTGCGGAATTTGGGAGGACCTCATCCTGTCTTGAAACTTGGTGCTTCAGACACACATCAGCGCACACATGACGAGGTCTTGAGATCGCAGAGCTGTTTTGTGCGCACAGACTTTTCGAAGTTAGAGCAGATGGTGCAGGATTCTTTTTTTTTTTTTTGAGATGAAGTCTCACTCCATCACCAGGCTGGAGCGCAGTGGCACGATCTTGGCTCACTGCAACCTCCGCCTCCTGGATTCAAGTGATTGTCCTGCCTCAGCCTCCCAAGTAGCTGGAACTAGAGGCATGTGCCACCATGCCCAGCTAATTTGTGTATTTTTAGTAGAGACGGGGTTTCACCATGTTGGCCAGGATGGTCTCGATCTCTTGACTTTGTGATCCTCCCACCTCAGCCTCCCAAAGTACTGGGATTACAGGCGTGAGCCACTGTGCCTGGCCGATTCTTTTTTTTGACATGGAGTTTTGCTCTTGTTGCCCAGGCTGGAATGCAACGGCGCAATCTTAGCTCGCCGCAACCTCTGCCTCCCTGGTTCAAGCCATTCTTCTGCCTCAGCCTCCTGAGTAGCTGGGATTACAGGCATGCGCCACCATGCCCAGTTAATTTTGTATTTTTAATAGAGACGGGGTTTCTCCATGTTGGTCAGGCTGGTCTTGAACTCCCGACCTCAGGTGATCTGCCCGCCTCGGCCTCCCAAAGTTCTGGGATTACAGGCATGAGCTGCTGCGCCCGTCCTGATGGCACAGGATTCTTGCAGTGGGGCTCCTCATTTGACTTGAAAGACATCTACAGGGCAGGAGCTGCTTGCATGTTATGAAAATGGCAAAAATCGTAATCATCATCGTCATGCTCTGTCTTCAGCTGGGTGAGATCTATGAATCAGCCTCAGTAACCCCCTGACCACCACTCATTCTTCACCAACAGGCAAGAAGCCACAATGGAGGGCAGCTCTGTGACCGCACGCAGTGTGGAGAAGCTTTCAGTGAACACTCAGGCCTCAGCACACACGTGAGAACTCAAAATACAGGAGACAGTTGTGTGTCTAATCATTATGAAAGGGACTTTTTTATTCCATGCCAGAAAACCTTGTTCAAAATTGGAGAGCAGTTTTCCGTGTTGGGTCAGTGTGGAAAAGCCTTCAGCTCTACTCCAAATGTTGTTTCCCAGCAAGCATGCACTCGGGACAGATCTCTTGACTACAGCAGCTGTGGGGAAGTGTTCCTTAATCAGTCATACCTTCAGGCACGTGCGGGAAGTCACAACGGAGAAGAAACATGGAAATGGAAGCCGTGTGGGAAAGCTCTAACTCACTCCATGGGCTGCGCCACACCTGTTGAAATGCATGCCGTCAGGAATCCCCACGTATGTAGGGAATGTGGGAAGGCCTTTAGGTACACTGCCTACCTTACTGGTCGCGTGCAAGTCCACCCTGGGGAAAAGCCCTGTGAATTGGAAGAATGTGGAAAAGCCTCCCCTGTTTCTTCCAGCCTAACTCAACATGTAAGAATTCATGCTGCAGAGAAACCCTGTGAATGTAAAGAATGCGGAAAAGCCTTCACTGGACTCTCAGGTCTTTCTAAACACGTCCAAACAGACCCTGGACAGAAGCCCTATGAATGTAAGGACTGTGGGAAAGCCTGCGGTGGGTTTTATCTACTGAATGAGCATGGAAAAACTCACACGAGGGAGAAGCCCTTTGCATGTGTGGTTTGCGGAAAATATTTTAGAAATTCCTCATGCCTTAATAATCATGTTCGAATTCACACTGGAATAAAACCCTATACATGCAGCTACTGTGGGAAGGCCTTCACTGTGCGCTGTGGCCTTACTAGACACGTACGAACACACACGGGCGAGAAGCCATACACGTGTAAGGACTGCGGGAAAGCCTTCTGTACATCCTCGGGCCTTACTGAGCATGTAAGGACTCACACTGGAGAGAAACCATATGAATGTAAAGATTGTGGGAAATCCTTCACTGTTTCTTCAAGCCTGACTGAGCACGCGAGAATCCATACCGGAGAGAAACCCTACGAATGTAAGCAGTGTGGCAAAGCCTTCACAGGGCGCTCAGGCCTCACTAAACACATGCGGACACACACCGGGGAGAAGCCCTATGAATGTAAGGACTGTGGGAAAGCCTACAATAGGGTTTATCTACTGAATGAGCATGTGAAAACTCACACAGAGGAGAAGCCCTTTATATGTACGGTATGCAGGAAATCCTTCAGAAATTCCTCGTGCCTGAATAAGCACATTCAGATTCACACTGGAATAAAACCTTATGAATGTAAGGACTGTGGGAAAACATTCACTGTTTCTTCGAGCCTAACCGAGCACATACGAACTCACACTGGAGAGAAACCTTATGAATGTAAAGTATGCGGAAAGGCCTTCACCACATCCTCACACCTTATCGTGCACATAAGAACCCACACCGGTGAGAAACCCTACATATGTAAGGAGTGTGGGAAAGCCTTTGCTTCCTCCTCACACCTTATCGAACACAGAAGGACTCACACAGGAGAGAAACCTTACATATGTAACGAGTGTGGGAAAGCCTTCCGTGCCTCCTCTCACCTGCATAAACATGGAAGAATTCACACTGGGCAGAAACCCTATAAATGTAAGGAATGTGGGAAAGCATACAATAGGTTTTATCTACTAAAAGAACATTTAAAAACTTACACTGAAGAGCAGGTTTTTGTATGTAAGGACTGTGGAAAATCTTTTAAGAATTCCTCATGCCTTAACCATCACACTCAAATTCACACTGATGAGAAACCTTTCTAATGTAAAGAATGTGGGGAAGCTGTCAGCTACACTCATTCACGTTGAAGACATGAAAGACCTCTCGTTCTCCAGATGTCCATGACTTGAGGAATGTGGCTAGGCAATCAGCATCTCATCACAACCCGGCAGGCAGGAACTCACCCTGGAGCCCTATGCAGCAGACACAGAGAAAGCCCTCAGTGTTCTCTAAGGTCTTGCTGAATATGGATGGTATCCAGTAGAGAGAACTCTATTGATGTGTGATATGCAGCAGCATTGTTGCTGTTCTGCTCAGTACTTTGATGATCCCTTGTGATCTCACAATGAAGAAAAACCTTAGGAGGGTGAGAATTGTTGGGAAGTCATTTTTTACATTACATCTTTCCTCACCCTTTAGTAAACGTGGTGATTGACACTTGAAGTGTTGTGAATGTATGGAAGATAGCAGTCGCTTCCCTGTGTTCTAAAACCTTGTGGGCTAACTTGAGACATGTCTTTCTGGGGGTTCTGTAGACGTATTTTGAATCTTTATGATGCTGCACTGATCATTCTTGGAGTGAGGACTCTGTTCCCTGTAGAAATCCTCCAGTCTGGTTGCTACAGTGTCCACGTCGCAGCCTGGCTAACAGTAGGCCTTGAGGACTCAGATGTGATCCTGTGTGAGCAGTGTAGGCTCTGGTTGGTTAGTCTTGAGGATCCAGATGTGATTCTTTGAGCAGCGTAGGCTCTGGTTGGTTAGTCTTGAGGATCCAGATGTGATTCTGTGAGCAGTGTAAGCTCTGGTTGGTTAGTCTTCAGGATCCAGATGTGATCTTGTGTGAGCACTGTAGGCTCTGGTTGGTTAGTCTTGAGGATCCAGATGTGATTCTGTGAGCAGTGTAGGCTCTGGTTGGTTAGTCTTGAGGATGCAGATGTGATTCTGTGTGAGCAGCGTAGGCTCTGGTTGGTTAGTCTTGAGGATCCAGATGTGATTCTGTGAGCAGCATAGGCTCTGGTTGGTTAGTCTTGAGGATCCAGATGTGATTCTGTGAGCAGCGTAGGCTCTGGTTGGTTAGTCTTGAGGATCCAGATGTGATTCTGTGAGCAGCGTAGGCTCTGCTTGGTTAGTCTTGAGGATCCAGATGTGATCCTGCGTGAGCAGCGTAGGCTCTGGTTGGTTAGTCTTGAGGATCCAGATGTGATCCTGTGTGAGCAGCGTAGGCTCTGGTTGGTTAGTCTTGAGGATCCAGATGTGATTCTGTGAGCAGTGTAGGCTCTGGTTGGTTAGTCTTAGGTATCCAGATGTGATCCTGTGTGAGCAGCGTAGGCTCTGGTTGGTTAGTCTTGAGGATCCAGATGTGATCCTGTGTGAGCAGCGTAGGCTCTGGTTGGTTAGTGTTGAGGATCCAGATGTGATTCTGTGAGCAGTGTAGGCTCTGGTTGGTTAGTCTTGAGGATCCAGATGTGATCCTGTGTGAGCAGTGTAGGCTCTGGTTGGTTAGTCTTAAGTATCCAGATGGGATCCTGTATGAGCAGCGTAGGCTCTGGTTGGTTAGTCATGCTCTTAGGCATGACCCACCTGTAGGGTCCCACACTGGCCAATGTTGGGGCATAACACAGCTCTACATTTTATGAAAATGCCCTTGTTCCTCTCCCATACCTGATCCCTTCAGATAAAACACCAGGGTGCAAGGAGGGGCAGAGTGGAGAGGGGCGAGGTCTGTACCCTGAGATGCCCCCGTTTCATGGCCGTGGAGGGAGAACCACCACCCCCCACGTGGGGAGGAGGGAATTCCTGTACCTTAGGCAGTGCCGGACGGGTGAGAGCCCTGAGTGTCCTTGTTGACCTCCAGATCCTCTTCACAGCATGCAGAGCGGTCCTGGCAGCTGCTGCAATCTGGCACTCCTGGGGCAGCTGCTGCGATCCGGCACTGATGAGGCAGCTGCTGTGATCCGGCATTCATGGGGCAGCTGCTGCGACCCGGCACTCCTGGGGCAGCTGCTGCTTGTGTGTGTGCTGCTCCTTTGTGTACCATGAAAACAGACCAGGGACACGGCTGGTCCTGATGTTCTGTGGCGCTTGGCCCTGTCACTGGCGCTTCTTGGATGAGGCCCTTAAACACACACAGTGGCAGAGCAAGACTTCATGTGAGTGACACGAATGTGTGTCCTCTGGCTGCAGCAATCCTGGGTTATGTTTTTTGTGGCCATCAGGGCAGCAGCTGCTTGGTGACTGTTTCTGTGGTGTTGAATCCCCACGGTATAAAGGTAATCTACAACGAGGTGAACAATAAATCCTGGATGGACAGACCCGTGCACCTTCATATTACGTGTTTGAAATCCTGGATGGACAGACCCGTCCACCTTCATGTCACGTGTTTGAAATTCTGGATGGACAGACCCATGCACCTTCATGTTACGTGTTTAAAATTCTGGATGGACAGACCCGTGCACCTTCCTGTCACATGTTTGAAATCCTGGATGGACAGACCTGTGCACCTTCATGTCACGTGTTTGAAATTCTGGATGGACAGAGCCATGCACCTTCATGTTACGTGTTTGTTGTGGAGAGGAGTGGGTTGTGCCATGTTTCTCTTGTGGGATTGAGTGTGGCTATTTAGCTCATCTGTTGCCACCTTTAATTGTTGGCATTGACACTAAAGGTCATCAGATTAGCGGGAACCAGCTTGTGGGGTTGTAGCGGCTCCTGGACTGGTCTCAGGTGACATCCTGATTGGCTGAAATAAGTCCTGCAGGTCTCTGCTAGAACTGACTCACAGTTGCCTGAGTCCAGAACTTGTGGGTCACAGGTGACGCCAGGACTGCATCATCCTGGTGCTCGGACTCCTAGTGACAGCATCCTGAGCAGGCGGTAGCCCAGACACCACCCTGCCTGATATGCCCACTGTTGGTGGAGACATCACCCCAGCACAGACCTCAATTAAGACGACTACCCCTCCGACGACTCCCCCTCCCTTCACTGGAGGTGACTTCACGCACTTCTTCAGAACCTCCTCAGCAGCGATGCCCATGGACTGGGGTTCCTAAGGCACAAATTTGATATTTGAGATTCTGTGATGAGCTGAGCTTGCTGTCCGCTAACCCGTGATCCTGGTGTAATCTCAACCAAAACCCACAGCCCTGCACCCCTTGCCTGTAGGAAAATCTGGTAGGAGTTAGTAGTGTCTGTGAAGTCTCAATAATTGATACCAAAATGTTTTGTTTCACCAGGAGGTGCCCGCCTCCTATCAGCCTCTGGGAAGGCCACTGTCTCCCCAGTGCCTTCTCCTCCGCTGCAGCTTTCCATCTCATCTCCTTACTCCCTTGACTTGGCTTCACACAGAGCCTCTTCTTTACACATACTAACTGTTTGCTTCATACCCTCCTGCAGCAGAACTACAGACCTGCCATCCTGATAATTGTCAAACTCATCCCTTTATCACCTTTATAACTCCTCAAGGATATTATCATTGGACCCCCAACATTTCAAAGTGATTTTCTTGAGTAATACCATATGCTGTGATGTGGATGTGATTGGTTTGCCCTCATCAAGTCTCATGTTGAGCTTTGACCCTCAGTGTGGCAGTGCTGGGAGGGGGCCTGGTGGGGGTTTGGGTCATGGGGGCACCCTCCTGAATGGTTGGATACCATTCATTCTTGCTGTGTCAAGCCTGGATTGGTTTGTAGGGGAATGCACTAGTTACTGGGAGCATGGTTGTGATAAAGCCAAGCCGTCCCTCGGGTTTGGCTCACTGCCCTTGACCTTCTCTGCCCTGTTTGACACAGCAAATAGTCCTCACCAGAAGCAGGTCAGATGCCAGTGCTATGCTTGCACAGCCTGCTGAACCATGAGCCAAATAAGCCTCTTTCTAAGTTACCCACAGCCTCAGATATGTAGCAACACAGACAGACTAAGACACCAAGCATGATGGAAAACTGGGTTATGGGCAGGACTGCAAGTACTGGTTAGGCAGATACCTGTATTTCTCTTCCTAACTCTCAGAACGTGTTCTGTGTCACTTAGGGCAACTTATGCCCTCCTGTGTGAAAATCTCCACTCCCAATGTCTGAGGGTTCCTCAGAGTAAGATAAAATATTAAAGGACCAATTGTATTAATTATGTTTTTTTTTTTTTTGTTAGGGTACATTTTCATCCTGGGGTCTTGCTGTGGGGGCTAGACCGTCCCTCTCAGGCTAGATCATTCCTAAAGATGGTAAACAACTTGCTGGAAACATGCACTGCATATACAAATCAACTCACTGCATATGCACATCAACTCACTGCATATGCAACTCAACTCACACCGTATATGCAACTCAACTCACACCGTGTATGCAAATCAACTCGCACTGCGTATGCAACTCAACTCGCACTGCGTATGCAACTCAACTCGCACTGCGTATGCGAATCCACTCACTGCCTATGCAACTCAGCTCGCTCTGCGTATGCAACTGAGCTCGCTCTGCGTATGCAACCCAGCTCGCTCTGCGTATGCAACTCAAGTCGCACTGCGTATGCAACTCAGCTCGCTCTGCGTATGCAACTCAGCTCGCACTGCGTATGCAACTCAGCTCGCACTGCGTATGCAAGTCAGCTCGCTCTGCGTATGCAACTCAGCTCGCTCTGCGTATGCAACTCAGCTCGCACTGCGTATGCAACTCAGCTCGCACTGCGTATGCAACTCAGCTCGCTCTGCGTATGCAACTCAGCTCGCTCTGCGTATGCAACTCAGCTCGCTCTGCGTATGCAACTCAGCTCGCACTGCGTATGCAACTCAGCTCGCTCTGCGTATGCAACTCAGCTCGCTCTGCGTATGCAACTCAGCTCGCACTGCGTATGCAACTCGCACTGCGTATGCAACTCAACTCGCACTGCGTATGCAACTCAACTCGCACTGCGTATGCAACTCAACTCGCACTGCGTGTGCAACTCAACTCGCACTGCGTGTGCAACTCAACTCACACTGCGTATGCAACTCAGCTTGCTCTGTGTATGCAACTCAACTCGCACTGCGTATGCAAATCAACTCACTGCATATGCAACTCAGCTCGCACTGCATATGCAACGCAACTCAACTCATACTGCATATGCAACTCAACTCACACTGTATGCAACTCAGCTCGCTCTGCATATGCAATTCAACTCGCACTGCGTATGCAAATCAACTTACTGCATATGCAACTCAACTCACTGCGTATGCAACTCAACTCGCACTGCATATGCAACTCAACTCGCACTGCGTATGCAACTCAACTCGCACTGCGTATGCAACTCAGCTCGCACTGCGTATGCAACTCAACTGTTGCAAGTACTTATTTCCGGCCACTTCCTTTTTCTAACTACCACACCAAGCCAGTATTTCTCCTCCCTGAAGTCAGCCCAGGATGAGGCACTAGACAGCAGGACATGCTGTATGCCCTTGGGCCTGCTGGAAGTATGCAGACTAGCCAGCCCCAGACTTCATCCTGCCCTGTCCTGCCTTTCCTGTGAAAACCCTGTGGCCTCTGCCTCCCCTGGCTCTGACTTCTGCCTCCTGCCCAGCTCTGCAGCTCCCCTTGGGCCCTGCCTGGAGTGATGTGCCGCCTTCTCTTGACACTGTGAGTGATAAACTTTCCATGTCAGGAACCTGTGTGTGTCACTCACTCACCTTGACGAGTCCGCGTCTAGGCCCCACCAGTGGTGTGGTTTTCCTCATAGTCTCTCTACCTAAGCACATGTCTGTGACAAGGTCTTACCCAGCCCAGGGATTCTTGAACTATCTGTAGGAACTGCCATGTTGACTCCTGGGCAGTTTTATTCTTTCTCTCTACTCGTTCAACCTTCTTAGGGAGTGACGTTTTTTCCAAAGTGGTTGTGAAACAGCATCTCCTTGGGGTGTTGGTTTGCACTTCTCTTCATTACTGATAGTATGAACATGGTTTTGCTTACGCTGGCTATTTTCCTTTTTGGATGAAGTACCTGGTCTTGTTTTTTCCTGGTTTGTTTGATCTTTGTTCTTTTTTAGAAATAGTGAGGCTGTTGTGAGGTGAGTCACCACTTGTGACTTAGAAGATTGCAGTGGTTTCCACTTCACCTGTTTCCACTTTTGTGATGATGCCTTAAGGAAAAAGATTGTGCCAGGTGTGGTGGCTCAGGCCTGTAATCCCAACACTTTGGGAGGCCGAGGTGGGTGGATCACAAGGTCAGGAGATCAAGACCATCCTGGCCAACATGGTGAAACGCCATCTCTACTAAAAATAGAAAAATTGGCTAGATGTGGTGGTGCACGCCTGTAATCCCAGCTCCTTGGGAGGCTGAGGCAGGAGAATTGCTTGAAGATGGGAAGCACAGATTGCAGTGAACCGAGATCGCGCCACTGCACTCCAGCCTGGCAACAGAGTGAGACTCTGTCTCAAAAAAAAAGGAAAAATATTTCTTAATTTTGGCATACTCAAATTTATACAACCTTTCCTTTATCTTCATCAGAAATTTCTTTTCTCCTAAGGCCTTAAATATGCTGTACTATTTTGGCTTCCACAGTTTCTATGTTTTATCCCAAGTTGCTTAATCCATTTGGAGTTGATTTTTGTTGACCGTATCTGTAGAGTGTAATGTCATTTTTCCCACTATGGACATAAAAATTTTTGCAAGGCCTCTTTTTTTTAATGAAGAAAAGAGGTTTATTTTGTTCACAATTCTGAAGGCCTGGAGGGTCCCAGAAGCTTGGCACCAGCACCCACTAGGCTCCAGATCGGGGCCTCATGCTGACTTCCGTTTTCACACAACGAGTGGGAAACAGGTGTCCTAACACTGTGAGAGAAAAAATCCGAAAGTTTAGTTTTTCCCATTCGCTTGCCCTGGCCTCCAGGCAGTCCTGCAGCAGCAAACACATCATCAGCCTTAGGAGCTGGCCTGTGAGGTTGACCACTCTGTAGGTGGACGAGCCTCGCCCGAGAAGAGACATGAGCAGTTCTGCGTAGGCTTTAAGACAGAATCAACATGGAAAGCACGACCCACATGGTTTCAATAGAACTTGCCTCCTGAACCTGACTAGGTTACTCGCCTGATGAACCAGTATCTCCATCACCCGTGGGACTGACAGACCCAGAGTGTCATAACCTAAAATTCAGAAGTGTAGACTATAATCTTAAATTATTCAGCATATGTGCAACAGCCTTGGGGAGCAGTGTTATGATACCAAATGGCTAACATTCATGACCTCAGTATCCTGGAAGAAAAGGAGAAAGTGTGATGTAGTAAAACCACTTGAAAAAATAATGATGAAACATTTCTCATATTTGGTGTAAGATAAAAACTTAAGTTTGAAGAGGTTCCATGAGCCCCAGACAGGATAAACCTAAAGAAAACCAAGCCCAGGCCGGGGGCGGTGGCTCACACCTGTAATCCCAGCACTTTGGGAGGCCGAGGTGGGCGGATCACAAGGTCAGGAGATCATGACCATCCTGGCCAACACAGTGAAACCTCGTCTCTAGTAAAAAAAAAAAAAAAAAAGAAAAATACAAAAATTTAGTTGGGCGTGGTGGCGGGCGACTGCAGTCCCAGCTACTGGGGAGGCTGAGGCAGGAGAATGGCGTGAACCCGGGAGGCAGAGCATGCAGTGAGCTGAGATTGCACCACTGCACTCCAGCCTGGGCAACAGAGCGAGACTCTGTCTCAAAAAAGAAGAAAGAAAAGAAAACCAAGCCCCTGCCACCACGAAGCTGCCGAAAGCTACAGAGTGAAAGTCTTGGAAGGAGGCTGAGAAAGTGGACACAGTGCTTCCAGAAGAACAATTCAATTGACCGGGTTTCTCGTCGGAAGCCATAGAGGCCAACAGGAAATGTAGGAGCATTTTTCAAGTTCTGAAATAAAAAGAAATGCCAACCCAGATTGCTATATCCAACAAAATATCCTTTAGGAATGAAACAGAAGTAACGATGAGGCAATACAAAGAATTGCCTGCAGACCTGGTTTAAATAAATGGTTACAGAAAACTCTTAAGGAAACCTGGAACAAAGGAAAAGCAATAGAAGAGTAAATACCTGAGTAAATAGATCAGATCATTCTACTCTTGAGTTCTTTAAAATATATATTATTGTCAAAAGCAAAAATTATCACATGGGGTTTCAACTGATGTATATTTAATACATAAGACAACTACAACATGAAGGTGAGGGGCAACGTGGCTGGACGGCGTGGAGGTTCCGTGCTCCATTTCAGTGGCAAAATACCATTCCAGAAGGACTGGAAAAGCTAAGTCTGTATATTTTAATTACTAAAGAAGTGTACAGCTGGGTGTGGTGGCTCACGCCTGTAATCCCACCACTTTGGGAGAGTGAGGTGGGTGGATCACTTGAGGTCAGGAGTTTGAGACCAGCTTGGCCAACATGGTGAAACCCCATCTCTACTAAGAAATACAAAAATTAGCTGTGTGTGGTTGGGGGCACCTGTAATCTCAGCTTCTCAGGAGGCTGAGGCAGGAGAATCACTTGAACCCAGGAGGTGGAGGTTGCAGTCAGTCGAGATTGTGCCACGGCACTCCAGCCTGGGTGACAGAGCAAGACTCTGTCTAAAAAAAAAAAGGACAATGAGATATACTAAAATGGTCCAATATGTTAATTAAAACATACTACTAAAAAAAGTGTTAAATAGCCTGAAAGAATTGTGATAAAGGGGAAACTGAGTACTGGGAACAAAAGAGAACAAGTAGGTAACGAAGTGGTGGCCAGGTGCGGTGGCTCAGGCCTGTCATCCCAGCACTGTGGGAGACCGAGGCGGGCGGATCACTTGAGGTCAGGAGTCAGACCAGTCTGGCCAACATAGTGAAATCCCGTCTCTACTAAAAATACAAAGTTAGCCAGGGGTGATGGTGGGAGCCTATAATTCGAGCTACGTGGGAGGCTGAGGTAGGAGAATCACTTGAACCGGGGAGGTGGAGGTGGCAGTGAGCTGAGATCGCGCCACTGTACTCCAGCCTGGGTGACAGCAAGACTCTGTCTAAAATAAAAAATAAAAAATAACTGGTAGAGCTGAATCCTAGATAATCAAACACATTAGTGCACATGATCAGCTGGGCACTCACGCCTGTAATCCCAGCACTTTGGGAGGCCGAGGCGGGTGGATCACTTGAGGTCAGGAGTTCCAGACCAGCCTGGCCAACACGGTAAAACCTTGTCTCTACTAAAAATACAAAAATTAGCCAGGTTTGGTGGCTCATGCCTGTGGTCGCAGCTACTCAGGAACCTGAGGCAGGAGAATCATTTGAACCCAGGAGGTGGAGGTTGCAATGAGCCAAGATCGTGCCACTGCACTCCAGACTGGGCAACAGAGCAAGACTTCATCTCAAAAAAAAAATATGATCTACACATGCTATTTAAAGATAGGACAGATAAAAAGTGTGACGCATCAGTATGTCATCTACAAGACACTTCAAATACAATGACGTAAATAGGTTAATAGTACCATGTAAACATAATAAAGTGGAGAGGCTGTATTTAACATCAGAAAAAATGACTTCAGCACAAAGAAAATTACCACAGGGTGTTGAGTGCAGTGGCTGATGCCTGTAATCCCAACACTTTGGGAGGCTGAGGTGGCTGGCTCACTTAAGGCCA
Organism: Homo sapiens; assembly: GCF_000001405.40. Taxonomy (NCBI): domain Eukaryota; kingdom Metazoa; phylum Chordata; class Mammalia; order Primates; family Hominidae; genus Homo; species Homo sapiens. Next base: position 89,238,115 of record NC_000016.10, read on the forward strand.
GCAGTTCAAGACCAGCCTGGGCAACATGGCGAAACCCTGTCTGTACTAAAAATACAAAATTAGCCGGGCATGGTGGCAGGCACCTGTGATCCCAGCTACTTGGGAGGCTGAGGCAGGAGAATCTCTTGAACCCGGGAGGTGGAGGTTGCAATGAGCCGAGATAGCGCCATTGCACTCCAGCCTGGGCAACAAGAGCAAAACTCCATCTCATAAATAAAAGTTAAAAGCAAAATGTGATAAAAGACCACAAAAATGAAAAATTACAGTGTTAATTATATTGATTCAAATTAGTTATGTTAAATATTAGCAAATAATACAAAACCACATTGAGAAAATAATAAACCATGACCAAGTGGAATTTAAGACTGCAACTGGTTCAATTAGAAAGCCTATTAAATACTACACCATATGAATCCATCTAAGAAGATAAGGCATGTGATTGTATCCATAGGTGTTGATGAAGCCTTTGGGAAAATGTGGTACCTACTATTGATAGACGCACTCAAAATAGGAATTGGTGAATACTTTCTTAGGACGCCTGTGTCTGTAGCTATATGTGTGTGTGTGTGTACTGGAAGTGTTACCTAATGCAATTGGGCAAAACAGATTTGCAAAAAAGTGAACTATCTCTTGTGTGCATTATATGATATACATGGAAAGCCCTGTAGAATCAGTAAAAACATTTAGTAAGTTAGAGGAGGTGAAGTTGCCGTCAAAACATAGATGGTCTTCATCTACACAACCAATAACCAGTGAGGTGATATGATAGTAGAGAAAACTTATTTATAATAGCAATAAAACAATGCTTAGAAATAAATTTATCAAGAAATGTATAAAACCTAAATGAGGAAACTTTTTGTTTGTTTGTTTGTTTGAGACAGAGTCTCGCTCTGTCATCCAGGCTGGAGTGCAGTGGCATGATCTCGGCTCACTGCAACCTCCACCTCCTGGGTTCAAGTGATTCTCCTGCCTCAGCCTCCCAAGTAGCTGGTATTACAGGTACCTGCCACCACGCCCGGCTAATTTTTGTATTTTTAGTAGAGACGGGATTTCACCATGTTGGCCTGGCTGGTCTCAAACTCCTGACCTCATGATCTGTCCGTCTCGGCCTCCCAAAATGCTGGGGTTACAGGCGTGAGCCACCGGGCCGTGCCCGGCCATGAGGAAACTTTAAAACACTTTTTTTTTTTAGATGGGGATTTGCTCTGTCCCACAGGCTGCAGTGCAGTGGTGTGATCACAGCTCACTGCAGCCTCGACCTCCAGGGCTCAAGCGATCCTTCCTCCTCATCCTCTCAAGTAGCTGAGACTACAGGTGCACACCACCACACCAGGCTAATTAAAAACTTCTAGGCCAGGCGCGATGGCTCACGCCTGCAATCCCAGCACTTTGGGAGGCTGAGGCGGGTGGATCACGAGGTCAGGAGATCGAGACCATCCTGGCTAACATGGTGAAACCCCATCTCTATGAAAAATACAAAAAGTTAGCCAGGTGTGGTGGCGGGCGCCTGTAGTCCCAGCTGCTTAGGAGGCTGAGACAGGAGAATGGTGTGAACTCAGGAGGTGGAGCTTGCAGTGAGCCAAGATCACACCACTGCACTCCAGCCTGGGTGGCAGAGCAAGACTGTCTCAAAAAAAAAAAAAAAAAAAAAAAAAAAAAAAAAAAACCACATAGACTTGAACAAACGGGCAAATTCCTTGTTCTTTGATGGGATGACAACATCATAAAAATCCCATTCTTAATTCAGAAATGAAACATAATCCCAGTTACAACAGCACCAAAAGCTTTTTGTGGAGTTAATGCAGATTGACGCTGAAGTTCATGTGGGGGCACAGACGTCTGATGGTGCCCAAGAAACCCAGGAGACAAAACTGATGCTTCCCTGTGGACACTGCAGCATCCTCTAAAGCCGCTGTAATTAAGGTATGTGACACATGACCAGGAAGCAGACAGATGGACAAAAATGGAATATCTGGAAATAGACCTAGCAACATGGAAATTTAGTTAATAAAGTGGGTATTTCAGATCAGTGGGGCAAAAATGCAGTTTGTAATGAAAGGTGCTAGGACAACTGGTGAGCTGTCTGAACAAGATGGTTTTACATGTATAAATTACACCGTTCAGGTCGAGTGTGGCGGCTCACGCCTGTAATCCTAGCACTTTGGGAGGCCAAGGGGGGGCAGATCAGTTGAGATCAGGAGTTCGAGACCAGCCTGGCCAACATGGTGAAACCCCATCTCGGGCAGGCGCAGTGGCTCGCGCCTGTGATCCCAGCACTTTGGGAGGCCGAGGCAGGCGGATCACGAGGTCAGGAGATCGAGACCATCCTTGTTAACACAGTGAAACCCCGTCTCTACTAAAAATACAAAAAAATTAGCCGGGCGTGGTGGCGGGCGCCTGTAGTCCCAGCTACTCGGGAGGCTGAGCCAGGAGAATGGCGTGAACCCGGGAGGCGGAGCTTGCAGCGAGCCGAGATCGCGCCACTGCACTCCAGCCTGGGCAGCAGTGAGACTCCATCTCAAAAGAAAAGAAAAGAAAAGAAAAACCCCATCTGTACTAAAAATACGAAAGTTAGCCAGGCATGGTGGTGCGGGCCTGTAATCCCAGCTACTCAGGGGGCTGAGGCAGGAGAATTGGTTGAGCCCGGGAGGTGGAGCTTGCAGTGAGCCGAGATGGCGCCACTGCACTCCAGCCTGGGTGACAGAGCGAGACCCCGCCTTCCCCCCGCCCCCCAAAAAATTACACCGTTCACAGGAATAAGCTGCAAATGGATCAGGGATCTAAATGTGGACAAAACGTGCACACGTGGGTGATGTGAATGGTTTCGGGGCGATTGGGAAGAGGGCCTGGCCAGCAGGGGGCGGTAGCGCAGGCAGACCGGGTTCCGCGGTGCCTCGCCGGCTTCGGGGTGGGGGTCACCGCTCAGAAGGGGAGGAGAGCGAGGGACTTCCGGGGGGAAGGGAGGAGAGCGAGGGACTTCCGGGGGGAAGGGAGGAGAGCGAGGGACTTCCGGGGGGAAGGGAGGAGAGCGAGGGACTTCCGGGGGGAAGGGAGGAGAGCGAGGGACTTCCGGGGGGAAGGGAGGAGAGCGAGGGACTTCCGGGGGGAAGGGAGGAGAGCGAGGGACTTCCGGGGGGAAGGGAGGAGAGCGAGGGACTTCCGGGGGTAAGGGACTCGGTGAGGAACTCGGGGGATCGGAGAGGGGCTCGTGTGCTGGGCGACAGTGACACACTCAGCAGCCCGGCGGGAGCCGCGGTCGGTACCGTCTGAAGGGCAGCCGGGGCTGGGGGACCGACAGCTCTCAGGTGTCGGTTTTTCTGTGGCTAGCGGATGTTTGGCACCATTTCACAGGGCACACAGGGCAGACGGGACCTAGATGACGACAGATCTGCGTGTTTGGGCTCTGTTTGAAACAGACCTCAGCCAGAGTCTTGAAGAGCAGAACCCGGAGTGTTGAAGTCACAAGAGATCAACATCCCTACGGTGTGAAATCCTGAAAACGGCAAATCCCAAAGGACGAAACGCCCGAAAATGATGTCATCCTTTAAGTGTTTTCTTCTTTTTTCTTTTCTTTTTCTTTTCTTTTCTTTTTTTTTTTTTTTTTGAGTCAGGATCTCGCTCTGTCGCCCAGGCTGCAGTGCAGTGCCGCTATCGTGGCTCACTGCAGCCTCAGCCTCCTGGGCTCGAGTGGTCCTCCCACCAGAGCCTCCCACACTGCTGGGATTACAGGCACCAACCACCTTGCGCAGCTAGAGAGTAATTTTTAAACTTCTTTAAAAGACAGTTAGACTGGACATGGTGGCTCACGACGGGAATCCCAGCAATTTGGGAGCTCAAGCTGGGGGGATCGCTAGAGTCCAGGAGTTTGAGACCAGCCTGGGAAACAGGGAGACCGTGTCTCTACGAAAAAAAGTTTAAAAAATTAGCCGGATGTGGTGGCTCACGCCTGTGCTTCCAGGTATTCTGGAGGCTGAGGCAGGAGAATGGCGTGAACCCGGGAGGCGGAGCTTGCAGTGAGCTGAGATCGCCCCACTGCACTCCAGCCTGGGTGACAGAGCTAGACTCTGTCTCAAAAAAAAAAAAAAAAAAAATATATATATATATATATACACACACACACACGTATGTGTGTGTGTGTATATATACATATATATTTACTATATATTTATATATGTTATATATATAAATATAGATAGATGATCAGGAAAGACGTGAGAATGTCTTCAGTTGACACCTCAGGCTGAGCATCAGCACAGAGGCAGCCCACAACAACAAAAAACACAACAGTCAACAAAACCAAAACCCAGCAAACCCTGGGGAATGGGGAGAGTCTGACTTTCAGAGTTATATTATTAGATTCAAACGTCTAATTTTTTTTTTTTTGAGACGGAGTCTCGCTCTGTCGCCCAGGCTGGAGTGCAGTGGCGCGATCTCGGCTCCCTGCAAGCTCTGCCTCCCGGGTTCACGCCATTCTCCTGCCTCAGCCTCCCGAGTAGCTGGGACTACAGGCACCCGCCACCACGCCCGGCTAATTTTTTTTGTATTTTTAGAAGAGACGGGGTTTCACCGTGTTAGCCAGGATGGTCTCGATCTCCTGACCTTGTGATCTGCCCACCTTGGCCTCCCAAAGTGCTGGGATTACAGGCGTGAGCCGCTGTGCCCGGCCTCAAACGTCTAATCTTTAACAAAAGTTCCAAGCGGGCCAAGGGCACAGATGCTGCCTGCACCTGCGCAGCCACCCACCGTCGACAGGAGAGCAGAGGCACCAGGCCTGCTCCCACCACAGAGAGAAACGGGCTCCCCAGCCCAGCTCTGGGCTGGTCAGCAACCCCCACTCCCCACCCTGCCTGCTCAAAAGAAAGGGTCCTCGTGCCTCCAGCCCCCTCCACCCTCCCTCCAGGACCTTCCTGACCATGCGCTGGGCCTGTGCAGGTGTTGAGCCACACCCACGCCCTTCCAGGGGGCGGGGTCTCGAAGGGGAGAGCAGGTGCTATAGTCAACAGGAGGGAGGGCTTCTGGCCGAGGTGGCAAGGAGGCTCCAGGAGGAGAAGACAGTGTTGACCTGGGGCGTTGAGGGATGAGGAGTCCTGTAGGCAGCAGTGGAAAGGAAGGTGCTCCAGACAGGGGGCCTCGGGGAACAAGGGGATGCTGGAGTGTCACTGGTGATGAATCTGTTCGGGTCTGCAGCAACCTCAGTTCTTGCCTCCTTAGAAGAAAGAATTCAACCGAGGGGCATAAGGCAGAGGGAGAGACCGAGGCACGCTTCAGAGCAGAAGTGAAGTTTATTAAAAAGCTTTAAAGGAGGAAGGAAAGTACGCCTGGAAGAAGGCTAGGAGGGCACCTTGAAAGACCAGTGTGTGGTTTGACCTTCTGACTTGGGGTTTGATACAGTGACATAATGCGGGGTCTTGTGTTACTTCTCCCCACCCACCCAGCTCCTGAGATCTTAACGGGAAGCTGCTGATCACCAGCTTCAGCTGTTGTCTATCTGTTAGGAGGCTGTCTTTCCCTGGCGCTGGCTGTGACCAATTATTACTTTAGAGACAGTTAACAACTACCTGACCATCACCTCATGGTGGCCAGCACACCTGTTGTGTGTGTGTGGTGGTGGGGAGCCCTCTCCTGCCCTGCTCATACCCCCTAGCTACCCACACTAACATTTCCCCCCGCAGGAGGCCAAGACCCCAGTTCTTGAGGGAAATGGACAAAGGTCAGTCTTCTGTAACTGCTGTCTGCTGACAGAGGGGCAGCGGTGGTGGTTCTGTGAGTATTGGCCTCTTGCTGTCAGGGCACGGTTGGCTCCATGGGTTAGTGAAAGTGGTGGCCAGCCAGGGAGCGGTATCCAGGGAGACGGGCAGGATTGTGCCTCTGTCCTGTCCCCCTGATGGGCAGTCCAGGGGTCCCCTGTAGAAGGGTGGCTCTTGAATATTGAGAGGACCTATCTCTCACTGAGGACCACCTGGAGATTGATGACCTGAAGGCAAGAGGAGACAAATCAGGTTATTAGATTTAGAAGAATGTTTGTCTGGGCACGGTGGCTCATGCCTGTAATTTCAGCGCTTTGAGAGGTCGAGGTGAGCAGATCACCTGAGGGACAGGAGTTCAAGACTAGCCTGGGCAACGTGGTGAAACTCCATCTCTACTAAAAACACAGAAAAAAAATTAGATAGGCCTGATGGCACGTGCCTGTAATCCCAGCTACTTGGGAGGCTGAGGCATGAGAATCTTGAACCTGGGAGGCGAAGGTTGCAGTGAGCTGAGATCAGGCCATTGCACTCCAGCCTGGGCGACAGAGGAGGACTTCTTTAAACAAACAAGGCCGGGCACCGCAGCTCACTCCTCAGCACTTCGGGAGGCCAAGGCAGGCGGATCACGAGGTCAGGAGTTGGAGACCAGCCTGGCCAACATGGTGAAATCCTGTCTCTACTAAAAATGCAAAAATTAACCGGGCGTGGTGGTGCATGCCTGTAATCCAGCTACTCGGGAAGCTGAGGCGGGAGAATTACTTGAACCTGGGAGACAGAGGTTGCAGTGACCCCGCCATTGCACTCCAGCCTGGGCGAGACTCAGTCTCAAAAAAAAAAGATTTAGGTAGCTTCGCCCGGCTGGCAGACATGTATGGGCACCCGTGAGGGTCGGAGCAAAGGGCCAGATGGGACCACCGCTGGCTTCACCAAAGTGCCACAGGATCCACCTCCTATTCTAAGGGACCCCAGGGATACCCACGTCCTCGGTGGTGTCATAGACACAGCCCACACACCACCCAGCTAAGGGCCATAGCCATGACGCAGGCCTAAGAAATGAACCCCAGCACCTGCGGCCGCACCCTCCCTGTCCTGCCCATTTCAAGAGGGACTTGGGCAGCGGCTGGAGAACTGTGCTCAGTGGCATTTCCCGGCGAGGTGCTTGACCCTTGGCCTCAGCTCTGCGCCTCCCCATGCCCTTTCCAGTTCCTGGCTCTTTTTATCCAGCTTAATCTACTGCTGGGGGCCGTGCTATCCCTGAGTTTTTACTTTAAAATCTAACGTTTTGAACATATGTGTGTATGTATCTTTATAATAGGATGATTTACATTCCTTTGGGTATATACCCAGTAATGGGATTGCTGGGTCAGATGGCACTTCTGATTCTAAATCTTTAAGTAATCGCCACACTGTCTGCCACTATGGTTGAACTAATTTACACTCCCACCAACAGTGTAAAAGTGTTCCTTTTTCTCCACAACCTTGCCAGCCTATGTTGTTACTTTGCTTCTTTTTTTTTTTTCTTTTGTTTTGAGACAGTCTCACTCTGTCGCCAGGCTGGAGTGCAGTGATGCGATCTCGGCTCACTGCAACCTCTGCTTCCCGGGTTCAAGCGATTCTCCCGCCTCAGCCTCCCAAGGAGCTGGGATTACTGGCATGCGCCACCATGCCCGGCTAATTTTTTTGTGTTTTTGATAGAGACGGGGTTTCACCATGTTGGCCAGGTTGGTCTTGAGCCCCTGACCTCAAGTGATCTGCCCTCTTCTGCCTCCCAAAGTGCTGGGATTACAGGCGTGAGCCACTGCGCCCAGCCCATCTGTTGTTTCTTGACTTTTTTTTTTTTTTTTTTGAGACGGAGTCTTGGCTCTGTCGCCCAGGCTGGAGTGCATGATGCCATCTTGGATCACTGCAGCCTCAGCCTCCCAGGTTCAAGCAATTCTACTGCTTCAGTGGGGTCCCGAGTAGCTGGAATTTCAGGCACCTGCCACCACGCCCGGCTAACTTTTGTATTTTTAGTAGAGATGGGGTTTCGCCATGTTGGCCAGGCTGGTCTCAAACTCCTGACCTCAGGTGATCCACCCGCCTTGGCTTCCCAAAGTGCTAGGATTACAGGCATGAGCCACCATGCCTGGCCTGTTTCTTGGCATTTGAAAAATTGCCATTCTGACTGGCGTGAGATGGTATCTCACTGTGGATTTGATTTGCATTTCTCTAATGATCAGTGATGTTGAACTTTTTTTCATAGGTTTATTGGCTGCATGTATGTCTTCTTTTGAGGAGTGTCTGTTCACGTCCTTTGCCCACTTAAAAAATTTTTTTTTGTAAATTTGTAAGTTCCTTGTAGATTCTGGATATTAGACCTTTTTCAGATGTATAGACTGCACAAATTTTCTCCCATTCTGTAGGTCTCTGGTTAGCTCTGATGATAGTTTCTTTTGCTGTGCAAAAGTTTAATTAGATCTTTAGTTTAATGAGATCCTATTGGTCATTTTTTGCTTTTGTTGCAATTGCTTTTTGTGATTTGATCATTGCAGCACTATTCACAATAGCAAAGACATGGAATTGACCCCAGGGTCCATCATGATAGACTGGATAAAGAAAATGTGTTACATGTACATATACACCATGGAATACTATGCAGCCATAAAAAAGAAGCGAGATCATGTCCTTTGCAGGCACATGGGTGGAGCTGCAAGCCATTATCCTCAGCAAACTAACGCAGGAACAGGAAAGTAAACACGGCATGTTCTCACTTATAAGTGGGAGCTGAACAACATGAGCACATGGACACAGGGAGGGGAACAAAGCACACTCGGGCCTGTTGGGGGAGGGCGGGGGCAGGAGGGCATTAAGAAAAATAGCTAATGCATGTCCGGCTTCATACCTACGTGACGGGTTGATAGGTGCAGCAAACCACCATGGCACACGTTTACCTATGCAACAAGCCTGCACATCCTGCACGTGTACCCCAGATATTAAAAAAAATAAATACATCCGACGTTTCGTGAAAGCTGACTGGGCATTAGTGGATCCAAGCACCAAACAGGACGGCAGGTGGAGACGTGGGACAGAGGCGGGTGGAGAGAGAAGCCGGCGGGATCCAAGGCCCCAGGGCAGGCCCTGGCAGCGATGTGGCAGCCCCTCTGCAGTTTCCACGCTGGTAGTCGTGAAGTAAATTCTAGGCCCTGCTCCCCAACCGGCGCGGGCCGCCCTCGCCTTCAGCTCCAATGCTGCTGCGCCCCAGGCCGCCCCGCTCCTGGCAGGCCCCAGCCTCTGACTCAGCCCCCCGCCTAGCCCCTGAGAGCAGCCTCTCCGCGGGACTGGCCTGTGCGCGCGCGTCTGCGGCACCGTCGGACCAGGGGCCGCCCCCGAGCGGGGAGCCCAGGAGGACGGCCAGGTGGCCTGAGGCAGAGGCGCCAGGGAGGATGGAGAAGGGACACCCAGGGCCTAGGCGGGGTGGGGGCAGGGAGGGCGGCGGGACAGCAAGGAAGTGGGTGCACCTGGGTGACCCAGCTGCGCATGAGCGGGCAGGGGCTCGGGGCGCGCGGACTCCAGGCGCTGGACTGCGGCGTGGAGCAGCGCTGGGGAAACCGCGCCGGGTTCAGCGAGGATTGCTGGGCGGGGCGCGCGAGGAGCGAAGCTGGCCGGGGGCGGGGCCTGAGTCGTGTCGGGGCGGGGCCTAGACCCGGGCTGGCCGTGGTGGGCGGGGCCTGAGTCGTGAAGGGGCGGGCCTTGCAGGGGCGGGGCCTCGAGGGGCGGAGCTTGCGGTGACCAGCGAGGGGGCGGGGCTTAGAGCCACTAAGAAGCGGGACCCAGTGAGGGCTAAACGTGGGGCGCCGGGGGCGTGGCGCGGGGCGCAGGTGCACGCAGGTTGGCCGCGGGCGCGCGGGGTCCGGCGGGAGTCCCGGGGTGGTCCCCGCGTGGGGCCGGGGGCGTCCGCGCGGGCGGGGCGAGGTCGGGGAGGGCAGCTGCCCGCCCTCCTCGGCACTGGGAGCTTTCGGCTGGTACTGCGGGAGGAGCTCCCGGGTGACCCGCGGGTTCTGAAACCGCCGCTCGGGAGCTCGGGGCCTGCGCGGCGTCTACGGGGCGAGCGAGGGAGAACTGACGCCTTTCGCTCGGATCCTTCTCCCCTTCCGAGAACCAGGTAGGTCGCGTTTATTTTCAAGTCCGACTGTTTTCGCGGTAACATTTGTGAGAAACATCACGGTGGATCCTGTGGGTCGCTGAGTTTTCTGACTCCCGGTTTGTCTTATTTTGCTTTGTCAGTGGGCTCTGCGCTCGCGTTAACAATTCGAATGGGCACGTTTCTGAGTTTAAGAACGCTGTTCGCTTCCTCACACTTAGATTGAGGTGGAACTCACGTCACATAAACCGGGTCGCAAGGCTCAGCTCAGCGGGGCCCCCCCACAGTGTTGCGGGACCAGCACCTTCTCGAGCTCCGGAACAGCTTCTACCCGCGCAGAGCCCGGCCCGTCGGCGGCCGCTCTCCGCGCCCCTCCCGGGCCCTGCAGCCCCCGCCCTGCTCCGCGGAGCAGCCTGTTCTGACCTCCGTTCCATGGAGCCCTACGTGCTGTGGCTTCTGTGTTCCGGCGCCTTTCGCTTAGAATCGCGTCTTAAAGGTTCGTCCGCGGTGGAGCGGGGATCAGGCCCGTGTTCCTTTTCAGGAGTGAATAATATTCCCTGGTATGGAGACTGCGCTGAGATAGGACCTGGGCCACCCCCTCTGATTATTTCCCGCCCACCCCTTCACTGGCGCCAGCCCCACGGAGACCTCGCAGGTGCCGTGAGAAAGTGGAGATGAGCAGAGTCTGGACGCATGCGCGGGGCCGGGAGGTGCCGGCCGCAGCCTGCGCCGTCTCCTAATGCGGAAATCTGCACCCAGGGCGGAACTCGCCGGTGTCTTCCGCGCGCGCACTGCACGTGTCGGCATCCTTTCTAGTGCGCCTGCGCAGCCAGCACCGCCTGCACCTGCGCTGACGCTCGCTGACAGCAGTACCCTCCTGGGAAGCCACGCAGGACCCGTCTTCGGGAGCCCGAGAGCCTCCTTCCCGGGCGCCAGTCTTAATAAACTTTGTATGTGTGTGATGGAGCCTCGCTCTTTTGCCCAGGCTCACTGCAAACTCCGCCTCTCGGGTTCAGGCAATTCTCCCGCCTCAGCCTCCCTAGTAGCCGGGACTACAGGTGCCCGCCACCACATCCTGCAAATTTTTTTTTTTTTTTTTTTTGGTAGAGATGGGGTTTCACCATGTTGCCCAAGCTGGTCTCGAACTCCTGACCTCAGGTGATCCGCCCGCGTTGGCCTCCCAAAGTGCTGGGATTACAGGCATGAGCACCACGCCGGCCTTAATAGACGTTATCTGGGAGAAGTTTGTCGGGCCTCTTGTCGGTTTCTGTTGCTTGGCAAGGTAAGAACCTGCAGCAGTAACAGCATGGAGACTGATTTCGCTTGTCCCTTTCTCTCTGGATGGACGCGTGGGTGGTTTCCACTCTGCCTTCTCTGAGGGTGCCACGAGGAACATTGAGTTCCTATTTTCAGTTCTTTAGGGTATAAACCTACGGTTCAAATCAGGAGGTCCTATGGTAATTCTGTGTTTAAATCTTTGTACCCTTTACTTTTTCTTTTAAAGTACTTTTAAATTTTAATATTTTAAATGATGGAAAAATATACATAACATAAAACCTACCATTTAAACCATTTTTAGCTGAACAATTCAGTGGCATTGAACTTACGTAACCATCATGGTGGTCTATTTCCAAATTTTTTCTTCCCAAAAAGAAAGCACGAGGCCGGGCGCGGTGGCTCACTCCTGTAATCCCAGCACTTTGGAAGGCCGAGGTGGGCGGATCACGAGGTCAGGAGATCGAGACCATCCTGGCTAACATGGTGAAACCCCATCTCTACTAAAAATACAAAAAATTAGCCGCGTGTGGTGGTGGGCGCCTGTAGTCCCAGCTACTCGGTAGGCTGAGGCAGGAGAATGGTGTGAACCAGGGAGGCGGAGCTTGCAGTGAGCCAAGATCACGTCACTGCGCTCCAGTCTGGGAAACAGAGCAAGACTCTGTCTCAAAAAAAAAAAAAAAAAAAAAAAAAGCATGCATTTAAGCAGTAACTCCCCATTCCCCCCATGCACCCACTCCTGGTTAACCTCTCTTCTCTCTGTCTCTGAACTTGCCTCCTGTGAAGACCTTGTGTAAGTGGAATATTGCAATATTTGTCCTTCGCCTAGCCTCATGTTCTCAAGGTTCATTCATCTGTGTTGCAGCCTCTTTCCATAATTGGTTCCATTTTATGAATATTGAAACTGGCCCAATTGTCCCATAGAAGTGATGTTTATGGTTTCTTTTAAATAAACCTAGAAATTGGCCCTCTGAATCTTAGAACTTGAGAAAGTTACATTTGTCCTATCTGAGTTCCTTTCTCAGGAAACCAACCACTGGGCCTCCAGATCGCACCAAGAAGCTGAAATCCACCAGATCACAGCATCTGGACAATGAGATGAGAGACACCTCACCCTTCATGATTGCCCAGCTGGCCACCTGCTCCCATTGACCAGCTCTTCCTTACCCTCCCTAATTCCCATTTTCTCACACACAGATGCATTTCTTCCCTGCTAAAAACCCCTAATTTTAGGTGGTTGAGGTCATGGGGTGACTCTGAGTAACAGTCAGAGGAACCTCCAAATGGGTTTCCGAGGTGGCTGCTCTTTACATTCCCATGAGCAGTACAGGGGGCGCGGTTTCCCCACAGCCTTGCCGTCGCTTACCTCTCATTTTCAGTGATTTTATTTGAGAAACATACATTCACCCGTCCAAACCCAAGGAATAGACTCGGAGACTTGAGGAACAGGCGGAGCTCGCAGTGAGCCGAGATCGCACCTCTGCACTCCAGGAGGCTGAGGCAGGAGAATGGCGTGAACCCGGGAGGCGGAGCTTGCAGTGAGTCAAGATCCCACCTCTGCACTCCAGCCTGAGCAACAGAGCGAGACTCCGTCTCAAAAAAAAAAAAAAAAAAAAAAGGACCATTTAAAATGTTTTCTTACATTTTATTGTAGTAAAATACATGTAACATAAAACTTATTATGTAAGCGATTTTAAGTGTGCAGTTCAGTGGTATTAAATACATAATATGTCATCTTGTGCAACTATCAACCCCGTCTCCTTTTTTCCTTTTTTGTTTTTTGAGATGGAGTCTCACTGTATCGCCCAGGCTGGAGTGCAAGGGCACGATCTCAGCTCACTGCAACCTCCATTTCCCGGATTCAAGCGATTCTCCTGCCTCAGCCTCCCTAGTAGCTGGGATTACAGGCACATGCCACCACGCCTGGCTAATTTTTGTATTTTTAGTAGAGATGGGGTTTCACCATGTTGGCCAGGCTGGTCTTGAACTCTTGACCTCAAGTGATCCTATTATGAACATGAGTATAGAAACATCTCTTAGACCCTGCTTTGAGTTCTTTTCAGTTTGTATATGAAATTGCTGGATCATGTAGTAGTTCCATTTTTAATTTGGAATCACCACGGGGTTTTGGACAGCAGCTGCACCATTTTACATCCCACCCGCAGCATCTGTACATCCTCACAAAGGTTGTTACTCTCTGCGCTCTCCATGCTATTCCACTGGTCTATATGTCTCTAAATGTCTGTTTTTCTTTTTTCTTTTTGAGATGGAGTCTCGCTCTGACTCCCAAGTTGGAGTGCAGTGGCACAATCTCAGCTCACTGCAACCTCTGCCTCCTGGGTTCAAGTGACTCTCCTGCGTCAGCCTCCTGAGTAGCTGGGATTACAGGCTCCCACCACCACACGCAGCTAATTTTTGTATTTTTAGTAGAGACGGGGTTTCACCATGTCGGCCAGGATGCTCTCAATCTCTTGACCTCGTGATCTGCCTGCCTCAGCCACCCAAAGTGTTGGGATTACAGGCGTGAGCCACCGCGCCTGGCCACCGCCCGATTTTTTTTCTATTGATTTCCTGTTTTCAATTTCATTGATTTCTCTTCTAATTTTCATTTAGTTATTTATCTTTTCTTCTTCCTGCTTTCATTGGGTTAATTTGCTCTTCTTCTTGCTTCCCAAGGTGAAAGTTTGGATGACTGATTGTAGATCTCGCCTCTTCTCTAATACATACATTCCGTGCTATCAGTTGGCCACTATGCATTGCTTTTGCTGCATCCCACGAGTTTTGATAAGTTGTGTTTTATTTTCATTTAAAATATATATATATATATATATATATTTATTATTTTGAGATGGAGTCTCGCTCTGTCACCCAGGCTGGAGTGCAGTGGTGTGTTCTCAGCTCACTGCAAGCTCTGCCTCCTGGGTTCATGCCATTCTTCTGCCTCAGCCTCCCGAATAGCTGGGACTGCAGGCGCCCACCACCACGCCTGGCTAATATTTTTTGTATTTTTAGTACAGATGGGGTTTCACCGTGTTAGCCAGGATGGTCTCGATCTCCTGACCTCGTGATCCACCCACCTCGGCCTCCCAAAGGGCTGGGATTACAGGCGTGAGCCACCGCGCCCAGCCAGAAATATATATATATATTTATATACATACATACATACACACACACACACACATTTTTTTTTTTTTTTTGAGACACAGTTTTGCTCTTGTTGCCCAGGCTGGAATGCAAGGGCATGATCTTGGCTCACTGCAACCTCCACCTCCTGGGTTCAAGTGATTCGCCTTCCTCAGCCTCCCAAGTAGCTGGGATTACAGGCATGCGCCACCACGCCCAGCTAATTTTTTGTATTTTTAGTAGAGACGGGGTTTCACCATGTTGGTCAGGCTTGTCGCGAACTCCCAACCTCAGGTGATCCGCCGGCCTCTACCTCCCAGTGCTGGGATTACAGGCGTGAGCCACTGCACCCGGCCTCATTTAAAATATTTTTAAAGTTCTCTTGAGATTTCTTATTTGACCCATGTGTTATTTAGAGGTGTGTTATTCAATCTCTAAGTATTCTGGCATTCTCCAGCTATCTTTCTCTTATTGATTGCTAGTGTAATTCCGTTGTGGTCTGAGAATGGACATTGCATGATTTCTATTGTTTTAAATTTGTTAAGGTGCGTTTTTACAGCCCAGAATGTGGCCTATGTGGGTGACTGTTCCAGGTGGGCTTAAGAAGAACAGGTATTCTGTCATTGGATGAAGCGGTCTGTAGGTGTCCATTATATCCAGTTGATGGATGGTCCTGTTGAGTTCAACATGTTCTTACTGAATTTCTGCCTGTTGGATCCACCCATTTTTGATAGAGGGGCACAGACGCCAACTATAACAGTGAATTCATCTGTTTCTCCCCATAGCTCTCTCTCTAAACAAGTTCTTCTAACACGTCATGCAACACAGGCCTACTGGTAACAAATTTCTTAAATTTATGTCTGAGAAAGTCTTTATTTGTCCTTTAGTTTTGACAGATAATTTTTCAGGGTATAGATTCCTGGGCTGGTGGTTATCTTGTCCAAGCACTTTAAATATTTCCCTCATTTCGGCCAGGCGAGGTGGCTCACGCCTGTGATCCCAGCACTTTGGGAGGCTGAGGCGGGTGGGTCACGAGGTCAGGAGATTGAGGTGAAACCCCGTCTCTACTAAAAATACAAAAAATTAGCTGGGCGTGGTGGGGGGCGCCTGTATTCCCAGCTACTCGGGAGGCTGAGGCAGGAGAATGGCGTGAACCCAGGAGGCGGAGCTTGCAGTGAGCTGAGATTGCACCACTGCACTCCAGCCTGGGCAACAGAGTGAGACTCCATCTCTCAAAAAAAAAAAAAAAAAAAGCTGTTGTAAACAGGTCTTTAATAAGGAGGTGGCGAGGCTGGGTGCAGTGGCTCATGCCTGTAATCTCAGCACTTTGGGAGGCCGAAGTGGGAGGATCATTAGAGCCCAGGATTTTGAGTTTGAGACCAGACTGGGCAACATAGCAAGACCCTGTCTCTAGAAAAAAATCAGCTGGACCGGGTGTGATGGCTCACACCTGTAAATTCCTAGCATTCTGGGGGGCCGATTGCTTGAGCCCAGGGGTTCATGACTAGCCCGTCTTAAATAGTGAGACCCCATCTCTACAAAAAATAACAAAATTAGCCAGGCATGGTGGTGTGCACCTCTAGTCCTAGCTACTCAGGAGGCTGAGGCAGGAGGATTGCTTACGCCTAGGAGTTGGTGGTTACGATGAGCCATGATGGAAGCACTGTACTCCAGCCTGGGCAACAGAGCGAGTCCCTGTCTCCCATAATGAGGAAGTGGTGAGGTCTGGGGAGGAGAGGTGTTCTGTAGCCCTGTGATCAGGCCTCCATCTTTGATGAGCCTTTGCCCTTCACAAGCTCTCAGCTGTCCCCCGCCACCACCCTTAGAGGCGGAGAATGGCTACAGTGGACTTTGCTGTATTTCCCTCCCCTAGGTTAGTTAGGCCCTCAAGACCCCAATAGCTTAGACTCTGGTTAAACTGGTTCTCCTGAGGGCGGATTTCTTTTTTCTTTTTTTAAGTTCTGGGACACATGTGCAGAACGTGCAGGTTTGTTACCTAGGTGTACACGTGCCATGCTGGTTTGCTGCCCCTCTCAACCTGTCATCTAGGTTTTAAGCCCCGGACGCATTAGGTGTTTGTTCTCATGCTCGCCCTCCCCTTGCCCCCACCCACCGACAGGCCCCGGTGTGTGATGTTCCCCTCCCTGTGTCCATGTGCTTTCATTGTTCAACTCCCACTTATGAGTGAGAAAATGGGGTGTTTGGTTTCCTGTTCCTGTGTTGGTTTGCTGAGAATGATGGTTTCCAGCTTCATCCCTGTCCCTGCGAAGGACATGAACCCATTCTTTTCCTAAAGAGGGCAGAGCACTCTGGCGTATTTCAAAATGGTCCCTTCTCCCCTGTCTCTGCTAGAGCCCTGAGGGGGTTTTCTCTGATTTTCGCTGTGAGAACCTGGCAGCATTCCAGGAAGTAAAATTCACAAGAGCATGGAGACCTCCTGTGAGTGGGTCTTCCCGGGAGTCCTTAGCTCTCAGACTTGTCCACATGCTACTGAGAAAGCCGGTTGCCCAAAAGATGGGGTCCTTCCCTGTTTGGTGTCACGAAGCCGATACATGAAACCGAAGCCGACTTTATTCAGTGACCACGGACTGAGAAGCAGGAGCTTGGCCCACAGTTCAACTTCTCAACAGGTGAGCGGGCAGGGGCTAAATGTAGGGTTTCTGTACTGAAGGGGCTGGAGGTGAACAGCGAGGGGAAGAATATTCATGTCTTCTGGAAATGGGCGGTGAACTTCCCGCTGTCTTCCTTTCCTTGGCTGCTTTTGTCAGTTGTCGTGGCTCTAACCAGTCTCAACTGTTCGGGTAAAAAGAGGAACTTTTTATCACAGCCGTCCTGTTTCTTTTTTTCTTTTTTTTTTTTTTTTTTGAGACGGAGTCTCGCTCTGTCGCCCAGGCTGGAGCAAAGTGGCGCCATCTCGGCTCACTGCAGGCTCCGTCTCCTGGGTTCACGCCATTCTCCTGCCTCAGCCTCCCGAGTAGCTGGGACTACAGGCGCCCGCCACCACGCCCGGCTAATTTTTTTGCATTTTTAGTAGAGACGGGGTTTCAACGTGTTAGCCAGGATGGTCTCGATCTCCTGACCTCGTGATCCGCCCGCTTCGGCCTCCCAAAGTGCTGGGATTATGGGCATGAGCCACCGCGCCCAGCCGGGTGTCCTGTTTCTTAAACACAGTTGGCAAAGGGTAGAAGTTCAGCAACGCAGGCATCGCACCAGGTCACACACACCCAGCCCCAGCACTTCGTCATCTGGTTCAGGTTTTCCAGCCCTGGATCCTGTGGAGGTGTCAGCCCCAGTCTGCTGAGTCTGTCTCCTGATCTGGGGCAGCGGTTTGCCCTGTGGCCTTTCCTCTCTCACAGACCTAAGAAGGACCGTCGATATTTTCCAGCCTGTTTAGCCTTTTACTTGTTGGGATAGAATATGGCCAGTTCCAAACTTCCTACCTGCTGGAGACCTGGGGTCCACACGTTTCCTTAACACCATCATCTTTCTCCTCTCCTGAAATTCCAAAGACGGGAATGTCAGGCCTTTTGTTGTTCTGCAGCTACCTGAGGGTCTAGTCTTTTTTTTTTTTTTTCTGACATAATAACACTTTATTTGAAAATATGAAACTGGCGGGACAAGAGAAATAAAATTTAAAAAATAAAACAAGTCCAGGCGGGGTGGCTCACGCCTATTATCCCAGCACTTTGGGAGGCTGAGGCGGGCGGATCACCTGAGGTCAGGAGTTCAAGACCATCCTGGCAACGTGGTGAAACCGTGTCTCTACTAAAAATACAAAAATGAGCCAGGCATGGTGGTGGGCGCCTGTAATCCCAGACACTCGGGAGGCTGAGGCTGGAGAGTCACGTGAACCCGGGAGGTGGAGCTTGTAGTGAGCCGAGATTGCACCACTGCACTCCAGCCTGGGCGACAGAGCAAGACTCCATCTCAAAAAACAAACTAACTAGGGCCGGGCGCCATGGCTCTCGCCTGTAATCCCAGCACTTTGGGAGGCTGAGGCAGGCGGATCACAAGGTCAGGAGATCGAGACCATCCTGGCTAACATGGTGAAACCCCGTCTCTACTAAAAATACAAAAATGAGCCAGGCGTGGTGGTGGGCACCTGTAGTCCCAGACACTCGGGAGGCTGAGGCAGGAGCATGGTGTGAACCCGGGAGACGGGGCTTGCAGTGAGCCGAGATGGCGCCACTCCAGCCCGGGCGACAGAGCGAGACTCCGTCTCAAAACAAAACAAAACGAACTAATTAAACAAAACAACAAAAGAAAACCTGGCATCAGTCCTGGTCACTGTGCTCACGCCAGCCTCTCCATCCCGGCTCCTCTTCCAACTCTGCTTCCTGCTTCAGTGACTCGGATGTCGCCCTTCGCCCCATGCCCAGGAAACCGGAGGTGGCAGTGGGGGAAGGGAGGGAGGCGTGGAGAAGATACCCTGTCACCATCTCCATGCCCCTCCCCGGGACCACACAGGTCGCCTGGGCCCTGACCAAATGGTTCGTTGTCCGCCAAGCCAGACAGCAGGGCAGGCGCGCTCTGTGCAAAACCGAGTCGTGTGCGGGCCCAGGGTGGCGCTCGGGGCGCTTCCAGCGCACGTCACCTCATCTGCGTCGTCACCACTGTCGCCTCCGAAAGCGCATTCCGTCGTCAAAATACACCACGAGGTCCCGGGTGCCCTCACCGCCCTCCCCTTCCTCGCCCTCTCGTCGTTGCTGTTGGGACGGGCTCTCGTCGCCCGCGCTGGGGCGCAGTGACTCAGTGTGACTCAGGCCTCGCCCGCGCTCGGGCTCACGGAGCAGCTGGGACGACGGGCGTGAGCGCAGAAGCCGCAGAGCCCCTCGCGCGCCTCGCGGGGGTGTGGTGGGGGGTGGCCGCCTCCGGGGACGGGCGGGCTGCGGGGCTCCGACCCCGCGGCAGCGTCTCGCGGCGCCTGAGGCCCCGGTGGGCGTGGGTTCCAGGCTGCACGGCTGGTTTGCCGTCTGGGGGTGGTTTGTGCTGGGACCCCCGCCTCGCCGCAAGGACCGACGCTTTCCGTATCCCGGGTTCCTGCTTCGGTGTACCGGCAGAATCTGATCACGCGTGGCCTGGAGAATGCGCCCAGGGTCGTATTGCCTGGAAGGAGCTCTCAGCCGCTGGGGGAGCCGGAAGGGAGACGGTTCTGCCCTGGACGCGGGCTGCTCGGCGGCCCCGGCTCTCCTCCAACCGGCCAAACCCCGCCTGGTCCCGCCGCCGGTGGCTGCTGCTCCCTCGCCGTCTTCCTGCCGAGCAGCCGCTGGCGTCTTCTTCCACTGATCTGCTCCTCTCCACGTCCGGCTGCCTTGTCGGCCTGCTAGGGTCTTGGGTTTTTATAGTACCAGGATGGGGGCATGGCGGGCCAGGGTGGTCTTGGAAAATGCAACATTTGGGCAGGAGAGCAGGAGAGCCTGTCCTCACCGAGGCCGGGGACCCTCCTTTCTCTACCCAGCACTTCCCTGCCCCCCTCTCGTATCACCACCACGCCCCGGCTATTTTTTGTATTTTCTGTAGAGACTGGGTCTTGCTGTGTTGCCCAGGCTGGTCTCGAACTCCTGGACTCAAGTGATCCTCCTGCCTCGGCCCCCCAGACTGCTGGGATCACAGGCGTGAGCCAACGTGCCCGCCTCCCTCGTGATCTCTTTCTTGACTGATTGGTTATTTAAGAGTGTGGTACTTAATTTTCATGTTTTTGATTTTTCCAAATTCTCTCCTGTTACTGATTCCTAACTTCATTCTGCTGTGGTTGGAGAGCACGCTTTGTATTATTGCCGTCCGTTTTAATTCTCCAACGTGTGATCTGTGGCCTAACATAGAGTCTTTTTGGAGAAGAATCCTGTGCACTGGGAGGAAAGTCTGTTTTTCTGTCACCAGGTGGAGTGGTCTGGAGGCATCTCAGGAGCAGTTAGTGCTATTCAGGTCTTCTGTTTCCCGGTGTGTTTTCTTCCTGTTGTTAGATCCACGATGGAAAGTGAAGGCACTGAAGTCTCCAGCCATTATTGTTGAACTGTCCAGTTATCCTCTTTATTTTTATTTTTTTATTGAGTCTGGGTTTTCCGGAATGGTTATCCTTTTATAATCCATTCTGCCGATCTCTGCCTTTTAATTGGAAGGTGTAATCCATTTGCGGTTAATTGCTGTTAAGGAGTTCTGCTATTTTGCTGTCTATTTTTTTTTTTTTTTTTTTTGAGATGGAGTCTCGCTCTGTCGCCCAGGCTGGAGTGCAGTGGCGGGATCTCGGCTCACTGCAAGCTCCGCCTCCCGGGTTCACGCCATTCTCCTGCCTCAGCCTCCCGAGTAGCTGGGACTACAGGCGCCCGCCACCACGCCCGGCTAATTTTTTGTATTTTTAGTAGAGACGGGGTTTCGCCGTGTTAGCCAGGATGGTCTTGATCTCCTGACCTTGTGATCCGCCCACCTCGGCCTCCCAAAGTGCCGGGATTACAGGCGTGAGCCACCGCGCCCGGCTGTTGTATCACTTCTTTCTCGCCTCTTCTTACTTACTGCCTTCTCGTGTTAAACAAATATTTTCTAGTATTCCATTTACATTCCCTTGTTTCTTTTACGACATTTCTGAGTTAAAAAAAAAAAAAAAAGGATTGCTGTTGGGATTATAATGAACTAAAATCTAGTTTCAATTGATAGTAGGTGAATTTTTTTTTTTTTTTTTTTGAGACGGAGTCTGGCTGTGTTGCCCAGGCCGGAGTGCAGTGGCGCATTCTCGGCTCCCTGCAACCTCCGTCTCCCGGGTTCAAGTGATTCTCCTGCCGCAGCTTCCCAAGTAGCTGGGACTACAGGCGCCCGCTACCGCAACCAGCTAATTTTTGTATTTTCAGTAGAGATGGGGTTTTACCATGTTGGCCAGGCTGGTCTTGAACTCCTGACCTTGTGATCCACCTGCCTCAGCCTCCCAAAGTGCTGGGATTACAGGTGTGAGCCACCGCACCCGGCCAGATAGTAGGTAAATTTCAACAGGATACAAACCATGAGCTCCAACACTGTCTTCTCCTCCTGTGTGCTGCAAAGTATATGTAAATTATACCCTCATACATTAAAAACCCATCAATAGTTTTTTTTTTTTAATTGAGACAGGGTGGTCTCACTCTGTCGCCCAGACTGGAGCAGTGGTGCAGTCACAGCTCACTGCAGCCTCGAACTCCTGGTCTCAAATGAACCTCCCGCTTTAGCCTTGCAAATGGCTGAGACTATAGGTGCATGCCACCACACCTGGCTAATTGTTTTTGTAGAGATGGGGTTTTGCCCTGTTGCCCAGGCTGGTCTCAAATCCCTGGGCTCAAGCGATCTGCCCGCCTCAGCCTAGCACAACGTTGGGGTTACAGGCATGAGCCACGGCGCCTGGCCACATTTCATTATGTCAATTGACCTATCTTCAAGTTTGCTGATACTTGCTTCTACCAACTCAAATTCAATTACTTTACAACTACAGAATTTCCATTTAATTCTTTTTGAATAATTTATCTCTGTATTGTATTTTCTATTTGGTGAGACAATGACAATTTTCATACTACCATTTTAGTTCTTTAAACATAATTTCTTTTAGTGCTTTGAACATTATTCGTAACAGCTGACTTTGTCTTTATTTAAGCTGAGTGGTGGATCACGCCTGTAATCCCAGCTCTTTGGGAGGCGCAGGTGGGCGGATCACTTGAGCCCAGGAGTTCAAGACCAGCCTGGGCAACATAGTGAGGCCTCATCTCTACAAAAAATAAAAAAGTTGGCTGGGCACGGTGGCTCACGCCTGTAATCCCAACAGTGGCAGGCCGAGGCGGGCGGATCACGGAGGTCAGGAGATCGAGACCATCTGGGCTAACACGGTGAAACCCTGTCTCTACTAAAAAAAGAAATTAGCTGGGCATGGTGGCGGGCACCTATAGTCCCAGCTCCTTGGGAGGCTGAGGCAGGAGAATGGCGTGAACCCGGGAGGCGGAGCTTGCAGTGAGCCGAGATTGCGCCACTGCACTCCAGCCTGGGCCACAGAGAGAGATTCCGTCTCAAAAAAAAAAAAAAAGCCAGGTGTGGTGATGCGTGCCTGTCATCCCAGCTACTCAGGAGATTGAGGTTGGGAGGACTGCTTGAGACCAGGAGGTCGTGGCCACAATGAGCTGTGTTCATGCCACTGCACTCCAGCCTGGGTGACAGAGCAAGACCTTATTAAAAGGAAAAAAAGGGCCAGGCACGGTGGCTCATGCCTGTAATCCCAGCACTCTGGGAGGCTGAGGCCGGTGGATCACCTGAGGTCAAGAGTTTGAGACCAGCCTGGCCAACATGGTGAAACCCCATCTCTACTAAAAACACAAACAAAATTAGTCAGGCCTGATGGTGGGCACTTGTAATCCCAGCTACTCGGGAGGCTGAGGCAGAACAATTGCTCGAACCTGGGAGGCAGAGGTTGCAGTGAGCTGAGATAGCGCCACTGCACTCCAGCCTGGGCGGCAGAGTGAGACTCCGTCTCAAAAAAAAAAAAAAAAAAGCAAAAAAGGCCAGGCACAGTGGTTCACACCTGTAATCCCAGCACTTTGGGAGGCTGAGGTGGGTGGATCACGAGGTCAGGAGTTCAAGACCAGTCTGGCCAACATAGTGAAACCCTGTCTCTACTAAAAATACAAAAATTAGCTGGGCATGGTGGTGGTGTGTGTCTGTAGGCTGAGGCAGGAGAATCGCCTGAATCTGGGAGGTGGAGGTTGCAGTGAGCCGAGATTGTGCCATTGCACTCCAGCCTGGGCAACAGAGCGACACTCTCTCTCAAAAAAAAGAAAAGTCGGCCGGGTGCGGTGGCTCATGCCTGTAATTCCAGCACTTTGGGAGGCTGAGGCGGGCGGATTACGAGGTCAGGAATTCTAGACCATCCTGGCCAATGTAGTGAAACCCTGTCTCTACTAAAAATACAAAATTAGCCGGGCGTGGTGGCACGCGCCTGTAGTCCAGCTACTCAGGCGGCTGAGGCAGGAGAATCGCTTGAACCTGGGGAGTGGAGGTTGCAGTGAGCTGAGACTGCACCATTGCACTCCAGCCTGGGTAACAGAGTGAGACTCCATCTCAAAAAAAGAAAAAAAGTCTTTAGTAAGTTCAGCATCTGGGCTTCCCCAAGGATGGTATCTATTGATGGCTTTTCCCCCCATTTATGGGTGATATTTTGTTTCTCTGCTTTTTTTTGCTGAAAAGTAGACATTTAAAGCAACATGATGAGACCAGTTGTTCTTATCCCCCAGGTTTTGTTACTTTGTGGTTTGGTTGCTGCTTCTGTGTGTTTAGTGACTTTTCTGGACTAATTCTCTACTCCCTTTGCTGTGTGACCAGTGAACGCTCTGTACTGTACAGTTTCCTTAAATGCCTCGATTCAGTGAGTCTTTTTTCCCTGGCTGGGAGGCTTTTCCAGCAGTTTCCAGCTCTGCTGTAGCTTTCGCTTTCTGTTTGCACAAGGCCTCAATCAGCCAAGGGGAGATCAGAGAATGTTCTGTCCCTTCCTGGCCGTGCGTACAGACCCACACGTGCCCAGGGCTTTCCGTGTCCCCAGGAAAATGTCAGTGCTGCCCGGGTCCCCACAGGCGCCTCGTTCCTCACCTCGTCCTTTCTGGGCAGGTGCCGGCTGCCCCAGTGGGTAGTGCCTTGGACAGCTGTGTGGTTAAACGGTGCCACTGATTGTTTCTGACCAATGCTGTGGAAAGGGGGCTTTTCTCACTGAGCGAACTGCAGGGCAGGCCAGATATCACAGGCCTATGAATGCTTTCCAGGGAGCTGCCAGAGGTGAGATTGAAGCAGGCTGTTTCACCGGAGTCGTAATGGGGTGCCTGGTTTACTCAGCCTGCCGCCCTCAACCCCTCGCGGAGGGAGTGTGTGGGCCAATGAGGCAGGACTGGAGTGCAGGATCGCTGGAACTGGCCGGCTGTTTAGGCACCGGTGGGTTCAAACTCCACTCACTTGGACCCTCTGTGCTCCACCCCTTGCAGGAGGGTGAGCAGGTGCAGGAGCTGGAGCAGGTGCTTTTGGGTGCCGGCAGCAGTGAACTCTGTGCAGGCCCCGTGCAGCATCCAGGGCCGGGGTACCTGTGCCCCCCAAAGCCCCAGAGGGCGTGTTACGGGGCTCCTTTAGCTCTGCCGTCCACAGACAGCTGAAGTGTTAACAGCTCAGTGGACCCTCTGCCTTTTCGCGTGAGGCTGCCGGTGAGAGGCAAAGGGCCGGTGTGACCGCCTTTTGTATCCACCTGTGGCTCTAGAGCTCGTCTGGCATCCAGGAAAAATGAGGTTACGCAAACGAATTGAAGGATGGTAAATGTGGGGGATTTTATTGCTGATGAAAGTGGCTGTCAGCAGGAAGGGGAGCTGGAAAGGGGATGGGGCGGGAAGGTAATCTTCCCCTGAAGTCTGGCCACATCTGTGTCTGCAGATGGATTCTTCTCTGAAGTGACACCGTCAAGCTGTCCCTTAACATCCAGCTGCTTCTCCTCTCTGCTGGCTGAGTCTGGGGCCTTTATAGACACAGGATGGCGGGGGGCAGGGTGGGACCATGGTGGTTTAGGAACAGGCAACATGAGGGCAGGAAAGCAGGGATGGCAGTTCTCAAGGTGGGCCATGGTCTCAGGCATTTCAGCTTGAGGGTGGGGCTTCACCAGGAACCTGCCCCTGTCTGCCTAGAATTTCTCTACCTCCTGTCCCCATCAAGATGGCAACAGCTCTCTCTGGGGTGGGACTTTTGGGGGCTCATACTGAGCCTGCCTCTCTGGGCTGCTAGTTTTCAAAGCACCAGAGAGTTGGAGTAAGGAGAATGAAACACGGCAAGTTAAAATGACAAAGCTCTCTGTACCAATATTCAGCTGTTTTTCTTTTTACTTTTTCTTTTTGGAGACGGAGTCTTGCTCTGTCAGCCAGGCTGGAGTGTACTGGTGCAATCTTGGCTCACTGCAACCTCCGCCTCCCAGGTTCAAGCAATTCTCCTGCCTCAACCTCCCAAGTAGTTGGGATTACAGGCATGTGCCATCATGCCCAGCTACTGTTTGTATTTGTAGTAGAGACGAGGTTTTACCATGTTGGCCAGGCTGGTCTTGAACTCCTGACCTCAGGTGATCCACCCACCTCGGCCTCCCAAAGTGCTGGGATTACAGGCATGAGCCACCATGCCAAGCCTCGGCTGTTTTTCTTTAATAAACATTCATTAAATTATTACAAGCCTTAGTTAATAATTTCCAGAGTTCTGAAAAAGTTAATTTTGACAATTTTTTCCCTAGTGGTGTCATTGCTTTTCTCGAGGAGGGATTTTCAGAGGGACTTGCTACCCTGGAAGTCCTGCGTCCTTTCTGTCATATCAGCTCACCCCCTCAGAGGTTCTGACCTGGGACATAATCAGTCTCTATGTAGCTGCTTTGAATTGTCATTTATTTCCCCTTTTCTTAATTGTGGGGGTCTTGACTGCAGGGTAAATGGCTCTGGCTGCTGCGATTTTAACTTGGTATCTTTCCTTTTTCTTTCTTTTTGGAGACGGAGTTTCGCTCTTCTGGCCCAGCCTGGAGTCCAGTGGCACGAACTCGGCTCACTGCAACCTCCCTCCCCGCCTCCCGGGTTCAAGCGATTCTCCTGCCTCAGCCTCCTGAGTAGCTGGCATTACAGACTTGTGCCACCACACCCAGCTAATTTTATATTTTTAGTACAGACAGGGTTTCTCCATGTTGGCCAGGCTGGTCTTGAACTCCTGACCTCGTGATCCACCTGCCTCAGCCTCCCAAAGTGCTGGGATTACAGGCGTGAGCCACCACACCCGGCTGGTATCTTTTTTTTTTTTTTTTTTTTGAAGACAGAGTCTTGCTCTGTCCCCCAGGCTGGAGCAACCATCACAGCTCACCGCAGCCTCAGCCTCCTGGGCTCAGGCGATCCTCCCGCCTCAGCCTCCCGAGTACCTGGGACCGCAGACGCGCTCCACCATGCCTGTTCTTTGTTGTTGTTGTTGAGACAGGGTCTCATTATGTTGTCCAGGCTGGACATGAACTCCTGGGCTCAAGCATCCTCCTGCCTTGGCTTCCTGTTGTGATTATAGGTGTGAAATACTACACCCAGCCTGATTTTTGGTTTTAGAGACAGGATCTTGCTGAGCTGCCCAGGTGGGAAGGCAATGGCTGTTCGCAGGCTCACTCACGGTGCACTACCGCCGTGAGCTCCTGGACTCAAGTGATCCTCCTGCTGCAGCCTCCCAAGCAGCTGGGACCACAGGTGTGAGCCATGTTTCCAGTTTATCACAGGTAATTTCAGATGTGAGTGACGTTCTGTGCCCAGTAATGGGGCTTTTGGGGTTTATACCACTGCACTCCCCCAGCTGTGGTGTACAACTTGCACCTCGTCCCTGAGCTCTTGCTGATGCCACAGCTGAGCTCTTGCTGATGCCACGGCTGCCTTCTCACTGCCTGTGGGTCCCTCTCTCTAGCTTCAGTATTTCATTCTGCTTTCCAACAGAGCCAAGCTGGGCCCAGTTCCTTCTACTCTCCTGTGAGACTGTCTTCGCTGTCCCCCAGCGGGAAGGAGGAAAGCAGCTCCCTGGTGTGGGGGGAGGTGGGTGGAGGTTGTGTGCGGCTCCACGTGCTGGGGCCCTTCCCCTCCTGCCAGGCTCAGGCCCAGGCCCAGCTGCCGCTTGGAAATGGCGACCCCTGAATGGAGACCTGTCTTGCCAGATGCTGCACGGTCTCCTGGGCAGAGCAGGCGCTCTCTGTGCGGGGAGCTGACGGCTCACGGGCTTTCCACAAAAACCTCTCACCTCCTTCCAGGTTTTACAAAAGCCACCAGCTTCTCTTCTACAGCAGCAAAAGCCGCCATATTTCTTTCCTTTTTCTGTTGAAGCCTGGGGCCTTACGCCTTGGCAAGGTGTCAGCTTCCCTGAGAGGGGGACCCTGTGCCAGAAAGGGGTGCCAGCTTCCCTAAGAGGGGGACCCTCGGCTGGGGAGGGGCACCGGCTTCCCTGAGGGGGAACCCTGTGTCGGGGAGGGGCGCCAGCTTCCCTGAGAGGGGGACCCTGTGCCAGGGAGGGGTGCTGGCTTCCCTGAAGTGCCTAGGGTCCGAGCACTCACCTGCTCTGTGCTTTGGGTTTGTTTGTTTTTTGTTTTTTTTTTTGCTAATGGCAGTCCTCAGAGCCTCCGGAAGGGAAGGCATCAGGAAGGCTTGAGTTACAGGTGGTGGACCCTCAGAGCCAGCCTGCTCCAGAGCCCGGGCTCCCAGGCAGGAGCTGGGTAGCGCTGGGGTCCATGGATGTAGTTGAGCGAGTGGGGTTACGCCATCTTCCTCCAGCTCCAGCCAGAGACTCCCGAGAGCGGTCTGAAGCCCACATGGGTGGCCCCGGGCAGCAGGGTCTCCAGGCTGGCACGCAGGCTCCTGCGGTTCTGGGTACTCTGACGTTTCTCAGTGTTTATTCACAAGTCTCTCTGAGGGGCGGCAGGCTGTCTCTCGTCCCCTATGGCAGGAGGCTGTTTGGGAGTCGCATGTGCGGCATCTCTGGCAGGTGCACGGGAGCCGAGACTCCAGCAGACCAGGGTGGGGGCCGGAAGGGAGCTGCTCTCGCCTGACACCCCTCGTGGGCACCCGAGACAGGGAGGCACAGCATGGTGGCCGGGACGTCGTCACCACTGTGGGCTGGAACTGCAGCGTGCTCTGTGTGACACAGGCTGACTCAGGTTTTTCTTTTAAGGCAGGGCTTAAAGGAAGTTTTACTGTGACCAAAGTTCTGTGATTGAGGGGGTGTGGAGAAAACAAAAAGCCTGGCCAAGATGGTGAAACCCCGTCTCTACTAAAAATACAAAAACTAGCCGGGTGTGGTGGCAGGCGCCTGTAGTCCCAGCTACTCGGGAGGCTGAGGCAGGAGAATTGAACCCAGGAGGTGGAGGCTGCAGTGAGCTGAGATTGCGCCACTGTGCTCCATCCAGCCTGGGGGTCAGAGCAAGACTCCATCTCAAAAGCAAGCAAAAAACCCCCAAAAACCCACGAAGCCCCCAAAACAAACCACAGCTAATCCGAACCCAGAAAAATAGACTGGAACCTTCTGGCTTCTCCACACCCCCACCCCAAGCCCGTAAATGAGGTGGACAACCCTGCCTTTGCTCAGGCTCAGCCCTGAAGGGAACAGGAGGGAATCCACAAAAGTTCTGTTCACAGATCGAAGACAGGAGAGGGGGCATGGCCCCACGCCTACCCCCAACCCCACGCAGGGGCCCAGCTGGCGAGGGAGCTCACAGCAGCCTTTGGGGGAATGAAGCCACTGCCCCCGCCACTGGCTCAGCCTGGCAGGGCTCAGGGACCCTCCCAGGTCGGGCTCCTCCGCAGGGGACCCAGTGACCAGGACCCTGTTGATTCTGATGCACGGGCAGTGTCTGCTCTTCTGTGGGGGTTGTTTCTGTAGCTGCCACTCCCTCCCCAGCACCCAGGTACAGGGGACAGACAGCTCAGAAGGAAAAGGGTGAGGCGCCTCCATCAGCTCACCCTCCTGTCACGCCGGGGGCCAACAGTCTCCTGGAGCCACACTGGCTGGAGGGTCCTGGCAGGCATCCTCTGTGCCAAGATCCTCTGAGCAGAGGCCTCGCATCTCCATGCTTGCCTGAGCTGCCTTCCAGCCAGGACAGGGCTCTCAAAGCGCGGACCCTCACCAGCTGCAGCTGCCAGGGAACTGTGGGCAGGGGCACAAGCCAGCCAGCCACAAGCTGAAGCTCAGGGGCGTGCACAGCTGGCCACGGGGTCTGGCCACGGCTGCAGTGCTCAGATCCGTGGGGAGTGATGCTCCTGTTTCTCTCCAGCTCCTACAAGAGGCAGTAATTCCACAGCATTCCCGGTCTGTGCAAAGGCAGAGGACGAGGGGAACAGATAATTTGTTTCAAAATTAAAAGCTAACAACTTGGTAGGAAAAAGGTTTTCTTTTTTTTCAGACAGAGTCTGCTGTGGAGTAGGGTGGCGTGATCTCAGCTCACAGCAGCCTCCACCTCCTGGGTTCAAACGATTCTCCTGCCTCAGCCTCCGGAGTAGCTGGGACTACAGGCGCGCGCCACCACACCCAGCTAATTTTTGGTATTTTTAGTAGAGAGGGGATTTTGCCATGTTGGGCAGGCTGGTCTCAGACTCCCGCCTCGGCCTCCCACAGTGCTGGGATTACAGGCGTGAGCCACCACGTCTGTCCTGGGAGTAAGAAGGTCGTCGAGAGGGGCGACACTGTGTCAGTCCCACACACAGCCCCTCTCCTGGAGGGACGCACTGTACAAAGAGCATTTTAATTAATTTATTTATTTCTTTACACATAACTGAAAGTGATGTTACAGTACATAAGTTATTTACAACTGTGCAGTAATGTGTTGCAAAATAAATTATCTAGAAGGCAGCAAAAGTACATTGTGAAGGTATATAAAACTGTACAGCGTTTACGGATACACTTTTTATATGATTATTGGCTCTGTAGTGTTTCAAGTTACGTTCTCAGAAAGAGAAACAAAATGCCCAAGATTAAAGGAAAGAAGATACAAACCACGCGGATTTGACTCCATTTCAATACGGCTGGGAGTCCTGGCTCTGTGTCCCTCCGCCTGGCTCCGCACCAGGTCTGAAGCCCAGTCTGAGGCCGTCGCAGCTCGGCGGCAACAGAACCACGGCTGGGATGGGGCTCCTGCCCCTCCGACCTGCAGGTCACTGTTTGTGAGAGGTGGACACCTTAATTTTCTTTAGTTGATCAGAATGGAACAAAAAATTTTAAAAATGTACTCCGTTCTCCAACTCCTGAAATGCCTCTGCAGTTGCTGGAGAAAAGGGCCCGAAGGTCGCCGTTTTCAAACAGAAGCTGCCGTGTGTGCGCGCCCGGCATGGTCTCCTCATCCCGCCGGGGCCAGTGAGGCTCTGGGGGCTTTGCCCCCGCCGCGGCAGCTGGTAGAGAAGAGACGTGTTTCACCTCCCCGACGTCTGGACCAGTCTGGAAGGGATGGAGGCGCTGTGGCCAAGTGCAGTCTCTCTCGGGGTCTCTCCCCGCCCGGGTGGACAGGGCGCTCCCTCCTCCGCCCCTGGGGCTCAGCAGCAGTCCTGGGCAGCCGTGCGGCCCTCGCCTGCGTCCTGCGGCCGTCCCGCGGTGTCATGCCGGCAACAATACAAAGTCGTCGTTGACGTCGACCATGGGCACGTAGAAGGAGGGCACCTCGTTCACGCACAGGGACTTGTGCCCGGCGGGGTCCAGTTCCTGCACCTTCAGCTGCCACTCCATCCTCTGCACGGCGTTCAGGGCCGCGGCCTCGTGCTGCTGCCGCATGAGGAGGCAAGTCTGCGGGACACACAGCGGGGAGAGGAGGGAGGAGGAGTGAAGGGAGAGCCCCAGACTCTGCCGACCTCAGCTGCCAGCAGGGCCAAGGGCGTGATACGGCCGTGAACCTACCCTGGTATGGGCCAGGCCCAGCTGTACCCGCTCCTGGCATCTAGTTACTACACGTGGCGGTAGCGCCAGCTGTGCTACATGTCTGTCCCCATAACCGCTGTCTATGCCACCTCTACCCTGGCCTGGGGCTCACCCTGGCCCGGGGGCCCTGCCCTGCTCTGGGTGGGCCTGGGACTCACCTCCAGCAGCCACTGCAGCTTATTAGAATCGAACAGCTTTGCTTTTGTCATTTTACAATTACTTACGGCCAGTGATAGTTTCACTTGTATTTCTAGTAGAAACTATGCCATTTAAAAGTGCACATAAGGGGACTGGACTGGGGTAGCACATATTTTGGAAACTAATGGAGAAATGGAAGCGTGGCCAGGGAGTACTGGTATGTCACAAGCAACCGTGTAGAGAATCTTTTTTAGATACCGTCTCAAGGCTGGAGTGCAGTGGTGCAATCATGACTCACTGCAGCCTTGACCTCTGGGGCTCAAGGGATCCTCCCTCCTCAACCTCCCGAGTAGCTGGGACTACAAGTGCTACCACGCCTAGCTGATTTTTGTAGAGATGGGGTTTTGCGATGTTGGCGAGCTGCAGTGTGATCATGTCTGTCTCTAAATTTTTCTCAACATATATATATGTATGAAATCGTTTTCGAAGCTCAGGATGGATTCACAATCCTCCTCAATGGGCCTCATAGCTTTTACTCGGCAGCTCAGACATCACCAGTGTAAATTGTTACATGGAATCATATAATACCCTTTGGATGTTCCAAACTCCGGTGAGTCACTGAATTACTGATGGGCCTCTGAGTGAGTTTCCAGTTTTGTTCCAGTGAATATTTTTATACATATCCCTAAGGTTTTTTTTTAAATTTTGTCCCCAGGCTGGAGTGCAGTGGTGCAATCTTGGCTTACTGCAACCTCTGTCTCCCGGGTTCAAATGATTCTCATGCCTCAGTCTCCCGGAATTACAGGCACGCACCACCATGCCCAGCTAATTTTTGTATTTTTACTAGAGACGAGGTTTCACCATGTTGGCCAGGCTGGTCTCGAACTCCTGACCTCAGGTGAACCACCCACCTCAGCCTCCCGAAGTGCTGGGATTACAGGTGTGAGCAACCGCACCCCGCCCAAAGTCCCATTTTAATGTAGTCAAACATTTATCTTCTTACAGGAAAGTCTTCCATGTGTCTTTATGAAGCTTTCAGTTTTTTCTCACGGCTCTGGTTAGGAAGGGCCTAGTGGCCTGGGGAGGGTGTGGTGTGAGTGACTTCCTGCACCATCATCTTAGGGCTGGCCAGAAATGCACACTCAGCTACGCCTCAGACCTGAGTTCCTCAGCACAAGCCCCCAGGGGCCACGCTCCCCAAATACCCACAGCTCCCACCGGGTAGGGCTGGTGGTTCTCATCTGTGCCCACATCAGCACCTTTCTGAGAGCTGCAGTATGACACACGGGTGCTTGGTTCAGGGACCTGGGTGGTGCTGAGCCTGATACTGCAGGTAGCCGGGGCCGCCTGCTCCCAGGCCTGGCTGGTGACTGTACAGGGTGACGCTGACTGTAAAGTTCTGTAACTTTTGGCAAGTTTCCGCCTTCCGTTGCCTCCTGGTGGATCCTCCAGGGTGTCCCGGTGAGCAGCCCTCGCGACCGGGATAAGGGTGTGCTGCCCTTCCCGGCACCTCCCCCGCCCCTGCCCACCGCCCTGGCCAGCACTTCCAGAGCAGTGGAGGGTGAATGCTGGGACCTTAGAGGGGGCTCACAGGGCAGTCCCAGGAGTTCTGACCATCAAGCCTAGGGTCCTGTTGAGCTGGCGACAGGAGCCGCTCCCTGCACACCGGGACAGAAGGGAAGACTGAGGAGGCCACACGCAGGGACAGGACCTCACCTCCCCGAAAGCATCGGCCAGATTAAGAGAATCTGAAATTGTCACCGCCCATCACAGAACTGGGCAGCGGCCTCCCCCCAGGCAGCGCAAAGGGGGTTGTCACCACCCATCACAGAACTGGGCAGCAGCCTCCCCCAGGCAGAACTGAGGGGACGCGCAACACCGACCTTCATGCGGTCATACTTGTCATCCACGTCCTGGAGCCAGGAGATGAACTGGCGGGCGTTGAAACGGTCGCGCACTGACTTGTTCTCGTCACCCTGTGGAAACCAAACACGGGAGTTTCATCAGGAGCCCCAGAGACCGCTACGGGAAGGCATGCCAGCCTGGGCGATGCTGCAGTGACCGTTCTCAAGGGACAACCACAGGGGGAGCCTCATTCCACCGCGCACACACTGAATCATGTTCAAGGCATGGCAGGCGCACCCTGCCCATCTCCCTAAACAGCCTCCCTAAAATGCGCGTGGAGGCAGCTGGGCCTTTGTCTCCTGGGCACCGGGTGCCCGCAGGCCCCACCTGTGAGCCGGTCCCCAGCCCTGCCCCCAGGGGACAGTCAGAGCTCAGCCCACTGCCAACTCCTGGGAGAGACTTTTTTTTTTTTTTTTAAGAGACAGAGTTTCGCTTGTTGCCCAGGCTGGAGTGCAATGGCGCGATCCTGGCTCACCGCAGCCTCCACCTCCAGGGTTCAAGCGATTCTCCTGCTTCAGCCTTCCTGAGTAGCTGGGATTACAGGCAGCCACCACGCCCAGCTAATTTTGTATTTTTAGTAGAGACGGGGTTTCTCCTGGGCGAGACTTTCTAGATATGTCACCGTCCTGTGTCCTGAAGGGTGGACACGGATAAGATGTCCAGGCTCCTCCCCTTTTTCACGGGTTCATGGTGAAGCTGACAATGCCGTCTGTTTCTCAGAACATGTGGAGCACCGACAGAAACCCACACACCTGCAGGGAACTCACTTTCCACAAAGGTGCCAAGAACAGAATAACGATCACAGGGAAAGGACAGTCTCTTCCGTAAACGGTGCTGGGAAAACTGGCTACGCATCGCAGAAGAGTGAAACGAGACCCTAGCTCTCGCCACATACAAACATCAAACCAAAATGGATCAAAGTCTGGAATCCAAGACCTTAAACGATGAAACCACTACAAGAAAACACTGGGGAAAATCTCCAGGACATTGGCCTGGGCAAACATTTCTCAAGCAATACCCCGAAGCACAGGCAACCAAAGCAAAAATGGACAAATGGGATCACATCAAGTTCAAAAGCTTCTGTCCAGCAAAGGACACAGTCAACAGGGTGAAAAGACACGCACAGAATGGGAGGAAACGCCTGCAAACCGCTCCTGTCACACAGATTCTCAAGCAGAACATAGAAGGCATGCAATTAACTCGATATGAAAAAATCTAATAATCCCATCAAAAAAACGGGCAAAAGATCTGAATAGACGTTTCTCAAAGGAGACACACAAATGGCCAACAGGCATCTGAAGAGGAGCTCAACATCATTGATCGTCAGAGAAATGCAATTCAAAACTACCGTGAGACATCACTTCACCCCGGTTAAAATAGCCTTTATCCAAAAGACAGACAATCACAATTGCTCGCGAGGATGTGGGGAAAAGGGAACCCTCGTACCCCGTTGGTGGGAATGTAAATTAAAACAGCCGCCGTGGAGAACAGTTTGGCGTTTCCTCAAAAAACTAAAAATTGAGCTACCATAGGATCCAGCAATCCCACTGCCGGGTATAGACCCAAAAGAAAGAAACTGGGGGCCAGGCACGGTGGCTCACGCCTGTAATCCCAGCACTTTGGGAGGCTGAGGCGGGCAGATCACCTGAGGTCAAGAGTTTCAGACTAGCCTTGCCAACATGGTGAAACCCCATCTCTACTAAAAATACAAAAATTAGCCAGGTGTGGTGGTGCGCGCCTGTGATCCCAGCTACCCGGGAGGCAGTGGCTGCAGTGAGCTGAGATCGTGCCACTGCTCTCCAGCCTGGGTGACAGAGGAAGACTCAGAATCACAAAAAGGAAAAGGAATCAGTATATTGAAACGGTGTCCACACTCCCATATTTAACGCAACCCCATTTACTATAGCTAAGGCTTGTGTCCATCAACAGATGAATGGATAAAGAATATGTGCTACATACACAACGGAGTACTATTCAGCCACAAAAAAGAATGAGATCCTGTCATTTGCAAACACGTGGATGGAACTGGGGTCATGATGTTAAGTGAAATAAGCATACAAAGACAAACATCACATGTTCTCTCTCACTTGTGGGATCTAAAAATCAGAACAATTGAGCTCATGGACACAGAGTAGAACGACGGTTACCAGAGGCTGGGAAGGGTTGTGGGGGGCTGGCAGGGAGGTAGAAGTGGTTAATGGGTACCAAAAAAAAAAAAAAAAAAAAGAATGGATAAGACCTACTATCTATCTGACAGCACAATAGGGTAACTGTAGTCAATAGTAACTGCATTGTGTATTTTAAAATAACATATAAGAGCGTTAACTGGATTGTTTGTAACTCAAGGGCTAAATGCTTGAGGGGATGGACACCCATTGGAGAAATAAAGAGGGAAGTAATGCTTCCTTGGAAGGTGTTAGAGGCACGAGCTGGTCCTCCTCATTTTTGCTCTGTACAGAGCTGTCCTGACTGCCTGTCCATCACAGCCTCTCACCTGCGGTACAAGAATGCAAACTTATCAGCATCCAGCCCCCAAAGCACCATTTGGTCCAACTCATGTTTTCTTTAAAGAAAATCTGTCGGCTGGGTGCGGTGGCTCACGCCTGTAACTCCCGCACTTTGGGAGGCTGAGGCGGGTGGATCATAAGGTCAAGAGATCGAGACCATCCTGGACATGGTGACACCCCGTCTCCACTAAAAATACAAAAATCAGCCGGGCATGGTAGCGCATGCCTGTGATCCCAGCTACTCGGGAGGCTGAGGCAGGAGAATCGCTTGAACCCGGAAGCCAGAGGTTGCAGTGAGCCAAGATCACACCACCACACTCCAGCCTGGCAACAGAGCGAGACTCCGTCACAAAAAAAAAAAGGAAAATAAAATTTGTCATTGTGTATATGAGAGACATTGATAAAATACATCCCCAAAGAAAGGAAGATCTTTAATGCACAAAGAGATGTTTTCAACTAAACATCTGGGAGCCCCTGGCTGTCACCACACAGCAAAGCCTAGTGCACTGCTCAGAGTGCCCAGGGCTGGGGTGGCGTCAAGGGGGGCACATATTACGAGGGCTCTCGGTGCGAGATCTGGACACCAAGGCAGGAATGTGTTCCAGGCACGTCCCACTGCACAGGATGTGGGGCCTGGGGTCCAGGGAGCCCACAACCTGAGCGCAGTGGGCTCCGAGGAGGAGGGAGGGGCTGATGCAGGCGAGGCAACGGGAGAGCCAGGGGTCCCACATGGACAGGTCAGTGGTGGCTGGAGGATGATTTCTGAGGCAGGAGTCCCTGGCACATGGGCTGCTTGAAGGCAGACAGGAAGAGCTGCCCCAGGGAGAGCCACGGGGCCCTGGCCGCCCACATCCTATGTCCCAGTGGACAGAGCAGGTCAAAGGCACGGGAGCTGCAGGGGTGGGCGGGAGCCCCACAGCAGATGGGCAGGACAGTGACTGTAGTTCTGGAACCCTGAGTCCGGCCCGCCCTGGCCCAGATGAGCGGCACACCTGGGTGCCCGTGTTCCCTTAGCCACCCAGTGTCCCTGCTGTCCCCGTATGACAGCCCCTGGGGCCTGTGCTGTGAAAGCCCTCGATGTGGCAGCCCTGGGGTGCCTGAGAGCAGCAGGTGGAGCCCAGCAGTTTAAACAGAAAATAATGCCAGCGCTGACACCCGTGAGAGGTAGGTAGGGGCAGGTGCTCCAACTGCATGGACAAGTGTTACGGAGGGACTGAGCTGCTGAGGCCCAGCCCAGTGGCCTGAGGGCCTTGCCCGTGCGGGGAGCTGTCTGCTGTCTGCTGCAGCCTTCTTGGCTCCTTTCTGAGGCTCGCCCAAGGCTAGAGGCATGCAAAGGACTCTGTAGCCCCTGCAAGGTGCTGAGCACCCGGGAAGCTCCTGGTCAAAGTGCAGAATCTATCAAGGGGAGGGGAGGCGGGCAGGGTGCAGGCACTTGGACTCATGGGCCTGGCATGCAGACGGGCCCTACCTGGCTCTCCAGGGGCATGTTGTAGACCTCGGAGTCCAGCAGCATCGTGCAGGCGCTGAATGGCACTGCCTGGTTGGCGATGGTCCTGGCCGCCCGGCAGTGAACCCGCAGAATCTCCTGCTCACAGGATACGATCAGCTTCTCCTGAAGGAGGAGAGGAGTAGAGTGAGCTGGGACACAGCCACGCTCCAGGCCCCACTGTCAACACGACAGCCCCTGGGGCCTGCGCCGTGAAAAGCCCTGGCCGTGGCGCCCCCCTGCCTGTGCCAGCCCACTTACCCGCTCGATGCTGTGCTGTAGACGCAGCTTTCCCCGGACGGCCTCCTGCTGCCTGAACAGCTCCTTCAGGGGCTCCGCCAGGGAGGGAGGGGGTGCGATCTACAGGCAAAAGGTGAGTGTGGGGGGTCAGCTGGGGCTGTGGAACTGCACGAAGGATATAGTCTGGAGTTCACGGGGGTCCCGACTCAGCCTCCCCACTCCTAGGAGCCTGCCCTGGAGGCCTCCTCCAGTCCCAGCAACAGACACACCAGGAAGCTTCTAGAAACCACTATGTGCTGGACGCGGGAGAGCGGACACCTCCACGGTGCCCCGTACAGCACCACGCAGTGAGGAGATAGTGCAGGGAGAGGCGCGGGACAGTATCTGTGGGCCATCGTGTGCCAAGGAGGGCCTGAAACACCGGCATGAGCACCCAACTGTGCAGAGGAGATACAGCGAGACAGCAGGAGGGGGCTGGGGGTAGGCTGAGCTTCCTGTGTTCACAGGGAGGGCCCATGCACCCCAAATCAGCCTTTCAACCAGGCTGTAACGTGCACAGTGGAATATGAAAGCTGACAACCGAGCCGGTGGTCTTGCAGTGGCTCGGGGGAGGGAAGCACGCACTGGCCCAGGTCCCCGTGGGGGCTGGGGGACTGTGGGCCGGAAGCGCAGGCACTGCACTCCCACCAGCAGAAGGGTTCTCACAGAGGTGGGTCGGCCATTCTGAAACTACATGCATGCTGGAAGTGAATGAGGAAGTAAAGACAGCCGAGACCATCAGGATGAGGCCTCACACTCTTGGAGAAACAAGGCCCACACAGGAGCGGGGAGCCAGGCTGAGCCCCGCAGTGCAGCAGAGACCTCAGGCCCACAGGGAGTCAGGTTTCCAAAGCAGACCCAGAAAGCATGGCCGTGTGCTCGGGGCCACAGCAGTCGTACCAGGGCCACCACTCCCCACAGGTGGACCCACACGGTAATGGCAAGGCGGAGCCGGGTGGCCAAGACCAGCTGGAACATCGAGGGGCCAGTCAGCAACAGGAGCGCACGGGGCAGATGGGCAGGTGGACGCACAAGAGGGAGACCAGGAAGAGCTCCTGACAGCCAAGGCTGGGGCGACTCATGGCATGAGACCAACGCTGGCGATGCCGGGCACCTGCAGGCGGAAGGGGTGGCTCCTGACAGCACAGCTCCAGTTAGCGGACACAGGAGAGGGAGACAGGCCCAGCGCACAGGAGTGACTGCTGCAGACGAGAGCCGTGGACAGCGATGCGCATGGACAATGGGCTGAGAGAAACAGCCTCACGCAGTCTCCACGTCTCTTCCAAGACACACACACACACCACAGAGGGAGAGACTTCAACTCATGGTGGACGGGCCTGACCAGGCCTCCAGGTCACGTCACCTATGACACCAGGAGCAGAAGGCCCCGCCTCACGCCTATAGGCTCCTGCCTAAGAAGCATCATCGCAGGCCAGGCCTGGGGCCTCTGACCACACTGCTGACCGACACTGCCCAGAAGCTCCCAGCCAGGAGACAGGGCACGGGAGGGCCTGCCACAGCGTGGACGCACGGCAGGGTCTCGTCACCTCCACGGCTCCTAAGGCACATTCAGGGGAGGCTGGGCGTGCAGCAGGTGCATAAACCTATCTCTGCTGTTTCTGAACTTTTCTGCCCATCTAAAATCAGTTCAAAATTAATGATTTAGGCCGAGCGCAGTGGCTCACACCTGTAATCCCAGCACTTTGGGAGGCTGAGGCAGGCGGATCACAAGGTCAGGAGTTTGAGACCAGCCTGACCAACATGGTGAAACCCTGTCTCTACAGAAAATGCAAAAATTAGCCGGACGTGGTGGTGGGCGCCTGTAATCCCAGCTACTCAGGAGGCTGAGGCAGGAGAATTGCTTGAACCGGGGAGGTGGAGCTTGCAGTGAGCCGACATCACGCCACTGCACTCCAGCCTGGGTGACAGAGTGAGACTCTGTCTTAAAAAAAAAAAAAAATGGATTAAAAAATGTAGCAAAGTCCCTCTAGTCCACAGACCTCACTCTGTTCAGCACCACATCCACCCTGCCTCGACGAGCCCAGCCCCCCAGTGAGGGTTCTGCTGAGATGGGGCCCGTCGGTGGCAGGGATTCTGTGGGCCACCTCCAAGGTGGGACTGATGCGAGCTCAAGCGAATGCACAGCCCAGGACCCGGCACCACCCCTTCCTCTGGCTCAGCCCCAGGGCCGGCAGCTACAGCAGGAGCTGTGCCTTGGGCCTCAGGCAGCACCTGGCACCTGGGCCTGCCTGGGTCTAGGTCTGGGGGGTACTCAAAAGACCAGGCGGGAGGTGCACAGAACATTCCCAGGACTACTCAGATTGGCAGGATTCTAGTGACTTTTTTCCCCTGTATTTTCCAAATTTTCTACAGCAGTCAGACTAGTGTTATGATCCATTAAACGAGAAAACAAAACAACAAAAAGCACAGAAGGTCAGAAGATCAGAAGGTCTTACTGAGGAGAGATCCTGGGGCAGGTTTTTCTGAATGTCATGACCCAACTGCCGTCTCTGTCTTCTGTGGATGAGCCTCCCCGGGGACGGCTGGGGTCAGGCTCGCGGGGAAGGGAAAGACCGCAGAGGTCACCGTGGGTGCAGTGCCCCTCGTGCTCCCTGGGAGCAGAGCTCAGAGCTTGGCAGGGTGGGGCCCGAGGGCGCCCGCTCCTGGATCCTGCACAACGTCCCTGACATGTCGGCCAGCAGCACAGACCCAGCCTCACCCTCAGGGCAAGCTCAGCAGACCCCGTCATCCTCACCAGGGGGGTGCTGGGTAGCTGAGCCAGGTCAGGGCCAGCACGGCGAGGGGCCTCAGGCGGCCTGGGCCCACAGAGCCAACGCGTGTGGAGGGCCCCTGGCTGTACCTCACGCCACCTGCGAGTTTCAGTGCCCAGGAATCCCCAGAAGGAAATGGCCATTGGTGACGGCAAGCCTGTTCTGGGCATAACACAACACACTCAAGCGAGACGGCTGCATCAACCACACAGTCCGCTAGGCACAGTGTGAGTGGAGTCGCGTGGTCTGGGAGGAGACTCCAGGGAAGAGCCAGAACGCCACACGCTGGGGCTGGATGGACCCTGGGGGGCCTGAGAACAGGAGGGCAGGGGAGGCCGTGCACAGCTCAGGCCGTCACCGAGGACAGACGGGTGGGCTCTGCCTCCCCCATGAGGAATCCCTGTGCCTGCTGGGAAAGACCCCAGTGGGTAGGAGGAGGTGGGAACCCAGTCAGGCCCCGCGGCCCAGGGCAGAGAGTGCACAGGGCAGGCAGCCCTCATGGGAATGTGCTCAGAGCAGGGCCCCATTTGGAGGGATCTATTTTGGGCCCAGACGTAGCGCAAGGAGCTGGGGGAGTGGGGGTGATTCCGAGATGTTTCACCTGAGCCTGCAGAGGTAGGGATGATGCCTGGGGAACTGGGCTGACAGGGTCAGGTGGAACAAGGTGAGGCTGGGGGCCGAGGACCAAGCTGCCCCAAGGGAGCTGCAGCTCTGCTGTCCCAGAAGCCCAAGGGAGGAGGTGGGGGAAGGGACTCATCGTGCAGGTATGGAGGCTCAGGGAACCCACGCGGGTCCAAGGGAGAAGGGGGCGGGGCAGGGGCAGGAGACACAGGGGGTGGCTCTCGTGAGGCCGTCCTGGTGGACGGGGAGTGGAGAGGGGAGAGTGAGCGGCGTGAAGGGGGAGCCCCACACGAGTGGGACCGGGGTGCACCCAGGGTGAGGGGGAGGTCAGGAGACCGAGGCCTGGCACGGACCAGCTGGAGGAAGGACCTCGGGTCTGCAGAACAGCTGGGCAGCTTCCGGCTTTTGCCTCCACAGCAGAAGTGGGGCTGTGTCTCCTCAGGTGGCAGAAGGTCGAGAGAGGTCAAGGGCCATGAGTGGGACAAGACGGGCTGGAGGAAGCCGTGACTAGGGGCCCCAGACGCATCCCAGAGAGAGAAGGCAGTGGCTCTCCCGGGCCCCGCACTCACCACGGGGATGTGGAGCTTGCTGAGCGGCTTGCCGTCCAGGAGGTAGGAGCCCGTGTAGGTGACGTACTCGGCGTAGCACTGGGGCGCCTGCGGCGTGATACAGCACAGGATCTTGCGCTTCTCCTCGATCTTCTTCCTGATCTGCAGGTATTCGAAGTAGGGGTTGGCCCTGTCGCTGTGGTAGGGCTCGATGGCATCCAGCTTGATGGCGTCCACGATGGCGGCCAGCGTCTGCTGGATCACCTCCCGCGTCTGCTGCGTGGACGTGTTCAGCTGCTGCTGCAGCTGCTGGGTGGAGCGCTGAAAGCGGCGTTTGCGCGGATGCTGGGCCTGGGCGTCGTCGTCCTCGGAGCCGCGGGCCTTGGCCCTGGTGACCGGGGCAGGGGTGGGGGCGCACTCCTTCTCGGAGGGGGGCGGGCCCTGCTTGCTCTGGTTCGCGAGCATCTGCGCCCGGTTCCTGGTCATGCGCTGAGGGATCTCCTCCACTCGGGGGGCCTTCGGGGCTTCGGCCGTGGGTTTTGGTTCTGCGGCTTCCGGCTGGATGCCGCCAGGAGGGCCTTCGGCTGGGGCGGCGGCACGGGAGGCCTCAGTGTCGTCCTCGGGGCCGGCACCGTCTGCGGCCTGAGCTTGTGCCACAGTGTTCGGGGCGGGGCCGTCAGGGGCACAGAGGGACGCGGCGGGGGGGCCTTCAGCCTCAGCCCCCTGGTCTCCGCTCCCCAGTGGGCGCTGTTCTGGGGGAACGGGCGCGGGCTCCACGCTGGAGTCCGGATCCCCACGGGCCCTCTCTTCCGGCACCGTCTCCGCCTCCACCGCAGCTTCTAGAGCCACGTCCAGCTTTGGCTCCCCTGAGGGCTCAGGCTCGAGCTCTGCAGGGAGCCGGGTGGAGGCCTGGTCAGGAGGCAGTGCCGGCGGCTCCTCAGCCACTACGGTGGAAACATCCCCACCGTTTATGACCCCGGGGGCCCCTGGAGGCATCTCTTCTGGAGGAGCAAGACTTTCTTCCACGGGTTCCGCTTCACCATCTGCGGCATCTTTAGTCTGCAGGGGAAGCTCCGGCAGGGAGAAGGGCCCCAGGTCCAGGTCGTCCTCGGGGCCGGCGAAGGCGTCCGCCCAGGGCACCGGCTCCACCTGGCCGAGGTGAGACAGGCCGCGGCTGCCGTCCAGGAAGCTATTTTCCAGGGGCCCCAGAGCCTCCACCTGAGCCACAGCGGCTACACAGGCGGGCTCGGGGGCCACGTCCAGCGGGGCTTCCGGAAGTGACTTGCAGTTGCTGAAGAAGGACTCCAGCCCGGAGGGAGGGGCGTAGGGAGCCGCCTCTGAGGTGGAGATGGCGGCGGGGACGGCGTCCACTCCGTCCTTGACGTCCTCCAGCCCCGGCTCAGCGACGGGCAGAGCGTACGGGGCAGGAG
This sequence comes from Homo sapiens, assembly GCF_000001405.40. Classification (NCBI taxonomy): domain Eukaryota; kingdom Metazoa; phylum Chordata; class Mammalia; order Primates; family Hominidae; genus Homo; species Homo sapiens. The sequence continues at coordinate 89,280,481 of NC_000016.10, forward strand.
AGGCGGGAGGGGCGGGGTACGGCGCCTCCGAGGCGCTGAAGGGCCCTGGGGCGGCAGAGTGGAGGGGGTCCGCGGGGCAGAAACGCTTTGGGGACTCGGGGAATCTCTGTGGAGACTTCAGCAGGAGGTCCGAGCCCACAGGCCAGCTCACAGGGTTTTCAGAGGTGCCCCCGATCAGGCTAGAGGCAAGCGCCTGCTCGGAGGGGTGGGCCCACTCAACGGGCTCCTCGGTGATGACGGCGCTGAAGGGACCCTCGTCCAGCGGCTCCAGGTAGCTGGGCTCCGGGGGGATGATGGCGGCCGTCGCCTGCTGGTCCTCGGAGGTGTCCAGGTCCGGGGGAAGGGCCCCTTCGAGGGAAGGAACCAGCAGCTCGGCTCTGGGGGAAGGGGAAGGTTTTGCTTGTAAACTTGAGAAGACGCCCTCTGGAGACGGGGTGACAGTGACAACGGCAGCCGGTGGGCAGTGCAAAGCGTCGACTTTGGGCGACGGGAGGCCATAGTCTGGGGAGTAGTACCCTGGCGACAAGCAGGCAAACTTCTCCGCGGGAACCGGGGGCAGGGGCGCCCTGTCTTCCATCGAGGGTGGCATGGGAGAGTCGTAGCTGGAGGCAGCAGGAACGCTCTGCTGCCTGAAGAGCTTGTCTCCGACGCTGAATTCTTCCTCGGGGGTCCTCCTAATGTCGACAGAGACCGAGCGGTAAAGGTTTGTGGAGAGAGGCCTGGCAGGAGCCTGGCTGGCGTTTTCCGAAAGCCCACTTGAAGCCACGGAGAACCTGTCGAAAAAGGAGGGGGAGCAGGCGCTGGTGGGAGCGGTGGGCACGGGCGTGGAGTGCTGCGAGTCGGCGCAGTCGAACACGAGGTCCGCGTAGTCATCGGCGCTGCAGGACGGGGTCCTGGGCGTGTGCATCACCTCCTCGTAGCTGGGGCAGGATAGCACCGACGTAGGGGTGGGCACGCCAGTGGGCCGGCTCTGGTCAGGCCTGGGGGACGCAGGCAGGACCTCTTTCATGTGAGGGCCTGCCAGCCAGTCTTTGGAGTCTGCACCTGATGCTGGGTGTAGCTTATTTTCCGCGGCAGGTGGAATAGGAGTCGACTCTTTGAGCTTTTTGTCTTTAAATGGAGGGTCCAGCCCCGGCGGTTTCTTAGCAGGAATGTCCAGACCCTTCTTCCGCCCGTCGTCTGCCGGCTTCGCCTTCTCCTTGAGCTTGGGGTCTCCGGACCGGTGCCTCAGCTTCTCCATTTGCTTCATCCTCTCCTTGTGCCGCTTGTGGCGCTCCTCGATCTCCAGGTCCTTCTGGGACAGCATCCTCTCGAAGCTGGTCATCATCAGGTCGCCGTCCCCCAGGAGCTTCTCCCTGGGCCTGGCGTCTTTCTTGCCTGGGTCTTTGGATGGCGCTACCTTATCATTCCCGTTGCTCATCTTCACTGGGTCGCCCTTTTCTTTCTCTGCACCGTCCTTGAATTTCTCCTTCAGTTTGGCATCGCCGAGCCTCGGGCCCTCGTCCCTGGACTTGTCTTTGAGCACGCGGGGCGGGCTGTCCTTGTCCCTGGTGGCGGGCTTCTGCTCGTCCCTGTGATGCCGCAGGAGCTCGTCCCTGTGATGCCGCAGCAGCCCATCCGCATGCCTGTCCCGGTGCCTCTCCTTCTCGTCTCTCCATTTCTCCCTGTGTTTCTCTCTCTTCTTCTTCTCTTTTAGGATGTTGATGGCACTAGATCCATAAGGCTTTAGTTCCTTTTCTATTTTCTTGGAAGGTTCTCTCTCGGAATCATTTTTATCTTTCTTTTCGGTAGAAAACAATTCAATGGTTTTATCTAGCTCATCTTCTATGTCAGCTTTCATGTTGTAAGAAACTCCGTAAGCATCCGCCTCCAGGAAGTCCTTTTCGTACTGGCCGGAGTCCTTCCTGCTACCGCCCTCCTTGTAATCTTCGCCCTTCTCTTTCTTCTCGGCCTTCTCTTTCTTGGCTCGCTCTCGGTCGTGGCTCTTCTTGGATGAAGATGAGGAGTGTCTGTGCCTCTCCTTCTCTTTCAGCTTCTCAGGGAGGCAGGCGCTCTCCCTCGGCTTGTCGTCTCCAGGTGGCTCCGTGAAAGAGACCTCCAGGAAGGCAGTCAGCCCCGGCTCCTGCCCTCGGTCCGTGAAGCTGTCAGAGGAGACCTCGCTGATTTTATCGTTGGAGTCTTCTCTGTACTCATGGAGAGCCTCTTCTTCCAACTTTTCAAGCAGGCTTTTTTCCGCGTCGGCACTTCTCGAGGACTTCCTCTCCTTGGAATGTTCTTTGTCCGACTTCTCTTTGTGTTTGCTTTTAGCCTTGTCTTCGGCAGCGTGCTTCTTTTCAGCCTTCTCGGGGAGCTTCTGTTTATTTTTCTTATCTTGCGTGGAGTCCACTGAGGCTCTGTCCTTCCTGTCCTTGTACTTTTCTGTGGACTCTTTATCCTTCTTCTCCTTGTGCTTTTCAAAGACTTTCTCTTTTTTGTCTCTCCCCGCGTCGGCAGCCCCTCGGTCCTTTCTCCTGTCTCTGGGCTCCTTGTCCTTCTGCCTCTCAGGGTGCTGCTTGTCAGAAGACTTCCTGTGTCTGTCGGAGGCATAGGCCTCCCGTCCTTCCTCCTTCTCCTGGAGGCCGTCCGTCCTCGGCAAGTCGCTGGCCTCTCCCATCTTGAACCCGCTCCCCATGCAGCTGTCTCTGTCGTCCTCACTCTCATCTGTGAAGATGTCTGCGATGTACCAGCTTTTCTCTTTGCCTTTCTTGTCATCTTTTTTTTCAGAGAAGTCTTCTGAGATGATCCCAGGGAAAGCCTTCTCCTTCTTCTCTTTCCCTTGGTCGAGAGACGCTTTCCTTTCTTTGTCTTTGCCATGTGTGTCTTTATGTTTTTCCTTGGTATCTTTTTTCTCTTTAAAACATTTATCAAATTCTTTGTCCTTCTGACATTTTTCCAGGATTGATTTCTCACTTTTGTCCTTGTCACTGGATTTCTCTTTGTATCTTTCTGGTTTTGTCTTCTCCTTCCTTTCCTTATCGGGGCCATCCTTCTTCTCCTTCTCTCGTGCTGGGTGGTGCCGTTCCCACGGCTCCAGGCCCTTCCCAAAGTCGCCGTCGGACTTGTCCTTGAAGCCACTCTCGCAGCCACACTCCTTCAGCTCCTCCCGGTGCGCCTCCTCGGGCTTGGCCCTGCCGTCCCTGCGCTCCTTGCAGCTCTCCAGGGCGTCCTTTCTGTCCCGCCCGGCCTCTGCGGACTCTCTCCTCTTCTTGTCCTTTTCCGAAAGGTAGCCAGGGACACTTTTATGCTTTTCGGTCTGCTCTTTCCTCTTCTCAGAGTTTTTATCCAAATAGTCCCTGTCCTTCTTTCGGAAGAAGGGCTCTCTGTAGTCTCGCTTCTCCCGGGCCCGGCTGTCCCGCCTCCTCTCCTTGCTGTCCTCCTTCACCGTCTCCAAGATGAGCTTGGCCACAGAGTCGCTCTTCATGTCCCTGTAGTCTGTCACTGGCGAGTCCCAGCTGTCCTCCCCTTTGAAATCAAAGGATGAATCGGACAAGTCAGAAAACCACCGATCTCGCTGATCGTCAGAAAGGCTAAATTTGGTGTCTTCATTCTCCAGAAACTGATTTTTGTTACAATATTCGTCAAAAGCAGAATCTTCCCTATAAACCTTTTCTTTTTTGAGTTTTTCTTTATCTTCTTTAAAAATCTTCTCCTTCTCTTTTGAAATTTTGTCCTCTTTTAAATCATTCTTCTTCTCTAATTTTGAGGGCCGGTCTTTTGATTTCTTCTTTCTCTCCTCTTTGTACAGTCTCAGTTTTTCTTCTTTCGGAGACTTTTCCTTCAGCGATCTCTCCTTTTCTGCTTTATTCGAACGGTCTTTCTCTTCTCGGAAAGACCTGCTGATGTCTTTGTTTGTGTCTTTGATTCTCTTCAGTGATTTTTCATCTTTAAAGAGCCATTCTTTTTCTTCTAATTTCATTTTGCTAAGTTTCTCTTCTTTTTTAAAGTGGTCGCGATCGTGCTTTAACACTTTTAGCTTGTTTTCAGTGGAAAGATCATTCTCTAACAGTATAGCCTTATCTGACTTCTGCTTGGAGTCCTCATATTCGTAAGTAAAACTTTTCAACTTCAGCTCTTGGCTGATGGAACACTGTCCCTTCTCCTTGTTTTTGTGTTTGTGTTTTGTTTTATGTTTTTTGACAACTTTCCCCTCCTTGTCCAGTTTGGGGACAGCGCCCTCCGCGCTGGACAGGAAGGGGCTCTTCTTCTCCGACAGGGAGGCTCGCTTCCTGTGCTCCTGCCTCTTCCTCACTGGCTTCAGCGATTCCACACTGGAGCCCTCAGAGGAGTAGTCAGACTCGCTTGTCAGTCTCGTCCTTGTGGAGTCTGATAAAGAACTGACCTCTGACCAAGCCGGGGAAGAAATGGTTTTCCAATTGTCTGTCCGCCAGTGCTTGGTGTGCTGGTCTGTGTGGCTGGGGTTCTGCTTCTGGGCGGCAGAGCTCCCGTGAGACGAGGTGGAGGAGGCAGAGAGGGAGCTGAACAGGGAGGGGTCCTTCAGCACCAGCGGGGACCCCTTGAGGCAGCCAGAGCTCCCCAGAGAGTCCCTGTCATCCTCCCCACTCTCTGAGGACTCGCTCTCCGACTCCGAGGAGCAGAACTTGTCGCTCCGCTTTCCGAAGCGAACCTCTCTGCCTTTTGTTTCTTTCTTTCGCTTCTTTTTCACTTTATTTTTTTCCTTCTGCTGCTTGGCATTAGAAGGCTCTCGTGTCTTACTACCAGGCAATATCGTATGTGCCGAGAGTCTCAGCTTCTCTCCTGTCCCCACGGTGACACTCGCGTCCTCCTCGTCCGACGTGTCTGACAGGATACGATGGGACGCTTTCTTTGGTGCAATCGTGTTATTTTTAGTGTAACTTTTAACCTCCATTTTGGGTATAGAGATAAAACTATTGGATTTCGTTTCTTTTCTGTAGTCCTTTTTCAATAGGTGCTTGTCGTCCACCGGAGGAACCCTGTCCTGCTCGTCGTCCTCATCAAACTCATACTCGTCCTTGACGGGGGCCGTGGCCTTCTGTGGCTCTGGGTTCTTGGCCTTGTGCTTGAGGCCTTTTTCGAACTCGGAGTCCGTGTTGTTGCCGTCGACTGAACTGGAAGGTGCGAAGGATGGTGCGTCTTCCTCTTCTGAGCTCTCTGTTGGAGGTAGGAAGCGAGAGGTCACAGGCAGGCTCAAAACAGCTCTCCCCAGAATGGCAGAGGAGGGAGGCTCTGCAGATGTGTCTGCGGGAAGGTTCCCACCCTGCCTCTGCAGAGACACTTTGCTCGACTCATGGAAACCAGCCACAGGCAGGAGGAAACCAGACAGAGCTCAGCTGACAGACAGGGCTGGCATCTTAGAATGAAGACTGCAGGCTTCTCGGCAGTGACACACCTGGGCGGGGTCTCCCGCAGTCCAGAAGCTCCTGTAAGCCCCCAGCATCCGAGGAGGAGCTGATCAGAGGGGCAACACTGTGCAAACACCACAGGGCAGCTCCTACCATCCCTGCATAAAAGAACAGGCAGCTCAGGTGGCCGTGACTTACCCGTCGAGCTCTCCTCGCTGGAAGTGTAAGTGCCTTTGCCTAACAGGAGGTTCACCATCGTGGGGGAGTTGGCCACTTTCAGCGGCGTCTCGCCTTTCCTGTTGCTCTGCTGCGGGTTCCCTCCGTACCGCAGCAGCAGCTTCACCACCTACAAGACAGTAACACCCGCGTCAGGGACTGCTGGAGAAGCACAACTCCTCTACCGTTCCGCATAACACGGCAGCCCCTTCCGAGAACCCTGGGGTTCGACCCGAGAGCAGCCCCTCACGGTCTGAGGGTGTGGGAGCCGAGCGCCCAGGGACTGCCTGGCGAGGCTCTGGGTGTGGTGGGCGAGGCTGTGGCTCCTCTGTGGGAAGGGCTGCAGCCGCGGGGGCTCCCGCACCCCTCCTGTGCTCTCCTTCAGAAGGGCTCTGCCTCCTTTGGATTTTTTTCCACCATTTCTCCGTTGCCGCAAGTAGACGACTTCCCAGGAATCTTCTCACGAAGGCTCTCCCCTCCCGCCAACAGTGAGCTCCTCAGCAGAGTGGTGCCGGAGTGGTCGTGGAGGGCTCAGGCAAGAGGTTAGGGAGAAGAGTGTTATGGAAAGGGTTGGGGGGACAGAATAGAGGAAACAAAGACCAAGTTTCTGCAAGCTGCTTTATTTTTTATTTTCATTTACATTAGAAAATAATCTCTCCCTTGCTTGATTTTACAAGGGTAAGGGTGGTCACATGACTGACAGAGACAACCATGGTGACACAGCTCTTTTCAGCTGTTCATCACCAGCAACCTGGATTTCCTATGCCCAGAACAGCAATGCACTGAACTCAAGTACAAATTAAATTTAATCCCAACTTTAGTCCAGTCTGAGATTAGCGCATTCAAAGAATCTGTCATAACGTTTACTATAGACTCTTGTCGCCCACAGAATCAGTTTCCAGTTCGTGTGTGACATGTTCTATTGTTGAATCAGTACAGAGTTCTTATGTGTGTGAGTTTTCTATGGTGACTACACAAAACCTCAGGCTTACAATTGTGGAGGTCAGAGGTCAAGGTGCTGGCAGGGCAGGATCCTTCCTTTCCTCCATCATGGGGGCTGCTGGCAGAATTCAGTTTCTTGCAGGGCTGGGACGGAGGTCCCCAGTCCCAGCTGCTTAGGGGCCACCACACTCCTCGGCCCTCCTCTAAGGCCAGCAGCGCAGGTGCGGCCCTCCTCGGGTTCTAACCTCTCCTGCTTCTGGCATCTCTCAGACTCAGCAGGAAAGGCTCTCAAGCTTTAAGGGCCCATGGGGCTGCCCTGGGCCTGCAAGATGACCTAGGACAATCTCCCCATGTGAGGCACTCACAAGGTCTGGGGGTCACAACACGGGCATCTTGGGGGCCATTATCCTGCCTACCTCACCGTAATTCCAGGGTCCTTGACATTTTTCGTAATAAAAAGTTTAAAAGTGGTAATTACAGAACTATAAAGCTGCATCGGATGCCCCAGCCCCATCACCCTCCAGGGCCATTCCCCTCACACCTGCCCTCCCCTGCAGCACTGAGCGAATCCCAGACACTGCAGAGCCTTTTCCAGTTCACGTCTCTGGAAGAGCCCATAAAACAGAAACAGTATAAACCATAGTGCCATTCATTATCTTACCCAGAAGTTTAACGGTCATATTTTAACATCAAATAGGGACTCAGTGTTCTGAGTTCCCTGCTCGTCTCAGAGTCTTCAATCCACCCCCCACCCCACCGGAACAAGCCGTTTCTCAAGTGAGCTCTTTAAGGCCAAGGCACTGTGGGCTCCAGGACCTCCAGCAATGGCCAGGCTGGGCTTGCTGCAGAGGAGCACGACGGGCACCAGCAGATGTGGCCCCGTGTGACCCCTCAGCCTTGCTGTCCTGCCTGCAACCAGGGGCTCTCCACGGAGCTCTGATGAAGACATCAGTGAGACCCGCCGCATCTCCAGGCAGCACCCCTGCTTTCCGGCAGGACGGGGCTGTCAGGCACACCACGACCTCTCTCGACCCCCACAGAGGCTGAGACCTCTCAGTGCCCACTGCTCCTGGGCCGGCCACAATGGCCACTTTCTAAAGCTTGAGTCTATGGTTCTGTGCACTGGCCACACCTCTTGGTGTTACCTCATTCCAGACGAGGGTGGGTCTGCCTTGCAGGTCTAACAGTCCCACAGTGGTGACGGGGACCGGCAGCAACTCCTGCAGGCCTCCTTCCACTTGGTGTAATCCTTCACCTGCTCAAATCCAACCAGACCTACACGGCTAGCGGATACGAGCCTTTCATAGATGGCACTTGCTGGGAAACCTGTGAGAGGCCGTCCAGGCTGACCCAGAAGGGGAAAGCTGGGGGCAGACAGAGGGCACAGCTCGGCCTTGAGGGTGGGCAAGGCGAAAACTCGCTTTCCTGTGCCCCACATCATGGAACCGGCTAGCTACGGGGAAACAAAGCTACAGAACCACCCAGATGCCAGGACAGGCCGGATGTGTGAAGAACGGGGGGATGCCAACCTTGTAGTGCCCGTTGTTGGCAGCGTCGTGCAAAGGCGTGTCGTCATCTAGGCCCTTGGTGTTCACCTCCGCACCTGCAGCCAGCAGCTGCTTCGCGACGTCGTAGTAGCCCCGGTTACAGGCCTCGTGCAGCGCCGTCCAGCCTGGAAACAGACACTCAGGACGTACGTTATTTAATCCTCAGAACTTCCCTCCTGTCTCTGGAGGCAGCGCCCTGAGGATGTGCTACAGTGCGGGGACAAGCCAGGTGGGGAGCTGCCCTGTAGTGAGGGCTGCAGTTTAGGGAAGCAGGTGCTGGCCCAGAGAACCCCTAAATTCTCTTTACTGTGGCACCTCGTTAGCACGATCCATATCTAGCTTATTAACCCTACGGACTGACAACCTGCAGGGCTAATCTGCGGCAATCACCCTAAAAGGGTAGGAAATCAGTGAACACACAGTGTAGTAAACAGCAGCCTCATCCTCACCGATCTGGAGGCGTATGTGCCTTTGCAAAACACGGAGGGGAAACCTCCCGTGTCGGAAACGGAAACCAAGGCTGAGAGCCTCCTGAAGGCTGAAGAGCTGCTACAGCAGGAGCTCCAGGGGCGCCCAGGCTCGGGCTGCACGACGAAGGCCACCCCGGGCAGGCAGCTCCTGGCTGGGGAGCTTGGAGTCCACCATCGGACGGTGTGGCCGCACGCATCCGTGGAAACAGAGCTCGGCCCCACGGAAGCACACGGCACTGCTCTAGAGAAGTTTCTTTTAGAAAAATGCTTTAAAAAAAAAAGGTGCTAAATTAGGTTTGGGTCAGACAGCTATAAACCAGGGCAGTTGGAGAAATCTAGAAGGATTCTACACACACGATTTTGCTCATCTGTTCCCCTTACACTGTGGACAGACAGTCCTGGGATATGTGGACCACTCATGGTTTGATGGGGGTATTTTATGTAAAGAAAGGGAATATTAAACTCTAATCATGGAGCTCTTAAGCCCCTGGGCCGTATCAGGTCTGGGGAGGCTCGCTCAGTTCTCTCCGGGTCCCAGGCAAGCCCCAGGACCCAGCCCTGTGAAGTGAGGGAGTCCAGTCCAGGGTGTCGACCCAGCCGGCCTCCCGGCTCAGAGGTGCCCTCTGCTGGAGAATGCAGCCATGTGCTAGACACACCAGGGACAGGTCCCTCCAGGGGCCTGGAGTGAGGTTTATGGAACACAGCAGAGTAAAATTTAAAATTCCTCAGTTCTCTTACAGATAGGCCAGGCATGGGGGCTCACAGCTATAATCCCAGCACTTTGGGAAGCCAAGGCGTGAGGACTGCTTGAGGCCATGAGTTCAAACCAGCCTGGGCAACTTAGTAAGACCCCGTCTCTACAAAAAATAAAAAAATTAGCCAGGCATGGTGGCGTGCGCCTGCACCCGGAAGGCTGAGTTGGGAACATCGCTTGAGCCCAGGAGTTCAAAGCTTCAGTGAGTCGTGATCACGCCACTGCACTCCAGCCTGAGCAACAGAGCGAGACCCTATCTAAAAATAAAAATAACAATAAAACCCAGCAAACAAGTTTACTTTGAAATACTTTCCAAGAAACACTGATTTCTTCTCAGCAACAGGGAACCCCACTGGAGTGAGTGTGGCTGTGAACACCCCGAGCCCTGCAGAGCAGACGCGCACCCCACGAGGCCACAGCCCATCCAACCCGATGGGAGGCTCACGGCTCCAATGGGGGAGGCTCAGGGCTCCAGCGGGGGGTAGGCTCAGGGCTCCAATGGGGGTAGGCTCAGGGCTCCAGCCGGGGGAGGCTCAGGGCTCCAATGGGGGGAGGCTCAGGGCTCCAGCGGGGGAGGCTCAGGGCTCCAATGGGGGGAGGCTCAGGGCTCCAGCGGGGGAGGCTCAGGGCTCCAATTGGGGGAGGCTCAGGGCTCCAATGGGGGGAGGCTCAGGGCTCCAATGGGGTGAGGCTCAGGGCTCCAGCGGGGGAGGCTCAGGGCTCCAATGGGGGGAGGCTCAGGGCTCCAATGGGGGGAGGCTCAGGGCTCCAATGGGGGGAGGCTCAGGACTCCACTGGGGGAGGCTCAGGGCTCCAGTGGGGCTCTCTGGCCCTTGCCAGGCACAGGGTGCCCACCTGCGAAGTCCTTGACGTTGACGTCTGCCCCCTCGCTGATGAGCTCTTTGATGCGCCGGGCGTCCCCGCGGATGGCGGCTCGGTGCAGGCGGGTCTCTCCACGCTCGTTTCTCTTGTTCACTTTATCTTTGGTTTTTGAGGCAGAGTTGGGCGTTCCCTTCTGACACACTGTAGACTGGGAGGGGTGCTTTGGTGTTGTGTCCACTGCAGGCCAAGGAGGGGACAGATGGGCATTACTGTGGGGTGGTCCTGCTTTGTCCAATCTTCAAGAGCCCAGGCCACCATCACGAGGTCCCTTTGCACAGGGCTTGTCCTCAGCACAGCCATGAGGCTGCGACCAGGCAGAGCCCCTTCCCTGCGCCAGGGACCACCCACAGGCCGGGCTCACCTGGGCTGTTGGCAGACTCCTCGGCCGTCATCTGCATGAGAAGGGCCACCTGCTGGCGCTCGGAGAGGGGGTAGCCGGCTCGGATTCCAGACAGCCCCATGCCAAACAGCAGCCCGGCCTTCCGGGTGACAGGCTCCTTCTTAATCCTCTTCCGCTCAGGGCCCTGCTTCTCTGTGAGGCGGGCGAGGGAGAGAGGGAGGAGAGATTTCATGCCATGGTGTCCTCCAAAGCTAGGTCCTTACCTAATGTTACGGAGCCCCCTGCGTCCACCTGACAGCTGACAGAGCAGAAAGGAAGGTCTGTGTATGGGGAAAGCACAGCGGTGCTGGGAGCATTGGTGCCGCCCACCTCACCTCTCAGCAGTGACTGTGAGACCATTTAAACACCTCGTTACCAGCCCCTCAAGTCTGCTAAGCCTGGGCCTCCACCGAGCATCCACTCACTCCAGGCACCTCTCCTGGGCCTCCCCAGACCTCGTACCACACATGAATGCGGTGGGACAGCTTAGCACCGGTGACCTGGCTCACACAGGACAGGTCTCTGTTCAATACACGTGTCTGTAATTCAATTCCACCTTCCCCGTCCCTCCTCCAAACAGTGCAGATATAAAATGGCAGACACAGTTTAAAACACATCAGTAAATCAAGGCCAACTGGTCAGTACTGTACCTTTCTTCTTGCTTCTAGGAACCTCCATCTCATGCCATGGTGCTTCGAGGAGCGTACCAGCCTTGCAGCACCACAACAGGGACTGGGCTGGAGGCATCTGAAGGCATCAACACAGAGCACTAACAAGACACGGTGTGAGAGCTCGGCTGTTTCCACCTCAGCCTCCTCGTAACAAGCACACCCTGCACTCATCTGACCCGTTACAGAACACTCGGCTGGCGTCTAACGCAACTCACGTGCTGTGTCTTTTAAAAGAGGCAGGAGGCAGGGGCGGGGAAGAGAAGACCCCAAGCACCAAGAGTCGGGGGCACAGAAGATGCCTCCTCCTCTGCCTGACCAGTGCCCTCCTGTGGATGGAAATCAGGGGCCAGACACCTCTGAATCCTCCTCCAGCTGCCCTGCGGGTTCTGGGGTTTTCTAGGTCATGGGGTGAAACTGCAGAGGTGCAGCGCAGAGGCAAGGCTCTGCCAAGGCCTGACTCGGGGAAGAAGGGCCACCAGGAAGACGTGGGCCTCTGAAGCTCTCCTCTGAGGCACCTCCCTTCCCTTCCATTCAGCACTCCCAAGAAGCCTCTCTTCAGGACTTCTCCCTCGGCTGGTGTTTGATCCTACAGAGGTGGGAGACATCTCTAACAACGGACTAACTGGATCCCACACCTGCCCGGTCACTGGAACACAGAACGGTCTTAACTAGTCTCTCAGCTCAGCTCCCAGGGCCCGACTCTCTTGCTGTTCACCACCATGGTCCCCGTGAATGTGCCCGTCGATTTCCTAAGAGGACGCTGCCCACCCACTCTAGTTCTTTCCAAGGTATCTGAGGCTGATTTCTTAGGAATTCGGTCTGGGGCATGCTGAGAATGTGGATTCGTATGTCCTATGGGACAAGCCTGCAGGAAGGCACACACCTGGCCACATCGACCTGCGTCACACTCATGGGCAAAACCCCAAGTACTGCAGGCTGCCATCGCCACCACCAGCTAGTCTGTAAACAGTCCTCAACGCACAGATCTGAGAAAGCACTTGAGCTTTGGCCCCAGCCCCTCATAGAACCTGGCAAACACGGTGGTTGGGGAGGCAGCCTCGCCACCGGCCAATGAGCCCCAGCCTACAGCCATCATTGGCGTAGCCACACCTTAGCAGTGAGCTTGGGTCACAGGCGCTTGGCTGTGGGTCTCTGCGTGCGCCCCATGCTTTCCCTGCACCCTCCATGCTGCCCGGGGGCCGGCCCTCCCCAGGCTTGCTTCTCATAGCCACCTCTAAACAACAGAAGCAGGCCTGCGGCTGCCTCCCTCTAGGAAAGAGGCGACGAAGCTGCTGGAGAAACCCCAGCTCCCCCACCGATAGCCCTCAAGTCCTCCTCTCTCCAGGAGGGGCCCACACTCACCGAGCAGCTGGTCTGCCCACAGTCGCCTGGAGAAGCAGCTGAGAACCTCTGCAGGGCCCTGATCCCCAAGACCTAGCCACGCACATTCAGAGGCCTGCTCCCTCCGTCACCCAGAGCAGGGGGGTTAATGTTTTGGAGACACGAAGCCCCCTGAGAACACGAGGAAAGCAGAATCCCCGAGATACACAGACTTTGCAAAGCTGCACACAGCACAGGAGACTCCTGGGAGCAGACGGCATCTCCTTATTCCATTGACCATCAGAAGTGAAAAGCGAGTGGGCCCCACTTCTGTGCTGCATGTGGCCACTAGGGGTGGACACAGGGAGGAGCTGGGGCAGAGTTGGGGTTGCGGAGGGAGGAGCTGGGGCAGAGTTGGGGTTGCGGAGGGAGGAGCTGGGGCAGAGTTGTGGCTGCGGAGGGAGGAGCTGGGGCAGAGTTGGGGCTGCAGAGCGAGGAGGCGGGGTGGTGTTGGGGCTGCGGAGGGAGGAGCTGGGGCGGTATTGGGGCTGCGGAGGGAGGAGCTGGGGCAGAGTTGGGGCTGCGGAGGGAGGAGCTGGGGCGGTGTTGGGGCTGCGGAGGGGAGGAGGCGGGGTGGTATTGGGGCTGCAGAGGGAGGAGCTGGGGCAGAGTTGGGGCTGCGGAGGGAGGAGCTGGGGCAGAGGTGGGGCTGCGGAGGGAGGAGCTGGGGCGGTGTTGGGAGGAGCTGGGGCGGTGTTGGGGCTGCAGTATGTTTACATCCCGAAGTGCAGGCGTTGCCATGCTCTTAAGTTATCAAAGGACCCTAGGAGGCGTGTGTCAGAGGAACAGGCAGAGGCAAAGGCGTTCCTTAGAAGTCAGTCTTTAGGCTGGCAGGCCAGGAGCCCACGCTGCGTCCCCGCTCTGAGGGGCAGCAAAGAGCTGCTTTGTGGCAAACAGAACATGTCCCACTCCTGCAGGGCGGCCATCTCAGGTGCAGCTCACACCCAACATGTGCAGAATGGGCAGGACTCGGTGCCCCCAGAGACTTCCTGGGTGGGCTCCAGGGCCTGAGCCTCAGGGTCAGGGCCACATCCCTCCCGCTCCCCACCAGGCCCTCCCTCTGCTTCTGCTCTGAGCTTTGGTGAAGAAAGCCTGAGTTGGCTTCCCTTACGCGGCCAGGACAGCTTTACAGGGCTGGCTCCCAGCAATTCGCATGGAAGGTGCTGCCAACCTCCTGGTGAATTCTGGTGCCTGGAGCCACCACAGGGACCTTGCTCTGCCCCACACTCAGGAAAAGCTTGCTCCCAGGAAGCAGCAACTTTTCACCCAGCTCTCCCTGTCCTGAAACAGGACTTTTTACTTGTCCTGACACCAAAAAAGTCCAATATGAAACCAGATCTCCCAGGATGCCAATCTCTCCACTGTGAAACAAGCACCTGCAGCTACGAGCATCTACAACGCCCACAACACGCGCCAGACACCACCCAAGCTCCGGAGCCCAGCAAACTTGCACGTCTGTCAGCTCTGAGACACTGGCCACTCCAGTGGCTTCTGGGGTAGAGGGAAAGCCCCACCCACGGAGCGAGACCCCCATGTGCCACAGCCCATGGCTCAACAATGCCTGCTCTCCATTCCAACCCAGCGACACCATGGTCTGAGAGCAGCTGAGCGGGTCCTTGACGTGCACACACACAGCCCGTACCTGTACCTGCACTGTCAGGCACCACACAAGTGGGTCCCGCACTGCCTGCCTGCCTGCCCCTCCTACCCCAGGCCTGGGATGACCTGGAGCCGTGTGCCCCTGAGAAACGCTCCTCTGAGAGGAGAGGCTGCAAAACCTGCTCCCTGCCCTCCACACAGTGCAGAGCGCAGGAGGCGCGGGGTGTTGTCTGCAGGTAAGAAAAGGGTGAGAGCATCTGGAGCTACCCCTAGGACAGCCAGCAAGTTCCTGTAGCATTCTGCAAATTTCCTGTTTCTACCGTCCAAATGGAAGCCAAATACAATTTCTATGAATTCCAAATGGTATTCACCAAGTTGCAAAGTGGAAAACTGGCAAGTCTAGGGACTAAGTGCGGCTACAGCACCACAGACAGATGTGGCCCTGGGTGCCTCTGACCCCGGGGTGGGGGTGGGAGCCACTCCACAGCACTCAGAAGCCCCCTTCCACCCCTGCCCTGCAGTCGGAACACGGCCTGCAGGCTCTGAGGGCTTTGTGGGCTCAGGCAGCCTGGGGCTGAGGGCAGAGGTCCAGGGAGAGCGGTGGAGGGTGCCAGGAGAGGCTGTGTCTTCCCAAGTCAAGCATGTTGGCGGTGGCACCTGTGTCCGCTGACCTGAGCCTGGGCGGCCACCCACCTCATCTTTAAGAAACAAGGCCCGTAGGGCCTTTCTTCAAACCACATCCACCTCGCCAGCCCTCTGAGGCTGGCAGCACACCTCACTACCCAGCTGGCCAGTGGAAGATTCCACGGAACCCTCTCCTCCTCAGCACAGAGCTGAGACCCCTCCATGAGCCCCATGCCCCTTCCTGGTGCTGGTGCTGCTGGAGCACGGCCTTGGCCTGGGGCAGCAGGGGCCACAGTGGACAATGCTTTTGGGAGCTGGAGCCCACTTCCTGCCCCTGCATCCAGCCATGGCCTTTCTGAGGCAGCAGAGACTGGAGGCGAGCGTCCCGAGGCAAACGGCGGTGGCACCTGGCTCTGTGCAGGTGGGATGGGGGGGATGTGACGCGCCTGGGGGTGCCCTGTGCTGGTGGGATCGGAGCGGGGGCTGTGACCTTCCCGAGGGGTGCTCTGTGCAGGTGGGATCGGAGGGGGGATGCGACCTTCCTTGGGGTGCTCTGTGCAGGTGGGATGTGATGTGGGGGGCCTGCAACCTTCCTGGGGGTGCTCTGTGCAGGTGGGATTGGGGGGGGCTGTGAACCGCCTGGGGGTGCTCTGCAGGGAGTGTCTTCTCTATCTGGCTGCCTTTTTTTTTTTTTTTTTTTTTGAGACAAGGTCTTGCTCTGTAGCCAAGGATGGAGCACAGTGGCGCAATCTCAGCTCACCGCAGCCTCCACCTCCCAGGCTCAAGCGACCCTCCCACTTCAGCCTCAGGAGTAGCTGGGACCACAGGTGGGTGTGCCTCTGGCTGCTTTTAACATCCTCCCTTTGCTGTTCTGAAAACTTCACGTCAGAGTCATATTTAAATGTGTAATTACTGCTCTTTCTCCTGCTTATAATTCATTATACTTTTTGAATTTGAGGCTTGTGTTTTTATGAACCTTGAAAAGCCCTCTGCTGCCGGCCTCTGGAGCCACCGTCTCCCTGCCCTGCTCTCTCCTCTGCCGAGGTGCCTGTTAAGCTGCATTCTCTCCTCCACAGCTCCCCGCTTCCTGCAGGCTTCCTGTCTCACTTTCTTTCTGTGCTCCAGAGTCTAGGCAATCTCTTTTGTTAGAACTTCCAATTCACCAATACTTTCTTATGTTGTGTCTAATAAGCTACATCATCTGCTCACTGGGTTTTTTATTTCAGTGATTATAGTTTTCATTTCCAGATATTCCATATGCCTTAAAAACATCTGCATGATACTCCATGGTTTTAACTCCCCTGATGAATACTGTGCATTTAACCATCCCAGCACGTGAGGTCCCTGGGGCTGACCCCTGCTGACCCTCTCAGAACAGCTTTCTTCCTCAACGTCTTGTAATTCCAACCAGGCTCTTCGTCTGTCTACACTCTGGGAGCCGGAAGGCCGGGATGAGGAAGGTGTGTCTCTCCAGGGAGGGTTTGCTTTTGCTGTGGTGGGGGCCCCAGGGAGTGTGGGGCACTTCCAGCAGCATAAAACAGCACAAATCCAAATGCCAGCCCCACCAGAGGGCAGGAATGGGTCAGAAGTCTCATTGGTGACCTCTCAAAGCCCCTCATCCCTCCTCAGCACCTGTCCCTCTTAGCTGGGGGGACAGTGTCTACCCTGATAGCCCAGTGTCCAGGAAGTGTGGCCCTCTCGAGGGGACAAGCTTTCCGTGGGGTCTGGGCCCAAAGCCCCTTCCTCTACCTCCCTGGGAGGTCTGAAGCTGGGCTCCAAGGCAGAGACCCTGAGGTTGGGCCCCAGGGACGTGGAGGTGTGTGGCCTCAGCTGCTCATCTGAACAAATGCCTTTTGTATCAATCATTTAGCACCTCTAATTTCTAGGCTTTTCTAGCAAGAGTCTTTTAGGAGACACAGGCCACGATACTGTCAACATAGGAAAATGTGCAACTCCTGCGTCCCACCGTAAAACTCGAAGACGTCAAAATACATTCTTGATTCTGCTCCACAAAGGGATGTTTCCATGGCGATATTTTCAAACAACAGAAAGTTCACGGCCGATGGCGGTTACAGCTCATGGAACTGATGGGCAGGGCCGGGTGCAGCTTTGTAGCACGGCTGCTGCTCACAGATTCTCTTCCATTTGACTAAAAACCATGCTGTCCACACCAAACATCTGGCCTCATCCGGATGTTCAAAGCCATGAAATACAGCACTTCTGGCCAAGAAGTCTAAATCACAGCCGATCTACACGAGGCGGATGGTCCACAACGCCAAGTTCCTACCCGGGCACTGAGCTCAACGCTCGCACAACTCCAAACGAGGGCGCAACCATATTCCCACTGACATCCTCCTTGGGGCAGCAAGACAAGCTCCGAACAGCCTGTCCTGGGCCAACAAGAGAAGCTGGCGGGCGCCCGCTGAGCACTGTGAGCCATCTTGTGGTGAGACTGGCTTCTCCTTCCAATCTCCAGGTTTCTCTCTCTTTCTGCCTTCTTTCTGTCAGTTACCGTCATTGATCACTTAAAGAAAGACAGGGCCTACCCCTGTCTGCTGCGTGACCTCAGCCCTCCCGCCTGCCGATGGGAGCTGGGTCATCTCTTACGCCTTTCAGCTTTGGCTTCTTCCGCAGTGTATGTGAAGGGGTCACACAGAGGTAAGGCTGTGCGTCCAGCCCTTGCCTGCACAACCTCCATGCCTTCCCCATCTCCAGGCCGGGGTGGGGTAGGGGTAGGGTGGGGTGGGGCGGAAGGACCAGTTCCACAGGAAGCCTGTGGAGGCAAACAGGGTTATGTGGCAAGGGTGGGAAGGAGCAGGGCCTGAGCCCCATGGTGGTTTCACCAGCATCCAGCGGTCACCATGGTGAACAAGAAGCCAGGAAGGAAGGAAGCAATGTCGGCAAAAGGGCTCAGATGACAACCAAACAGAACGGTTTCCCACCCTGGGCCTCCTTTCCACACACACAGCATCGTGGGTATTTTAAAATAAACAAGATCAACGTCCAAACCTGCGCTGAGGCCTGAGCTGTGTCCGTCACTCCTGCAGGGCACAGGCCTGCCTGGCCGAATGCATGGGCGGTGAGAGCACAGGGCTGGGGGGACCCCTCTGTCGAGGGGCCACAGCTCCTCACACAGCAGAGCTTTATGGATGAAAGGGCTGAGAGGCACAGACAGGCTGAGAAATGGGCCCAAAGTCCCACAGCATGGAGCCAGGAGGTAGCAGACGGCCCCTGCCCGCCCCCCTCACTTGGCTGACTGCTCCCACGGCAGCCACCACCTTTATCCTGAGTCCCGGGGTCCTCCATCAAATCGCTGAGCCTCGGGTGGTCTTGTGGACCCCAGCTTGTCTGTGTTGTGTTGACAACATGGGCCTGGCTACCGGCCTAAGTGCACTTCTGAGGGGTGTCAGGGAAGCCTTTGCTGCGGCTTGGGGATTACAGAATTTTAAACAGCAAGAACCTTCCCTTTGCTAGTCCAAGCTTCCCTTTGTATGAGAAACTGCTTACGTCTAGAGAGGAAAAATGGTTGAGAAATAGGAGGACCAGAGACCAATCACGCGGAGTTCTTAATCATGTGAAAATATTTTATTTTGACGTGCTTTTTCTTGAGTGCCTGAATGTGGTGGCTCTTAGGGTAACCCCAGAATCCTCACTGCGGCAACAAGACCTGGCCACCACCCTCACCTCGACCACCACGGCCTTCGCTGCAGCCCCACTCTGACTCCCCGGGGGCTGCTCACGTGCCAGCACCCACTGGCCAAGCATCCTCCGGCAGGACCCAAGTCCTCTGTATTCAGAGGCCGACCCTGCTTTCCAGAGACTCACGAGGTGGCAGAGAGTCAGGCTGTGGCAGGGGCCCCTGTGTATCGAGGAGAGGAGGAAGAGTCTGCAGAGGTTTCTAGGGAAGGAGATAGTGTGGAAGTGACTGTGGCTCTGGTCCTGCCTGGGAGGAGATCTACAGGGGAGGGGCCTGGCCTTGGGCTGGCCCTGCCCTGCGTGGGATCTGTGCCCTGCGTGGGATCCCTGCCCTGTGTGGGGTGCGTGGGGTCTGTGCCCTGTGTGGGGTGCCTGCCCTGTGTGGGGTGTGTGGGGTCTGTGCCCTGTGTGGGGTGCCTGCCCTGTGTGGGATGCATGGGGTCTGTGCCCTGTGTGAGGTGCCTGCCCTGTGTGGGGTGTGTGGGGTCTGTGCCCTGTGTGGGGTGCGTGGGGTCTGTGCCCTGTGTGGGGTGCTTGGGGTCTGTGCCCTGTGTGAGCTGCCTGCCCCGTGTGGGGTGCGTGGGGTCTGTGCCCTGTGTGGGGTGCCTGCCCTGTGTGGGATGCATGGGGTCTGTGCCCTGTGTGAGGTGCCTGCCCTGTGTGGGGTGCGTGGGGTCTGTGCCCTGTGTGGGATGCCTGCCCTGTGTGGGGTGCCTGCCCTGTGTGGGATGCGTGGGGTCTGTGCCTTGTGTGGGGTGCCTGCCCTGTGTGGGGTGCGTGGGGTCTGTGCCCTGTGTGGGGTACCTGCCCTGTGTGGGCTGCGTGGGGTCTGTGCCCTGTGTGGGGTGCCTGCCCTGTGTGGGGTGTGTGGGGTCTGTACCCTGTGTGGGGTGCGTGGGGTCTGTGCCCTGTGTGGGGTGCCTGCCCTGTGTGTGGTGCATGGGGTCTGTGCCCTGTGTGAGGTGCCTGCCCTGTGTGGGGTGTGTGGGGTCTGTGCCCTGTGTGGGGTGCCTGCCCTGTGTGGGATGCGTGGGGTCTGTGCCCTGTGTGAGGTGCCTGCCCTGTGTGGGGTGCGTGGGGTCTGTGCCCTGTGTGGGGTGCCTGCCCTGTGTGGGGTGCGTGCGGTCTGTGCCCTGTGTGGGGTGCCTGCCCTGTGTGGGGTGCGTGGGGTCTGTGCCCTGTGTGGGGTGCCTGCCCTGTGTGGGGTGTGTGGGGTCTGTGCCCTGTGTGGGGTGCCTGACCTGTGTGGGGTGCGTGGGGTCTGCTACACGCTTGGTGAGAAACTGCATCAGGGCTTCCCGCCGTGTGTTGCTAACATCCCCACACACGTGAGTGCCTTGGGACCCTCGTCAACACACTGAGCTGAGGCCACTGGTCCACGGCACACTGCAGTGCACATGCCCTTCCTGGCCAGAGGCTCCCAGGGGCGCCATGCTCTCCAGGCACCTGCCCCGCCTGCGAGCACAGCCTGGCCCCTGCTGCACTCTGCTCTCTCTGCCCGCTCGGGTCCACTGCAGCTGAGCGGGTGGGAGAAGCCTCTTCAACTTCACACACTTGTCGCCTCTAGCACTGGGCAAGGTCTGGCATTCAGAGTTCCAAGAAGTCCCACAGATACCAGTGGCTAAGTCTGTCTTCCCTCCAGGAATGGGGAAGCAGGAGCCGTCAGAACAGCCGTCTCCTATCTGAGGCACCAGGAACAAACATGACGTCAGGAAAAGACTGAAGGTGCCAAGCACCTAACGCTGAAGGAACCAGCATGTGCCTGGCAGCACTGCAGAGAGCACACCCCAGGCACCAGAGACCAGGGTGTCATTCACAGGTCAAAGCAAAATAAGAAAATCATAATTTTTCCCCTTGTTCCAAAGAAACATCCACGTGCAGAGGGCAGGCAGCTTCGGCCCATGGCGCTCCTGACGAGGGCTCCCTCGTGGCTGCCCCAGGACAAGCAGGACCCCGGCGGTCCTAGGCAGGGAGAAGCGAGACTCAGGGTCACAGACGAAGGCGCAGGAGAAACAGCGGGGCAGGAGGCTCCCCAGAACCCCAGGGAGGCCAGGCAATGATGCACAGCAACCTCAAAAACATTCGCTGGTTGACTGATTATTTATTTATCTATTTTATTTTTTATGGACAGGGTCTCACTCTGTCGCCCAGGCTGGAGGGCAGTGGCGCAATCACGGCTCACTGCAGCCTTGACCTCCTAGCCTCAAGGGATCCTCCCGCCAAAGTGCTGGAAGGGTGAAGGGTGTGAGCCACTGTGCCTGGCTACTTTTAGATTTTTTAAGTTTTGGGAAACCTTACACATATAAAAAAGTAGACAAAGTAGTATCATTTGAAGCAAATCCCAGATATCATATAATTTAATATGAATGCTTTCAGTGATAAGGCTTTTTAAACTGAGACCACCCTTGAGGTGGTAGAGGACAGACTTCAAAAGCAGATACAAGAGGCCCCGGGCAGACAGGGCAGGCAGAGCAGGGCAGGCAAGATGGGCTAGAAGTCCCAGGGCAAGCTGGTCTGAGAGGGCTCGGTGGGCAGAGCTGTCTTGGGGCCGGGACATGGCAGGTGCCTTCCCACTCCTTGCTGCACCCACAGCCCTTACAGAGGCCTGGTCCTAGGACGGGCTCTTGCCCAGCGCTCTGGAAGACACAGAGGTGATGCTGTCACATGCTCACGTCTGCCTGGACAGCCTCCAGGCTGCTGTGCAGGGACCACGCGGATGCACAGCCTCGGGGACTGCTTTAAACTGGGCTGATTCACAACAGACAGAATCACATTGTTCTTGGCAGGCGGCCCCCAGCCCTGACTAAGCACCGCAGAGGCCACATCTCCATGGCACTGGACCGCGGGCAGGGCCGACTCAACCCTGCATCTGGGAGGCGGGAAGCCATCCCCACAGCAACATGGAGGTCTCTGAGGGAGACGTGCCAGCCTCTGCCACTTGGACACAGCCAAGGCATCCGGCACGGTGGTGACCCTGCATCCCTCCCACCATAGCAAGGGGCACCCACACCCCTCCAGAGAGGCCTGACTGCTGGGGACCAGAGAAGAGTCTCTTGTCTGTCACGTGTCAGTTAACCCTGCACCAATGTTTCTCTTCTCATCCCTGCTGGTGTGCGCCTCTCCCTCCACCCCACTCATTTCTGAGCAAGAACGGCTCCTCTGGGGGAAGGAGGGGACGCGGCGTGTGTGAGAGCCACAGCGCCCAGCAGCCTCCCGGCCCAGGGTGGGGCTGAACGCACTGGAGTTGGACTCGCTACTATTTATTTATTTAGAGACGGAGTCTTGCTCTGTTGCCAGGCTGGAGTGCAATGGCGCAATCTTGGCTCACTGCAACCTCCACCTATTGGGTTCACGCAATTCTCCTGCCTCAGCCTCCCGAGTAGCTGGGATTACAGGCACCCGCCGCCACACCTGGCTAATTTTTGTATTTTTAGTAGCGACAGGGTTTCTTCATGTTGGTCAGGCTGGTCTCGAACTCCTGACCTTGTGATCTGCCCGCCTCGGCCTCCCAAAGTACTGGGATTACAGCCGTGAGCCACCGCGCCTGGCTGTGGACTTGCTACTTTAAGAGGGTCCTGGTTAAAATGCAAGCTTCTAGGATAAGCAACGCTCCACACTCATACATCAGAACAATCTTCCTAGGAAATCTAGTTTTGCAACATTAAACAAGAAGTTATTAAAATTGGCCCCGAAAGGGTGATAAACACAGGAGGACAAATACTACGTTTCTTAGGTCTTTTTGTTACAATCCTTGCCTGGAAAATTCTATTTTCAAAATGTTCTTTACTGTTTTCCCACCTCACAGGGATTCTCACCTACCCTGTCCTCACCTAGGCCTGCCCCTCACAGAGTAAGGACATGGTGTTCAACACGCAGTTCCAGGAGCACCCAGGGCTGTGGCAGAAAATATCCCAGAGACCCACAGAGAGCGAGAATGGCCTCAGTGGGCCAGCACGGCTGGCACCACGCAGGCGCTAACCATCAACAGACAGACCCCGGAAGCTTCTGACAACACAACAGGGCCCTGGGTGAGAGCTTCTCTGCACCATGATGAAACGGCCACCACAAAGAGACCTGAGCAGCCAGATGGGGTGGGCACCAGGTAGCCCTGGGAACGCCACCTTACCAAGTGGGATCATTCTCCCAGGAAGCAGAAGCAGATGCTTGTCTCATTAACCCTTTCAGCAACACCTCCAGAGACATCACAGAAACACCTCAAAGGTCTGAGGCCAACTCCCGCATGGCCACTGTGCAAAGAGCTAACAGCTACGTATCAACATGACGGCCTTCTACAACCAAAACCAGCATGGGGACCAAAGACGGCAAACACAGGGTTTCAGGCCTGGACTGACTTTCTCTAGGCCTAAAGCCCGAGAGTACACAGCACCGCTGGGAGCTCCAGGGAGTCACCCAGGCCCTCCCTTCTGGGGGCTGAGGTCCCTTACACAACCCATCCACACATTCTGTCCACTCACTTCCCCGTGTCTCCCAGTGTTCTTCCTCGGAGCTGTCCGCTGCTGGGAAGAGGAGTCCTCCTGGGCCTGTGCTGGTGTCCCTGCAGCCTTCCTGTCCCCAGATGTGCTGGCCCAGAGACAGGAGCCATGTGCCTGGCACTGCACCTGCCCCTCACTTCCCATCTGGGAAAACCAGCCCTCTCTGCTGGCCTTTCACTCAGCAGAGTCTCCACCTGGCTACTGTGAGCACATCCCTGGAGCACCCCACATAGGACAGGAGGGGCCACAGGCCTGCGGCAGCCACACAATCATAAAGGCTGAAGCTTGCTGAGCTGTGCTGACAAAAGCTGGGGTGTGGATCCTCTTTACTGGCTGTGCCTGCTGCCGTTCCTCTTCAACAATCTCCTTCGTATCACGAGCTCTTCTCACCTGGACCACTTCCCCCATCTGCTCTCAAGCCCGCATCCTGGCACAGCCTCTACGCCTTGTGCTATGGCTGCATTCAAGAAGTCTCAGGAAGCCAGGGACAGAGCCGAGGGCCTGACTCAGCACTCTCCCGGTTCACTCCAGGCTTTGTGGCCAGCTTAGTGCTCTACTGCCTCCAACCTTCCCCAGCAGGGCTGTAGAGAAGCTGGATGACCAGGAGGACAAGGAGGCCTCTGGACACAAGAATCACCAAAGAGCAAGCACGGCCAGCGCAGAGGCCTCTGGGCTCCCTGCAAGCAGCTCAAGACAGAATCCACTGGGAAGGTGTCACTGCAGAAGGCGCTGACCCCACCAGGAGCGTGTGCACATGAACACACATGGGCTTGCACACGGGCACACAGGCATGCACACATGGGCACACAGGCACACACGTACACATGGGCACACACAGGCATGCACACACACACGGGCGCATACACAGGCATGCACATGCACACACATGCAAACGCACACATGGGCATACACACATGAGCGCACATATATACAGGCACACACAGGCACACAAAAGCATACACATACTCAGGCACACATGGGCACACATACACGGGCATAGACGGGCACGCATACACAGGCACACATACAGGCACACACATGGGTACACACAAGCACATACACGGGCACACACATACATGGGTACATACAAGTACATACACACACGGGCACACACACGGGCATACATACAGGCACACACATGAGGGCATGCACACAGATACACGGGCATGTGCACATGGGCACACATACACACAGGCATACACACTTGGGCACACACTCTGGCACAGGCACACAGCACACACATTCCTGCTCTGCAGCCTCAGACCCCGCCTGTGCTTGGGAAGACCTCCCTGCCTCCTGCTCACTTTTAGGGCTCCCTTTGGTTTTTACTACAAGCAATGGAGTTTCTTCCTGTGCCTTTGTGGCCCTGAGGGGAACCACTGTCTCCCTCCCGTGTCCAGCTGTCAGAAGACCCACAGGTGAGCAGCCCCATACCTCGCCCAGGGCTGGACATGCACCGGGTGCATCTCCACGTGTGTGGGACCCAAGAGTGAAGCTCTCCAATCGGCCCCATGGGCCTGAGCCTCGGGTGCAAAGGAGGTGGCATGTGGGGGCCTGTGCTCCGCCCCTGCTGCCTCTTGCCTGGACGGCGTGCAGGGTGCTAGAGTGCGTCCCAGTGCAAAGCCGGAGGTGCGGGGGCCAGGGACGCCCTGCCTGGGCTGCTCCGGGCTGCCTGTGGAGGGCTGACTGCAGGAGGGGCCGCGGGCTGGTACCTGTGTCCGAGTCCTTCTGCTCCCCATTGGCGCCCGCGGTGAAGGGCAGCTTCCGCTTGCTGGCTCGCTCCCTCACCTCCTTCCCGCCATCGCCACGCTCCAGTTTTGGGGTCTTGGTTAGAGAAACTTTATCTTTATCCTAGAAAAGAAAGGGATGCTTTCAGTCGTGATGTCCAAATTACATTCTCAAGCTCTCAAGATTTTGTTTCATATGCCAGGAGAAGCGCATCTCTTATTTGGGCAATGAACACCCTCCCTGCACCCCAGGGCGTGGCTGTGTGAGGCTGGTCACCGACCGCAGAACCTTCACCCAGAAGCCCGGGGTCGGGCTGTGGCTCAGCCCTGACTCTGGCCCATTTCTCATCCTGCGCACCGGAGGGACGCTCAGGAAATCGCTGGTGTGTGTGGAGAAAGCAGAGGAGACACACACGCGCTACCTCTCACTCCGCAGACACGCGCTACCTCCCACTCCGCAGACACGCGCCACCTCCCACTCCGCAGACACGCGCCACCTCCCACTCCGCAGACACGCGCCACCTACCTCCCACTCCGCAGACACGCGCCACCTCCCACTCCGCAGACACGCGCCACCTCCCACTCCGCAGACATGCGCCACTTACCTCCCACTCCGCAGACACGCACCACCTCCCACTCCGCAGACACGCACCACCCACCTCCCACTCCGCAGACACGTGCCACCCACCTCCCACTCCGCAGACACGCGCCACCCACCTCCCACTCCGCAGACACGCGCCACCCACCTCCCACTCCGCAGACACGCGCCACCCACCTCCCACTCCGCAGACACGCGCCACCCACCTCCCACTCCGCAGACACGCGCCACCCACCTCCCACTCCGCAGACACGCGCCATCTACCTCCCACTCCGCAGACACGCGCCACCTCCCACTCCGCAGACACGCCACTTACCTCCCACTCCGCAGACACGCACCACCTCCCACTCCGCAGACACGCGCCACCTACCTCCCACTCCGCAGACACGCGCCACCTACCTCCCACTCCGCAGACACGCGCCACCTCCCACTCCGCAGACACGCGCCACTTACCTCCCCCTCCGCAGACACACGCCACCTACCTCCCCCTCCGCAGACACGTGCCACCTCCCACTCCGCAGACACGCGCCACCTACCTCCCACTCCGCAGACACGCGCCACTTACCTCCCACTCCGCAGACACGCGCCACCTACCTCCCACTCTGCAGACACGCGCCACCTCCCACTCCGCAGACACGCGCCACCCACCTCCCACTCCGCAGACACGCGCCACCTCCCACTCCGCAGACACGCGCCACCCACCTCCCACTCCGCAGACACGCGCCACTTACCTCCCACTCCGCAGACACGCGCCACCTCCCACTCCGCAGACACGCGCCACCTCCCACTCCGCAGACACGCGCCACCTACCTCCCACTCCGCAGACACGCACCACCTCCCACTGTGCAGACACGTGCCACCTCCCACTCCGCAGACACGTGCCACCTCCCACTCCGCAGACACGCGCCACCCACCTCCCACTCCGCAGACACGCGCCACTTACCTCCCACTCCGCAGACACGCGCCACCTACCTCCCACTCCGCAGACACGCGCCACCTCCCATTCCACAGACACGCGCCACTTACCTCCCACTCCGCAGACACGCGCCACCTCCCACTCCACAGACACGCGCCACCTACCTCCCACTCCGCAGACACGTGCGCTACCTCCCAGGAGGGAGACGGTGCGACACACACAGCGCTTGGGACGTGGGGAGGGGGACGGTGCGACACACACAGCGCTCGGGACGTGGGGAGGGGGCAGTGTGACACACACAGCGCTCGGGACGTGGGGAGGGGGACAGTGCGACACACACAGCACTCGGGACGTGGGGAGGGGGACGGTGCGACACACACACTGCCTTTCCCCATCAGTAAGCCTTCTTTCTGTAACTTTCCCTAGGTAAGCTGCCGGCAAATACCGTGCAGTGGTCAGCGAAGCCTTCAGAGCACCGGAGGCCTCAGCTGCTCCAGGGCTGAGATGCCCAACTGTTCCTGGGAGAAGCCCAAGCATCCCCAGCCACGGTCCTGCCTCCTGGGACCCTGATACATCTTCCAGCTCAGTCACTCTGCATCCACCAAACGTGCATCCACCCAACCTGCATCCACCAAACCTGACAGTTAATCTGAGACATCCCTGAGTGACCATGAAAGAGCTTTCCAGAACATGCTGCAAGCTCAGAGTGCAACTGGAGTCAAAGAGAAGCTGCCAAGCAGACCGGAGCCCACCTCTCCAGTGAGACACGGGGACAGGAGGAGGGTGCCAGACGGGTCTCTGGGGAGACGGGGCCTCAGGAACGTAACACCCACCCCAGCAGTGCAGGTCCCTCCCGGGCCTCCGGAGGGTTAACACCCACCCCAGCAGTGCAGGTCCTCCCGGCCCTCGGCCTGGGTGCCCAGATGCAGCTCCCCCGCCGCCTGGCTGCAGCTCCACTGAGCTTTTCTATGGCCCCCTCGGAGTGCAGTCCCCACCTGGAATGAGATAGGCATCTTCCTTGGGGTCGGGGAACGCCAGGAAAGAATGGCACACACCAGCAAGAAGCTCCAATCTTAAACTCCTTCCTCCAAGAACACTCCTGGCCCAGGGGGTGGGTTCCACCAGACATCTGAAGAGAGGCCACCATCACCCTAATCTCAGAACCTGATGAGGGAAAGTTTCTACCAAACATGTGAAGGTTCTACCAAACATGTGAAGAGGCCACCATCACCTTCATCTCAGAACCTGATGAGGGGAAGGTTCTACCAAACATGTGAAGGTTCTACCCAACATGTGAAGAGGCCACCATCACCTTCATCTCAGAACCTGATGAGGGGAAGGTTCTACCAAACATGTGAAGAGGCCACCATCACCCTCATCTCAGAACCTGATGAGGGCATTCTATGAAAAGAAAATGATAAACCAACATACCTTATGAACATAGACAGGATATATAAAAAAAGACAACACAAATGATAGGAATAAGAATAGATTCGAGAATGCAAGACATTTAAAAAGCAATGTAATTCACCACATTAAGAAAATAAAGAAAAGAAAACCACGTGCTCATGTCAACAGCTACAGAAAAGGCCTGGGATAAAATTCCACACTGTTTGTGATGTGGGAGGAAAGCCCCACACTGATCAAGGCCTCCAGGGAGCCTGGACAGAAGGAACACTGTCCCCAGGTCCACGGTCAAGGCAAGACTGCCTACAGGCACCACCCAACAGGCACTTCACAAAAGAAAATATCCAAATAAGACAACGAACACCTGAAAAGGTGATTCTCATCAGGAAAATGCAAATGACAGCCACGAGGAGATGCACACCAGCACCCCCACCAGGACAGTTGGGAGAAGACAGGCCCTGCAGACCCCAGCAAACGCCCGGGAGGCTTTGAGGGAGAGCTGCAGGTGCGTTTCCCATGACGTGTTCACAAACAAGCACAAGGATGTTCAAGGCAGTTTTGTTCGTAATACAAAAAAAATGACACAACTAAACTGCCCGTCCAAAGGCAAATGAACAATTCTAGAATACAAATGGAATACCGCAGGGGGTGCGCGCCGTGAGAAACGGGTGCACACCATGAGAACGGGGACGTGCAGCATCAACACTGAGGGTGAGCGCCATGAAAATGGGGTGCGCGCAGTAAACACAGGAGGTGCGCGCAGCCTCGTGGAGGAGCCCCGTGCATGCAGTGGCAGATGCAGCGGGCAACCAAGGTGGGAACATCTGTACCCCAAAGATCAGCCCTCCTCTGGAATAAGACTGGGCTCAATCCCTTTCTTCACACATGGAAGCTTCTAGAAGACAGCACAGGAGGACATGTTCACCACCAGAAGACAAGAGAACACACACCACACCACCATGTGACGCCACCACACGCCCAACCACACAGACGTCAGGCCCACACACTGAGCCCTGGCAGGGATGTGGATTCCCTGGTGGTTCTTGGGGCACACTGGCTCATCGACAGAAGAGCCCACAAATGCTGGGCATGGCCACAGCCACGAAGGGAGAGAATGCCAACAGGAGCAAAATCCTGCAAGTCAGACACTGTGGAGCAACTGATGTCTCCCACGGAAATCTCAACAGCCAAAACCTACCAGTGGAGACAGAAGTCAGGGCAGAGGTGACTTTTCGAATGGGGAACATTACTGAAGGCCCCTAGCACTCCGGAATGTTGTGTATTCTCATCTGGGTGGTGATTATCCCTGGTTTTACAGATGAAATGCCAGCTATAATGTCTATCTATAGTTCACTTTAAAAGTTCACAAATTTCTTTTTCGCTTCCCAGCTCCTTACACCTCAACGAGCTGCGCAAGGAAAAGCACACATGGGCAAGGCGCCTGTGTGACACGAGGCTTGCCCCGAGCTGCCTACAACAGGGAGCGTGGCACAGCCACCAGGAAGGCGGCTCCCATCCACCTGGGCTCAGAGCCTGCTGGGCAGCTGGGGTGGGACAGGCCCTGTTTCGGCCCCTCTAACCTTTCCTCACCAGCACAAGAGGACTGTCAGCAGGAACCACGTGCACATGCTACAGAATGTTCTCATTTCCTAAATGCAAATATCTCCAACATTAAATCCAATCCTTACCAGGCACCTCCTGTAAGGCCCCACTATGCCCCAAGGACCACCAGATAGTGACAGCCATGGCACAATGACCCTGCCGGGCCCCACCAGCCTGCCGGCCACCTGGCTTCTCCTCCTTATGACACGAGGTAGGCTCTGCACATGTCATATGCAGATTCCCTATCACATCACGACTTCCACTCATGGGAAGCACACACAGAGGAAAGAGAAAGTTGTAGTAACTGAAAAATGGCCACGTCCAGTTGACACCCTCCCCCTGGAGCTCAATCTTTCTGGTAAGAATGAGAGTCGTGTTGTCCACTGACTGCAGCACAGAGGTGCCATCCGGTCCTTCCAGTTCCATCACCAGCTCAGCTGCCTTGGTATCCAAACTGTCTATGTGCGGGGTCCGCCTGTGTGTGGGGTGCGGGGTCCGCCTGTATGTGGCATGCAGGGTCTGCCTGTGAGCTCTCTTCTGTTCCACTCACCCATGGGTCTGTCCTGCTACCAAGAGGAAGCACACTACCTCATGCCTGTAGCTTTAGAGGAAGCAATGAAACTACACTGTCTGCATCCTCCAATTCTGTTCTTTCTCAAGGTGGCTTTGGTTATTCTAGGTCTTTTCAATTTCCCTATTAACTTTGGAATCGTCTTATGAATTTCTACCCAAAAAAGCCCACAGGGATTTTGGCTGGCATTACACTGAATCTGTACATCAATGTGGAGAGAGATGGCATCCAGTTTTGAGGGTTTCCTGATCTATGAATATTGTATAACTCTGCATTTAGGTGTTTCTGAATTTCTCTCAGTTCTCAGGAATATTTTGCAGCTTTCAGGGTACAGGTTTTGCAGCACATCTTCGGTCAAATTTACCCCAAAATAATCCGTATTTTTTATACTACTGCAAACATTTTTACAATTTCAGCCCTCTATTATTTACGAGTATTTAGAAATACACTTCTGCATAATGGGTTTGCACTGGAACACCATGCTACGCTCACTGATTCTTGTAGCTTTTGTGCAGATGTCTTGGGCTTTCCTCCATCAATGTCTGTGAATAAAGACAGTGTTCCTCTTTCCTCTTCAGTCTGACTTTCGTGCTGCCTGGAGTCTGCAGGACGATGCTGACTGCAGTGGAGATGGCCAGTGTTTCTTTGTCTGTTCTCAATTTTAGGTGGAAAGAATTCAGTCTTTGACATTAAATATGATGTCAGTTGCAGGTTTTCACAGATGCTCTCTGTCAGGTTGAGGAAATTCCTCTCTATTCCTAGTTTGCAGAATTTTTTTTAAAATAATGAATGTGTGTTAACTTTTGTCAAATGTTTTTGCTGCATTAGTTGGTATGATCACATGGTGTTTTCAGTCTTATAACAACTTGAACTGATTGATATTGGAGGTTCAACCTTGAATTCTTGGAATCAACCCTACTTGGTTGGTCATGGTACATTATTCATTTTATTTTATAAGCTGATGAATTCAATTTGCTAAAATTCTTTTTAAAATTTGTATGTTTGTGTTCATGAGGGCCATTGGTCTGTAGTTTTCTTATCCTGTAGTACCTTTGTCTGGCTTTGGTATCAGTATAGTACTAACACAACAACTGTCTATCTAGATAGAAAACAAGAACCTCTATGTTTACCTCACACCACATACAAAACATGAACCTCTACGCTTACCTCACACCATATACAAAACATGAACCTCTATGCTTACCTCACACCACATACAAAACATGAAAATCTATGCTTACCTCACACCACATACAAAAATTAACTAGAAATGGATCATAGACCTACATCTAAGAACTAAAACTATCAAACTTACAGAACACAGGAAAAACTTCTGTGACCTTCGTTTGCCAAAGATAGGATTTTAAAAGAGAGCACGAGTTCTAGAAGAAAATATTAAATAGAATGGACCTCTATCTTGGGAGTTGGGCAAGAGTGAAGACATGGAGGCTGCTCAGAGCACCCTATACAACACTGTCTAAGGACCCAGAGCCAAGGGGATTTTCTTGGCTTTTTCTTTCTTAAAGTGGGAAGTTTTTGCTTTATTCTAATAATGAAAATCAGGAACACAGGGAAGGACTTCCACTTCTTTTTTCTTCCCCGACACAGATTCTCACTCTGTCACCCAGGCTGGAGTGCGGTGATGCGATCTCAGCTCACTGCAGCCCATGCCTCCCGGGTTCAAGCAATTCTCCTGCCTCAGACTCCTGAGTAGCTGGGATTACAGGCATGCAACACCATGCCCAGATAATTTTTGTATTTTTAGTAGAGATGGGGTTTTGCCATGTTGGCCAGGCTGGTCTCGAACTCCCGACCTCGGGTGATCCTCATGCCTCGGCCTCCCAAAGTGCTGGGATGACAGGTGTGAGCCACCGCACCTGGCCAGGAACTTCCACTTCTTAAACGTGATGTGAGAACCTGAGGAGCTCGGCGTTCACAGCATCAGGTAAGCCTCAGTGCAGACGGCATGTGGCAGAGCTGAGAATGCACAGAATGCAAATTCGCTGCTTCAGAGCTAAACCTCCAGTGGGAGGAGATGAGGACAGTGTGTTCTACAGAGAGGAATCACGCAGGGGAGGGGCGGGGCAGGGCGGAGGCAGCATGCAGGCATGTGAACTGGGTGGTGGGGGAAGCCCAACTGTCAGGTAAGCAGAAATGGTAGGAGCTGGCGGGCCACAGGCCGTGTGCTCTGAGCCCTAAGACTGGGAAGAGAAGCGGATCCAAGTCCAGCAAGCCCAGCAAGTCTGGCTTCCTCTGTGATGCTGCTCTATGTCCTTTTCTGCCTTAGTGAAAAGATGGACAGAAATCACCCTCTCCACGAGCCCATGTGGGCCCACAGCGGTCTCAGGGGTGTGTGAGCCCAGCTTCGCCCTCCTGTGCTCTCGCCATCAGACACGGCCTCCTGCTCCTCCCGAAGCATGCGGGGGAGTTCTGGGCTCTGTTCTGAGTACAGACCCCATGCCAGACTGGCTCGTGAAACCACAGCCTGAGGTGGGACACGCCGAGGCCCAGCCATGCGCCTCCCAGCTTCTCAGCTAAGGTCACTCTGGAATACTTATCTTGAGGGACGTAGCTCCCAGCTCCCCACCTGCAGCACTGACAAAGCTATCTTCGGGGAGGGGCCTCAGACCAGATGTGAGTCTGTAACTGGCACAGACTGGGGGGGTTTCTGCTGAGACTCGCTGGAGGGCTCACATGCTCAGTTCTCAACTGCAGCCTCCATGCCCATGGACGCCATCTCCAGCCTCTCGGCCTCCACACAGCTCGCCAGGTCTCAGTGGGGCTGTGAATGTGGGTTCCTAACAAGCTCCAGCAGCTCAGGTGACTGCTCGTCGGAGGACACACTTTGAGAACCACCAAGTGAAGCTCAGGGGGCTGTGAGGCTGCCTGTGCTCTGAGTGGCGTGCATGGAGCACAATGAGACAGGGTGACTGTGCCATGGGGTGGGGACGACAGGGGACCCATGGGGTGGGGACGACACTGTTCTCTGTAGCCCTGCACACCTTTGGATCAGAACACACTCAACGATGCAGACACCTGCTGGTTCTTCCCGAGGCAGCTCAGCGGTTCTGGGATTCCGTGGTCGGCAATGGTGAGAGACCGTCTGCAGAAGGGGCCCTTTCTCTGACACGCCTGCCACTGTGCTCACTGGTGCAGCCAAAGGGACACGCACAAGCCGTCAGGTCAGCGCGGCATCAGGATGCACTGCAGAGTTGTGGGCTCCATTTCCATCTTCCACGTATATGTCACTGAGATCACGATTCTTTTGGAAAAATCTAAAAATATATTGTTTTTGATAACATAAAGCTATATCTGGAGAAAAGGGAGTTTATGGTAGAAGACTGAGCAGAAACCATTTCAGCCTGTACCAGGAGAAGGCAGGTCAGATGTGTGCACCTGAGTTCTGGCACTTGGGGCTCACTTCCTCCCTAAGGAATACAGCCTCTTCTAACAGCAGCTGCAACCAGGAGTGCGTCTTCCCAGGCATTCTATTTCAAGCTACTGTTCAAGCTAAGAAAGCTCCACCAGGCCTGAGAGCTCCCTACTCCCTGTAATGCGTTTAAAATTTGTCTGCCTCCATGAGGAAAATGCCTGGCTTTACTGTGAGTAGTTGGAAAAACAAACAAACAAACAAAACAGGACAGGCTGGGTGTGGTAGTTCACGCCTGTGATGCGGAAGCTGAAGGATCACTTGAGCTCAGAAGCTTGAGACCAGCCTTGGCAACATGGTAAGATCTCGTCTCTACAAAAGATACAAAAATGAGCCGGGTGTAGCGGTCTGCTCCTGTGGTCCCAGCTGCAAGGGAGGCTGAAGTAGGAGGACTGCTTGAGCCTGGGGCAGTGGGGCAGGGTGGGGGGTTATGGAGGGTGCAGAAGTTGCAGTGAGCTGAGACTCTACCACTGCACTCCACCCTGGGTGACAGAGTCAGACCCTGTCTCAAAACAAACAAACAAACAACAACAACAAAAAACCACACATACAACTGAACCCATAACACAGCTACCTTACTGGAAAAGCCCAGAGTGAAATCCACACATCCCTCACAGCACACGTGTGAACAGAGCTCGCATCGACATTATCAGGCCAGTTCATCAAGTCTCTCTTCTCCTTAAACAAGAGAACAACTCAAAGCAGCTGAGCGCACACATCAGCGCTGGGGCTGCCGGCAAATCAGGACACCCTGCCTCCTGCGCCAACACGACCTGCTCTCTGTGGCTCTTCCGGCCTTTCTCGTCTCGTGCTACCCTGCCGAGACTGCCTTCCCTGCAAGTCCACTGACACAGGGCTCCACCACGCCCAGCCTGCTGGTGTGTCAAGCGGCTCAGAGAACCACCTCCTCAATAAGCATATCTGAGACCTGAGCCAGGAGAGCTCCCTCTTTCCTCCACTGCTTACTGATCTTCATCAGACCAGGCACAGAGAACAGGAGTGACAGGTGCCACCTCGCCATCAATGCCAGGGCCAGGATCTCCTTTCCCCACATTCCTTCTGCATCCTACCCAGGCCACCACTACCACCCTTACCCTAAAACCTGCGGGCACAGAGGCTGGGATCCTCTGTGAAGCGCAGGCCAGGTTCACTCAGCAGTCTGTTCACACAGCTGCTCCAGAACTCCAGCATCAGACCCTCAAGGGCACAACCCAAATCTCTTTGTTCCTAGAGCACACCCCAGGTGCAGAAGCCAAGCAGCCCTTTCACAGACGTTCTGAGGTCCTGGGACCCCCACCCACATCACCCGTGTGAACATGACAGGTTTTTGATCCAAACACACAGCTCACGCCTCCACACTCTCGGGGTGAAACCACACCATACACGACCTCTTTGGGAGCCAATGCTCAGTGGAGGCATGGAGCATGCTGAAGCCGAAGCTTGGTGGCAGTGGCAGGAGCTCAAGAGGATGGGGGCGAGGCCTGAGCTGTATGCAAAGTATTCTGCACCCTTGCAGAGCTGGCTGCTCCCCGTGAATGCTGAGTCCCAGGACCCAACCCCACGAGATGAGGAAGATGAGGCCAGGGCGGCGACGTGAAGCTATCCCAACACTCTGACTGCTTAGCCACAGAAGAGCAGGGACCACCGGGAAGCGTGACCTGCCCTTGCGCCTTTCTGCCTCACTGCTGAAGGCCGCACATCAGCACCCTGACCACCCACCTCCTCAGGAGCTCAGCAGGACACGCCCATCACGACCACCAAACCCTGACTCTCCGTAGGCTTCACACACACGTGTGTCCCCGCCTGTGAGCTCGGCGGTGTGGTGCTGACCAAGCACTGGCTTCAGCTCATCCTTCGCTGGTGGCTGCAAGCCATGGAACCCACCCAGCCCTGCACACGGCACGAGGAGCTTGGGACAGAGCAAGTGGGAGCAGACACTTGGATGCTGCCCAGACATCAAGGGTCTCAGAGCTGCTGTCGTTTAGCACCTGCACGTGTCCGTATTCACAAAATGCTTCACGATTCACCAAAAAGAAGTGGACTGAGTCGCCATCATGTTGCTGCTGAGGGGAAGGCCGTCTTGCTGGTTATGTTCGCGTGTGGAACCCCTGCTGAGCTCACACCACACCAAACCCACAACATGAGCAGAGAGGCTGCAGCACAGCAGCACAGGAAGCAGCAAGAGGCCTCACAGGTAGTGACCTGGGGACCAGAAGGCGGCCCAGAGCAACCGGCAACCAGGAACACACTGAGGGGACCCTGCCCACCAGGGACCACCGAGGGTCAGACAGGTCACAGATGAACGGCCTGCCACACTGGCCAAGAAGTTAGGAGGAGCAAGGAGGCACGAGGATCAAAGGACGACAGCGACAGGATGGCAGGAGCTGACACACATCCTGCACAGCAAGGCCCTGCCTCACCATTCACTCCACCAGACACGATACTGTGCCTGCTGCAGAGACAGGAAGCTGACTCAGGAGACACCTGACTTGTTGACGGTCACAAAGATAACACATGGCAAAGCCTGAACTTGAACCTGGATCTGTCCAAGTTCACATTCGCTGGGCACACCCCAGAACTCGGCGTCTCCCCTCACAGTGCAGGACAGGAAGTCTGTACTTCCTAACACCCCAGAACCCAGCAGCACCCGCCAATACTGCAGGACAGGAAGTCTGCACCCCAGGAAACTGCATCACCCCCCACACTGCAAGGCAGGAAGTCTGCACACCAGGAATCAGCGTTAACCGCACATTAATAAAATGCAGTGGTTTTGATTGGCATCCCATTTTCCTATTCACATTTAGAATAAACCACAGTTGGAAGTAACGTGGCCCAGCATTGCTTGCAGTCAGGATATCTGAATGCCTGACAGGCCTAACAGGAGCCAGGACAGAAATCCTGGACTTCTGGGGGTAGAAACGTGCAGCCACATTGAGGCTCAGGCCAACTTCTGTACATAAAGCTATTATTTAACGCTTGACTTCGGTCCCCAAATAACAAATACAAAAAAAGCAAGGCCACTTTGGGAAAGATCACTCCTCACCACCCTCTCCACTCCTGGCTGCAGACAGAGGCACGAGGAAAGGGCCGGAGGGCGGAGAACAGGCCACAGGCGGGCAGCACCCCATTCCCACCTCATCCCCATCTGGGTGCGGTGAGCATGCAGGGCTGGGAGGGGGCAGCATTACCTTTTTCCCAGTCTGCTTCTCCACCATGTCGCTGCTGAGGGGAAGCTCTTCCTGCTGTGGTGCTTTAGGGCACCCACCCTTGGGCATCGTCCTGCTCCTCACCCGATCTTCATTTACACGGCCGGCGCTTCATCATCAACCGTCTGCTTCAAAAGAGAAGACACACAATTCACTGAATTCAGAGGCAGCTCAAAACTCATCCACTCTCACACCGCACTCAACAGACTCAGTAACTAGTCAAGGCAGGCAGCTGCTCTGATCAGGGCTGGGGCCCGGGCCAGGCCCAGGAAGGGACTTCTCAGGATACGCCTCCCATAAAGGGGTCACCAGCAACAGGAATGGCAGCTTTGAGCAGGAAGGAGAACAGAGAAGGGTCAAGCACTTTGTAGTGGCAGAAAGGGACGCATGGCCTAGGGTGTGGCTGTGTTCTGGGTGGCAGTCAGCAGCACCTGGATCCTGGGTCCCACCTGGTACAGGCTACACCCAAAACGGTCAGGCACCACAAGGCAGTCCCTTCCCCGCATTACAGGCAAGGTCACAACACGCAGCGCAGTACCCCAGCCCTCAGGTCTGGCAGGTCATGTCCACAGCCCCAGCCTCACGCCCCACTCACCACCTGGGAAGGAGCTCCTGTCCCCACCAGGCCTGTGCTTTTTGCACACCCAGTTCCCTAACTTGGTAGGCAAGGGGTGTCTCTGAGCGAGTCCCAGCAGCTCCGAGGTCCCAACTCCACGCCCATGGAAGCAGACGCCCCCTCGGGCCTCAGGCTCCAGCTCCTGGGTTTCCCAGGAAATCCGAGGACACATACTGTATTAATTGTATATTATTTTTATTTATTAATCATGTTTTATTTTAGGAAATTTTGCCATCTTAACAAGTTTCTGGCCAGGGAGAGACTGCCCCTCTCTCAGGGCTGGCAAATTCCTAGATAGCCAAGGGCTCCCATGCAACCCAATCACCTTCTTACCCAAGTTCACGCCCAGGCCAAGCCCTGCCTGAAACCAGCGCAGAGCCAGGTAAAGGAAACTAGAAAGTGTCCCTACAGCACAAAGCCTGCAAGAACTTTCCGAAGCAGCCACTCCCGAACTATTTGCTCTGCCCCGTCCCTCTCTTTCTGCAGGAAACCCAACAGGCAGTTGGGGGAGGCCTTCCCCGAGCCCCTGCTTCCGACTCCCACCCCCGTGGTGTGAGGCTGCCCCTCTGCGACACACGGTGCGAGCGCACTTCTTCCTTCCCAGCCTCGTCCTGGTCTCTTCTGTGGCGATGCCAACTTCCCCACGCCACGCCTGGCATGGACACTCTCGGAGCATGGGCCTCCTCCCTGCCTGTGGGCCTTCTAGGTTTGTTCACCATCACAGCCAGGCCTCCCGGGTGCACTCACGAGAGGAATGGGGGACACACCTACACACCCACACCCAAAGCCACTGTCCCCCCATCATGTCCTCGCCGCACCGTCAGTTAGAAAACATTTCATACAAATGGAACTGTGTGCACGTCTCTGCCCTTTCCGCCACAGCAGCACCTCTGTGCGCGACCATGCCGGGAGAAGCAGCTTCTGCAACTCGCTCCCCTGCATTTACCCATCTCGCTCATGCACGAAGTATGGCTTTTGAAACACGATGTGCAGACCCATCTGTGAGTGGCAGCTCCACTGTGAGCCTCTCCCACCTCCACCCCGTCAGCTAAAGGATACGTTGCATGCCACCTGCCCCTGGACGCAGGCTTGGCTGAGACCACAAGATGCTTCTCCTCCAACACCATCTCATGACCTGCTTTGTCTTTCTAAAATAAATGATAAAATCCCACCAACTGCTGTCTTGGTATTTAACTGGTACAAGAACACAGGTGAAGTTATTCTGGAGAGAGGGACAGGTCGGGTCAACGTATTCACTGCCTGACACCTCCACCCGCGGTGCAGGTGAGCAGGTGTTTCCATCCACCATCCCTGATGCCTGAGGCCAGACATATTTTCTCTCTCTACCTGAACCAATGAATTTTACATTCTCTTCCAATTTTCCACCACAAAACCGGAATGTCTCAGCCTGGAGAAAGGGCATCTCAGCACCTGACTCGGAAGGCTGTTCAAGCTCATGGCTGTCTAGAAACTCAGTGGTAATGTTTACAAGTTTAAGGATTATCTGGAATTAACATTTTAAAAAATCCAGACTGTCTGCTCTCAGGACGGAAAAACGGGGCCTTCACCATGTAGAGTCCACCGTCCTGATCCCAGATGTGAGTCTGTGGCCCACGGACACACTCAACAGCTCTGGCGTGGTCAGGGCGCAGACCCCACGGCCTCCGGACGGTGTCTGGGCCCCGACAGTGCGGGGCTTATCACTTCACTCCTGAGACACCTGATTCTCTTCATGTCCCTAGCTTGGTGCTTTGCCCAGGCACCTTCCCCAATGGACCAGGGATCTGGGAGTCCACTCAGGAGGTGGAGGAAGTGGGTCGCACCCACCAGGCAAAATACTTTTCACGGCCTGCATCACAGCGAACACTCCGGGGACTCGGGAGTGTTGTCCCAGGTGTACGCTGTGTTTTCTGGAGACGTTTCTCCAGCCACCTGCACGATGACAGCTAAGACCATCCAGGCCGTGGCCCTTCCAGGACCCTCGTGTCCGCCTGGCCTTGGCTACAACATGTTACCGATGGCAGCGATGTGCTCGAGGCCCTGCAACCCCAGCCCCCGCCTCTCCATGAACCACCACCCTCATCACAGTCATGGAGATGGTGACAGCTGAGATGTCCTGCTGAAGCATCTGCTGGATGTGGATGAAGCTGGTTTGGATGTAGCTGCCATCTAGCCCAGGCTACACCTCCCAGGACCCGCCTGCAGGCACCAGGCGTGCAGCACGCGGCCCACTCTAGAGTCTTTTTCAATGAGAGACCAGATGAGGACAGAGGCTCCAGTTGCTTTTGTTCTGTTCCAAGACTTGCCATCCCAGTCCTCCCAGAAGCTGCCCTGGTGATGCCTCTGGCACCTTTGGCCCCCACACTGCCCTGTGTTCCCTCCACCAGGCTCAGGGCTGGTCAGCCTCACCCCTTGCCGTGAAATGGCAGAGCCAGCCGAGGGCCGAGGAACCGTTACTCAGCCGTGTCAGTGACTTCTACCAGGGGCTGCACGGCACTCAGGAGTCAGGCCAACAGGCTCTGCTGACTCATGGGTGTTGTCTGAGGGTGGGGGCTGTGATGATGTCCCCAGGCCTCCCTGGCAGGGCTGTCACATAAAACAGTCCTTGAAGCTGGGAGTCCCCTCTTTAGACAGTTCCGCAGCCCCTGTGCCTTCTCATCACGATGCTGCACAGCCGACCACACAACAGAAGGCACCGGGTCTCACTCCCGGGGGAGACTCTTCCCTGGAAGGTGACTTGGCTGTCCCTGCCTAGACTCATTTTAAGTGCAGCCTAAATCTCCCTCATTTCCAAGTTATCAGGCAAAGTCTATTTTAAACTCACGACCCTTGAATCAGCAGGAAACTGAAACACGCCTCAGGCCACTGGGGCTGACTCACGCCCTGTGCTGAGCGGCAAGGCACAGCCGCGGGAAGGTAAACGCAGAGCCGAGGGGCCGGCCAGCACCTGGCCCTGACCGCCCCCAGGCCACGCATTCCTTGTTACTTCACCTCCTGGCGGATGGCAACCGTCCCAGCTTCGTGGACTGTCAGGGTCACCGAGAGTCCAGGGTGGTGGGAGTCCCCCACACGAGCCACTGGCACACTCCCTGAAGCAGAAGCCACGGCGCCAAAGCTGTGGGCTCAGGGAACTTGCCCATTACCTGGCAGCCCCGCATCTGTGCCAAAATAAGACACAACTCAGCCCAGCGGAGTGGACAGTGTCTGCGGCCAGCTCTGGGATCCAGGGCCAGCTGATGCTGGGAACAGCCGTCCTTGCCCTGTGCCTCTCCACACTGCGAGAGCCCCTGCAGCCCAGAGGGGCTCCACCTCCCCTGCAATGGGGCTCAAAAGACAATCCTTCTACGGGGCTGGCAGGACAGACGTGACAGGAACAACGATGGCCTGCTCCTCCCGGAAGGTGGCTTCAAGAGCACTCAGGAGGTGACAGATGCTGTCAAGACCGGCCCAGGGAAGGCACAGGGCAGGTTTCCCAGCACCCACCACGCGCCAGCGAGCACAGAGCCTTCGCCTGAACCATCCAGGCACCGCGCCCTCCCCCTCCGCACACACAGGAGCCCAGCTGCGATTCCCTCTGCTCCACAGGAGATGCAGCGAGCACCAAAGAGCCTTCCTCCAGGATTAAGCCTGATGCAGAAGTGGTTACACTGACTACGGCAAGGTCAGTTTGGCAAAACCCCCAGGAATTTCAGCCTATCTGGTCTCTTCAGCTGACAAGAGCAGGCACTGGTGGGGAATCCGGCGCTGCCTCTCCCCGGCTTCTAGGATCTGAGCTGGGCCAGGACAACCCTGAGACACCTGTCGGGCGGGGCAGGACTGGGGCTGCAGGGCGGGACTGTGGGGAGGGGACTGTGGGGCGGGGCCTGCAGGGCAGGGTGTGGGGCGGGAGCTGCGGGGCGGGGACTGTGGGGCCGGGTGGGGAGCCGCAGCTGCGGGGCAGGGGCTGCCCAGGAGCACTCCTTGCCAGAGGCCTTGGCATCACCAGGGAGTCCGTGGACCATGGAGACTCACGGGTCCCCTCGGGCCTTCTGAACCCAAACCTGCATTTTAAGCATGTTCTGTTCTGCACACTAACACCTGAGAAGGACCGTATAAGAAAAAACTTGTAATGACACAACTAATCTTAAAACTCACAGAAAAAAAAAAAGACTTCTTTGGGGTTGAAATTCACCTTCAATAAAGGGATGGAATGTAAGCAGAGCTGACCATGAACAACCTGGGTCTGGGTTTGCACTGCGTGGGTTCACTTACACGCAGATTTTCTTCCACCTCTGCCTCTCCTGAGACAGCAAGACCCATCTCTCCTCTTCCTCTTCAGCCTCCTCAACGTGAAAACCCGGAGGACGAAAGCCATTCGTGGAGACCCGCTGCTGCTGCGCGAGGCTTAAGTCTATTTTCTCCTCATGATCTCAGTATTTTCACGTCTCTAGTTTGCTCTACCCTAACAGTAAGAGCAGAACACACATAACATACAAAATGTGTGTGACTGGCTTTATGTGGTCAGGAAGGCTCTGGTCAACAGAAGGCTGTTAGTTAAGTTTGGGGAAAGTTAAAAGTTCTACACAAATTTTCAACTGCACAGGAGGCTGGCGCCCCCAACCCCTGTATTG
Source organism: Homo sapiens (assembly GCF_000001405.40). Classification (NCBI taxonomy): domain Eukaryota; kingdom Metazoa; phylum Chordata; class Mammalia; order Primates; family Hominidae; genus Homo; species Homo sapiens. The sequence continues at coordinate 89,322,177 of NC_000016.10, forward strand.
TTCAAGGGTTTGCTGTAATTTGTATTAAAACACCAAGCCCCCTTACACCTGGGTGAGTCTCTCTCCCTGAACAGATGTGACAACATTACCCTCCGAAGACTCCCAGAGAGAAAGAGAACACTTCAAATTCAGATTTGTCTTCCACAGTATGTTGATAGAACAGGCCTTTACGTACGTCCTGGGCAAATGCTCCTCTCCTTATGTAAGTTAATAACTCCACCAACCACTAGTTTGTGTAATGACCATTTAAATATCGAATGGTGCCCAAGGCCCCTGAGAAGGGATGTGATTCAGCCCCTCCCCTCACGCAGGCACGTGGCCTCAGAGGCCCAGGAGGAGGAAGACAGGAAGTCAGCAGCAGGGTGGAAAAGGGGAGGGAAGCCCTTCAAGGGAAGCTCTCCCAGAACCTTCAATCCCAGCTCCAATTCCAAAGACAGGAACACACTCATGACTGACAGGATCAAACACCAAAGGCCTGTTTGCCTTGAGGGGGACACTGGGGAGGGTGGGGAAGGGGGAGTGAGGAGGAGCTGGAAGCAGCAGTCCTGTGTGGCACCAGGGGCTTGCTCCCACGTCGGCCCTGGGCACAGCCCCGCATGGTGATGAGGTGTGGCCTGCCTGCAGCACACGGCCATGCTCCAGATACCTTAGCTTTATCTGAAGAGTTCTTTTGTTTGTTTGTTTGTTTGTTTGAGACAGCTGTGTTGCCCAGGCTGGAGTGCAGCGGTGTGATCACAGCTCACTGTAGCCTCCGCCTCCTGGGCTCAAGCTATCCGCTCACTTGAGCCTCCCAAGTAGCTGGGAGTACAGGCCCGTGGCACCATGCCCGGCTAATTTCTGTACTTTCTGTGGAGTCGGGTTTCGCCATGCTTCCGAGGCTGGTGTCTGAAGGATGCTTTACGGCAACCCCTGCCTTTTCCAGCTGAGCCCTGCCGGCTGTTGTGCGCTCCGTGGAAAGGGAGAAGCACGGTCTCCAGCGGCTGCGTCAGGAGTGGTGCCTTGTGCACACCTCACAGGGAGAGAAGTCTCCAACGGACTGAGCGGAGGAAAAAAGAAAAAAGGAGAAAAGGAAAAAGAGCTGCATACCTGGCAGGCCTACTGTGTGCAAAGCCCTTGAGTGACACACCCTATGACCCACAGCACTGTGGCAATCCCAGGTATGGAAGAGAAGCACCACTGGCCTCTCACCTCTCACCATCTCAGTGGGCAAGGGGAGAGCAAGCAGCCCAGGGCAGGGGGGCTGAGCCGAGGGCAGGGGGGCTGAGCCGAGGGCAGGGGGGCAGAGCCGAGGGCAGGGGGGCAGAGCCCAGGGCAGGGGGGCAGAGCCCAGGGCAGGGGGGCTGAGCCGAGGGCAGGGGGGCTGAGCCGAGGGCAGGGGGTCTGAGCTAAGGGCACGGGGGCTAAGCCCAGGGCAGGGGGGCTGAGCCCGGGGCAGGGGAAGAGCCGAGGGACAGAGGCCCTCACAGGAACCAGGCCCTCCCGCACACCGCCTGACAGTCCACGTCAGCGTCTCTGTCCAGCCTCCACACACCCCTGCACGTTCTGAAGAGCCCTCCCCAAGAGTCCAACTCTCTCTCCTTCCTCCTCAGGGCCGCACCAGCTCTCTCTCCTTCCCCTCCTCAGGGCCACACCAACTGTGGGGTTCCAGCTATCACTCTGTGCAAAGGACTCCTAACATGGGTGTCCTCCGTCTCACCCCATAAGCCACACTGGCCAAGGCCAGGCAGGCACCACACATCGCGAGGTAGAATCTCTTTGCTACGGTTTGAATGTTTGTGTCGGCCCCTCCCCTGCACCCCAAAATTCACAGGTTCAAACCAAACCCCCAGTGTGCCCAGCTACTTTTTGTATTTTTGGTAGAGACAGGGTTTCACCATGTTGGCCAGGGTGGTCTCCATCTCTTGACCTCATGATCTGCCGGCCTCGGCCTCCCAAAGTGCCCCACGGCACAACGCTCTCTACTGCAGCCCTGTTTCCACTCACATTTTCTGTTATCACGGCGGGGGGTGGCAGCACCGAGAGCGCGTTCAGCATTACTGGCCTCTGCTTTGCCCCTCAGACACATGCTTGGTCACTGGGCTGTGGAACATACAGGAGCCCCGTGCTCCGGAACACGGACCACCCGACAGGAGCACGGACACAGCAGTCGGGGCGACGTGGGTGCCTCACAGAAGAGGGAAAAAGCCAGGAGGGCGGCACGTGGGCGCAAAGTTCTCAGCTTCGTTAGTCATCAAGAAAATGCAAACTAAAACCAAGGTAAGTGTGAGGGTTACTACTGAGTTTCAACTTGACTGGACTAAAGGATGTGTAACTGTTCCTGGGAGCATCTTGAGGAAGCTGCCAAAGGAGATTCACATTGAGTCAGTGGACGGGGAGAGGCCGACGAACCCTCCATCTGGGGGGGCATGATCTCATCAGCTGCCAGCACGGCAGATCTGCGGAAGCACTGGACTGGCTGAGTCTTCCAGCCTCCATCTTTCTTCCATGCTGGATACTTCCTGCCCTCGAACATCAGACTCCAAGTGCTTCAGCTTTTGGGTTCTTGGACCTACACCAGTGGTTTGCCAGGGGTTCTTGGGCCTTCGGCCACAGACTGAAAGCTGCGCTGTTGGCTTCCCGACTTTTGAGGTTTGGGGACTCGGACTGGCTTCCTGGCTCCTCAGCTTGCCAACAGCCTATTGTGGGACTTCACCTCATGACTGTGTGAGTCAATACTCCCAATAAACTCCCCTCCATATATACATTTATCCTATTAGTGCTGTCCCTCTAGAGAACCCTGACTCGTACACACAAGTACTGGTGAAGGGGTGGAGCAAAGGAAACTAGTCCACTCTCATCAGGGCCAACTCACGCACCTGGCAATCTCTACTCATACTGAACACAAGTATGCCCTATAGCCCAGCAATGCCATTCTGGACATACACGTCCAAAAGAAAAGCAGGTGCACAGACACAAGAGACACGCGTGAAGTGCTTCATAGCAGTGGGGTTTGCGGCGTGCCACTAGGATGTGAGGGTGGAACACTACACAGCAGAGGAGGCAAACACATCACAACGTAAGTCAATCTCACAAATAATGTTGAGGAACCCTGTCTCTACGAAAAGTTTAAAAATTAGCCGGGCACTGTGGTGCATGCTGGCGGTCTCAGCTACCAGGGAGGCTAAGGCAGGAGGATCACTTGAGCCCAGGAGGTCGAGGCTGCGGTAAGCCAAGATCATGCCACTGTACTCCAGCCCGGGCGTCAGAGCCAGACCCTCTCCCCTCTCCCCTCTCCTCTCTCTCTCTCTCTCTCTCACACACACACACACACACACACACAGAGTAATAATGTTGGGGACAAAATACATGATACATTTACATAAATTTCTGAAAATAGCAACTACAGTACTTAGGGATGCATACTTAGTTGACAAGACATCCGCGAAGCGTGGAAAATGGCTGCCTGGCGGATGGAATTGGAAGGGACGGTGAAACGGGTTCTAAGTGAAGGCTGCGGAGGCGTTTGCTTTGTGGTCTGCTAAGTTGTACATTTTTACTGGGTGGACGTTTGGGTTCTCAGCTGAAGCAGTCTTTCAGAAGGTGACAGAGATAAAGGCCACACTATGTCCTTGCAAGGCCTCAGAGGTGTCACTGACCTTTTGCTGCAGGACCTGTTCTTCTCAGGGGTCTTGGCCTCCTAGAGGAAGGAGGGCCCCATCGCCCTGCTAGGCCCTACTGGGACCCTCAAGGGCATGAGCATGACGACGGAGCAGCTTCAGGCTTCCCAGCATGTCGGGCAGGCCTAGCCATGCCCAATACACACTGCAGGGCACCCACTGCAGAGTGCAACAGGGAGCTTGGAGCCTGACAAGGAGACACACAGCTCTGTGAAGACGAAGGGGAGGAGGAGCAAGGAAAATGCTTCTTTTACACAGAAGGCGCCAAGATACAAACTAAATGTGATGAAGACAAAGAAAAGCAGGCGTGTGTGTTAAAGGTACAATTGCACAGCTAAAAATAATCATGGCCGTAAGGCAGGGACGGCAGATGGAGGGTGACTCAGCAGATTTCCTCCAAGGCTTGCGAGGGTGGAAATAAACACACGGAAGTGACCAGCAGAGAGAAACACGCAGGGAAGAGGAAGGTTAGAAAGGTCTGGGGTGTCACGCACCGTTGCTGGGAATGCAGAGGAGGACGGTCTGCAGAAGGGGACGCAGCCACCGCCCCCCCCACCCCGCTGCAGAAGGTGCACACCACTCAGCAACCACCCACCCACTGCTCAATCTACCCCCAAATTACACAAATAGGGCCAGGCACGGTGGCTCACCCCTGTGGTCCCAGCTACTCAGGAGGCCAAGGCAGGGGGGTCATTTGGGCCCAAGAGTTTGAGACCCGGGCAATGTAGGGAAACCTCATCTTTACAAAAATATCAAAAAATTAATCAGTCGAGGTGGCACGCACCTGTAATCCCAGCTCCTTGGGAGCCTGAGGCAGGAAGACCCCTTGGGCCCAGGAGGTCGAGGCTGCAGTGAGCTAAGATTGCACCACTGCACTCCAACCTTGGTGACAGAGCAAGACCCTGTGTGAAAAAAACCCAAACCCCAAACCAAAAAAACACAACCGGGGCATGAAAAAGTGCTTGGCCCAGAGCAGTGCCCCAAAGCATCTCCTAAGAAAGGGGCTTAACACAAAGCCTGCCCGCCAGGGGCTGCTGGTGGCATCCGGGCACATCTGCACGTGGGGCTGACAGGACTAAGGAGGTTCCACAGACACACGACCAGGCGGAGACGCAGAGAAAAGCAGGTACAGCAAGAAGTCCACTGGGCAATGCAGAGGTGGGGAATGCAGAGGGGGAATGCAGAGGTGGGGAATGCAGAGGTGGGGAATGCAGAGGTGGGAAATGCAGAGGTGGGGAATGCAGAGGTTGGAAATGCAGAGGTGGGGAATGCAGAGGTTGGAAATGCAGAGGGCACCTACACTTCTGATGACAGCGAAATATGTAAGGCTGGCTCAACCATCAATCAGTCAACGTCACCCAGCATGCCAACAAGCTAAAGAAGAAACACCACATAATCACAACTGGTACAGAAAATCATTTGATAAAATTCAAAACTCACGATAAAAATTCCTAGGAAAACAGGAGTGTGGAGAAACATCCTCAACACGATAAAGGCCAACTACCAAGAACTCAAGGCTGACATGATCAAGAGTGACGTGCTGAGGGCTGCAGATGGAATGGCATACAGGGCAGAAAGGAAGAAATGGAATAAAACTGTCTCTCTCTGAAGATGGTGTAAGTGTCCATGTCGAAAATCACAAGGAATCTATCAAAAATTCCAAGAAACTTTATTTAATAGAGTTCAGCAAGGACACAGAATCCAAGATCAACACACAAACACCTATCCTATTTCTGCAATAATCCTATGAAAACAAGAAATAAAGACAGTACCATCCTATTTCTGCATGCTACCAATAATCCTATGAAAACAAGAAATACACAGTACCATTCTATTTCTACATGCTAGCAATAATCAAATAAAAACATGAAATAAAGACAGTACCATTTATAGGTGCTCCAAATAAAAATAAATGCTTAGGTTCATATGGAACAAAACTAGAAAAACCTATACACATTTTAGGAAAAAACAGGAGAAAATCTTTAGGACCTAGGGCCAAGAGTTGTCAGACATGGCAACAAAAGCACAATCCATAAAAGAAAAAACTGATAAACGACCTCGACAAAATTAAAAACTTTTGCTCTTTGAAAGACCTAGTTTAAAGAGTGAAAAGACAAACTGCAGACAGGGAAAAATATCTGCAAATCACAAGTCAGATAGCAGGCTTGTATGTAGAAGAAAGAAGTATCAAACAACAAACATTAATTAGAAAATAAGAGAAAACACACAGACATTCAGAAGAGGTGCACGTGGTGAACAAGCCATGAAGGCACTCGACATCCTAAGCCGTTAGGGAAACACAACTTAAAGCCGCAATGAGATATTACTGCACACCAATCGGAACAGCTAAAATACAAAATACTCAAGGATGCTGGAGAGGATGTAGAAAAGCTGGAACTCTCTCGCTTGCTGTGGGAACGCAAAGTGGTGTTGCTGCTCTGGAGAACAGCAAGGCAGCCTTACGAACCTAAGTGTGCGCTTGCTGCCCCACTCAACAACTGCACCCCAGGACATTTATCTGAGAAAATGGAACCTCATGTGAACACAAAGACCTGTTTGCGAATGTTCACAGAACTTTCACTGATAATAGACAATGGGGAAAACCCTTCAACAGGTGTCCCAGCGGTGTCCTCGAAACTGGGTTTCATTCACATCACGGCATCCCCTCAGCAGTAAAAGGGATGGCTATGGATACACCCAAGCGTATGGGTGAATCTGCAGAGGCCCCTGCTGAGTGAGTGGACACACCCAGGCGTACGGGTGAATCTGCAGAGGCCCCTGCTGAGTGAGTGGACACACCCAGGAGCACGGGCGAAATCAGCGGAGGCCCCTGCTGAGTGAGTGGACACACCCAGGAGCACGGGCGAAATCAGTGGAGGCCCCTGCTGAGTGAGTGGACATACCCAGGAGCACGGGCGAAATCAGCGGAGGCCCCTGCTGAGTGAGTGGACACACCCAGGCGCACGGGCGAATCAGCGGAGGCCCCTGCTGAGTGAGTGGACATACCCAGGAGCACGGGCGAAATCAGTGGAGGCCCCTGCTGAGTGAGTGGACATACCCAGGAGCACGGGCGAAATCAGTGGAGGCCCCTGCTGAGTGAGTGGACATACCCAGGAGCACGGGCGAAATCAGTGGAGGCCCCTGCTGAGTGAGTGGACATACCCAGGCGCACGGGCGAATCTGCAGAGGCCCCTGGTGAGTGAGTGGACGCACCCAGGAGCACGGGCGAATCAGCGGAGGCCCCTGCTGAGTGAGTGCACAAAGCCCACCTCTTAGGTCACTCCCTGTGGACTCTACTCCCACGGCTTCCTCCAGGACAAAACCACCAACCTCGGGGAAACAGGCGGGGACTCCGTGAGGAGGGCTCATGTCTGTCGGTGGCTGTCGAGGAGGCTCTAGGACCAGGTATCCAGGATAAGACGGGGGATCTGAATCAAGTCTGCAGGGCGGTCACCCTGTCTTCCAATGTCATGTTCCCGGCCACTGGGCGAAGGTGGGGAAGGGCACAAGGGATGCTGCTATTTTTGCAACTTCCTGTGAGTCTATAATGATTTCACAGAAAAAAGGAAAAAAAAGGGAGAAAAAACACAAGGGGTGTAAGGAGACTCCCATGGGTGATGAATAGTCTATACTTTTAGGTGATGGTGTTTCCCCAACGGTATACGTTTCCCAAAACCCACTGAGCTGTAAATTTAAAATGAGTGAATTTTATGTCAATTGTAATTCAATAAAGCTGTTAAAAAATTAACTAGAAACAGAAAAAAATTTTAATTCCCATAGAAAGAAGGAATAAAGTAAAAAAACAGTATGAGGTAGGAGGTAAGCTTCCTTTCATAAACCTTGTTTTGTGTATTTGGCTTTGGAATCATGCATTTTACATCATTTAAAACATTAAATATAAAATGAGACTGGGTGCAGTGAATCCCAGCAGTCTGGGAGGCCCAGGCAGGCAGATCACTTGAGGTCAGGAGTTCGAAACCAGCCTGGCCAACATGGTGAAACTCTCTACTGAAAATACAAAAAATTAGCCGGGCATGGTGGTGCGTGCCTGTAATCCCAGCTACTTGGGAGGCTGAGGCACTGGGAGGCAGAGGCTGCCGTGAGCAGAGATCACACCACTGCACTCCAGCCTGGGCGACAGACAAGAGTGAGACCTTGTCTCAAAAATAAAATAAAATAAAATAAAATAAAATAAAATGTAAAAACATAAAATTTTGTTTATGTATTCACATTAAATATAAACATTTTAATAATGTTTAAAATGATTTAAATATACTTGAATGACATTAAACATTTAAAGGATTTAAAGCATTCAATATAAAAATACAAAAAGCAATCTCTACAACTTCAAAAAGGAAGAGGAAGCAATACACTTAGCTGTGTGTCCGGTCAGGGGCAGGACACAAAGCATTTGTCAACAATGACCATGCAGCCACCACCACACCAGGAGCATTCCTGACAGCACGCAGCTTCTGGGTGGGTGGGAAGGCTCGGGAGACCTGGCTCAGGATGTGAGTCAGGTGCTAGGGGAGCCAGTGGAGAGGGAGGGGCTGCTTCCCAGGTGGCCGCTCGCACACCGGGAGGGCTGCTGCTGGCTCTGGCAGAAGGCCCAAATTCCTTGGTGCACAGACACGGCTGCGGATGTGTGGACATGTCCGTGGGGCTACGTGAGGGTCCCCGTGACGTGGCAGCGGGTTTCCACAGTGCAGTCATTGATGGGGTGGTGTGGGGGGGAGCCACGGCACCTCTGTGACCTAGTATCGGAAGCAAGGGGCTGCGTGAGGGTCCTCGTGACACGGCAGTAGGTTTCCCCAGTACAGTGACTGGGGGGGGGGGGGGGGGGCGGGGGCGGAGGAAGCTGCAGCATCTCTTGTATCGGAAGTCCCACGGCTTCACTTCCACCTCATCCTGTTCCTCCTCGGCGAGTTCCAACCTCTAGCCCACACTCTGCAGAGAACGGTGCTCCACTTCTGAAGGGAGGCAGATCAAAGATTCTGTGGACACTCTTTAAACTTCCCCCAGTGGCTTTTGATTAAAACCTGGTAATTTGACTGTACAGTTCTAGTTAGTGCCATATGCCCTGAGGACAAAAATTAAAATTTTGAAAAATATTATAAGCAAAACACCTTCCTTTTTCTTGAGACGGAGTCTCACTTTGTCGCCCAGGCTGGAGTGCAATGGTGCCATCTCGGCTCACTGCAACCTCTGCCTCCCAGGTTCAAGCAATTCTCCTGCCTCAGCCTCCTGAGTAGCTGGGACTACAGGTGCCTGCCACCATGCCCGGCTAATTTTTCTATTTTGAGGAGAGATGGGGTTTCGCCATGTTGGCCAGGCTGGTCTCGAACTCCTGACCTCAGGTGATCTGCCTGCTTTGGATTCCCAAAGTGCTAGGATTACAGGCATGAGCCACTGCGCCCGGCCTGATGAAATACATTCTTAATATTAACTTCATGTGTTTCTTTTTACTCTATAATGAGGCTAATAGAAAATTTAAAATTAGATGCACAGTTCACATCATATATCTCATGGACAGAACAACTCTATGGGACAGAAGACCCCGATCTCTGACAAACAGGCAAAAATCCCAGAGAAAAGAACAAAGGGAGAATTTACAGATTAAAGACTTAAAAGACATCAAAGAATCTTAGTGTGTAGACCCTGTTTGGAAACCAGTTCAAACAAAGAACTGCTGAAGAAAATGGCACATTTAGGAAAGAGCCTTTTGATACCGCTGGGTGTGTGGTGACACTGAGAAAGTTCAAGGCACCCAGCGATTCAGGAGATAGAGATTTATAGATATGTATTTAGGTACAGGGTCTCCTCTGTCGCCCAGGCTGCAGTGTAATTAAATAATCACAGCTCCCTACAGCCTCGAACTCCTGGGTTCAAGGGATCCTCCTGCCTCAGCCTCCCAAAATATTGGGGCTACAGGCATGAACCACCACACCTAGCCTGTGTGCTATTTTTATTTTCATTTAGTCTAAGATACGGTGATGGTTTTGAATGTTTTCGGCGGATGCAATGGTGTGGACTCGGGTTTGGTTCCGGGTTAACGGGCTGGGGTGGCTCCTGCACGTGGGCCCCACATGCTGGGAACCGTCATCACCACTGTGTTCACCACACTCTCTCTTAAGAAGGGCACACAAAACATTCAAAAAAAATTTAAAAACTCAGTAGCATGCAGTGGCTGATGCCTCTAATCCCAGAACTTTGGGAGGCTGAGGTGGAAGGGATCATTCGATCCCAGGAGTTTGAGACCAGACTGGGCAACATGGCAAGATTCCATCTCCATATTAAAAAAAAAAGATAATAATCTTAAAAGACACAATTCCAGAAGCTGCAGAATGTGTCACAGAAATGACTTCCTTACGTATTAAAGAATCCTCACAATAAAGGATCATTTTACAAGCAGACTATAAACACTGAAACAGACAAAAAACTAAAAACCCAACTCATGAGAAACACCTGGTGAACGCTCTTCAGCTCCGTGAAGTCCTGGGATGGCCCAAGCACCTCTGGTGGGCTGTACCTTTTCAGAAAGAAACACTGAGCCCCCCAAGTCCCCGAGGACAGAGATGCCTTACAGCTCCACACGTCCCTCCACAACGGCAGCACCTGTACCCGCAGCTCTGGGGAGAAATGACACCTGCAGGCCAAGACAAATGCAAGAAAACAGCCTCGTCTGCTCACTGATTCTCACCAACTTCCTCTATAAAATGAGGACAAGAACCCATTCTCCTAAAGGATTTTGTGGGGATTAAATGAAAAAGCACTATCTAAATCCAAGTTATCATCACTGTAATGGCTTTAGAAAAAAGCAAACGACAAACACAACGAGAGAGGCGCTGAGACCAGGCAGGGCTCTCCTCCGGCAGGGCCTGGTCTGCACTGCCCTCTCTGAGGAAAGTGCCCCGCTGCCCTGACCTCCCTAGTTTCACACCTCCACACCTCCAAGGAGGTTATCCTGGTACAACTGAGAAAGCAAGCAATTCCCTTAGAAACGTCCATTTCTTTCCTTTATGCTCAAATGTTTTATTACTCCTTAGGGCTGCTTTGTTTTTTAACGCAAGGGTCCACAGTTGAGAACGTAGTTACAAACTCAAGAAACGAGCTGCAACAGAACAGCGGGGCTGCTCCACGCTTCTCAGCCATTTTCCCATCCTGTGCACCCGGGGAATTTCACACGTGGTCCCCCAGAGTGACAGGGAACCCCCAGGGAAGAAGGGCCCCTGTGGGGCATGCAGAAAAACGCCTGCCCCCTGGTGTGAGGTCACAGACTCAGTGGCCAAGCTCAACAATGCTCTGGGAACTCCAGTCAAAGATGCATCACAACTTTTGGGTCATGCCTAAGGTCAATTCCAGAATCATTTTAGCATGTTAAACAGACACTGAAAATAAAACATATTTTATTTTTTAAAGCAGCTTTAGGTTCACAGCAAAATTGAGCATGAAGTACAGAGGGTTCCCCTGCACCCCCGGGCTCAGCATCCCCACGAGAGTGGCCGTTTGTTACAGCTGAGACCCCCCTGGACACAGCATCATCACCCACAGGCCGCACGACCTCAGGGTCCACCGGGTGCTGTGCAGTCTATGGTTGGACGAACGTATCCTGATGTGGACCCACCGTTGTGGTATCATACAGAGTAGTTTCACTGCCCCAGGTCCCCCGTGTTCCTGCTGCACAACCCTCCGTCCCTCCCTCTCCCCAGCCCCTGGCGTCACTGATCTTTGTGCTGTCTGCACAGTTTTGCCCTTTCCTGGATGTCAGAGTCGGAACCCTACAGTGTGTAGTCCTTGGAGACGGGCTGCTTTCACTCAGGCCTGGCAGCTCGTCTGTTTTTAGGGCCTTGTAATAGTCTGTCGTCTGGATGGACCTTGGTTGACTGATCCATTCACCCTCTGCAGGACATCTTGGCTGCTTCCAAGTTTTGGCAATTATGAATAAAGCCATTTTGTGAAAGTGAAATAATACAGAACAGGAAACATTAGGGGGCACTGCACACCATCACAGAAAGGGACGGTATTATTCTGTGAGTATGTTCCCAGTATGTGGGCGTGTGTTGTGAACAGAGAGATAAACTACTTTCTCACCACTGGAAGCAGTCAGGACAATTCAAATGCTGGCCTAACTGGTTAAGAGCCCTCAATCTGTGGTCAGATATATCTAAGTTTCTCAATCTATAAAATACAGAAATAAGGCCAGGTGCAGTGGCTCAAGCCTGTAAAACAAGCACTTTGGAAGGCTGAGGTGGGTGGATCACTTAAGCCCAGTTCAAGACCAGCCTGGGTAACATGATGAAACCCTGTGTTTTAAAAAAAAAAAAAAAAAAAAAAAAAAAAACAGAGAGAGAGAGAAAGAAAGAAAAAACACTGTTCCCAAGCTGCGGGCTCAGGACAATGTCTGATGCCTGGCCTAGCCCTCATCAATGGCCTTCACAATCCCTGCTGACTGGGAGTCAACCCCCAGTGAGTGTACTGCCAATACGGCCAAGTTTCTGAAGTTGGTGACATGTGAGGGTACCCCAAGACTGAACAGAAACAACCTCCTCTCAGGTTCTGAGTGGGTCCAGCTCTTCTTACCCCTCCAAGCCTGCCATTCTCTGAGGAGTCCTCTCTTCCTCCACTGCTCTGCTTCCTCTCACAAAGGGGGAGTGTCCCACCACGTCCAACTCCAGGCTGGCAAAGTGACGAGAAAACACCCCACCCATGTGGGCAGTGGGCATGCGGCATGCTATGGGGCCATGAGAAGCAGCCAGGTGGGTAGGCCAGACCCTGACCCAGAGCAAGCAGAGCCCAGCGCAGTCTCAGCCACGCTCCATGAGGGGCCACATCCACGAGGGCCCAGGAGCAACATCCCAGGCACACCCCAGGGATGAGCAGCACAGGCCGCCAACCACGTCATACCACACTCACTTGTGCAAAACACCCTCAAACTGCAAAAAGCCCACCCACGTGTCCACCAGCAGAAGAGCAAATGAGTCCAGGTGGCCCACAACACACGGGGCGCACGTGTCCATAGACAGCACACTGGATTCGAAGAGCCAGACACGAGTGTGTCTGCTGTGGCCTTCTGCATGCATGAGGGCCCCATGGTGCTGGGGGCCAGGCAGACAGTCAAGCAGCAGAGTGGAGGGGAGGTCCAGGAGGAGATCCCACAGGTACATGTGACATGAGCTCTATCGTATGTGCACCTAAGATGTGTGCCATTTCCTCCACGGATGTTATACCGCAAAGAACAATAAAAAACGACTAACACTGATTGCTGACCACCTCCCCAAATAACTAATCAGGACACACCCTGATGCCCCATGTCCGGCCTGTGGGGGCACTGTGGAAAGCACAGGAAGTGAGCTCAGTGCGTGCCTTCCCCATTGTCCTGGCGTTCCATGCAGGCTGGGAGACGCGGGTGACAGCCTCACACCACCCCTGTTCCCAGAAGAGGCCAGTGCACCCCCAAGCAGGGGCTGCAACAGGGCTGCACAGAGGGCTCCAGTTCCTTCCAGCACAGGAACAAATCCACACCGAGGCATCCGTGAGTCCCACAGGTCCCAGAAGCATGGGAGCAGCTTGAGGCCTCTGCATTCAGGGGTCTCTGCCGTCCTGAGCTTCAGGATGAGTGGGTTCCCACCTAGCACGCAGTACGCAGTGGGTTAGGGCAGGTGCTCTCCCTCCTCTCCCTATGAACGCTATACCACTCCCATGAAAGCCTGTGCGTGCTGCCTCAGGACCCTGTAGCAGAACAGCGAGTGACGTCGCTTTGGCAGGGAACCTTTGGTTTGCAAAGCCCCGTCACACACACAAGCTGAGGTAAGATGACAAGTCTGTGTCTCTGCACCTCAGCTGAGCCCTCAGGACACAGCACATGAGCGCCCAGGGGCCTGCAAACAGCAAGGACCAAGGCATCACTGACCGTGACAGGCCCCAGTGTGTGACAGTGAGAGGCCCCAGTGTGGGTTCTCACAAGCTTGTTTTACGGTTTGACCCAGAGAGTACCTGTGAGTTTCCCCTACAGCTGGTGCTTCTAAAGGGCTAGGAGAAACGCAGGGCAGGATCCCCACACGCCAGCAGCTGACTGGCCAGACCCCTGCCTGTGCTGAGGCATCCGCCGCAAACATGACCGTGCAACATGCTTCAAGATGCCCTGTGACTCTCTCAGATGGGTCTTTTATTAGAGTTTCTAAATAAAGAAGTGATGGCCAACATCACAGGAAACCTTAGATACTATTCCTGCCAGTTGGTTTGAAAAAGCTTTAACTGTTAATTTGCTGATCGTTTTCAGCCACACGGTTTTCTGCCATGTAATCCACAGAACCCAGGCCTCTGGCCACTTGTCCAGGATACCTCTGGAGCTCAGAGCCACTGTCCTTGTGGGCTACTCAAGACTTGAGGGGTTCAGGCAAGAGCCACATCAACAGAGCTGGACCTGGTGCCTGGCTGGGAGCAGGTGCCGGGGAGCAGCCACCAAATGCACACACGCCAGGGCACGCAACTGCCCGCACCTCCAAGATTGTCGTCAGACCTAGAGGCGGGTGTGCGTCCACAGACAGCACACTGGATTCAAAGACCCAGGAAGGAAGGAGTCTGTTTGCTGTGGGCTTCTGTGGTGCTAGGGACCAGGTGAACACTGAAGGAGGGGCCAGACGGAGTCCAGGAGGACTCCTGTAGCAGGACATTGCCCAGATTTCTCACAATGTCCTCTACAATTAAGAGCACAACCACTGTTCCTTCTGCACTGGTGGGAACCCAGCACTTCAATGAGACACAAGGTTAAAGTGACGCTTTGTAAGGACGGAAAGCCACCTGTGGGCACCACACCCCCCGGGTGGGCCACGACAGGGAGCACAGGCACTAGGAGACCCGGCCTGTCCTAAAAGCACGCCCTACAAGGAGTCCCCACTCTCTACCTATCTGCTTCTAATGTTCTGACTACATGAGAGATGATAAAAGGGTTTCAATACAAGTGTAACATTTTAAATATAAAGGAATGTCTTTCCATTAGAAAACAACTGCAGGCCGGGCGCGGTGGCTCACGCCTGTAATCCCAGCACTCTGGGAGGCTGGGTGCGGTGGCTCATGCCTGTAATCCTAGCACTTTAGGAGGCCGAGACAGGTGGATTGCTTGAGCTCAGGAGGTGGAGACTAGCCTGGGCAACATGGTGAAACCCTGGCTCTACCAAAAAAAAAAAAAAAAAAAAAAAAAAAAATTAGCCAGGTGTGGTGGTGCACACCTGCAGTCCCAGCTATTTGGGAGGCTGAGATGGGAGGATTGCTTGAACCTGGCAGGCACAGGCTGCAGTGAGTTGAGATCACACCACTCTACTCCACCCTGGGCAACAGAGTGAGACCCTGTCTCAAAAAACAAAAAACAAAAAACTGCAA
The DNA here is from genome assembly GCF_000001405.40 of Homo sapiens. Classification (NCBI taxonomy): domain Eukaryota; kingdom Metazoa; phylum Chordata; class Mammalia; order Primates; family Hominidae; genus Homo; species Homo sapiens. The sequence goes on from NC_000016.10 coordinate 89,337,212, forward strand.
ATTAAAACGCCAAACGCACAGATTAATGGAGGAAGCCCCATGCCCAAATGCTCCCAAGGAAACGTCAGAAAGGAGAGGACTTCAGGTGGCTCGGAATCCTCCGCCACGTGACCAAGCCCAGCTGAGCACTGGGTCTCATTGGATTTGCCATCAGACACTCACAGTTTTTGTCACTGTTAACCCTACTGCACAATACATGAACATGGTCTAAGCAATTCTTTTTTTTTTTTTTTTTTTTTTTTTTTGAGACAGTCTCCCTCTGTCGCCCAGGCTGGAGTGCAGTGGTGCGATCTCAGCTCACTACAAGCTCCGCCTCCCGGGTTCACGCCATTCTCCTGCCTCAACCTCCCGAGTAGCTGGGACTACAGGCGCCTGCCACCATGCCCAGATAATTTTTTTGTATTTTTTATAGTAGAGATGGGGTTTCACCGTGTTAGCCAGGATGGTCTCAATCTCCTGACCTCGGGATCCACCCGCCTCGGCCTCCCAAAGTGCTGGGATTACAGGCGTAAGCCACTGTGCCCGGCCTGGTCTAAGCAATTCTAACCATGCAGACAATGTGCAGGTCTTTCCTAGGTGGAAAGCAAGTTTGCCCAAGTCGCACGAGCAAGGCTGGAGTCAGCAATGCCTGTTCCTCTCCCTCTGTTCTCTAATGGTGTGGTCTTCAGTCTACTGTGTGTGGAATCCCCCTCTATTGGGACCACAGCTCCTGGGCTGCAAGCACCTGCTGAGCATGAGGGTCCAGCTTCCAAGCTCACTGTCCCACGGGTGACAAGCAACACAGTGACCTGCCTCCCACATCAGCTGGTGCCAGTATCATGGTGACTCCCTACACACCAGGACCACTGTGTCGCGCTCTGCCACTCAGGAGCCCCAGGGGCCCCCACTATGGCCATCCCAGGACGCCGCCCGTCAGGCTCCCAGGACACTGCCCCAAGCACCCAGCTTCAGTGGGTGTGCTGCCCCGAGACGCACTCTCACTGTGCCGGGGGGTGGGACCTCTGCAGCCCAGCACGTCCACTCAGTGTCCATGTGCTGCCATGAGCGCCACACTGTGTCCTCCAGGATGTGGGTCTCTGTTAGTCCCTCCCCTACCAAGCCAGGACAGCCACCTGCTTACAGGGGTGCTGACAAATACTGACTACCTGCAAAATTGAAACATGGGTTTGAAAAGGGCCTGAGTGGAAATCCTGTACTTAACATACACTCTGTTAAAAAAAAAAAAAAAAAAAAGGACCAGGCGCTGTGGCTCACACCTGTGTAATCCCAGCACTTTGGGAGGCCGAGGCGGGCAATCACCTGAGGTCAGGAGTTCAAGACCAGCCTGGCCAACATGATGACTGTCTCTACTAAAAATACAAAAATTAGCTGGGCGTGGTGGCATGCAACTGTAATCCCAGCTACTTGGGAGGCTGAGACAGGAGAATTGCTTGAACCTGGGAAGCTGAGGTTGCAGTGAGCCAAGATCACGCCACTGCCCTCCAGCCTGGGCAGCAAAGAGCAACACTCAGTCTCAAAAAAAAAAAAAAAAAAAAAAAAGAGCGAGCTTTTGTAGAAACAGGTTTAAAAGAAAAAATAATCTCTGCTCTTTTCAGCATTTAGAAAATCAGCCAGGCAAAACAATCATTTCCCTTTCTTAGCTAAAAGGTTTGCCAAATGAATACTTGGAGCAAAATAAGCCTAATTAGTAACAAAAAAATCACCCAGATATAAATGCGTAATTTAAACCCATAATGAAAGCACATGAGGAACTCCTTTCCCTCAAAGTCACCACCGAGGGCCTCACTGGACTTAGGACCCAGGAAGGAATGATGAGTCCATCTGCTCGTGACCTGAGTCTCTAAACCAGGAGGACAGACGTCCTGGGTAACCGCTGATGGGTGAGCGTTGCACCCCCAGGATCCCTGTAATTATAGGTTCTCAAGGACACCAACACCAGAATCCATATCCCATCTAGAAACTTCTTCCTGTGATGCCTGCCAAAAGGTCCATTTTTCAGTCCATTATCACAATGAAGGTGAAGTTTTGCTGTTTAGGTCAAAATCATGCATTAGGCAATAGAACGACCTAGAGATGTCTGAATTCCCCCTCAGTACAACCAAAGGAGTAAGAGAGGCCCAGGTTTGCTTGAAGGCTTACACTAGCAAACAAACAAACAAACAAACAAACAAAGAGAAACCAAGAACTGGGAAAGCTGGTCGGTAGCATCACACAGGTCAGATCTGAAAGCCCCATGGTCCGAGGAGCCCATCCTGCCCTGAGTGCACGCAGCGCATGTGAAGAGTCAGATATAAAGGTGGCTCTTTCACAAACCATTTCGGAAATTTAGACGAACCCTCAATTTATTTAGAATGGGTTATTATATTTTATAATTTCTACACAGAAAATATTTTCTAACCATATCATTTTATAACAAATTAGCAATAGCTAATGTTTCCTTTAAAATTTTTCAAGCACACAGAAAAGGATGAAGGAGAATACAAACACACATCCACCATCTGTTCATTTTGCCATATTTGCTTTAGAATTCTAACATTTAAAAATTACAAATTACATAATGGTTGAAGCCCCTTATATAAGCCCCACCCTGCTGTGGCTGCTCCTCAGCGTCGATCTGATTTTGGGGCTAAGCATTCCTCTCGGCGCTTTGATACTCACGCTACACACAAGCCTACACCAAAGCCGGCCGCTGTCTTTGCAGGTAACGCATTGGACGGTTCCTGCCGTACCTTTTCCCTTCAAGTTGTGCTCTGGGGTCTATCTGTGTGGATACAGGCAGTTCTACTATTCTTATGACAACTGCAGTGTGCGCTCCTCGTTGTCTGAAAAATCCATTCTCCTGTTGACTAACATTTGTTTTTTCCAACTTTTTGCGAATACAAACAACACTAAAATGAGTATTTGTCTGTTTCTTTACATATCTAAAGTTTATAACTAGAAATGGAATTTCTAGCAAGAAACTGTAAAATGCTTTGTAAAATATCTGATGAAATGTCACACTGTATAGTCATTCACAAACATGTCATCTTTCACTTTTGATTAGGGCAGATGTCTTCTGTTGTAATTTTTGTTGTTGTTGTTTTTGAGACGGAGTCTCGCTCTGTCGCCCAGGCTGAAGTGCAGTGGCACCATCTCGGCTCACTGCAACCTCCACCTCCCGGGTTCAAGCGGTTCTCCTGCAGCCCCCTGAGTAGCTGAGATTACAGGCATGCGCCACCATGCCTGGCTAGTTTTTGTATTTTTAGTAGAGATGGGGTTTCACAATGTTGTCCAGGCTGATCTTGAACTCCTGACTTCAGGCGATCCACCTGCCTCGGCCTCCCAAAGTGCTGGGATTACAGGCATGAGCCACAGCGCCCAGTCCTGTTGTAAATCTTTTATCAAGAGATCTTGGTTAGACAAGGGGAAACAGTACTTTGCACATCATCTTTTTTTCTAACATGATTACATTCTACAAAAAGAGACAATATAATTAACAAATTTCATTTAAATAAAAACTATAAACTCAAGTGCTAACAGGAGGCTGTTCATTGGCAAAACAAAATCTTGGAAGAGGCACAAGGGCCCAGAGAGCTCTGAAACCCCAGAAATCACACAGAAAATGTACAGGTATGTGGACAGTCCTGGGGAGAGGATGCACAGCTTTTGCCCAATTCTCAGAGAGTCCAGACCTGAAAAACGTTTAGGAAGGCACCTTTTCAATGTCCAAATGTGGGCAGTGATGTGGGAGTGAACATCAGCCAATAGAGTCCTGGACGGACATTCTACCTTCCAAAGCAGACCAGACTCACCAACACACCCAGAAAGAACATTTTTAAAATATAAATGGCTTCAGAATCCTTTAACATATGCCCAGGAAAAAATTAATAAGTCATAACCCAAGTCATGTGGACTGTTTATATGCAATATTAGAAAAGAAATCAAGGTTTCCACTGCGAAAAGCCTGAAACCCACAGCTCTGTTTCTAAGGTGAATGAGATGGGTGAGATCCGCGGAGAAGACTGGACTTCTGCTGCCATCATGGCAAGCAGACCCGGTTTGGAAACAATGCTGTGGGTCCATTTCTCTCTGCATTAAATACACCACAGGATTTTTCGTTTTAAATTATTAATCAGGCAATCAAACCAAAAGGAAGCAGACAATTTAAGTTGTAACAGGGCAATCTGCAGATTCTCACAGGTTGGAGGGATAAGGCCCCAACGTGAACAGACCCCACCAAGCAGCTTCCCAGCCTTCCAGAAGGTTCCAGAAGGCCTGTGTGGGCTGCTGGGCTCGTCACCTTAGCAACGGCTCTAAACATATGTGCAGTGACACCAGCTGATTTCTGAAAGCTGTAAATAGAGGATAATGGCATAAAAAAAATTCCAGATTAAAGGACCACCCACTGCCTCCTCTCCCACCCCATCCAGCCCATAAATCCCACCGTTAACACTGGGAGCAATGCCACGTATGCAAACGTGGCTTTAATCCCCTCACACACCTATTCATCTGCATAATGATATACCTACAAAAGCAAAATAAGGTCCTTGGGTTAACTCTCTCTGCACAAACGTGCACAAACAAAAAGTGGCCAAGAGATGGCAGAGTCTGGCACGGATGGACCAGCCCACAGCAGCCACGGCCCACGGCGGGAGTGCTGCACCTCCACCCACAGCGGCCACGGCCCACGGCAGGAGTGCTGCACCTCCACCCACAGCGGCCACGGCCCACGGCGGGAGTGCTGCACCTCCTCCACGAACAGCAGCCACGGCCCATGGCAGGAGTGCTGCACCTCCACCCACAGCGGCCACAGCCCACGGCGGGAGTGCTGCACCTCCACTGCCCACAGCGGCCACGGCCCACGGCGGGAGTGCTGCACCTCCACCGCCCACAGCTCTGCTTCCCACCCTCCACCTCACACCACCATGGGCACTTGGTCCCTTCTCTCAGGGCCCTTCTAGATCTTGGCGTCTGGGCCTCAAAGCACAACACAGGTACTGACAGGTAGGTCTCCACCATGAGAGAGAAAAAGATGAGGTCAACTGCCTGGGCAAAGGTTCCAGGTGGAACATCAAGAGCTGCTGGTGAATGAGAGCGGCAGCCCAGGCTCAGACCTCAGAACCAGCTTCTATCTTTGAAGGATGCAGCCCATTTCACCTGAGAGTCGGAAAACGTTGAACTCCCCAGAGATGTTGAGGCCTTGGGAAGACAGCATTCGGTCCAGGATAAACCAGCAATACTCTGGACCAGGTTTGCAAAGAACTCGCCCAACAGGAACAAGGCAAAGCGTGAGGAGGAACGGGCAGGGAGAGGCCAGCGTGAACTCGCTGCGGCCTGCGTGGCTCTCTCCTAGCACACCACGTGCCTGAGCAGGATATGCCTTTTCCTTATTTCCCCTCTATCATCTTTCTGAGGCATTATATGGAAAACTGGGTGAATAAATCCCCAAGTATGAGCTGACATTCTTAAGAGAAAAAACAAACTTGATACTTCATGGTGTAAAAATCTATTTATGGGCCCTACAGAATTACTTCTCACTATAGTCCTCATTAAAATTAAATACTAAATACTCTAAGGAAACACACAATTGCATGTTAAAACATGAAAAACATTATTACAGAATAACCAAACTTTTGTTCCCTCAGAGTGCCTTTCTGTGATCGTTTATGCCCAACTGGCAAAGGAGTGGGAAAGGGACGGAGGTGAATGAAAAGAAGGCTCATATCCCAGAGCCCAAAACAGGCATCATTTACATGCTTCATAATTCCGAATTTGGGATGCACAAACCAATAAAGACTATGTACTCATGTCTGTTTGCAAATATAAGCGCTTTTTAAATTTTTATTTGAGACGCAGTCTTGCTGTTGTCACCCAGGCTGGAGTGCAGTGGTGCGATCTCGGCTCACTGCAGCCTCAGCCTCCCGAGTAGCTGGGATTACAGGTGTGTGCCACCACGCCTGGCTCATGTTTTTGTATTTTTAGTGGAGACGGGGTTTCACCATGTTGGCCAGGCTGGTCTCGAACTCCTGACCTCAAGAGTGATCCACCCAGCTCGGCCTCCCGAAGTGCTGGGATTACAGGTGTGAGCCACCGCACTGGGCCTGAGCGCATTTTTTAAAAAGCAATACCTGTGTTCCCAAAAACAGAAAAATTGACATTTAGTTATAAGCTCCAACACTTTAATTGCTTAAACTGAATTTGTGGCAAATTATTTCAAAGTAAAAATCAGCTCAGATTTGTGTTTTTATGTGTAATCTCTTAAAAGCCAGGGTACACAGGTATTCCTAACACATAATGTATGTGTGAGTGAGTGAGCGAGCAAATGAGACAGAGCTCGAGGTGGGCTGGAGGCATGTGAGGGTGCACGCGAAACACAGTGCCTCCTCTTGGAGTTGCCAGAATTCACCTCGTTCAGAACCTCACCCCAGTCAGAAAACACAAGGCAGCAACTGGCCGGAACTTGGTCAGTCACATCCATAAACCACCAATTACCTTCACAGACCACGACTAACAGGTTTATTACAGATGAGTCACAGCTCATGTTTTCAAGGAAGGGTCTCCAACTGAGCAGTCACCAGTGCAGCCTGCGTCAGGGCGCGCCTCCCTCCAGCGGTCCCCGCGTCGCCCATGTCTGACACAGTTTATGCTTCGCAGGCGGTAAGGCTCCGCTCCTCACTCCCATGGACCAACAGAGTAGGGAAAACGAAGGCACGTTGGAAACTACGGATCACGGGCTGTTTTGGGTGTGGGAAATCCACCCACCCACACTCACGGCCAGCTCTGACCGACTGAACCCAGGGGCACATCACAGACATAAATATCGGTGCAGGCGGCCAGCCACTCCTCAAGCCCGGCCCCGCCCCTCCTGCTCCCAGCGGAAGCTTTTGGTGCAGGACTTCCCGGGCCTCAATCTCCTCATCTATAGGCTGGGAACAAACCCTGGAGTCTGTGCTCTGGGAGGAGCACACACGGGCAACCCTGGCTCAGGACAGATTCCCAGCCCCTAAGTCATCACTAGGGCTTAACGATCCATTTCAAATTACATCTGCACGGTGCTTTACTTTCATACGTTATTTTATTTGGAGCCTCTAACGAGCCTCAGCTAACAGATGGTATTATTTCCACATGGCAAACAAAGAGACAGGAGCTGCAACCATCCAAAGACACCTCCTTGCTATGAATGCCTGGCCAGGCCTCCAGGCAGGACCAGCAACTCCAGACCCCGTCAGGGCCAACACGGGCCACTGCTGTCCACACACTCCTAGAAAATATCCATCTGTCTGAAGCGAGTGACACAGATTTTACCCTCTTGAGGATAAAATAATCCCATCTGCCAAAATGACCCACAAATAAAGGCTCCTCCTTGTCTGAACGCTGCCTCAGCGTCTGAGGGATAAGCCCACAATGCAAGCGTCCGGGAGGACACTCCAGGCTGAGGGGCCCAGGAAGAAAGAGGGCCAGAAATGAGGGCACCCTCATGCATGCTGGGAGCTGCCGACACCTTCAGACTGGGAAGAACAAAGAGCTCCCAAGCACGAGGGCACGGGAGCACAGCGGAGGGCACGGGAGCACAGCGGAGGGCCAGACGTGAGGCCAGAGGCGGCTGGAGCAGCAGCTCCCACCCAATAGCAGACGAGGCGTGAGACTCTCAACCACCTTCCAAGTTTTCTCTTCATCTTCAAGAGAACCTCAAACTGTATTTTCCTTAGTTTCATTACCAGGCTCCTTGTAGAAAATACCAGTGAAAAAGAATGGTTGGCAGAACTGAAAATCTCAGGAAAAAGCACAAACACAGCACACAGCAGAAGCAGGCGCAGATGAGGCAGGAGGAACGGCAAGGCCAAGCGGTGCTCCAGGGAAGCCCAGCTCGGATGGTTTCTCAACCACTCCCTGCTTAAAAACTGCTTCACGGCCTGAAAGGGCACTAAAATCTGGGAGCATCCACCAGGAAATGGAAAAGGCAAACTCCCAACATAACCACAAAAAGACACTGTACAATCTCCAAACTGTAAAGATGGAAAAAAAAAATGGAGCGGCAAAAAAACATATTACAAGCCCCCCCTCCCCACCCCCCGGCAAAAGGAGAGAGAGAAGACCCATCACGACAAACGGATGGAAAGCACTCGACCCCACAGAGCTCAGTGCCGACACCCCCCGGCACCTGGTGCCCCATCTGGGGAGGCTCTGCCCTCGTGGGTGGACGAACGCTGGCTGCTATTAAGGGCTAGCACTGGGAGGCAGTCCCGTCCATTCCTCTGTCCCTGCAGCCACGGAAGGACGAAGCCCCAAGCACGGAGGCAGAGACCAGGCCCTCCAGTGGCCCCAGGCTCTCCAACTTCCAGCTTCCAGAACTGTGAGAAATAAATTTCTGTTCTTTATAAATGAACCAGTCTCAGGCATTTTGTTACAGCGGCATAAACAGGCTAAGGGAAAAAAGTAAATGGACTAAGAAATACAAGACCAAGTTTGTCAGATTGGAATGGAAAAAGTAATCCAGCTGGCTCAGCACGAGCTGAGTGATGTTTAATCCATGAACAAACATTTCAGAAAATACACACCAGGTGCATGCTGTGCACACCAGGTACATGCTGTGCACACCAGGCTGGGCTTCCTCTATCAATGCTAGGTACAGACTTGAGGCCAGAATGCATTCCAGGAGGTAAGGTGAGCCACTATAATATGGCAAAAAGTTCCTTTCACAAGAGAGCTAAGACGGTCCGACATTTATGCAAATAAAAGCCTCTGAGTAAAGAACAAGAATCAACAGAACAGGCCAGACACAGGCTCATGCCTGTAATCCCAGCACTTTGGGAGGCCAAAGCAGGCGGATCACTTGAGGTCAAGAGTTTGAGACCAGGCTGGCCAACATGGAATGACCCTGTCTCCACTAACAACACAAAAAAAAAAAATTAGCCGGGCGTGGTGCCGGGCGCTTGTAATCCCAGCTACTCGGGAGGCTGAGGCAGGAGAATCCCTTGAACCCAGGAGGTGAGGTTGTAATGAGCCAAGATCACGCCACGGCACTCCAGCCTGGGCGACAGAGGGAGACCCCGTCTCAGGAAAAAAAAAAAAAAAAAAAAGAATCAACACAACAGAGAAAATGCGCCTCAGCCACGGAGCAGATATTAAAGTGCCTTTCAGTAAAGAACAGACAAGGAGACAACCCTAACCCAGACTACAAGACAGAAGATCTGAAAGCAAGACCAAGCTGGAGCTAAACATATAAAATCATCCAATAATCACATAGAAAATAACACAATAATCACGCAATCCATTTTTCAAGCTCCCAGGGAACAACAGTCATCCAAACTTGATCACACAGACAACTACACCACACGCCTAAAAACTGTGAGAGTCACCTTCTGAAGTGACAGTGCAGTTCAGATGGGAGGATGGTGACCAGAAAACACAGCCTTCAATCTGGGAATTAAGAAATGCATTTCTAAGGATGAGGGAGGAGGGAAACCAGAGTAGGAATTTCGAATATTCAAAATTGGAAATGACAGAGATGCTATACAGCAAGGTGGGAGATCCAGGTAAAGTGGTTGTTAGAGGGAAATGTATTTATATTTATCGCTAGAAGACATCCCAATAAAGAGACTCTAAAAGTTAGAATACAACCAAAAGAATAGAAGAAAAACATGAGAAATGTACAAACATAAACGAAACAAAAAGCAAACATGTAACAGAGACTAAACAAAGTCAAAGGTGAGTTTTATTTTAAATGACCTATAAAATAGAGAACAAGCTACACGACACAATAGGAAAGCAACTAGACAAAATAGGAAGGCGCGAACTGTCTGCGAAGCAAATGGCCCAATCCCCAAGGTTGGTCAGTAGCAGGAAGAGAAGGCTCTGCTGGGCGAAAGGCCAGCTAAAGGGGGTGACTGAGCACATGGGCTGGGCTCCTAGGCCCGTGGAGGTGTCTCTCGTTGGTCCGGGCATCAGAGGAAGCAGCAAGCAGCTTGCTGAAATGGAAATGTGAATGAAAACACTGCCACAGCAGCACCTGGGTGAGGGCTTCTTTCAATCTCTGGCAGTGTAGCCTTGACAAGCTGACACATAAGCCTGACTGTCGCACATGTGTGTACCTGTATGTGTGTACGTGAACATGTACACATAAAAAGAGTTCCGTTCGGCCGGGCACACTGGCTCATGCCTGTAATCCCAGCACTTTGAGAGGCCAAGATAGGCGGATCACGAGGTCAGGAGATCAAGACCATCCTGGCTAGCACGGTGAAACCCCGTCTCTACTAAAAAATACAAAAAAATTAGCCGGGCGTGGTGGCAGGCGCCGGTAGTCCCAGCTACTAGGGAGGCTGAGGCAGGAGAATGGCGTGAACCTGGGAGATGGAGGTTGCAGCGAGCCAAGATCACGCCACTGCATTCCAGCCTGGGCGACAGAGCGAGACTCCGTAAAAAAAAAAAAAAAAAGGTTCTGTTCTCCAGGTTGTGAAAATGTGACTATTTTACATTCTATTTCTCCTTATCGGTTTTTCCTAATTTTCTAAAATGTTGAGTATTGCTTCAGTAATAAAGGTTACTTTTTAAAAAAGAATACAAAGAGATGACCACAAACATCTCCAACATTAGGCATCTCCAACATTAGGAAAAACATATTCAGTTTTTCACCAGTAAGAATGGTGTCAGTCAGTGGGTGTTTCTCAGAACGTCCTCCATCAGACTGAGGAAACTCCCTTCTGTTCTTACTTTGCAGAGCACTTTCCTCATGAATAGGTATGGGATTTTGTCTTTTTTTTTTTGACAGCATCTCATTCCATCACCCAGGCTGGAGTGAAATGGCATGATCTCGGCTCACTGCAGCCTCTACCTCCTGGGCTCAATGGATCTTCCCACCTCAGCCTCCAGGGTAACTGGGACTACAGGCGCGCCACCCTGCCCAGCTCATTTTTGTATTTTTTGTACAGATAGGGTTTCACCATGTTGCCCAAGCTGCTCTGCAACTCCTGGACTCAAACAGTCCTCCCATCTCAGCCTCCCAAAATGTTGGGATTACAGGCATGAGCCACCATATCTGGCCTCAAATACCATTTTTTAAAAAAATCTTCTTAGATGATCTTACGGCATTTCATTTTCCTTATGTCAATATGGTACACTACATTGATTTTTAAATGCTAAACCAAATTTGAACTTCTGAGATAAACCCCGCTTGCTCATGAGGTATCGCTATCCTTTCTATCTCCTATAACTTAAATTTACATCAGTATTAATGTGGGTGTTTCTCTAATTTTGGTATCAAGGTGTCCCTGACTCATAGAAAGACTGGATGTGTACCCTCCTCTGTTGTGGAAGGGCTTCTATATAACTGACTTTCCTTATTCTTTAAATGTATAGTACAAATGACCAAGTCAGTCATCCGGGACTGAAGGTTTCTTTGTGGGAAGGGTGTTAACTAAAATTTCAATTTCTTTAATAGATACAGGACTATTTAAGCTATCTATTTCTTCTTCAGTAAGCTGAACTAGTTTAAGTCTTTTGAAGAATTTGTCTATTTCATCTCAGCTGTCTAATTTATTGGCATAAAGTTAACAAATTCCCTTATTGTACTTTGAATGGCTATAAGATCACAGCAATGTCCCTTTTCTCATGTCCATACTAAAAATTTGTTGCTTCTTTTTCTCCTGATCCATTTGGCTAAGGGGCTACCAGTTTTATTGTCTTTAAAAAAAAAAAAAAAACACCCAGCCGGGCATATCACCTGAAATCACGAGTTCAAGACCAGCCTCGTCAACATGGTGAAGCCTCATTTCTACTAAAAATACAAAAACTAGCCAGGAGTAGTAGAGCGCACTTGTAATCCCAGCTACTCAGGAGGCTGAGGCAGGATAATCGCTTGAACCTGGGAGGCGGAGGTTACAGTGAGTCTAGATGGCACCACTGCACTCTAGCCTGGGGGACAGAGTAAAACACTGTCTCAAAAAGTAAAAAAAAAAAAAAAAAAAAAAAAAAAGAATAATAATTATAGTAATCAAGACAGTGTGGTGTTAGCAAAAGAATCGATAAATAGAATGATGGAACAGAAAAGACCAAAAACAGGCCAGGCGCAGTGGCTCACGCCTGTAATCCCAGCACTTTGGGAGAACACGGTGAAACCCCATCTCTACTCAAAATACCAAAAATTAGCCGGGCGTGGTGGCGGGCGCCTGTAGTCCCAGCTACTTGGAAGGCTGAGGCAGGAGAATGGCGTGAACCCGGGAGGCGGAGCTTACAGTGAGCTGAGATCGCGCCACTGCACTCCAGCCTGGGCGACAGAGCGAGACTCATCTCAAAAAAGACCAAAAATAGACCCACATAAATATATAGTCAACTAATTTCTTAACAAATGTAAAGAAATTGAATGGCAAAATAATCTTTTCCACAAATGATGCTGGAAATAATTGAATATCCTCATGCAAAAAACAAAAACCTCTAACCTTACCTTATGCCATACACAAAAATTATTTCATAATTGAAGTAAATATGACTGAAAACTATGTATCTTGTAGAAGAAAACTTGCTCTACGATGCTGGCTTAGAGAGATTTCTTAAAGACACAAAAAGCACAAAGTACCCAAGACAAAACTATGAAGTTGGACTTCATCAAACTAAAAACTTTAGCTGCTCTAAAGACACTATTAAGAAATAAAAATACAGGCCAAATACTTGTTAAAACACACACACACACACACACACACACACACACACACACACACACACACACATATTCAAACAACAAATAGCTGGTAAAGGACCTGTGTCTAGAATCCATAAAGAACTCTCAAAAATCAGCAGACAACCCGATTTTTAGAAATGAGCAAATGGCAGATATGAAAGTGAAGACACATGCTTCACCAAAGCAAATACATGGATAGTCCCTTCCCCCCACCAAAAAAGCCACATGAAAAGACAAGCAACATCATTTGTCACTAGGGCACTGGAAATTAAAACCGCAATTCACTAGAATGGCTAAAATGGAAAAGATGGACTACACCATGTAACGGCAAGGACAGAGCAGATGGAATTCCCATTCAACGCTGGTGGGAACACAAAACTGAGTGGTCACTTTGGAAAAGAGTCTGGCAGGTTCTTAACAAGTTAAACATTCATGTAACATGTGACCGAGAAACCCAGACCCAGAAAAGGTACCACATCCAGCCATCTGATGCTTTGCATGCAACTACTCATATCAGCTTGACTCCCAACAGCTAAAACTAGGAAACAACGGACATGTCTATAACTGCTTATTGGATGAACATGCGACATATCTACCCCCTAAAAAGCTACTCAGTAAACTACTGACATACACCACAGAACCCAGATCAATCTCAAAAGGAAGATGAAACACACCAGACACAAGAGTCCACACTCAATGATTCCATTCATATTAAATTCTAGTAAAGCAAAAGCTACAGTGACCGAAAGCACATCAGCATCCTGGGTCCAGGAAATAGGATGACATGCTGCTGCAAAGAGGAAAGGGGGAACTTTCTTGGGGTGATGGAAATACTACTCTGTATCATGACTGTGATGGTGGGAACAAGACAGTTCCAACTGATTCCTTAAAACTCTCACATCTGTAGTCATGAGCAACATGATGCTCATGTTGAGTGTGGTCAACAGGCCACATTCATGATGGTGGTATGTGCTACCATAAGATGCTAATGGAGTGGAACGGGTCCCATGGCATAAACACCTACCACTGTGTTACGATTTCTTTCCACGATTCAGCAGGGTGACTCAGCAACAGGCTCTACCATGTAGCTTAGGTGTGTGGGAGGCTCTGCCTTCTGGATCTGGGTACGCACACTCTGTGATGCTCAGAGGACAAGATCACCTAACAACGCATTTCTCAGGATGCATCCCCCGACCGCTATTAAAATTGATGCATTCCAAAGTATTTAAACTGTACCTCAAAGAAGCTCTCAGAGAGAATGCACGGGAGTGGACGATGGCGGGCACAAGAGCTCGTCAAGAGCACTGTTGTGAAGAAAAGCAGAGAGGCGGCGGCGGCAGCTGGTGGTGGGCATGGGCGAGGGGTTCCACGGCAAAGAATGAAATTGAATGCCCATCACCCCACGCCCACAGGCCGCCAAACACATCTGGAAAAGCAGAATACATTCCTGAAGGGGATGGCATCCATGGCCCTAGGGAAGGAAGACCAGATCCCAACAGGAGCAGGATGAGGCTGTCCTTGATACTGAGCAGGTGGCTGACTTCACCACACACCCTCCACTACCTCCGCAAATCACTCCAGGCATTCATTACCCACTACACCAAATAACTGATTCTCATTTCATAAATATACGTATTCAAAGAGGATCCTAGCGAACTTTTTCAAGAAAACACTGGATACAGACTCTCGGGCAGGTCTGTAAGTTAAGGCATGGAGACGAAGCTTCTCTCTGTGTTTGGCATTGAGGCAATGCTGCTGTGGGCACTGCAGACATAGGCCCTGTGACCTGGGCGCAGGTTCGTGTCATGCCACACAGCATGCAATTCCATGGACACAAAATGACCAGAACAGCAGACTCAGAGAGGACGCAGAGGCTGCAGGGGGAACAAGGAGTGACGATTAAAGGTCCAAGTTTCTTTCTGAGGTGACAGCAATGTTCTAGAACTGACAGTCCTGGTGGTTGAACAGACCCGTGAATACACTAACAACCTTTGAACTGTGCGCTTTATCTGGGTAAGCCTACGGTCTGTCAATCCTCTCAATCAAGCTGGTATTATCTCTTTTTTGGAGACAGTCTCACTCTGTCGCCCAGGATGGAGTGCAGTGGTGCGATCGTGGCTCACTGCAATCTCTGCCTCCCAGGTTCAAGCAATTCTCACGCCTCCGCTGAAATGACAGGCACAAGCCACCAGGCCCAGGTAATTTGTGTAGAGGCGGGGGTTTCAACATGTTGGTCAGATTGGTCTCAAACTCCTGACCTCAAGTGATCCGCCTGCCTCAGCCTCCCAAATGCTGGGATCACAGGCGTGAGCCATTGCACCTGGCCGATTATCTTCTTTGAAAAGCATGAGACACGTTTCCCTAGGGATGGAATGCTGGACACGAGACAAGACTTGTCCTAAGGACTGGATCTCACAGTGGCCAGGTATGCATCACGCCACGCGGTGCAGAGCCCTGGGGGAAGGCAAGTCAAGAAGCCAGGGGTCTAGGCACCGCAATGTCTCAAGGCAGCCCCCCAAGAAAACCAAGCAGAAGGCCACAGTGACGCCCTCCTGCTCTCAGGTCAGTGGCAGGAGGGCACTTGCTGATGCTGGGCACAGAGGAATGTCAGGGCAGATCTTCAAGGCTCACACCCTTCAGAGCTTCTGGCAAGCTCAACACAGTGAGCGAGCCCTGCCCCCAAGAGTGAGGCCCCTGTCAGGGCCACTTCCTCTCGCCCTGGCCCATCCAGATCTCACACACACTGTGGTAGATCTTTGAAGGGTAAAAGCTCTGTCCGCTCCACTCATCAGCACCAAAGTGTTCTGTGCCTGGCCCTTCTCCACCCAATTCACCAGTTTATTGAAGCCTCAGCTGGGTGAGTCCCGCTTGCCTCTGAAAATGTGTGTGCTCAGCCAGGCAGATTCTTGAGTGCGTTTCCTATGTGCTGCTGCCCTCCTTCAAGATGACCACATGGGCCCCCAAGCAGGGCCCCTACCTGCTTTGTCAGCATCTTGTCCTTTCCCTCTTTTCTCTCACGGC
This sequence comes from Homo sapiens, assembly GCF_000001405.40. Lineage (NCBI taxonomy): Eukaryota > Metazoa > Chordata > Mammalia > Primates > Hominidae > Homo > Homo sapiens. The sequence continues at coordinate 89,352,885 of NC_000016.10, forward strand.
TTGTTCTACTTCACGGCATGTTTAAGCAAAGGGGGTCACTACAACAAAATTATTTTAAAACAAACATACTTCAGAAAAGTTTATGGAAAACATTAAACCTTGAATATATTAACTTTACAGGATCCATTTACTTCACCCTAACACTGAGTTAAAATTATAACAAGAGAAAGTAGGGCTGGGCGCGGTGGCTCACGCCTGTAATTAATCCCAGCACTTTGGGAGGCCAAGGCAGGTGGATCATGAGGTCAGGAGTTCAAGACCAGCCTGGCCAATATGGTGAAACCCCGTCTCTACTAAAAATACAAAAATTAGCCGTGCATGGTGGCAGACGCCTATAATCCCAGCTACTCAGGAGGCTGAGGCAGGAGAATTGCTTCAACTCAGGAGGCGGAGGTTGCAGTGAGCCAAGATGGCGCCACTGCACTCCAGCCTGGGTGACAGAGTGAGACTCCAACTCCAAAAAAAAAGAGAGAGAGAGAGAGAGAGAGAAAGTAAACAAAGTTTCTATTTATTTCTCCAGAGGATCTCAAAAGTAGAGCTGGAAATACCAGCAGTAAGAGGAACACCAGTCCAAGGCAACTACAAGGAACTGGTCACTTTTTCATTTTTTTGAGACAGAGTCTTACTGTGTCACCCAGGCTGGAGTACAGTGGTGCAATCTCGGCTCACTGCAACCTCCGCCTTCCGGGTTCAAGCAATTCTCCTGCCTCAGCCTCCCTAGTAGCTGGGATTACAGGCATGCACAACCACGCTTGCCTAATTTCTTTGTATTTTTAGTAGAGACAGGGTTTCATCATGTTGGCCAGGCTGGTTTCGAACTCCTGACCTCAGCTGATCCGCCTGCCTGGGCCTCCCAAAGTGCTGGGATTACAGGCGTGAGCCACTACGCCCGAACTGGTCACATATCTTATGGAACATAATGTTTTTCATGATCAACAGCCACTATGGGAACACAACACACATCAGCCCTGAGACACCCGAAACAAGACAGAGCAGCCTCTGCAGCCTCTCATGCAGGGAGCGTGGGGCATGTCTGCCACAGGGTGAGGGGCGGCGGGCAGAGATGGAGACATAAAGGCGGAGCTGGCTTCCAGCCTTGTGAACCAGCCCAGCTGAATGCCCCAAGTCTGTAAATAATTGATGGGAGCCAGAGCACCCAGCCCTGCAGGGCTCTCGGGAGCTGCCCGCCCAACAGTCCCATGCCTGGCACTCCCTCAGGTGCCGCCTGCAAGGTCACTCCACTGCTTCTAAATAATGCACTGCACAGATGGAGGAAAGTATACCTTTACCCATTCAAATCTTCCAAGGCACGCATTTTCACAAATTTTACATATATATAACTAAATTTTGCATTCAGCCAAAAAAAAAAAAAAAAAGAAAACTTCATGTTGAAACACTGTATCTCACCCTAGAATTTGAAAAGCCTCCTTTTCCTTCTCACTGTCAATCTTTTTTGAAGTCTCAAAAATGATTTTACTAACATTAGACAAATACCCAAATATAAAAAGTGCTTGACACAGTCAACACTGCAGCAGTGAGGTCCACTATGCCAGCGCAGTGCAGAGCCAGCCCACCTCCCTGCACCAGTGGAAATGTCACAGAGGGCAGAGGGCAGCGTGCCCAGCACCTGCTCTTGATAGGGAGGGCACTTCTAGGCTGGAATACTCAAGAGATTTGATTGTGTGTCATCAAAGCATGCTTTAAATACAAAAGCTGGCAGGGCACGGTGGCTCACTCTTGTAATCCCAGCACTTTGGGAGGCCGAGGCAGGTGAATCACCTGAAGTCAGGAGTTCAAGACCAGCCTGGCTAACACGGTGAAACCACGTCTCTACTAAAAATACAGAAATTAGCCGGGCATGGTGGCGAGCACCTGTAATCCCAGCTACTCATAAGGGAGGCTGAGGCAGGAGAAATCGCTTGAACCCAGGAGGCGGAGGTTGCAGTGAGCCGAGATCACACCTCTGCACTCCAGCCTGGGAGACAGAGTGAGACACTCTCAAACAAACAAAGGCTGTGAGTGGCCTGGAAGCTCGTTCTTCTAGCTCCTTTGGCAAAGAAAATGCCCCCAAAGGAGTGAGGGCAACAGACTTTCCAAGTCCCAGGAAATGCACAGATTCACATGCTGAAGACCCACCAGATGCAGGAAGGAAACGCCAGAACAACATGTTTGCTTTCATCTAAAAACATCAGAAAAAGTCTAAATGTTGCTGACATTTCCTGGGCAGCTGCCCTGTGGTCTCCCGTCTGGCCAAGGAGCCTCAACCCAGTTGCTCCCAACATACTCCCATCCCAGGCGAACCTATGCTGGTGATGCTCGGGAGGCGGGCAGAGGGCTCACGGAGGGAGGGCGGAGGGCTCACACCCTGAGGCTCGGAAGGCGGGCAGAGGGCTCACACCCTGAGGCTCGGAAGGCGGGCGGACGGCTCACACAGACCCACAAGGACCAAAGAGGAACGTGCAGGACTCCAACACAAACGGAGGACGATGGCAGAACAGAAGAGCTGATTAAGTTTCTGCTGCTTGTACCATAAACTTTTCATCAGCCAGACTGTTTGCCTGAAAGACCTAATCAAGGCTGACAAGAATTCAAAGCCATTTCAAAGTGCTCCTCAGGGGTGAACGTGGCCCCATGTCCGGCACATGCTCTGCTCTGAACGCTCTCTCTTCCAGCAGGGACGGCCCCAGACATCGAGTATCACAACCAACTCAAAAATAGACTGAAATGTCACAGTATCGCCAGGATCAAAAGAAGGTCTCTTAAAAATAAAGGGTTTCTTCCATTAATAAGTAAAACAAGAAAAAACCCAAAGATGCTCACTTGAACTTCATCTTGTTATGAGCATCCACCCGTCGAGGGCAGGTCTTGTGTTACTGAGCGCAGCCTGACAATCGCATCTGCACCGAGGCCCTGCCACGGCGGTTCACGGCAAGGGTCTGTGGCTCTCCTGTGCGCAGCCCAATGGAAAGGCAGAGTGACCGATGAGATAAACACCACAGGAACAGGGTGCTCCCCCCAGCACAGCTCGGGAGACCAGGGCTCAGGAACGCTAAGTGACTCGCCCAAGACCACCAGAAATGAGTTGGGAGGCTGAGGTGGGAGGATCACATGAGCCCCGCCCTGGGGGCTGAGGCGACAGTGAGCCCAGATAGCGCCCCTGCACTCCAGCCTGGGCACTGGAGTGAGACTTGTCTCAAAACAAATACAAGAAAGAATCTGGAAAACCTTAGTTACTATGAACTAGTGCTTTTCACTAACAAAACACAAGTATTTTTTAATTCTCACGTTTCTGATCATCTTTGTTTATAACATTTATAGGTTACAAACAATGAACTATTGTGGGTTTTTAAAAACTGATTACAGACTTTCAGGACGTCCAAAGGAGACATCTTTGTCAAGGGAGTAAAGTGGAGAATTCCAGAGACACGCACAGTTCTCGGTGGCAAGCCATCCGCTGAGGTGAGAAGGATGTGATCCATCAGCCAACCCTGCCTAGATGATGACACCAGCTCCGGAAGCCAGATGGAGCAGCTGGACACATTCAGAACAGTGCTTTCAAGCAGACACTGCTTGTTCCAATGTCAGCTCTATAAAGAATGTAACAGGGCCAGGCGCGGTGGCTCACGCCTATAATCCCAGCTCTTTGGGAGGCCGAGGCGGGCGGATCACGAGGTCAGGAGATCGAGACCATCCTGGCTAACACAGTAAAACCCCATCTCTACTAAAAATACAAAAAAAAAAAAAAAATTAGCCAGGCGTGGTGGTGGGTGCCTGTAGTCCCAGCTACTTGGGAGGCTGAGGCAGGAGAATGGTATGAACCCGGGAGGCCGAGCTTGCAGTGAGCCAAGATCGCACCACTGCACTCTAGCCTGGGCGACACAGCAAGACTCCGTCTCAAAAAAAAAAAAAAAGAAAAAAGAAAAAAAAAGAACGTAATGGTACAATTTTGGGGACCCCAAAAGGATAATGCACATAATAAACAACAAAAGCCTGAGGCTTCTCCCAGGCCCTGTGGCTGTAATCTCCCGGAGTCCCAGGCATCCTGCTGCTGGGAAGGGCCAGCTCCCAAGTGACCTGTGACCATCTTGGAGGGGTTGGTGGCTGCCTTGTCAGCAGGGCATGTCCCAATGCTAATGGTTCAACAGCCAGGCTTGACATCTTTTATTCTAAAAATCTACCACAGAATAGCCAAAGGGCAGTGGTGGGGATGAGGATGAGTCTGTAGGAGGGACAGTGTAAGGAAGGTGGAGCCATCTAGGGGCACTGCTCAGAGGTAGGCTCGGCCAGAGCTACAACACACCTTCGAAGATGAGTGGGGTTGGGGGCGGGGTGAGTCAGCTTCAACACACCCAGGATTCACCTCTCATCTGTCAAATCTGCTGATAAAAGTCACACCATGAAGGAAGGGCAGTCAGGGACTGTGCTCACCACGTGTCCCGGGGACAGGACACTTGCTGCCAGTCTCCAGCACCTCACAGGGAACCAGGGGGCAGGTGAGCTTGTGGAGAAACAGGAATCCTCGTGCATTGCTGGTGGGAACATATAATGGTGCAACTGCCAAAAAAAAACAGTGTGACGATTCCTCAACAAATTACAAAAGGACTAAGCATATGATCCAGCAGTTCCCCTTCTGGGTAGATATACAAAAGAACTGAAAGCAGGGCCCCCAAAAGACAGTTGTACTTCGACGTTCACAGTTCACACAGCATGGTTCCCAACAGCAAACCCGAGTGTCCCCTGGCGGATGACAGAGAAGCAGAATGCGTCTGCACACAGCATAACGCGACTCAGCCCTAACGAGGAATGCCTGTCACAGCCAATGCTGCGGACTCCACTCACAGGGTCCAGGGACAAACAGCAGCTGCACAAGAGGAAGGGCCCTGAGGGAGGAGTCTGGGAGGAACCACTGCTCATCGGCAAGCCAATCCATGGCCACAGGACAACGCTGCTGAAGGTACTGGAAGCCAGGGTGCTGGCTGCCCCTTTCTGGGGACACCTTTCCTTTCTTTTCCTATTTTTATTGAACACTGGGATGAAAGTAATGAAAAGTAGTAAATCCTTTCAAAACAATCAGATTTAGTTATGATGCTCAATTTCTGAAATCAATCTCTTCAAATAGCCAGTAAATGCTTCCTTTCCAAAGACTGAACCCTCTTACTGCTTTGAACAATGGAGGAAGTGAGTGAGGCACCAGATGCAACTTTTGACCCAAGGACACAGGTCAAGCTGTGACAGTTAACAACCAGGGTGGCTGGAGATGCTGCACCCACCCACGTGGCTTTGCTAGAATGCCACCACGTGCGGGCAGACACAGGCCACAGCCCCCACACCTCACTCTGGCATCAGCACTGGTCCCGCATGGAGCTGTGCCGGCTTGCAGAAGACGTAGAGCACACAGGCGTGTTCCTTCCCTTCTGTTGGCCACATCACAGCTGCATATTCACGGGAGTGAACATCATCTACACAACAGCTTCCACGTTTGCAAACATGCACAGCTTAGCGACCACGTTTCAAAGAGCCACGTGGATAACTGCCTATATTACTGGTACTCAATTTCCAGGTTGGGTTGGTAACTGGATTGTTTACAACACAAAGGATAACTAGTTGAGAAGATGGATACCCCGTTTTCCATGATATCATCACTACGCATTGCATGCCTATATCAAAACATCTCATGGACCCCATAAATACATTCATCTATGTACTCACAAAAACTTTAAAAATAATAATTAATAAATAAACAGAATGACTAAGATTTCAACTGTTTACCCAGGATGCTGCCTGCAGCTCATTTCAGTGACAACCCACAAGCTGCCCTCGCTGGCCCTGTGTGCTGAGGACGGGACATCTGCACCCAGCCCTAGATAACCCCACGTGCAAACCACTTCCCCTGTGCCGCTAAAACCCACATCTCACATTTCAGTTATAGTTTGTTTTTTGCCTGTAGGTTTTTTTTTTGAGAATAGGGTCTCCCTCTGCTGCCCAGGCTGGAGCGCAGTGGTGCGATCATGGCTCACCACAGCCTCGACCTCCTGGGCTCAAGTGATCCTCCCACTTCAGCCTCCAGAGCAGCTGGGACCACAGGCATGCACCACCACACCTGGCTAATTTTCTATTTTTTGTAAAGACAAGGCTATACATTTCTTATATATGTCTAAATCGTCAGTATTAAACACTGACAGAGCAAAGCCTTTCTCTGCTTCAAATTTTAATATTCCAAAATATATAAAACATCATTGTCACTGTCCTCATCTAAAAGACTGATTCTGGAAGAAAAAAAAAATCAATCTGAAACAAGATCACGGAAATGCGATCTGTCCCACACACACCATCTTTAACATGAATGGTGCCTCCAAAGAACAAATGCTAGATGCAAACTGCTTGAGTATGCTTCTTTATTTTTAGTAAAGACTCCAGAAAATCCCAGAGCAGCCATTTCCCATACAACTCAATCGCACGTACAGCCCTTTAAAAAGCAGACTCCCAGGGAACTGCAGCCAGCTCCTGGAGCCAGCCCCAGCAGAGGAGCAGGAAGACCTTCCAGCCTGCGCCAAGGAGCAGCGCACACGTCTGCTGCAGCCCCTCGGCCCCCACTGCTTCGGGATGCAGATGGCAGCACTGTGACCTCACTGTGCCTACCTCCTTGTTCCGGCCCTGCAGTCTTGATTCTTCAGGCTAATCCCACACTCTGAGCCTTGGCTGCTGGCCGAAACTGTTATTAATGGCACAGAGCTGCTCATTTCAGCTTCTTTTACCACGAAGGTAGCCGGCTGTTCACCTCTCTGCCTCTCCACACTGAAGCAGGAACTGGGTAACTGTACAAGAGGCATTTTCAACGGTCTTCATATCTGAGTCTCAACAGCCAGCAGAAGATGTTTGCATTTTAGTCTACACTACATTCTATGTGATGCAGAAAGATAAGATAGTTTTTATTCAATTCTTGTGTAAAAGCTACAAAACCCTAAGAACAGAGAGTGCCATGGATGCCAAAATCAGCATCACATAGTTTATATGTTTTTTAACTTTTAGGTTCGGGGGCACATGTGAGGGTGTACTACATAAGTAAACACATGTCGGCAGTGGGCGGGGGGGGAGGTTGTACGTGTTATTCTATCACCCAGTACTAAGCCCAGTACCCAACAGTTATCTTTTCTGCTCCTCTCCCTCCTCCCGCCCTCTCCCCTCAAGTAGACCCCCGTGTCTGGTGTTTCCTTCCCTGTGTTTTTAAGTTCTTATCATTTAGATCCCACTTGTAAAGTCAGAACATGTAGTATTTGGTTTTCTGTTCCTGAGTTAGTTTGCTGAGGCTAATAGCCTCCAGCTCCATCCATGTTCCCATAAAAGACATGATCTCGTTCATTTTTATGGCTATGTTATCTTATCTTATTTTGTATTAGGGATGGGGCTTCACTATGTTGCCCAAGCTGGCCTGAAACTCCTGGGTTCAGGCAATCCTCTCGAATTGGTCTCCCAAGTAGCTGGGACTACAGGTGAACATCACCATGCCCACTTTTCCATCTTCATCACTTGATAAACATTTATAATGAATGACATTAAATTACACATAGCAAAATTCTGAGAAACTATATACCACAAATCCTACAAAATTTAAAAGATTAAAAAACCATGGATTATTGTTATGTGCATTAGCCAATGTCAGTGGTTCCAATATTTACTTTCACCACTAAAATGGCACGAAAGCATGAAGTCGGGAATGACAGCATTCTAGAAGCCAGTGCACCTGAGATGAAATTCATGGTATGTTCGGAACCTAGAACGTCGATGGTCAACACTAGGCAGCTTCATCTGTCATACGTGGACTCCCTTTCAAAACTCCAGGTGTGTGTGTCTGTCATGTGGCTATGGAGAGGAAGAGGAGAAGAAAAGATTTCGATTCACTAAAAACTCCTGTTAAGCCTCCAAGAAAGATCCAAGTAATCAGATACCTGGTCAGTCACAGCCTCTCTGCATGAAGCCTCTCTGCATGTGGTTAAGACCTGCAAACCTCAACAGAATCCACGGTCTCTTGCCCCTGCACTGAGCCTGTGTCGGGACTTGGCCACTGCTCTGCATCAGGTGAGAGGCTCCTTGTCTCTCACATCCAGATGGATCCGATCCAACTCACACAGTGAACGACTCCAAACCTGGGCAGCCCTGGGCTCCAGGATCAGCCCACCCCAGCCCCTGCTGCAATGGCACCTCCTACTCTCATTGTGGAAACCTGTCAACCCAATTACAGACACCCTGGCTAGGCCCGTACTTCTTCCTGTAAGCCTGAAACCCTGCTCAGCTACCCTAAACCACCACCTCTGCGCACCCCTTAGGAAACCCCAGCAGCACATCCCCCTTCTTCCTCCCGCAGAGGGCCTGCCCCAAGCAGCAGGAAACGGGGTGACACAGGCCTTCCTTGGCCTCAGCACACACAGAACCATCACAGCGCCGGGGGCGGGGGGTGCTGCAGGGACACATTCCAGCTGTGCACTTCTCTGGGGGCCAGCACAGACCACTGAGCATGAGCTGCCTCATTCAGGCCAGGTGACTGTCTTCATCATCATTCAACTTTGAAACTTAGGGTTTGTGCCAGTCCACCTGTTTATGTTCCATACTTACATATCCCAAGCCATTAACAAGTGTTTTCTTCTTTGGTTATGATGCTACAGAATCAGCAGAGGAACATCCGCATCACCAGAAGGCTCTGCAGGCAGCACTGAGGCCCATCCTGCTGGGAGAATGCCGCTCTGAGGGCAGTGGGACTGCCAGCAAAGGACACAGGCTCAGGGAGACCTTCCACTCCTGCTGAAACACCAATCAGTAGAAGATCACCACCCAGAAATATCACTTTCAAGCTTAAGGATCACAAGTTACAAAGATAAATGTCTCTAAGGACTAAGGGAGAAGTACAAAGTAAAAAGATTTAAGCTTGGGAAAATTAACCCTAAACATTTAAAAACAAAACAAACAAAAAAAATCCGCACTCTAGATAAGACCTTCAAAACAGCATGCCTGTCAGAGGGACAGTAAAGGTCAGACGGGGCAGCAATGGGGTATGAGCTGGCACAGCCTTGCAACACCCTGGATGGGCGGCCAGGGGCTTGTGAGAGTGGCTCCAGGCAGGAGGACCCTGAATTTATGGGAGGGGGCAAGACTAACCCTCAAGTGCTCCTCAGATACGTTTCATTAAATGCACTGAAAGTTTTGTAAAAGATGCAAGTTTCAACATGAGATACAATTATTTACCCAATCTGACATGTGGCTTAACAAATGTGAGTGGATTAGGGGATTTTTGTTTTATTCTTCTGAAATACCAACTGCCTTCTTCTTCCCCTTCTGAAACAACCACTGGACAAACTGAACGGCACATATGCTTTTCGGGATCTCAGCGTAAGCAGCTCCCACTGCTAGGGATGAAGAGTGCTCCTCTGTCTGCCTGAGTGAAACCTCACGACACCTTGCACAGCCCGCAGTCCTTGCTGACTGGAAGCAGAACCAAAACCTGAGCTGGAGAGAGTGCACGAAAGTTCCATCTAGACCCAAACCTAAATTGCACAGCTACAGAATGAAGTGAACAGCACTGAAGCCGGAAGGGACAAGACTCAATCCCACGTGACTGAACCCATGTGTCCAGCACCAGAGATACTGGGCGGAGCACACATCTCAGCTGTGTAAAAAGTAGAAGTTCCTCTTCAAAGACTTTCCTCCCCATCTAATTAAAAATAAATAGTAACTTCTCTTAAAAGCAACATTTATTCAAAGACCTGTGCTGACATTCCTAAATATCTGCTAGCCTTAATAAAGAAATCAATGTACTTTATGTTCTTAGCTCCCACAATTTAGCCTAAGTATCTGCCCTGGCATGCTTATACTGGTCGAAGCAAGCATTAGGTCACGGCCTGTTCCTCTTCCTTAGTTGAAGGTGTTTTTACCTTTCTCAGCATTCCACAAATTACTTCCTCCTTCCTTTGTTCTCCTCTGCCTTTGCCTCTTTTAAAAAGTTCTAAGTTGCTAGCCAATCGGGACAAATACAGAATGTGAGGTCCCGTTCCAGCCAATGGAAACCGGACACAGCAGTTGGTATAAAAAAACCGGACACAGCGTCAGGTTATAAATGACCCTGGTCTCCTTTATCCGGTGTACTCTCGTGGCAAAACTGCTGGCGAGTGTACCCTTTCTGCAGAAGGTATAAAAAATGGCCTTGCTGAGGAAATTAAATTTACGTTCAAGTGCTATTTCTTTACGGCACCAGGGCACAAGCATTTCAAACAGCTGGGAACACGCCTATCCCTGTTAAAAAAAATATACGATGTTTCCAGATAAAAGAATTCTGATCAGAAATAGGTAAGTTTTCATTTAAAATTTTTTCCTATACTCTGCCTTCTGAAGCAGTCTCTAAATTCACCCTGTATTTGACGGTGCATGCGAATTTGTTATTTATGCTTAAATGCCAGCCAAGGAGTAAGATTCAGTCTGCATTAGGAGATATACCTAATGCTAAATGACGAGTTAATGGGTGCAGCACACCAACATGGCACATGTATACATATGTAACAAACCTGCACGTTGTGCACATGTACCCTAAAAGTATAATAATAATAAAATTAAAAAAAAAAAAGATTCAGTCTTGCAAAGTTTTGAAATCTCTCAAGGGGGAAAAAAAACCTTACATAGTTCACAATTCTGAGTCCAGAATCTAGGAGAAACCACCAAAACTTTCTTTGCATTCTGTCAAATTCAAACGCACTCTGTGTGCCAAGCCTCACTCACTTTATGTCCACCAAGCACCACACGCTGCTTCCCGTGTATGTGGCCCAGGCCCCTGTGAAACAAACACACTCTCTGTGGTAGACTGGAAGAACACGGGCCTGCAGGTTCCAGTCAGGAAGTGGAGTGCTAGCCCTATGCGGTGACTCATGCCTGGAGCACAGCACTTCAGGAGGCTGCGGCAAGGAGGACTGACTGAGGCAAAAAGTTCGAGACCAGCCTGGCCATCGTGGCAAAACCCTGTCTCTACAAAAAAGAAAAAAAAAATTACCCAGGTATGATGGCATACATGCCTGCAGTCCCAGCAACTCAGGAGCCTGAGCAGGAGGACAGCTTGAGCCCGGGAGTTGGAGGGTGTGGTGAGCTATCATTGTGCCATGCCACTGCATTCCTGCCCAGCCGACCAAGTGACACGCTGATTTAAAACACACACACACACACACTCAATGGAAGGCAAAAGAAAAGGAAGAAAAAAAAGACATGGAGCCTTTCTTTCCAGCCCTGGAGCCTGGGTGTACCCCAGACTTGCTGGGCCCACGAGGACCCTGCCACTTCCACCTGTGCCCTCAGGCAACATGTGGGGGCCCACACAGACTGAAGTATGAAATGGATTCAGCCCCCATCAGCCTAATGCAGCTTCATGAGTGATCCCAGGTATGACCAGCAGAAAACCACCAGGCAACACAAGAATTAAGAGAACTCATAAATCATTATTTTCTTAAGACACCATGTATTGTCTTACACCGCAATAGGTAACTGAAACACATCCTACTCACGGTAAGAACAAGCTGAAATATGGAAAGTTGTTTGAGATGCTACTTAAACACAGATTTAACTCCAGAGCAGAGCCTTTCCATGTATTTTTCTTAACCTATTCGCCCTCAAAACAGCGCTGAGCACAGCAGTCAGACCCTAAAGCAGAGGTGTCCAATCTTTTGACCTCCCTGGGCCACACTGGAAGAAGAACTGGCTTGGGCCACACATAAAATACACCAATGCTAACAACAGCTGATAAGCTTAGAAAAAAATCTCATAACGTTTACAAATTTGTGTTGGGCCACATTCAAAGCTGCCATGGGCCGCGGGCTGGACAAGCTTGCCCTATCTCACACTGTTCCCTGTCAGACTGTAAACACTACTCAGAATCACACAATCTCATCTCGGCTCCAAGTGGAAGCTTGCTCAGCACCACGGCCAACCTGATCCCACTGCAGATGTTCCAACAGCCTGGCACGCAGATGGCCCAGGGAAAAGCCTCATCGAATGCTGAATACCTGTGAGATCATTTCTTACAAAGCCAAATGAACAACACTATGTTAATTTTCAAATTTTGGCATGGAAATCACATTCTAAGACGCTTCCCAAGCTTTCTGGAGGATGCTATGAATTCTGTTTTATAGGTAACAAGTCTGGAAGCCAAAATAATCAAGATTTAATAAAATGGCCTCAAAAGTGACAAGACTCTCCTTCCCTTATGACAGACCATGTTTGCTTTCCTTTTTACTAGATGATTAACTCAATTCTTTCAACAATCCTGTCCAGTGATGACTATCTTGTTGGCTGGTCAGAAGGGGAAGTTCCAGAGCTGGTTTTTGTAGAAAACCTCAGATTCTTTCAATCCCAGGCCATCTTATCACGTAGTCTAAACCCTTGTGTCATCACCTCCTGACGTTTCCATCAGCAGAGGCAGAGCTCTCACCTTAAAGAGCATGAGGCCAAATCACTGGCTGCAAAGCACAGAACACAGACATCCTTGGCCACACAAGAGTGAGAGCCACTGAGCCCAACCAGGGTGCAGGGGAGCCTCCCAGATGAGAGGCCTGTGCTTGGTCCCACAGGGTGCAGCCTTACCGTGCTGCTGAGACACTCTGCCCAAGAAATGGCTCCAGGATTTTCTGAAACTCGCTTTCAAAATATTTCCAAGCTCTTATGTCTTGTGTATGCCTTAATAATTGAAAAAGAGGTATGTTCACTCAAGAAAGGGAAGAGCAGTAAGCCAAGTAGGGGGCCTTTTACCGCAATTCTTCCTGGGCAGTGTCTGTGGAAGGTGGTCTCTCCGCAGAAACCCAACGTTTTTTTTAACTTTGTTTTAGGTTCGGGTTGCAGGTTTGTTACGTAGGTAAACTTGTGTCATCAGGGTTTGTTGAACAGACTATTTCATCACCCAGGTGTTAAGCCCAGTACCCAACAGTTATTTTTTCTGTTCCTCTCCCTCCTCCACCCCCAACCCTCAAGCAGACCCCAGTGTCTGCTGGTCCCTCTCTGTGTCCACGTGTTCTCATCATTTCGTTCCCATTCATAAGTGACAACACGCAGTATTTGGTTTTCTGTCCCTGCATTGGTTTGTTAAGGATAAGGGCCTCCAGGCTCTATCCATGTTCCACAAAAGACATGATCTGATCACTTGAACCTGGAAGGTGGAGGTTGCAGTGAGCTAAAATGGCGCCACTGCACTCTAGCCTGGGTGACAAAGTGAGACTCCATCTCAAAAAAAAAAAAAAAAAAAAAAGACATGATCTCATTCTTTTTCATGGCTGCACAGTATTCCACGGTGTATATGCACCACATTTTCTTTATCCAATCCGTCACTGATAGATGCTCATGTGGATTCCATGTCTTCTTCTGTGAATGGTGCTGCAATGGACATTCGCCCGCATGTGTCTTTATGGTAGAATGGTTTCTATTCCTCTGGGTATATACCCAGTAATGAGACTGCTGGGTCAAATGGTAGTTCTGGTTTTAGCTCTTAGAGGAATCGCCATACTGCTTTCCACAGGGTTGAACTAATTTACACTCCTGCCAACAGTGTATAAGTGCTCCCTTTAATCCACAGACTCGCCAGCATCTGTTATTTTTTAACCTTTTCGTAACAGCCATGCTGACTGGTGTGAGATGGTGTCTCGCTGTGAGAAACCCAGTTTTCACGATCAGCTGGTTTCCACTCGCTGAAATCAGCAGACTCTTGTTGAAAAGGCTGCCATCTTGCCTTGGCTAACCCGAGCTGTTTCCTGTATCTGTCATGAGGGTGCTGAGACATGTCTAGACAGAGGTGCGGCACAGTCAACTGGACACCATCCATGACTTGGCCCTAACAAAGCAGCTCTCTTGAATGTGTGCTATGGGTACACCAAGTCCCACTTCCGGGGGCACCCAGGGCAGGGGTCAGCAAAGGCTTTCTGGAAGGGTCCAGATGACACACACTTTGGGCTTTGCAAGCCACTCACGGCCTCTGTCACATCATCCTGTTGCTGCTGTGAACGACCCTTTAAGAATGTGAAGACCATCCTTCGCAATCTGGTTGTACAAAGACAGACCCACAGGCTGGATTAGGTCCGCTGATTGTGGTTTGCCAGCCCCTGGCCTGGAGCTTTGCCAGTGTGCAGGCTGGATGCCCAGCCACGGCTCCTTCTGCTAGGACGACCTCTCCTCTATGACAGACTCCAAGATGCCACCCCGAGACTCACCGGATACTCACTACCTCAACTCTCCACCCCGCACCCATCGGTGAGGAAGAGCAGGCACCTCAGGGGGACAGTCCATACATCCCCCTTCGTGTTTCCCATCGAAACACAACAGTCCACTCCACGTGGGAGTTCAGCGTTCTCTCAGGGGTGGGTAGAGCGCCGCTCCAGACTCCTGCCGCAGGGGCCAGTGCTGGCCCAGCAGTACCGGGAGCCCCTCCTCCTGAGCACAGTGGCGGCGCCCAGAGCGGCAGACCTCCCACCACTGCTTCCACTGGGGAAAGGCCGGGGATGCTCAACGCAACCTTAGCCGGCAACTCAGGGGAGAGACGCTCTCAAACGACCGGGAGTCTCAGGGGAGCGACGCTCTCAAACAACCCGGAGTGTACAGCTGCCATGGTCACCCACGCTCCCTCTTAGGCCACGGCACACACCAGTCCCTGCCGCCTGCTCCCCTCTACCCTGTTCCTGACCCGTCCCTCCTCAGCCTGACAAGTCCACATTGCTTGGGGGCCTCTATAAATCCTCCATGGCACAAAACCTCCCTTGACCAGGAAAGCTCCCAAAGGCTCCAAGCAGCAACAGCTGCAGGTTTTTTGCAGATTGGTGAGTACAGCTCCACGCATCCCATCCTGACTACCCCCAGCGGCTGCATGTCCACCTGCTGCTGCCTCTTGCAAACTATGACTTGTTCAAAAGCAGGTGGGGAGCCTGGGCAACATGGCGAAACCCTGTCTCTACAAAAAACAAAAATCAGTCAGGCACGGTGGTGTGCTTGTGGTACCGGCTACTCCAGAGGCTGAGGTGGGAGGATCACTTGAGCCCAGGAGGTCAAGTCTGCAGTGAGCCATGACTGCACCACTGCACTCCAGTGTGGGTGACAGAACAAGACTCACTCTCTCAAAACAAAAAACAAAAAAAGAAATTGTCCTTGCAACCAACTGCTGTGCTCCGTTTATCTGAAAACCCTGTTTATCTGATTTCTAGTCCTGTTCACAGTGCTCACTACGCTACTCATTGGTTTAAAAAATAAGTCCTACATCAAACCAGATTCCAACAATTCCAACATACTCTGTCCACTCTTAACATGTTTTCGAGCTTTTTTTTTTTGATACAGATTCTTGCTCTGTTGCCCAGGCCAGACTGCAGTGGCACAATCTCGGCTCACTGCAACCTCCGCCTCCCAGGTTACAAGCGATTCTCCTGCCATAGCCTCCTGAATAGCTGGGATTACAGGTGCCTGCTGCCGTGCCTGGCTAATTTTTGTGTTTTTTTTTTTTTTTTTTTTTTTTTTTTTTTAGTAGAGATGGGGTTTCACCATCTTGGCCAGGCTGGTCTCGAACTCCTGACCTCGTGATCCACCTGCCTCGGCCTCCGAAGTGCTGGGATTACAGGCATGAGCCACCGCGCCCAGCCCAGAGCTTCTTTTGTGCAGCATTTTCTCTTGCTCTCAATTTAATTTCTTGCTCTAAGGGAAAAGACAGCAATAAAAACACGCAGCTCTTAAAAAAAAAAAAAAAAGGGCTGGGTGCCATGGCTCACATCTGTAATCCCAACATTTTGGGAGGCTGAAGTGCTATAATTGCTTCAGCCCAGGAGCTCAAGACCAGCCTAGGCAACACAGTGAGACCAGTTTCTAAAAAAATACAAAAATTAGTCAGGTGTGGTGGTGCACGCCTGTGGTTTCAGCTACTCCAGAGGCAGGCGGGATCGCTTGAGCCAGGAGGTTGACGCCACAGTGAGTCCTGACCAAGCCACTGCACTCAAATCTAGGGGAGGAGAAAGACTCTGTTTCCAAAAATTTAAAAAATGGGCACACAGAACAAAGAGGCAGTGGGACTCTAAGAGAAGGTCTTCGTGCTCGCCTGGAGGGAACAAGGGTTGCATAGAGACTTGGGAGTCAACCAAGATGTAAGCAGCAGACTGAGAGACCCCCCACTGGCACCCATTCCTCCACAGCAAGCCCACAGCTGCCCTACAATGATCACATCACTACCAAGCTCTGGCCTGACAATCTACCCTAGAAAGGACCAACCACACCAGATCACAGCATAAGCACCCCAAACCCAAGAAGTTTTCCCAAGAGAGAATATGAAACAATAATCTTCAAAGGGCTGGTCTCCAAACAAAAGGCAGTGCAGCGACCTACACCTAGGTACGCCCGAGAAATGCCCACACGTCTCCACGACACTCGCAGGTCTGTGTTCACAGCAGCGCTGCAAAGGGCCAAACAGAGACCATTCAGGTGTCCATCAGCTGATGGGTGCATGACCCGCATGACCCTGCCACAGGGAGGGCTGTGCTCTGATGCCTGCTGCAGCAAGGGTGCGCCTCCACGGCACCAAGCTCTGCCGCAGCATGGGTGCGCCGCAACAGCACAAAGCTCTGCCGTATCAGACACAAAGGCCCACAGATTGTCCTTCACATGAACGTCTGGAATAGGCAGATAAATCCACAGACAGAAAACAAGACTAGTGGTTGCCAGGGTGGAAAGAGGATCCTGGAAAGGGAGGGGGTGCGGTCACAGAAGGACAACCAGGGGGGTCCTTGTGGTGACGCAAGGGTTTTAAGGTCCCGACTGTGGGACACAGGCATCTGCATCTGTGATCAACTGTACAGAACTCAATACCCTTTCCAAGTAAGGGTGAAACAGCTGTCTAAGACCAGAGGGTTTCATCAATGCCGATATACACCCTAGGGGTGATACTGTTCAGTGTGCAAAATGCCACCACTGGGGAAGCTTGGCAATGTGTACAAGGGACTGCTCCCTGTTCTTTCTTACATCTCATGTCATCTATGGTTATCTCAGAAGAAAACAAACAAAAACCAAACACGGGGGGCCCAGCCCACCTCAAACCCCAGCTGCAGGATGGAAGCTCAGAGAGGCTGGGGGCCTGGCCCCTTCAGGAAGAGCCAGGCCAAGACCATCCAGTAACGAGAACGCAAACCTTCTGGCTTCAGAGCTCTCACTGAGGAAGAATCTCAGGCATGGCAGGAAGAAGACACACTGCTGTTCAACTGGAAAAGGATCAGACTCAGTAAAATGCTCTTTGCATTCTTCCCCACGCCCCTCCCTGCCCTGGAGCTGGGGTGGAGCTGCTTCTTCTCAGGACTCAGGCGAGGGGAGCCCATGTCCAGGGGTGGCCAGCCTGCACTTTAGTGTGGGCCTGTGCCCAACTATGTGGCAGCTCTGAGGATGAGAAGATGTTTCTGGAAGGAGCTGTGAGCCACAGTGCAGTCCAGAAGGGGAGACAGGCGTGCCCGGTACCTGCCCCAGCCACACCCTGGGCCCAGTTAGGATCCTACAGGATCCTGAGCCCTCCTGCCGTTATCCAGGGCAAAGATGGCAAATGGCTCCTGCAAGATGACACCCAGGGCCTTGAGGCAAATTCCCCCAACCAAGCAAAGAGAAGACCAGAGGCTGGAGCACACCTCCTGCTGATGGAAACAGCCCAGCAGCGACCACAGGGCCTTCCAGGCAGCTCAGCGTCACCGCACACATTTGACAAATGACCGACTGAAGCCTAGGACGCCCAGGTGAGCTCAGCATCCTCCCCTGACCTGCACCCACCTGGCCTTGTTCCTCCACGGCAGGACCCGAGAGCAGAAGGGAGCTTTCATCACGGTGACTGCTGTGCTGGGAAAGGTTTCCATGATGCTGGTCAGAGGCAGCCGAAGATGGCAGCAACCTCCCTGCTGATGTCAGCCCCAGACGACCCCCAGGCCGGCTCCTGAGTGCTCAGTACAGCAGCCTCTCAAAAGGCCAAGCCTCCATTCACCCCACGGCACTCAACACACCCAAGAACAGAACCCTGCAGGCGCCACGAGACGCCCAAGAACCAAGCCCTGCGGACACCACGAGACAACCCTAGGGCTCCGTCCCTTGCTTGAGCTCTCCTAGTTGAGAAAAATGTGTTTGGCAATGTTATAGCTGCCCCGTCTCATGACGAAGGGGACTTGTTCAGGTGAGAAACGTTCAACTGCGCGCTCGCTTACTGAAAACCGCCGAGGGGGAAGACGGGACGAGCGTCTTGACTTTCAGGGTGCACGTAAGTGGCTGGTCCCACCAAGGAAGTGCCAGAAAAAGATGCAACGACTCTCACTACCTCCCAACACTTTCGCAAATACTCACTGAAGAAAGGCCACCTACACAGAGAGGCAGGTTCAGCATGACACCACTAGGCAATTCTCACAGAACAGAAACAAATAAAGAATAAGAAAGAGATGACAGACAAGCACCGCCAGTGTCCATTCTACCATTTGGTGTCGTTTTATGTCATTTAAATCAAGTCATTCCCTGCACAGACAGGTGTCCAGCTGCTCGGTGCATGGAGGCCAGAGCCACAGAAGGGGCCGCTGACGCCAGCAGCTTCTCTCTGGTGCCCAGGCTATGTGGTCTGTAGTCTGTGCACCACCCACAGATGAGTTCTCTCAAGGACCAGCTCAGATTCCGCCATGCTGCAGGAAGGTCCAGGCAGGCGCCGCTCCCCACATTCAAGGGTGCTGTGCACTCCCTGCCCACATGACGACACCCAAGGAGGGGTGTGGAGGGCGATGCAGACTCCCCCCTGCACCCCCTCAGGATGACTAGATGGATATGAGAGGTGGTCTCGGGTGTGGAGGGCGATGCGGACTCCCTCCTGCACCCCCTCAGGATGACGGAGAGGAGAGGTGGTCTCCATCAAGGCCACGCCCTCTGCCCAGGCCAGCAATGTCCATCATGTTCCTGAGCAAACCGAGCTCTTCCACAGGAGGAAAGGGAGGTAGACCTGGTGACCGTGTGACTCCACTGGCATCAAGAGGAACTCTACTGACTGGCCTGTTACAGAACAGGAGGCTGCTCCATAGAAATCAGCTGGAAGAAAGAACCCACAGAGGCTCTAAAGATGGGACCGGTTTGTCACGGGCCAAGAACATGGTGAAGCCAGGACTGAGCACTCACACTGAAACCAGTGGGTCCCCAGGTGGACTGAGGAACCACAAGGACCACCACGGCGGGCACCCGGCCCTCGCATGCACACACGGGCAACTTTACAACCTGGCCTGGGAAGAAGGACCGGCGCCCACTCCCAGGAGGAAAAGCAGCGGCAGCGCACGGCAAGATGGATCCTGACACTCAGAGCTGGGGAAAGAGCCACACGTCCTCCTGCAGCCCGAGCCTCTCACTGAGATTAAGAGGGGCTCTGGGGCAGGCGGAGGCGGCGGCAGCGCCCAGCGACGGATGCGGCCACCACTGCAGGGCCTGCCGCCGGTGTGGAGAGCCCGAGTCACGGAGCCCCATGCTGCCCCTCACAGCACGGACGGGGTCGACAAGGCAGTGGCAGGCGGAGTGAGAGGCGGCTCAGGGCACCAGCTGCCCACTGAGTCACTGTGAGAAGAGCGAAGGCCAAGGCTTGGGAAGGTTTCCAGCTGACAGAGACGCCACTGAAACATGAGCTGATAAAACAAGATGATGTTGGAGATTTACTAAAATACTAACATTAAGATATTAATACTAAAAATTAAAATACTGAAATTAAAAAATGTTTAAAGAAAGAAAAAAATTTTTTTGAAAACATGAACAAGTGCAAGGAGGAGATGGATCAACCCGAGCTGGTCAAATGCTAGTAAACGCTGAGCCCGGGGACCCAGGACACTGTTCTCTCAGATTTTGTGACTGAAGATATTCCCCACGCAAAGTTAAACAAATGTTGAGAGTCAGAAAGCCACCCTGTGGCAGGGACTCACTGAAAGTTACTTCCTACAGCTCCTGCACCACCCGTTCATCAGTGGTCCCCGTTTACGGACCCCGGAAGCTCCCGGGTGACCCAGTCCACCTCAGAGAGTATCACCCACAGAATGCAAGCTGACTGGTGTGTGCCTGCCTACCTACATACACCCCGAGGAAGGCACAGCACCCACAGTACGTGCGTTCACTGCAAGGAAAGAATCTTCCAGTCACCGTTCCTCTGTCCCCATTGTCGCTGTCATAAAGAACTCTTCTCCCGCTGCATATCACCGGGGTTCAAATAAAGCCCTTCTGAGGGATGCCCTGTGGGAATGACAGAAGCAATGGAAAAGGCCTTCACAGATCATCCAATGCAACTGGAAAACTAAGACGTTTACCCAAGATTGTGAAGCAATTTAATAGCTGAACTTGAACAAAAACACCTATTTCCAAAATTATCCCCAGATAAGTGGTAAGGCTGTGGTAAGCGGCAGCATCCAACACAGCAACACCGGACCCCTGGCTAGAATAACCCACACAGTGATACAGATGCGCAGGAAGCTCAATTCCAAAACACACGCCTTCCACCGGGGGCAACCCCAACAGGGAGCCAGGCCACCCTCTCCAGCCACGCCAGCACCGCCGTCCACCCAGCTGCTCCTTCGAGCCGTGCACGGCCTGAGTCACAGGAAAAGCCCAGTTCTGCTGAGTGGACGGCTGCAAGGGGAGGCTAAATATGGCTCATAGCAGTACCAGACACCAGCGATTCGAGAGAAAACATCGGCATGTGACTGAGGCTGACGTCGGAAGTTCACATTCCCACGAGCTGCTTTACTTCACGAAATGAAAACATCATGTAACTCTCGCTGATGCATAAGGAAGACCTGCAGAAACGCTGCAGACACAACCCCACGCGGGAGGCATGCACACGACACCCCTCCCACACCTACCTGGGATCCCCCAAGAACCCAGCACCCAGGGACACCTGACAGACGCCTGTGTAGGGTTACAAGATTGGTAGAACCTTATTCTTACTTTTAGTTAGAGCTGCTATTAATTGCACTTGACACAGAGGTGGGGCCTGAGTCTTGGCAGGCGGTCCACACGGGACAGGGTCATCAGGAGTGACCACCAAGCGGGCTGGGGCCCTGGCCCACTCGACATCTCCAGAAGGGTCTGACGACCACAATACCTGCAGGACAGGAGCTCCGCACTTCTGCAAAGCCAGAGTGGAGACAACACGCAAGTGTGAGGCCCGCAGAGAGGGGTGTTAACCCGAGACAAAAATGATCAATAGTTTTACTGGTGATTTTCTTCACCCTCCCCTCTCCCCATGACATCCCTTAAAGAGATCCTTTATTCACGGCAATTCTTTTTAAAAACATTAATATCAGACTTCAAAGATTTACAGTATTTTCATAGAAATCAATGAGATTTTATGCTTATTGAACCTAGTAATTCTCTTCACTTAAAAAATATTACTAGAGAGCCGAGGTCAGCGAGTTATGGCTCACCATGTGTTTTTGTAAAAAAAATAATAATAATAATAATCACACTCACCTGTTTACATAAAATCTATGACTACTTCTGTTCTACATGGGCAGAGCTGAACGATACAACAGGAACTGTACATCCAGAAAAGCCTAAAATACCACTAATCGGCCCAGTACAGAAAAAGCCTGTCAAGCCCTGCTCTGTGAGAGAATTCAGAGCCGATGGCCTCTGCCGGCCGCTGTGTGTGTGAGCTACACTCTGTCCTATGCTTCCAGGATGCGCCATCTACAGAGCAACCTCAGGAGAGCTGTGGGAACAGCTGCTCGGGCCATCTCCCGCGTGCTACGATCAGAGGAGAAAAGCTCCTCCAGAGAGCATCGGGAAAAGCACTTCAACTCTGCTCAGGTAAGGACCAGAAAAAAACAGGAACTAAAACATGCCAGCTGAAGAACTCCATGATGAACGTGGACACACACGTGTGCACAGAGCTGACCCCGAACACCACGGCTTGGCTGCACACGGCAAGTCACCCATCGATTTGTTTTCAACAAATACACTGAAAAACTTATTAGAGATTTGTGACCATTTGGAAAGAATTACAAACCATACAGCCCAGGAATACCGAAAAAAGTCAGAAAAAGTATGTCATGAATGTACAAAATATATGTAGATATTAGTCTATCATTTCCTACCATAAACTATACACAGATTATAAAAAATTAAACGCTTATAAATACTTACAGACTGTACATGGCATCGTTCAGCAGAGGGAAACGTAAACAAACGTAACGTCGCAGGCTCAAGCAGAAGTGTATACAACTCAGTGCGGGACATACCACACTGCACGCTGTAATGATCTCACAGCCACAGCCTGTGCTACCGCGGTGAGCTCAAGTGTGTCGGTATCCGCTTAAAACACCGTGTGACACTAATCGTCTCCGCGTGAGCAGCTGGTCTCTCCAGAAATTGTGTATCACAGTAAACAAATTATCTCAAGCCTTAAGCTAGTTGCGGTAGCATGGGCCTGGAGTCCCAGCTACTCAGAAGGCTGAGATAAATGGATCGTTTGAGCCCGGGAGTCCAAGACTGCAGGGCACTATGGTCATGCCTGTGACAAGCCGCTGCGCTCCCGCCCAGGCAACACAGCAAGACTCTATCTCTTTTTTTTTTTGGAGATGGAGTTTCACTCTTGTCGCCCGGGCTGGAGTGCAGTGGCACGATCTTGGCTCGCTGCAACCTCTGCCTCCCAGGCCCAAGCGATTCTCCTGTCTCAGCCTCCCGAGTGATTACAGGCGCCCGCCACCACGCCCAGTTAATTTTTAAATTTTTAGTAGAGACAGGGGTTTCACCATGTTGGCCAGGCTGGTCTCAAGCTCCTGACCTCAAGTGATCCGCCCAGCCTCAGCCTCCCAAAGTGCTGAGATTACAAGCATGAGCCACTGCACCCAGCCGACTCCGTCTCTTAAAAAAAAAAAAAAAAAAAAAGCCTCTTGCAGTTCTCAAGTCTTTTTCATTGTGTTTACTCAATACCATAAACCCTAAATGACACCACAGACCCACACAAAGTGCCACTAGCGATGCTGGCAGTGCTCCCAAGAAGCAGAGCTCCCAGGAGTTGTGACTTTAGGAAAAGCTAAACTTGCGTGACACGCCGCAGCCTGTGCTCTGCTGTGGATGCTTTTCAAAATCGATAAATCCAGCAGAAGGGCCATCACAAAAAAAGAACAGGACATCCGTGAAGCCATCACCGCAGCTACAGCAACAGGCTTGAAAATTTTTTTGTGAAATACCTTTTTATCTCACTGAAAACGCAGCTTTAAAATTAATTCCCAAACAGCACGGATATATGAAAATGTGTGGGTGCAGGATTGCTATAAGAAAGGCAAATACCAATAGACTCTAGTCTGATTCCAGAAAAGTGAAGCCATTATACAACAACTGAAAGTAAAAGGAAGGGGAAGCAGCTGGAGAAGTGGATGCCAGCAAAGGATGGTTTGACAGTTTTAGAACGTTTGGCTTTAACAATGTCAAGATAACAGGAGAAGCAGCTTCTGCCAACCAAGAGGTAGCAGATGAGGTCCCAGACACCATGAGGAATATCATCGAGGAAAAAGGACATGTGCCTGAACAGGGTTTTGTTTTTGTTTTTTTGAGTCAGACTCTTGTTCCGTCACCCAGGCTGGAGTGCAGTGGCATGATCTCAGCTCACTGCAACTTCCACCTGCTGGGTTCAAGCTATTCTCCTGCCTCAGCCTCCCAAGTAGCTGGGACCACAGGCGCCCACCACCATGCCCGGCTAATTTTTGTATTTTTAGCAGAGACGAGGGTTTCACCATGTTGGCCAGGCTGGTCTCAAACTTCTGACCTCAAGCGATCCACCCACCTTGGCCTCCCTAAGTGCTGGGATTACAGGCGTGCGCCACCACGCCTGGCCCTGCCTGAACAGGTTTTGAATGCAGGTGAAACTCCCCTATTCTGGCGAAAAAAATCCTGTAAGAACATTTGTTAGTAAGAAAGAGAAGCGAGCACTGGGATAGAAGGCAAGAAGGGATAAGCTAATGCTACTGTTTTGTGCAAATGCAGTAGGGTTTATGATAAGGACTGCCTTTATCTATAAAGCTGCCTACCTCAGAACCTTGAAGGGAAAAGATAAACACCAGCTGCCAGGTATTTGGTTTTGCAACAAGGCTGGAAAGAACCCCTTTTTCCGGACTGCTTCCATTGATGCTTTGTCCGTGAAGTCAGGAAGTACCTTGCCTTGCCAGTAAGGAACTGCCTTAAATGTTCTTTTGACAATGAACAATGCCCTTGGTCCCCCAGAACCCCGTGAGTTCAACAGCAGAGGCGTCAACGTGGTCTTCCTGTCCCCAAACACAGCGTATCTAATTCAGCCTCTAGATCGGGGTCATAGGACCTGTAAGGCTCATTACACACAGCATGCTATGGAAAGGACTGTCAACATGGGAGAGAGAGAGAGAGAGCATCATGAGTGTCTGGAAGATGACACCATGAAAGATGCCATCATTGTTATAGAGAAAGCCATGAAAGCTGTCAAACCCAAAACAATGAACTCCTGCTGGAGAAAACTATGTCTGGAGGTTGTGTGTGATTCCACAGGGTTTACAACAGCCAATCAAGGAGATCATGAAGAGACTGCGGACATGTGGGCCGGGGCAGGAGGGCTGGGGGGCGGGGAGGGATGAAGGGTTTCATTTCAAAACTCAAGAGCTAAGAGATACCACACCAGAGAAATTAGAAGACAACCTGGTGGTGATGAGTGCTTCTGACCCACACCAGGTGACGAGGAGGAGGTAGCAGCAGTGACAGAAAACAAAGTGACATCAGACACTCCTGCAGAGGGGAGGGGTTCCCACGACTCCCACCCGCTTTTAACTTCTTGTACAACACACACCTGTCTGTGACATGGGCACTGAAACTAAAGCCAACAGTGAGGGAGGACTGTGACCATACAGGAACATTTCTAGAGAAATGACAAAGCACTTCGTAAGTTACACCAAATGCGCCTGCCTCTCCTGCCTCCCCTTCTACCTCTTCCACCCCCGCCCCATGAGAACAGCATGACCACCCCTCCTCCTTCTACTCAATGAAATGATGAGGATGAAGACCTTCATGATGACCCACTTCCACTTAATGAGAAGTAAACATATTTTCTCTTCCTTATGATTTTCTTAACAACACCTTCTTTTCTCTAGCTTACTTTACTGTAAGAATACAGTATACAATACATACGACATATAAAATATGAGGGGCATGGTGGCTCACACTTATAATCCCAGTGCACTGGGAGGCCGAGGCGGAAGGATCACTTGAGCCCAGCAGTTTGAGACCAGCCTGGGCAACATGGCAAGCGAGACTCTGTCTCTTTAAGAAGCGGGAAAAAAAGTGCTTTGTATATGTCAGTGTTGGATTAAAATGTGTTGACTGTTTATGTGATCAGGAAGGCACTGGTCAACAAAATTAAATACTCGGGGTATAAAAGGTTATATGTGGACTTGACTGTACCAGGGGTCAGTGCCACTAATCCCCAAGTTGTTCAAGGACCAAACATATATAATGATTTCATCAACGTGTATGTCAACCATATTGATTAGGTCAATATTGATTTGTAATTCTTGATAATAATTTCAAATCATGGCATTGAAGCCTAACCACAAAAACCTCCTCAGAAAATAGCAAAAACGTAGAGCTTTAAAGATATTAAGCTAAATGTACGTGCTATAAGGCTACAGATACAGCAGGCTGGAAATAGTCTGGCTGAGAACACACAACTGGCCAGCATGACTAGCAAGTGCTCAAGTAGCTTCTCTTGTTTGAAGACACTGGTGTACACAAAGATTTCTGCCTCCTGGGTTCAAGCAATTCTCCTGTCTCAGCCTCCCGAGTAGCTGGGATTACAGGTGTGTGCCACCATGCCTGGCTAATTTTTTGTCTGTGTATTTTAGTAGAGACGGGGTTTCATCATGTTGGCCAGGCTGGTCTCAAACTTCAGGCGCTGTGGTTTAAAACTCTTTTATCCATGTTTTAAGGGGTTGATGGGTGGGGCGAGGTGGGGAAGGGCTTTCCAAGGCTGAAAACCTCTTCAGGGGTTGGTGGGTGGGGCGAGGTGGGAAGGGCTTTCCAAGGCTGAAGACCTTTTTGGGTCAAGGTTCTGACGGCACACTGGGGAGCGTCAAGACGCCTCCTGCAGTCGTAGACAAGCCGGGCTGAGGCATTCACTGTCGCTTAGAACTGAAAACTTAGGGTCGTCCATGCCCAGAACGTCGGCAGTGCGGACCAGCCCCAGGAAGGCCTTTCTCACTGGCTTCTAGAAGGTGGGGCCGGCCCCCATGCCTGCCCCGGCACACGGCCATTCTGGGAGCTGCTGGCAGCCGGCGGGCTAGAAGGGGTGCACACCGTCTGTATGTGCGTCACAGGCTCATGCTTTTTTAATCCTATCTTGAAAACTTAGGGCTTTCTCACAAAGACCTTGTGCCAGTTCCTAAGTGGAACAACAATTTTATAAAATAATTTTAAATGGCTCAAATCAAGTGTTACCAGTGAACGGGGCTTTCATTATATGTCGAAAGCTGACCATGGGGAACAGGCCCACAGGGGCCTCCTGCTCCACACCCTGTCAGGGCATCCAAAACCAGCTCATGTAACTCTGCTTTCCAGGAGTCCAACTTGAACATTTTTTTAAAGAGACAAAGTCTTGCTCTGTCGCCCAGACAGAGCTCAGTCACGGCTCACTGCAGCCTCAACCTCCTGGGCTCAAGTGACACTTCTGCCTCAGCCTCCTGGCTCCAACTTGAGCTTACAGTTTTCTGCTCCACCACTGCTCTCTGCCTCCCACCTCCAGGTGACTGGGACGCGAGCGCCCCAAGCAGCACGGAAGAGCTCCGTGCAGTGCACGGATTTGCGAAGAACGTGTTGGTTCTTGTGATTCACAAAGAACTTGGACTGAGTACAACGGGCAAAGAAGATGTCAGCTGTATTTTTAACATTCTGTTCAGCAAGAAGAGTATACATAATAATTTCCCAAAAAATATAATTTTTGAAAATGCAGAAAAATAAAAAATTTAGAAAGAAATACATGGCTGCAGACACTGACCTTTTCAGTTTTCCAATCATCATTTCTCAAAACACACACTTTCATCTCTATTTACCAAACACTATTTTCTGCATCTCCAAACCCCTCAAGCTTCAGTCCAGGTCCAAGTATCAATGGGTATATATGAAGCTCCTCTGCCACCAGAAATTCACTATGGAAAGATGTTATTTCTGGTACCCCAGTTGCAAAACAATGATGCCTGTTTTTTTCTTTTTGAGACAGAGTCTCATTCTGTCACCCAGGCTGGAGAGCGATGGCGTGATCTCGGCTCACTTCAACACCCACTTCACAGGTTCAAGCAATTCTCCTGTCTCTGCCCCCCGAGTAGTTGGTATTACAGGCATGTGCCACGACGCCTGGCTAATTCTGTATTTTTAGTAGAGATGGGGTTTCTCCATGTTGGCCAAGCTGGTCTCAAACTCCTGACCTCAGGTGATCCACCCACCTCGGCCTCCCAAAGTGCTGGGATTACAGGTGTGAGCCACTGTGCCCAGCCCAATGATGCCATTTTAACTCCTTTTCTCCTAAGTGGATTAGAGCTCCCTGAGCCTTCAGATAGCTTCCTTGGGGCTACTCCAGAGAACGACCAGCAGTCTCCACCTGCATAAGAAACGGGACACAGGGCACGAAGAGCAGCCCCAGGACCTGCCCGCTGCCTTGGGACTTGTGAAAGCATTTTTTGTGTAATGCCAAACAGGTCTTTGTTAAAAGACAATAACCAATAGGAGACAGGCTTCTAGATCTGCAGAAACTCTAGAAATAAATGAAGGAAAGCCTGACGAGTACCTGCCTGCTTTCCAGGGAAGAGAAGTGAGCAAAGGCAGAGAAGAAGCTGGAGGCCTCGTGGGGCATCTCCTGCACGGGCAGCAGGGCTGCGTAACCACCACGAGCACTGGGGCTTATGGGAGGAAGGAGTGTGTGCAGTTCCGGCCCCAAAGGTGACCAGGCCTACACGGGGCAATGCAGCTCAGAGGTCGTGGGCAGAGGACAGCTGAGGCAGGCAGACGGAGCACGCATCCCTGCTTCCCAGTGTGGGCCCACTCTGCTGGGCAAGGTTCTAAGGGGCTCCGAGTGAAGCCCCTGAGCACACGGTAAACAATCGATCCAAAAAGGGATGAGAAGGGCGGCTGGGCGAGGTGGCTCAGGCCTGTCATCCCAGCACTTTGGGAGGCCGAGGCAGGTGGATCATTTGAGATCAGGAGTTTGAGACCAGCCCGGCCAACATGGCGAAACCCTATTTCTACTGAAAATTAAAAAATAAAAATAATAAGCTGGGCATGGTGGTGTGCACCGGTAATCCCAGCCACTGGGGAGGCTGAGGCAGGAGAATTGCTTGAACCCGGGAGGCGGAGGTTGCAGTGAGGCGACAATGCGCCACTGCACTCCAGCCTGGGCTACAGAGCGAGACTCTGCTGCAAAAAAAAAAAAAAAAAAAAAAAGGGGTGAGAAGGGCAAGCAAGAGTTCAGACTATTAGAAGCAAGACACCAAGAAACTCCCAGACACCAACACCTACCAGTTTAGGGTTATTGTATAAGGAGCAAGAGCTTTTCACATTGTAACAGCCCCAACATTAAATCATCAATAAAAAGCAAAATGAGGGTAAGCATTCTAGTTTATAAAACATGCACTATGATTTTCTAATTATCCAAACAAGTAACTTACATGCGATGATACGCTTTCCAACAAGAGGAGAACGATGAAAGCTGTCAACATCCCCCAACATGCCTGTCACAAATGCGCATCACAGAAACCCACCTTCAGAACTCTCATCAGGAAACAGATGCCCTCTGCTACTCACATTCAGACTGGAGAATACCTGTCAGCATATACACCCCTCCTTACCGAATTTATACACTTTGTGAACAAGTGTTCCCCGAGCACATTGACCCCACGCGAATGGGGGGAAGAGGTAGAGGTCAGATGAGACCCAGGAGGGCATAACTTACAGCCTCTGCCACAGGCCACTCACGTGGTGACCACAGTCCAGCCGACTGCACTCTCAGGCTGTGACCTCTCCACGGGGCTCAGACTGTATCTAGTTCTATCTTCAATGTAGTGTGTCTGAGATCGTTTAACTAAAAGTGCTTTACAAACCGTGCAAGCAGCCAGCACGACTGTCCAGGCCCAGGGAAGGTGATGGGAAGGAGCCAGTGAATGGGGCCCAGGCAGGCGCCACCAGAACGGGCGAGGGGGACGCGGCCTCCCAGCAGCTGGGCACACCCAGGGGACAGAGAGTCTGCTCCCACCCATCTCCTCTTTCCCCTGGAGCCCTTGAACCCATCAAATGGATTTAAGGCCACTGACCAGGGCAGGAGTGACCCAAGCAAAGTTAAAAGGTGTCTAGAAATTCCTTGAGCCTCTAACTGCATCTTAAACTAGACAGCCAGGCACCCGAAGTCTAGAAATATATATATATATATTTTTTTAAAGACAGAGTCTCGTTCTGTCACCCAGGCTGGAGGGCAATGGTGCAATCTCGGCTCACTGCCACCTCCGCCTCCCAGGTTCAAGCAATTCTCCTGCCTCGGCCTCCTGAATAGCTGGGATCACAGGTGCGTGCCACCAAGCCTGGCTAATTTTTTGTATTTTTAATAGAGACGGGATTTCACCATGTTGGCCAGGCTGGTCTCGAACTCCTGACCTCAAGTGATCCACCTTGATCCATCCACTTCGGCCTCCCAAAGTGCTGAGATTACAGGCCTGAGCCACCACACTTGGCCGACAAATAAACAATTCCCCCCCTCCAGTAGATGGGGTCTCACTATGTTGCCCAGGTTGGTCTCAAACTCCTGGGCTCAAGTAATCCTCCTGCCTCGGCCTCCCAAAGTGCTGAGATTATAGGTGTGAGTCAACTGTGTTCAGCTGAAATAAACGTTTAACCACCACCTTGACATCATATCCAAGAAACAAAAGTAGAGTTTCCTTTGTTTGCCCATTTTTTGAGACAGAGTTTCACTCTTGTTGCCCAGGCTGGAGTGCAGCAGCATGATCTCGGCTCACTGCAACCTCTGCCTCCCAGGTTCAAGCAATTCTCCAGCCTCAGCCTCCCGAGGAGCTGGGATTACAGGCGTGAGCCACCGTGCCAGGCTTGTAAAGCGTAACTTTTAATAAAGGTAGTTATTCAATTATGCCATGTCATATACCTCTCTCGTCTGGATTCAACTTTCACACCACTGTAATATAGGTTTTAAAAGCTGGGTGTGCTGGCTCATGCGGACCCACAGCCTAAGGCCAAACAGCCGCCTGTGCTGCTGAGTAAAGGGAGCGGTGCGAGGTCACCTCAGGGAGGAAGAGGGAGGAGCCACAAGAGCAAAGTGTTCAGCTGGCTGAAAGCTCAAGATAACCGGCTCTGCCAGAAGCACTGCCATTAGGATTTCCAGGGAACCCCTCCTAGCCATGCCTGCCTGGCTGCTCTGGAGGGGCAGCAGCAGCCCCATACCAACGCTGACCTCCTGAGAGAACAAGACGAGGAGATCTGTGCCATGGCTGTCCCCACACTCTGGGAGAATGTGAGTTCAGAAAGGCGCTGTATCTACCCTCCCTGATGGGCTCATTTCTGTCTCATTCAAAACCTCGGGGCCATGTCCAGTGGACGCTGCTGCCTCCTGTGTCTGCAAGAAGGAAGAGCCATGAAGTTCCCATGGAACAAAGCACGGCCAGGAATGGCCAAAGCCGAAGAGCCTCCCATGGTGTCACGTCGAGCCCCTGCCCTCGGACCAGCAACGCAGCAGACGTCGAGCCCCTACCCTCGGACCAGCAACGCAGCAGACGTCCAGCCCCTGCCCTCGGACCAGCAACGCAGCAGACGTCCAGCCCCTGCACTCGGACCAGCAAAGCAGCAGACGGAAAGCCAAGAAGGCCCAATGCCAAGAGCCCAATCATGATAGCACCCAGAGGGCAAAGGTGCAGACTCCTCCCTCACTCCCACCTTTCCCAAACACCACCTCCAAGCTCCAGTCATACCTCTGTCTCACAAACACCCGCTAGGGCCTTGTCAAACTCACCTCCCACTGACGAAGGCGCTTCACAAAAGCATCTAGCAAGATAAAGAATCTGAAACTGGGAGGCTGAGGCAGGCAGGTCACCTGAGCTCAGCAGTTCAAGACCAGCCTGGCCAACATGGCAAAACCCTGTCTCTATTAAAAACACAAAAATTAGCCGGGCGTGGTGGCAGGCGCTTGTAATCCCAGCTACTCAGGAGGCCGAGGCAGGGAGAGTTGCTTGAACCCAGAAGGTGGAGGTTGCAGTGAGCTGAGATGTGCTCCTGCACTCCAGCCTGGGTGACAGAGCGAGACTCCATCTCAAAAACAAACAAAAACAAACATTTCTCAAGGCTGGGCACGGTGGCTCACGCCTGTAATCCCAGCACTTTGGGAGACCGAGTTGGGTGGATCACCTGAGGTCAGGAGTTCGAGACCAGCCCGTCCAACATAGCGAAACCCCATCTCTATGAAAAATACAAAAATTAGCTAGGCGTAGTGGTGCATGGCTGTAATCCCAGCTATGTGGGGGGCTGAGGCAGAGCAGAACGGGATGGGATGAAATGGGACAGGACAAGATGGGAATGGGACGAGATGGAAATGGGACAGGATGGGACGACATGGAACAGGATGGGATGGGACTGGGATGGGATGGGATGGGAATGGGACAGGATGGGACGGGACGGGATGGGGCAGGACAGAGCAGGGCAGCTTCTGCAGGAAGGAGCCTCTGCACTGGCAGTGGCACTGACGGCTTCAAAGGAGCTGCGAAGACACAAACTACAGAAAGAATAGAACTCAATTCTTCCCTCCTTTTACCTCAATCAGGTGGCCTTTTGGTCTTACTGTATTTTTGGCAACCTGTATTTAGCACCTACAGAAAAAGCAGGCCCACTAGACAGCCCAACAACAGAACCGCTGCAGGTGAGAACATACGTGTGTAAGAACATGTGTGTGGGAGCACACAATGAGAAATAGTTTTCTTTTTTTTTTTTTTTTTTTTTTTTTTTTGAGACTACGTTTCTGTCGCCCAGGCTGGAGTGCAGTGGCACAATCTCAGCTCACTGCAACCTCTGACTCCTGGGTTCAAGTGATTCTCCTGACTCAGCCTCCCAAGTAGCTGGAACTACAGGCACACACCACCATGCCAGGCTAATTTTTGTATTTTTAGTAGAGACGATATTTCACCATGTTGGCCAGGCTGGTCTTGAACTCTTGACCTCAGGTCCTCCACCTCCCAAAGTGCTGGGATTACAGGCGTGAGCCACTGTACCCGGCCTTGAGAAATGGTGTTTTTTTGTTTGTTTGTTTGAGATGGAGTCTCCCTCTGTCACCCAGGCTGGAGTGCAATGGCCCGTCTCAGCTCACTGCACAGGTGTCTGCCACCATGCCCAACTAATTTGTGTATTTTTAGTAGAGACGCTGTTTTGCCATGTTGGCCGGGCTGGTCTCGAACTCCTGACCTCAGGTGATCCACCCGCTTCAGCCTCCCAAAGTGCTGGGATTACAGGCGTGAGCCACCGGACCCAGCAGACAGAAATGGTTTTCTATGGCAGAGCAGACTGAGCCCGTCCACAAGCCAGCACCGGGCAGAGGGAAGGGCGCCAGAGACACCGAGACCCTGTGGGTATCCCTGTGTCAGAGCCTCAAGCTGCTCCCTACCAATTCTCCAACTCTACTGAGTGAGCAAGAAGACAGTCACCATATTCCCAACACAACACACTCACGATGATGCATTTCCACATTTCACTCAAATGCTTTAAAGATTTCAAAACTACGAATTCACTTTAGGTACAGTCCATCACGTACAGTCTGCAAAGAAAACCCCACTCAGCACCACTTTCACGTCTGACGACAGAAGGCTAACGTGAGTGGCAGTGAGACCGTGCCAGAGCCTGCCTGCCTCACCCCCGCCGCTGCGCAGCCAGAGGCCGGGGATTAGGCCAGACACCAGCGGCTCGCCAAGAGCTCCATTTGTGACCGTTCCCTCCGTAGGCAACCCGGTGGTCCCCACTCCCAGGAGGTCACCACACGGATGCCAAACTTAGCACACAGCGGACAGCAGTCCAGAACTCCCTGGCTCAAGCCGGCCTCCCGCTCAGCCTCCCAGGTAGCTGGGACCACGGGTGTGCGCCGCCATGCCCGCAAACTGGGTCCAATTTGTCTGCAAGAGAAGCAAAGGGGATGCCAGGGCTTCTCCTATTCCTCAGATTTTCGTTTTTAAGTAAAGTCATTACAGATTAAGAAAATACAATACCGGCTTCCAATGAACAATTCATCTTTTAATGTAAGTTTAAAACAAAATGGAAATCCACACTACAAGTTTTCCATTAACATAATGACCAAATAAAAAATGACTCCATGTTAAAAATCAGTCACTTTTTTTTTTTAAAGCTTGATTATTAAGACAGACAATGCACTAATTCTCCCTTCTGAGGGCAGCACGACCAATTCCCAACGTTACTCGTGTGTCCAGGGACCGTCCACACTGCCCTGCTGCCCCACCCTTTACCCAAGGAGACGCCAGAAACCCAGCCACTGGTCCCTAGCAAGAGGCCCTCTTTTCTCACCAGGGACAGTGGAGGATAGAACCCGGCACACAGCATGAGGGTGTGGGGGAAAGGGGGCTCTTCTCTGGAAGGATGGCAGTGGCCCGCAACGACCTTGCATCCTGCAAGATGCCCGCGGGGAGGAGTGTATCCAAAAGCACCCTACAGGACACGAGTCAAGACAGAATCACAAATCTCTTCTCGTCCAGGAAACTTGACTCCCTTACCTTCTGCTAGGTGGAAAAGCAGACACGCTTATAAGCTACTCAAGTTTTTTATTAAAACCATTGACTGTTGGATTTCATCAATCCAAAATAGCACTGTAGAATCCTTCCAGATGGCACAATGACTTGTAAACAGCATCTCCATAAAGCAGAAGCCTGAAGACTCAGTCCTATCACAGCCAGAGCTGTGTGCGAACAGACAAGCCCTGAGAAGTGTGCCAGCAAGAGACCCTGCCCCAGCTCCCCACGCCTCGACCACCGAGTCAAGGGCATGAAGGGCTTGGCAGTGAGGGCAGGAGGGTGGCCCCACCCTGGGAGCCCTGTATCGACTGGGTGCTCTGGAGGCCGCCCGTGGTGACAGGCCAGGGCTGCTTTCAGACCTCCTGGAAGGTGCAGGAGCCACAGAAGGCCCCAGTGACATGGAGGAGGTGTCTGCCCTGCCAAGAGCAGCGAGGGTGGGAGAGGTAGGTCACACAGCCACCACCAAACAATGGTGAAGAAGGCCCACTAAGGACACTGCTCAGCAAGGAAACACACAGGAAGATCTGGAGTGCCAAGTTAAAAAAAAAAAAAGCATCTCTCAAGGGAGAGGCCTGAATGGTGGGAGTGCCCCTCGAACAGAAGGAAGGGGCTGCGTCTGTGGTGAGGGGACAGCAGAGGGATAGTCAGGCCTCCCACTCTGCACCACAGGTCTGTGAAGTTTCTATTAAGACTGTGCTTGGGCCGGGCGCGGTGGCTCACTCCTGTAATCCCAGCACTTTGGGAGGCTGAGGCGGGCAGATCACGAGGTCAGGAGACCGAGACCATCCCGGCTAACACAGTGAAACCCCATCTCTACTAAAAATACAAAAAAATTAACCAGGCGTGGTGGCGGGCGCCTGTACTCCCAGCTACTCGGGAGACTGAGGCAGGAGAATGGCGGGAACCCGGGAGGCAGAGCTTGCAGTGAGCCGAGACTGCACCACTGCACTCTAGCCTGGGCGACAGAGCGAGACTCCATCTCAAAAATAAAAAAAGAAAAAGAAAAAAAAAAAAAAAAAAGACTGTGCTTGGCCGGGCACGGTAGCTTGCGCCTGTAATCCCAACACTTTGGGAGGCTGAGGCAGGTGAATCATTTGAGGTCAGGGGTTCAAGACCAGCCTGGCCAACATGGTGAAACCCCGTCTCTACTAAAAATTCAAAAAAATTAGCCAGGCGTGGTGGTGGGTGGTGGTCGGGTCTCCCCAACTACTGGGGAGACTGAGGCAGGAGAATCGCTTCTTGAACCCAGGAGGCAGAGGCTGCAGTGAGCCGAGATGGTGCCACCGCACTCCAGCCTGGGCAACAGAGCAAGACTCCATCTCAAAAAAAAAAAAAAAGGACTGTGCTCATCTGTTAGGTTCCTTTTTTAAACTTCAGACTTACAAAAAAGTTGCAAAAATAGTTCAGAGTCCCTGTACAGCCTTACCCAGCTTCCCTAATGCTAACATCATACATAAACATAACCACAGTGAAATTATCTAATTCCAAAATCAGCACTAACACCAGACTATTCACCACCACAAAGACCTGACTCCGACGCAATCACCCTGCTCCAGGGCCCACGCGGGTGGTGCCGGGTGCTCTCTTCTCTCCATGAGGCTGATTTTTTTTTTTTTTTTTTTTTTGAGACGGAGTCTTGCTCTGTTGGTCAGGCTGGTCTTGAACTCCTGACCTCGTGATCTGCCCGCCTTGGCCTCCCAAAGTACTGGGATTATAAGCGTGAGCCACCACGCCCAGCCTCCATGAGGTTGATTTTTAATGTCTTGAAAATCGACACGGAATAGAAAATAAGCAAGATTTGCGTTTCCCTGTGGTGCTGTCGAACGCACACACGTCACAAAAAAGCCCACGAGATGACAAAAAAGCCTGAATGCTGCATGTGTGTCTCTGACTGGGAATAAGGATCACTGGAAAATATTTGCACCTGAGAAGATGGGGCTGAAGGAGGCTGCATAGAGCAGGAGCCCTGCGATGAGCCGGGGACCCCCTTGGAGGTTTAGCGGACAGGACGTCATCCACACAAAGAAGAGCCGGCAGGTCCCGGGCTCACACAGGTCTGGAATGGTGCCACTGCCCAGCCAGATCCCTGTCCGCAGCCCTGGGAAGAAGGTTCTGGAAGGCACTGCCACAGCCCGGGGAATGATGAACCCAAAACTGAACCAAGCTCCAGCCTGTCTCACAAATCCTAAAAGCAACAGCTGAAAGGGACAAAAAGGTTCCAAGGAACTATGTGGATCCCAGAACAAAGCCCAAGATGACTTACAGGAATATACAATTATCCAGCACATAATGAGGTAAAATTCACAATGTCCAGCATCCCATCAAATATTCTCAGGCATGGAAGGTGGAACAATTTGAGCAAAAAATAAATAGGACAGCAATGGATTACAGTGCTGGAGTGCAGTGGTACGACAGCCTCCAGGGCTCAGGCAATCCTCCCACCTCAGCCTTCTGAGTGGCTGGGATGACAGATACACGCCACTACGTCTGGCTAATTTTTTTTTTTTTACTTTTAGTAGAGATGAGGTCTCCTTACGTTGCCCAGTCTGGTCTCAAACTCCTGGGCTCAAGCAATCTTCCCACCTTGGCTTCCTACAGTGCTGGGATTACAGGCGTGAGCCACCACACCCGACCTACAACTTTGCTGTAAACCTAAAATTTTTCAAAAATAAAAAGTATATTGAAAAAAATTCCTGGGCATGTAAATAAGAAAATATGATTACATAGGAGAAAAAAAAGTCAATCAAAAGCTACCCAGAATTGACACAGAAGGCAAAATTAGTAGATGGAGACATGAAATCGTGTAACTCAGTTCCTCCCCACGGTCAAAAACTAAAAACACGGAAGCTAGGAAAAGACACTGGAATGAACCTCTAGAGATGAAGATGACGCTGTGTGAGACGAAAATCACACTGGGTGGGATTCACAGAAGAACAGGCATTCAGAAGATCTGTGAACTCAGAGAAACGGCATGTCAACAACTCAAACATGAGCAAAAACACTGAGTGTGGCAGGGAGCACCGAGAGAGAAGATCACTGGGGCAAACACCGAGTGTGGCGGGGAGCACCGAGAGAGAAGATCACTGGGGCAAACACCGAGTGTGGCGGGGAGCACCGAGAGAGAAGATCACTAGGGCAAACACCGAGTGTGGCGGGGAGCACCGAGAGAAAGAAGATCACTGGGGCGAACACCGAGTGTGGCGGGGAGCACCGAGAGAGATCACTGGGGCGAACACCGAGTGTGGCGGGGAGCACCGAGAGAGAAGATCACTGGGGCGAACACCGAGTGTGGCGGGGAGCACCGAGAGAGAAGATCACTGGGGCGAACACCGAGTGTGACGGGGAGCACCGAGAGAAAGAAGATCACTGGGGCGAACACCGAGTGTGGCGGGGAGCACAGACAGAGAAGATCACTGGGGCGAACACCGAGTGTGGCGTGGAGCACAGACAGAGAAGATCACTGGGGCGAACACCGAGTGTGGCGGGGAGCACCGAGAGAGAAGATCACTGGGGCGAACACCGAGTGTGGCGGGGAGCACCGAGAGAGAAGATCACTGGGGCGAACACCGAGTGTGGCGGGGAGCACCGAGAGAGAAGATCACTGGGGCGAACACCGAGTGTGGCGTGGAGCACAGACAGAGAAGATCACTGGGGCGAACACCGAGTGTGGCGGGGAGCACTGAGAGAGAGAAGATCACTGGATCAAACCCCGAGTGTGGCGTGGGTGAGGTGCAGGAGCCTAACCAACGGTAAGGGGTGCTCCCAAAGGAGGTGGAGGGCAGAAAAAAATACGTGAAGGAATAAAGCCTGAACATTTCCACATTTTGATGAAAACTGTAAACTCTAGTGATCCAAGAAGCTCAACAAATCCCAATCACAAAACATGGAGAACCTGACCAAGGCACATCACAGAGGTGAAAAGAAAATCTTAAAGGCAGTCAAAGGTGAGAAACTAGGTAAAGAAGAACAGGCAAAAGGGACGACAGGTTCTCGGGGAAACAGTGAGCACACAGCCAGGGGCCAGCACCCGTAAGTCCTGCAGAAAAACACCTGTGAAAATCTTTCAAAAACAATGCTGCTGGTAATGGTTGTCTAACTCTGGGGAGGAGGTTCCTGGAGCTCTGCGCTGCTCCCCACATGCCCTGCCCTCCGCATCTGACTGTGCATATCCTTTGCAAAATCCTTTCCACGACACTGGTGAACATGTAAGTGTCACCCTGATTTGTGTGAGCCACTCTCATAAAATTATTGCACCAGGCTGGGCGCCATGGCTCACGCCTGTAATCACAGCATTTTGGGAGGCCGAGGTGGGTGGATCACGAGGTCAGGAGATCGAGACCATCCTGGCTAACACGGTGAAACCCCATCTCTACTAAAAATACAAAAAATTAGCCGGGCGCGGTGGTGGGCGCCTGTAGTCCCAGCTACTCGGGAGGCTGAAGCAGGAGAATGGTGTGAACCCGGAAGGCGGAGCTTGCAGTGAGCCGAGATCGCGCCACTGAACTCCAGCCTGGGCGACAGAGCGAGACTCTGTCTCAAAAAAAAAAAAAAAAAAAAATGATTGAACCCAAGGAGGGGTCACGGAACCCCAGATTCAGGGCAGGTCGCTGAGAAGCACAGCCACAGGAACCCAGGGCTTGCGGTGGGTGCTGGAGTGCTGGCAGTCTTGCGGGACTCAGTCCTCTCCCTGGTGGACCCCGTGCCGTCTCCAGGTAGACAGTGTCCAGGCTGCACGGGATTGTGGGACACCCAGCTGGTGTCCGCCACAGAACTGACTGCCTCCCTGCTGCTGGGCAGAAAGCCCACACAACTGGTCACAGACGTCTTTTGCGTTTTCTGTGTTGACTGTCGCTGTGGCATGAGAGCAAAGGAAAAATCTGAGTTTTCCCCCTCAGAACCCCTACTAACTGAGCTTAGAAATACATGAAGTCAAGCTACACAGACAGATACACAAAACCACAAACTCAGTAATGATTTTAATACCCTGTTCTCAATCACTGAGAGGACAAGCTGACAGAGAATCAGTAAGCACACTTGTAAGAAGTAAAGCAGAGGTTCCTCTTCAAAGACTTTCCTCCCCATCTAACTAAAAATAAATAGTAACTTCTCTTAAAAGCAACATTTATTCAAAGACCTGTACTGACATTCTTAAATATCTGCTAGCCTTAATAAAGAAATCAATGTACTTTATGTTCTTAGCTCCCACAATTTAGCCTAAATATCTGCCCTGGCATGCTTATACTGGTCGAAGCAAGCATTAGGTCACGGCCTGTTCCTCTTCCTTAGTTGAAGGTGTTTTTACCTTTCTCAGCATTCCACAAATTACTTCCTCCTTCCTTTGTTCTCCTCTGCCTTTGCCTCTTTTAAAAAGTTCTAAGTTGCTAGCCAATCGGGACAAATACAGAATGTGAGGTCCCGTTCCAGCCAATGGAAACCGGACACAGCAGTTGGTATAAAAAAACCGGACACAGCGTCAGGTTATAAATGACCCTGGTCTCCTTCATTCGGTGTACTCTCGTGGCAAAACTGCAGGCGAGTGTACCCTTTCTGCAGAAGGTATAAAAAATGGCCTTGCTGAGGAAATTAAATTTACGTTCAAGTGCTATTTCTTTACGGCACCAGGGAGCAAGCATTTCAAACACACTGATGGCCCATTCCTGAAGGATCACAAGAAGCTAAAATTCATTACCTGTATAAGGGAGTTTAAGTTAGATTTTCACCCTTTTCATGTTTTCTTACATTTTCTACAATGGGTAAACGATGGAAATAAGAAAAACAATGTTTATGTTTTGAAAATGTCTCAATGGGTCTGCCAGTTCATGTTTTCCATGAGCAGCACTGTGATGCCACGCTGAGATGCTCCAGGGTCCATGCAGTTCAAGAACATGGTCGTGATGTGTTGAAGCAGACCTGTCTTGGTTGTCCCTCAGATCCCAGCTACAGAAGTTAACGATCAACTCAGCATCTGTAATGCACTTCGGATGTCAGCCTACAAGAGCAGACCCAATCAACATGGTTGAGTTCACAGACAACGGTATCTAGGATGTCCGGCACACCCAGAACCTGCACTTAAGCAAACTCGTGGATAGGAAGTCCCCCAAGGCTGCTTTTCTCTAAACACTAGGTTAGGAAAAAAGAAAACTGGGAATACATTTAACCGACTCCATCAACTACATAAGAAAGCACCTTTGAGAGTGAACTTGTGTCTAATCACCACCTTGGGACCTGCCTGCATCTGAAATGAGTGAGTGATCTACAGTCACCAAGGCCCTTTCTGTTTCCCCAAAAATTCCTTTTCTAAACTCCAGCCTATTTCTTCACATTCTACTTCTTATTCAAGGCCTATGCAAATGCTAACCCTCAGTGGAGCCTCCGGCAAGCCCAGTCCCCAGGAAACACGGTCTCCCTCCCTCTTCTTCACCTGCATACCTTCTCTCACAGGAGCCTCTGGAAGTCTCCCTCAGGACCTGGCACCTTCTTGCTACATCATAAATACCTTGAGAGCACGACGCCAGCCTCATTCACCTGTTCCCACAGGTGACATGGCTCCCACCCTGGGACCAAGAGAGTCCACTGTACACATTAAACTTTAGTTTCCTCTTTTTTTTACTTTTTTTATTTTTATTTTTTTTTTTTTTGAGACGGAGGCTTGCTCTGTAGTGCGAGACCACTCAGGCAGGTGGAGTACAGTGGCGCAATATTGGCTCACTGCAACCTCTGCCTCCTGAGTTCAAGCAATTCTCCCACCTCAGTCCCCCATGTAGCTGGGATTACAGGCGTGTGCCACCATATCCAGCTGCTTTTTTTTTTTTTTTTTTGTATTTTTAATAAATAGAGACGGGGTTTCACCATGTTGCCCAGGCTGGTCTCGAACTCCCGACCTCAGAGTGATTTGCCCGCCTCAGCCTCCCAAAGTGGTGGGATTACAGGAGGAAGCCACTGCGCCCGGCCTAGTTTCCTCTTAGGTGGAGTAATCACGTCCACCTCAGAGGATTTGTAAGGGTTAGAAGGGGAAGCAGCCGGGCCGATGGAAACATGCAGGAACTATCCCAGCTGGGCCTATTGCCCTTCATTCTGGAATCTGGCAGAGCTCTGCATGGCATCTCGCATGAAACAGGCTCTAAGTATTTAATGAATAGGAGGAGACATGTCAGACAGTGGGAATAATCATGCTGATCTGCATGAGGAAAATGTGTCAAAAAACAAAAGCCAAAAAGTCACGAAGAAAGTGCTTGTAATAGAGACTAGTTTACTTGTGAGGGCTACGAATAAGTGAAGCTCAAACCACTAGGTGCCAAACATGAAAGTGGGTTCCCAGACCCCAGTGTTTGCTGACTGCAACACAGCGGTGCCTGCAGCTCACAGGGTGCTCCTCCCCGCCTCCCTAGCCCTCCTGGAGACTCCACCCATCACAGTCCCAGGTTCCAGGCAGGCTTCCCAGGCCACTCAGCTGCTGCAAGCACAATGTCCTCCTGAGGTCAACGGGCAGGTGGCAGGAGCCTCTGACCTGCTTCCCTCCACGACATGGGCACGTTCTGGGACTGCAGTTCCACAGTGGTCTCCCATGTCCCTGGAAAGCAGCCGTCCGCCTCTCCTCCACACCTGCCACACTGCTCTCACTCATCAGGAAACTTCTCATCAGAAAAACAGCTCGTGGGCCAGGCACAGTGGCTCCCGCCCGTAATCCCAGCACTTTGGGAGGCCAAGGCGGGCAGATCACCTGAGGTCGGGAGTTCAAGACCAGACTGGCCAACATGGTGAAACCCTGTCTCTATTAAAATACAAAAATTAGCTGTGCGTGGTGGCAGGCACCTGTAATCCCAGCTACTCGGGAGGCTGAGGCAGGAGAATCGCTTGAACCCAGGAGGCGGAGGTTGCAGTGAGCCAGTATCGCACCACTGCACTCCAGCCTGGGCGACAAAAGCAAAACTCTGTCTCCAAAAAAAAAAAAACAAACAACCTTTTGTGGAAAAACGAGTGTATTTTCCACTCCTCGTCTCAATAAAACCTGCGAAGACTGCTTTCATATACAGGAGTCGTGTTTTATGACAAAGGCTCCATCAAGGATGCTGTAAAATTACACACAGCCATCTCCATAATATATGGCCCCGAGAGTTACACACATGAGGTTATTGAGTTATTTTTCAAACGTCCAGACTCCTCATTTCCAATTAAGGCAGGTTGGCTGTAGCACTGTTGGAAAGCCTAAAGCTTTGTTTGCAGCCAATTCAGAGGCGACAGTTTTTCCAAGGCTACTTAGAGCTGATGAGAGAACCCCCTGTTAAAAAGATCTCCAAACCAGCAAATACATCACGGTATGATTTTAAGTCACTGCAATCCAGATCATCTTAAAAGTTCTGCAGGATTTGGAAAAACAAAGACAAATTATTAAACCAAGTGACCAGGCTGAAGCACAGGACAAGATGAAAGAGGGCCAAGAACAGGCAACACCACCACTCAAACGATCCAAGAGACTCCTGGTCTAAAAAGTTAGAGGCTTGGTCAATTTTAAGGCAGCGTCTTAACAGAAAGAATTATGCAAGCCAAGTAAACTGGCTGAGCCCCAGGGAAGGGCTGCGTACTGCCAGAGGAATGGGCTGGACTCTTTCCAGCTCCGTAATCCTGGGAGCAGCGTCGGTGTGGAAGGAACCCTGACGGCAAGCTGTTACATAAGAGCCCAGTCCTGCACTGCGGGGACATGGTCCGCTTGCTACTGGCATGCAAAGATCAAAGAGAGGAGACAGCGCTGGGATGCCAGCCCACGGCTGGGACACGTGCTGCTTCTGTGAGCATGCGCCCAGGAACAGACGCACAGACCCACCCGAACGGGGAACCGAATCTTACTTGTCCATGAGAATCCCAGGAGGGGACCAATGGGCCATCACATTGGAACCCTCTGAAACTGCACACACATTTGCAAGCATAGGTATCAGGGGAGGTAAGTGATACAGACTCTTCTAAGGGTGTGAAATGTTTGAAAAGTTGTCAATAAGCACACAGACTGACCTGATTCATTCAACAACATTTTCTCACCCAGCACACAGACTGAATAGCTTGGTACACTTGCTTCCCAGGTGTAAAACTACCTGCTTAATAACAATGCCTTCTCAGCTGGGTGACACCGCACTGATGAGCCAGTTCACTGGAGGACTGCTGGGGTGGTGCGGCAAGACTGTTTCAACGCACTACGTCCCGAGCACGCAGCATTCATCTTGTGCATATCCTTCATGACAAAACAAGTATGCACAAAGCACTGCTGCCGCACACCAGACACAGCGGCCTCTGGACAGGAAGCACCAATCTTCAGTCAAAGAATGACCGACCGACATGCAAACTCTGGTTGTTCGGACATGAGTACTGGCAGATCATTTCTAAAAAATGAAGGAAAGAC
Organism: Homo sapiens; assembly: GCF_000001405.40. Classification (NCBI taxonomy): domain Eukaryota; kingdom Metazoa; phylum Chordata; class Mammalia; order Primates; family Hominidae; genus Homo; species Homo sapiens. The sequence continues at coordinate 89,396,082 of NC_000016.10, forward strand.
AGCTGCAAGTTCAGCCAGAACACCTCAACAACTTGTTGTCAATGTGAAAATTCAAGCTTTCAAAGATAAGAATTTTGGAAAACTCCAAGAGCAGACAGCTTCTGAAGAACTAAAAGTCTCCCTGGAAGAGACAGGTGCTGCTTTCTGATGTAGTAAAATCAAGTGGATCCACGTCGGGAGATGCACACGAGTCCCGGGCACCCAATCGGCCCTTGGGTGCACACTGTGTGCTGACCTGGGTCACCTCCAGATGTGGACACACAGGCACACTCCCACACACACGCGACGGAGCCGCACTCGCCGCAAGAGAGACCAAAGGGAAGCCCTGAGACTCCCCTGCTGCTGGAAACGCTCACAGCACAAACACCTGCTGGGTTTTGGTGTCGTATCAATGAAAATCTCCATAATTATATCAAAAAGCTATTTATTAAAAATATGCTTCCATTTTCCCACTAGATTTTTTTTTTGTATACTTCAACTAGAACAACATATTTACCACAGACTGATGCAGGAACAGCGAGGAGAACCCTGCTGTCTTCTATGAAGCCACACATTAATGGGGTTTGTACAATTTTAAGGAAATGCTCCTCTAATTGCTATTTGTTGTTGTTGCTGTTGTTTTTGGGACGGAGTTTTACTCTGTCGCCCAGGCTGGAGTGCAATGGCGCCATCTTGGCTCACTGCAACCTCCGCCTCCCAGGTTCACGCCGTTCTCCTGCCTCAGCCTCCCGAGTAGCTGGGACTACAGGTGTCCACCACCACACCCGGCTAATTTTTATATTTTTAGTAAAGACGGGGTTTCACCATGTTGGTCAGGCTGGTCTCAAACTCCTGACCTCAGGTGATCCAGCTGCCTCGGTTTCCCAGAGCACTGGTGGGATTATAGGCATGAGCCAGGGGACTTGACCAGATCACTAATTTTTTATACTGGAAAATACAGGATTTTTTTTTTTTTAAAGAATGTGCTGCTTATATGCAATGGGCTTATTATTCCTGTTGTTAATTGGAATTGGTATACAGACATTTTCCAATCCTTCAGGTTTCAACTGGCAAATGCCAGCAGACATACCCACAGAGCCAGAGCTCCTCAGGCTCCTCCACGTCCAACGGCGTCTCACAGTCCTGAGGATGAGGACCTGGGTGAGGGGAGCACGGGAGACACAGCCATCAAGGCATCCACCTCCAGGACAGACACCAGCCAAGAACCCCCTCAGGGCAAGGCCTCTCACAAGTCCAACTCCACGGATTCCACCGTAAGTGCTGTCAACTGGATGCGCATTTACAAAATCTGAGTTTTCTCAAAGAAGCTGAAGCTTTCCGTGTCCTCAGTGATTCTGGACTCCCAGCGCCGTACCACTCCCTGCCAGCCACACAGGGGGACCCACAGGAAGCAGGCCTTCCCCGTGGCGGGCCTTGCTGCTATCCGCGCTCCTTTCTGTGCAGTCGTCCCTGACGGGGAAGGGTTGAGCCCAGCCAAGTGGATCCCTGGCTGCAGGACAAAGGTGTGCATGGCAAGGGGCCCACCTGCCTCAGGCTGAGGCATAAACTTTCCCTTTTCACTCAGGAAGGGTAAGACACAGTTCCCAGTTTTACAGTGTGCTTTTGTGGATGCTGACCCGGTACTGCTCTTGGAATGTCAAGATGAAGATGATGCAGAAGCCTCTCCTCTGAGCATCTTCTGATTGACAGGCAAGGGACTGGAGTGGAGCCCTTGGCAGCAGGCGGTGGCCAGGGACAAGCGGCCCGTGCCACGTCTCCCAGCTAGCTCACCACCAGCACACAAACCTTCGTCCTGGGCATGGGACTCTCCATCCCTGGTCAAAGCAGGTGCCTCGGGTGGCAACACAGGACCCTCAGACACTGATCTCCTGTTGTTGAATCGGTGCAATATTCACCCACCAAAAACAACCACAAAGCGCCTGTCACCAGTGACAATGTAGCACTGTCTATGTGAATAAAATTAAATTGTGTTTGGAGAATCTGGTGACGCTGTGAAACAGCTGAAGATTACCTGTAACCTCAGCGCTCTGGGAGGCTGACAAGAGGGACACTGTGAAACAGCTGAAGACTACCTGTGACCTCAGCACTCTGGGAGGCTGACATGAGGGACACTGTGAAACAGCTGAAGATTACCTGTGACCTCAGCACTCTGGGAGGCTGACATGAGGGACACTGTGAAACAGGTGAAGATTACCTGTGACCTCAGCACTCTGGGAGGCTGACATGAGGGACACTGTGAAACAGCTGAAGACTACCTGTGACCTCAGCACTCTAGGAGGCTGACATGAGGGACGCTGTGAAACAGATGAAGATTACCTGTGATCTCAGCACTCTGGGAGGCTGACAAGAGGGACACTGTGAAACAGCTGAAGATTACCTGTAACCTCAGCACTCTGGAAGGCTGACATGAGGACTGCTTGAGCCCAGGAGTGTGAGACCAGCCTGGGCAACACAGGGAGACCCCATCTCTTAAAAAAAATTTTTTTTTAACAAAACAATAAAAAAACAAAAATAGCTGGGTGTGTTGGCACCTGCCTGTGGTTTCAGATACTCAGGGGGCTGAGGCAGGAGGAAGGTTTGAGCCCGGGAGGTTGAGGCTGCAGTGAGCTATATGACTGTGCCACTGCACTCCAGCCTCAGTGACAGAGAGAGATTGTGTGTCCAAAAAAAAAAATCCCAATACACTGTTAGTGTCTCAAGCCCAGGTTAGAAATTACTCGTCTAGTCTCTGACAGAAAAATCAGGTGGGCTAAGCAAAGGTGCTTTCTGGCCCAGGAGTACAGATGCAGTGGCAGGCACATGGCTCAGCTGGCTGTGCACAGCCACCCAGGATCCTGGGGCAGTCTCTGGACAAGGCCTCAAAGACCCCAGACAGACTCCCATCATCCCTCTCTCCCATCAGCATCATCAGTTTTTTAAAATTGTTAACAAGCTCCATGCTCTGTGAGACGCAGTTTCCAAGCAAGGCATTTTCAGTGTTGCCTCAACAGAAACTGCATCATCCCTGAACACTGACCTCCTGTCACAGCCCAGGTGGCTCCGAACACGGAGCAGGAGCATGATGACACAGCACGAGTCCACGCAAGGACACCTCCTCATCAAGACAAGTCAGAGGCAGAACCGAGTTCAGGGGCCAGTGGCTGGCTTTGTTTATTCTTCATTTATCCGTAAGAGAAGCCCAGAGAGACAACTACAAGTGACCCAAGACACTCATAGGTGAGTGGATTAAACACCCGGCGTCCATCCAGACAACAGAATATTACCAGGCCCTGAAAAGACAAAAAAGGACCATAGACGCATGCTGCTGAGTGAAAGCAGCCCGTCTCCAAGGACTACACGCTGTACGGTTCCGACTCTGACATCCAGGAAAGGGCAAAACCGTGCAGACAGCACAAAGATCAGCGAATGCCAGGGGCTGGGGAGAGGGAGGGACGGAGGGATGTGCAGCAGGAACACGGGGGACCTGGGGCAGTGAAACTACTCTGTATGATACCACAACGGTGGGTCCACATCAGGATACGTTCATCCAACCATAGACTGCACAGCACCCGGTGGACCCTGAGGTCGTGCGGCCTGTGGGTGATGATGACACTGTCTCCAGGGCGGTCGCGACTATAACAAATGGCCGCTCTTGTGGGGATGCTGAGCCCAGGGGTGCGGGGGAACCCTCTGTAATTTATGTTCTATTTTGCTGTGAACCTAAAGCTAATATAAAAAATAAAGTCTACTTTTTTTAAAGTGACCATCCTGTCAGAAAGACAAAATGGTCCCAGAGCACAGGGCTTGGATTCACACAGCACAGAATCGGCTCCCAGAGCACAGGAAGGTCCAGTGCACCAGGACCAAGAAGCAGAGTAAGCCGAGTGACACAAGAGAGGGCAGCCTCTGCCCCAGGCTTCCTGCGCTGGGGGCCGGTCATCTGCTGCCCCAGGCTTCCCTGCGCTGGAGGCCGGTCATCTGCTGCCCCAGGCTTCCCTGCGCTGGGGGCCGGTCATCTGCTGCCCCAGGCTTCCCTGCGCTGGGGGACGGTCATCTGCTGCCCCAGGCTTCCCTGCGCTGGGGGACGGTCATCTGCTGCCCCAGGCTTCCCTGCGCTGGGGGACGGTCATCTGCTGCCCCAGGCTTCCCTGCGCTGGGGGACGGTCATCTGCTGCCCCAGGCTTCCCTGCGCTGGGGGACGGTCATCTGCTGCCCCAGGCTTCCCTGCGCTGGGGGACGGTCATCTGCTGCCCCAGGCTTCCCTGCGCTGGGGGACGGTCATCTGCTGCCCCAGGCTTCCCTGCGCTGGGGGACGGTCATCTGCTGCCCCAGGCTTCCCTGCGCTGGGGGACGGTCATCTGCTGCCCCAGGCTTCCCTGCGCTGGGGGACGGTCATCTGCTGCCCCAGGCTTCCCTGCGCTGGGGGCCGGTCATCTGCTGCCCCAGGCTTCCCTGCGCTGGGGGATGGTCATCTGCTGCCCCAGGCTTCCCTGCGCTGGGGGCCGGTCATCTGCTGCCCCAGGCTTCCCTGCGCTGGGGGCCGGTCATCTGCTGCCCCAGGCTTCCCTGCGCTGGGGGATGGTCATCTGCTGCCCCAGGCTTCCCTGCGCTGGGGGCCGGTCATCTGCTGCCCCAGGCTTCCCTGCGCTGGGGGCCGGTCATCTGCTGCCCCAGGCTTCCCTGCGCTGGGGGATGGTCATCTGCTGCCCCAGGCTTCCCTGCGCTGGGGGCCGGTCATCTGCTGCCCCAGGCTTCCCTGCGCTGGAGGCTGGTCATCTGACGGGAACCCCTGCAGCCACCTGGACCAGCTGCACACACCTTGGACGCCTGTCGCCCTCCACCCTCTGCAGACACCCTCTCACAGGCTCCACCCTGCTCGGGTTCACAGACACATCCCCCGTCTGCCCCGGGGCTGCCTGGCATGGCACCCAAGACCAAGATGGAAAGGGAGGCCCCGCGTGTGGGTGGACAAATCCACAACACGCTGGCCCTCAAGTTGTCTCAGTAATGTTATATATTTCTCTCTCCCCCCCACCCGCCCTCCCCCTCCCCAGAGGGAGTCTTGTTCTGCTGCTCAGGCTGGAGTGCAATGGTGTGATCTCGACTCATTGCAACCTCTGCCTCCCAAGTTCAAGCAATTCTCCTGCCTCAGCCTTCCAAGACGGCCGCCACCACGCCCGGCTAACATTTGGATTTTTAGTAGAGACCGGGTTTCGCCATGTTAGCCAGGCTGGTCTCGAACTCCTGACCTCGTGATCCACCCACCTTGGCCTCCCAAAGTGCTGGGATTACAGCACGAGCCACTGCGTCTGGCATTAAATTTCTCTCTTGATTATGCAGCCACTAAATATCACGCTGGGATAATGGGAAATTAATGCTAAGCTTTAAAATGCAGAATGTGAAGCCTTATATCCAGAGTAATCCTTATTTTGTAAAAAGTACATGATATATTCAACATTTTAGATTTACATGTTTTATCTTGGGTGGAAGGATTACAGGCGATTTTTACTTTCTTCTCTATGCTTTATTTACTGGTGTTATGAGTTGAAATGTGTCCCCCAAGAATGGTATGTTGAAGTCCTAGCCCCCCAACACCACAGACGATGGCCTTCCTGGGAAACATGGTCTTTGCAGATGATCCAGGTGAGATCGCTAGGGTGGGCCCTCACCCCACAGAACTAGCTTCCTTCTACAAAGGGCAGACGTGGACACTGAGCTGTGCACGCAGGGAGAACGCTGGGTGAAGAGGGAGGCGGAGATCGTGGTGATGCGTCTACAAGCCCGGGCGCACCAGAGACTCCCCCATCCCCCAGAACCCGCCGGGCACACCAGAGACTCCCCCATCCCCCAGAACCTGGAGAGAGGCCTGGAGCAGATGCCCGCCCCCACCCCTCCAGCACCGCAGAAGGAACCGGCCCTGCAGACAGCTTGGTCTCAGAGCCGTGGGAGAACAGATCCTTGCTGTGAAAGCTCCTGGTCTGTGGTGATTTATCACGGCAGCCCCGAAAGACCCCCACACCAAGTTTCACTCTCTGTCCATGGACCTCTTTAATGGAAATCCTGACTTTTCCATAAGGCACTGAATCTGTGTAACTTTTAGAGTAAGGAGGACGACCTACAGTTCACTGCATGAAAGCACAGCCCTTCCAACAAAGGCAGGCGAAATGTGGAACCAATTATATCTGGGTGCCTACACGTGACGTACGCCAGTTCTTTGTAGAAAGAACGAGGCTTGTCTCAGCGATACTAATGTACAGTTCACATGAACTCCTAACCTTAGCCAGCCACAATAAGGTATCTGGGATTGAGCGCTTATTTAAATCGGTAGGCACATCAATTTAAATTTAGGTAGTAGCTCAGCCTGTACCTAACACATGAGGAAGCCGAGGCGGGAAGATCGGTTGACTCCAAGAGTTCAAGAGCATCCTGGGAATGACAGGGAGACCCCGCCTCTAGAAAAACATTTAAAAATTGCTGCGTATGGTGCCGCACACCAGCAGAGTCCCAGCTACTCGGGAGGCTGAGGTGGGAGGATTGGTTGAGCCTGGGAGTTCAAGCCTTGAGTGAGCTGTGGGTGGGGGGGGCAGCACTGCAGGGTGAGGTGAAGGGGGTGGTTCTGCGGGAGGAGGTGAGGTGGCTCTGCGAGGTTAGGAGAGGGGGCAGGGGCTCTGTGGGGTGAGATAGGGGGTATCTGCAGGGTGAGGTGAGGGGACAGCTCTGTGGGATGAGGTGAGGTGGGGGTTCTGCGGAATGAGGTTGGGGGGGCGGCACTGCGGGAGGAGGTGGGCGGGGTGGGGCCTGCAGACCCTCCAGGCTCTCCCGGGGGAAGGAGCCCCATCAGGGCCAGCACTGCGCCACTCCCAACAAAGCAGGCAACCTAGCCTGCCAGTGGAGACCTCTTTTCCGCCTGGGCTCCAGCTCTAGAGCAAGGCCAGTCACCTCAGCCCCACCATCAAACACCAGGCTCCACATGGGCACTGCCTCGCTCAACTGCGTGGTGGCGGGTGGCCTGGAACGCTGCTGTCATCACTGCACGTGGACACATCATCAACCTCTCAGCGTGACGTGCCCTCGTGCTTTCAGGTAAAACACTACAGAGAAACTTCCTGTTGGCAGGTGGACCCCGCACTCCCTAGGGCCTGATCCGCTCCCTCTCTTCTGCTTTACGGGCACTGACAGGAAGTATCTGATGCGCACTCACTCACACCAGCCACGCACATGTTGTGAGCAATCCTGTGTGGCCTGCTCCCCCCTCCTGACCGGCCCCTCCTGACTGGCCCCAGCACCGCGTGGAAGAACATGGAGGAGCTCATCTGTCTGAGGATAGGAAGCAGCAGAGCACACGCAGGTGAGGGCAGAGCGGGGAACCCAAGTCCCGAGGAAGTTTCTCAGTAAGCGAGGCCCCGCGCTCTGGGAGGGCACCCCCAGGAAGCCCACACATAAAGCAACTGGACACACGCTCAACTACGACTGGGCAATGACAGTAGCTTAAAAAAAAAAAGTACACCACCAAACAGACAAAGACCAGAGACCACTTACATAAAAGCCCTGCTGCCTCCCCGGGAAGGGATTTCAAAACACTTCTTTAGGTGAGCACGACAGCACGTGCCTTTAATCACAGCTACTCAAGAGGCTGAGGCAGGAAGATGACTTGAGGCCATAAGTTTGAGGCCAATCTGGGCAACAGAGCAAGCCCACCTCTAAAAAAGTAAAAATAAAAAAATTAGGCGGGTGTGGTGACATGCGTCTGGAGTCCCAGCTACTCGGAAGGCTGAGGAAGGGGCATCATTTCAGTCCAAGAGTTGAGGCTGCAGTAAGCCATGACTGCACTCCAGCCTGGTCAACAAAGCAAGACTTGTCTCTTAAAAAAGCAAAACAACAACACATCTTTATATTATAGGGCACAGAAAGGAGCAAGATTATAAAACTAAAATAGGGTGAAAGAATGCAAGAGACTCAGAACTATGGCAAACTTATAACTAAAATTCCAAACTACAGGAAACTCTCAGAGCAAACGCTGCATCACATAAGCTGCTAGCCCGGCACATGATTGTGAAGAATCAGGAGTCCTCTCAGCACCAACAGACAGTCATGGACACAGCCCACAGGTGGCTCGACCCACCAGCCTCAGGCAGCATGGGGTTGAGAGGGGAAGCCCAGTTTGGCCGACTGTAGAACCCTGTTCTAGTCTCCTATCCACCCTCACCAAGGCACTAAATCACCAGCAAAGACTCTGAGAACATCAACATCTGTGTAACTAAGGAAAATGGAAGTGCAGGAAGGAATACATTTTTGTAATCAAAGGGCATGAAAAAAATTGCCTTCACTGAAAACACTGAAAAGGTACAACCCTATTATGTCTCCTGCTAGGAAAAATTTTCCTCTGCTTTTAAAGGATTAATAGCCACAAAATATTATTTTGTTATTCTGGTGTCCTCCAGAAAATGAGCCAACAGTTTGAAGGGTATGGGGTAAAGAGAAGAGAAGGAAAAGCTGCTTTTGAAAACACTGTTGACTCGCAAAGTTACCAGCACTCTATCAGGCTAATGCCTAGGTCAGGAGAAGACAGACGCAGTCACTACTATGGATCCTGAGGGCGAGAAACTCTGGATGCCACAAAGTGGCATGTTCAACCTTCCTACAAGCACACAGAGGTGAAGCCTGGAGAACAGGCAGGGACAGGCCCAGCTGGCCATGTGCTCAGCCACGCCTACCTCGCAAGGTCATTCTGAGGATGAAGGCATCATGGATCCAAATGCCACCTTGACGCTGAATGTACTACACAATAAAAGAACCACTGTAAATCACACTATTGACTCTTGCTTGGTTGATGTTCTTTCCTTTACAGTAAAGTGAACTCGTGGACAAACATCGTGTCCACAGACCACCATAAATGTAGTTTGTTGTTTTAAATAAAACTGAAATCAGACTTCCAAAAAGAAACATCTAAAAACTTCTCCTCTCCCATCCCACCAGAGCCATGGCCCACAACACAGCCCGACGCCCCGTCACACGCTCTCACAGGACAACTGCCCACACCAGTTAACCTGGTGTCACGGTGGAGGCGAGGTTGCGGTGAGTGGAGATCACGCCATTGCACTCCAGCCTGGGCGACAGAGCAAGACTCCATCTCAAAAAAATAAATAAATAAAAAATCTTGTGGAAGGAGGTACCACATATGCGGTCTGTTGTGGAACAAAATGCCGTTACGTGGGGCATGACTGTATTCTGTAGGGCACATTTGCAAAACAGCTCCTCTAGTCACATAGGTAACTGTTTTTGAGACAAGTTCTGGCTCTGTCACGCAGGCTAGAGTGCAGTGGTGTGATATGAGCTCACCGTAGCCTCGACCTCCTGGGCTCAGGCGATCCTCCCACCTCGGCTTCCCCAACTAGCTGTGACTACAGGCACGTGCCACCACACCTGGCTCATTTTTTTTTTTTTTTTTTTTTGGTAGAGACAGGGTTCTCACTATGTTGTCCGGGCTGGTCTCGAACTCCTGGGTTGCAGCAATCCTCCCGCCTCAGCCTCCCAAAGTGCTGGGATTACAGGCCTGAGCCGCCATGCCCGGCTTTCTAGGTAACTTTCCTATCAGCCTTCCTGACTGCTGCAGATAAGGCATGTTCTCACAGGGACAATTCAGGAAATGCACCAAAGCGTCCTCAAGGCCTGTCCACGAAGCTCCTCCTTCCAGCCAGACCCTGGGGCTTAGGGGTCAAATTCCTCACACCTTCCCCCAGCGCTCCTCACAAAGGATGCACTGCAGTCAATCCCAACTTAGCTCCAGCAAGAATAATCCCAGCACTTTGGGAGCCAACGCCGGCAGATCACCTGAGGACAGGAGTTCGAGAGCAGTCTGGCCAACATGGTAAAGCCCCGTCTCTACTAAAAAGACAAAAACTTACCGGGCGTGGTGGCACACACCTGCAATCTCGGCTACTCAGGAGGCTGAGGTGGGAGAATCACCTGAACCCCGAAGGCAGAGGCTGCAGTGAACCAAGATCGCATAACTGCACTCCAGCCTGGGTGACAAAGGGAGATTCCATCTCAAAAAAAAAAAAAAAAAAAACCTTCAGCCAGAAAATCACCAAAGTCCTAAGTCTGGTTATGCCCTTTGTTTTCTATTTCTTAATAATAAAAACACAGCAAGGGGTTTGGTGCTGTGAGCAAGGGGCTCTCTGAGAGTCGGCACCCACACGTGCTGGTCTCCAGGACAGACATGTCTCAGGCCAACGGCACTGACAGAAGCACAGACCCTCACTGCCAGGTCACGGCGGGCACGGGAAACCCACACCTGGGCCTCGGCCACACTCCTGAGGGCGACAAAACACCAGCCGGCGCGCTCTGAGACTTGCGGTCAGTCCTAGAGGAGAAGCAGCAGCTGCTGAGAAGGCCGCACGGGCAAAGGAGCCACCGTGCACCGTGACAAGACAACATGTTCGTTGGCCATGCCCGGTGTCAGCACGCAGACACACAGGCACCAGAGGCTGCAGCGAGGAAGACAGATGTGCTTCCCCAGTGCTTATGGTCTGGGTGGGGACAGAAAAGAGACAAGGAAGGCCCAGGGCAGGACATCAGACACAGGGTTTTAGTTAACCAGGACTGTGATGCCGGCATCTGCCTGGAGGAAGGAAGGACAGACTTCTGAAGAAGATGGACCTCAGTGCCTCCTTCACGCTGATAAGCGATCCCACCAAGCATGACCCACAGCACAGGACAAAGCCTTGTGTCCAGGACAGGGTGCCCTCCGGGAGGCAGCAGAAAGGACAGCTGTGGAATATGGAAGGGGAAAAGGAAAAGGGAACAGGAGACAAATCAGCAACATTAAGAACATCAGGCCGGACGTGGTGGCTCACGCCCATAATCCCAGCACTTTGGGAGGCCAGGGGAAGGGGGAGCAGATCACTTGAGGTCAGGAGTTTGAGACCAGCCTGGACAATATGGTGAAACCCTGTCTCTACTAAAAACACAAAAAATTAGCCGGACATGGTGGCAGGCATCTGTAACCCCAGGTACTCGGGAGGCTGAGGCTGGTGAAGCCCAGGTACTCGGGAGGCGGAGGAGGCGGTGAGTTGAGACGTGCCACTGCACTCCAGCCTGGGCAACAAGAGCGAAACCCCGTCTCAAAAAGATAAAAAAAAAAGAACACGCAGACAGAAAAGAATGACCTAAGAAGGCACACGAGGAACATCAGCAAAGGACTGACAGAAAAAGACTCATATTTTTATATAAGGAACACGGGGGGAAAAAGAAAAAAAAATTAAAAGGAAAAGATGAATAGATGATATGGCCAGAGGTTTAAAGAAAGAGACAACGAGATAAAAGCAGGAAGCCCCAGCAACACTGGGCTGCCTCCCCAGGCCCTTCCCAGCATTTCCTGCCAGCAGGGCCCCTGCCCCAAGCCAAAAAGGAACCACGTTCGCCTCGTCAGGGCTGTTGCACGACAGCCGCACACACCTAAGAAACAAACTCCTTCTGGGCCGCGCAACATGGCTCACACCTGCAATCCAAGCACTTTGGGAGGCCGAGGCAGGTGGATTGCTTGAGTTCAGGAGTTCAAGACCAGCCTGAGTAACACGGCGAGACGCCGTCTCTATCAAACACACATACACACACACACACACATAGACACACACAGAATTAGCCAGGCATTGTGGTGTGCCCCTGCAGTCCCAGCTACTTGAGAGGCTGAAGCAGGAGGATCGCTTGAGCCCAGGAGGCAGAGGCTGCAATGAGCCGTGATCCGGCCACTGCACTCCCACCTGAGTGAGAGTCAGATCCTGTCTCCCTCCAAAAAAAAAAAAAAAAAAAAAGAAGAAGAAGAAATATTAACTCCTTTGTCCACATAGTAAAACTCAGTCTTCCATTAACTTCAAAAAGCCAAACTGATAAGTTTTTAAGTAAAGAACAAACACATCTATAGCGAAGTGTGGAAAATCACTGTGGTCACTCCCCAGCTACAGCTGCCATGCAGTGGTAGTGCCCCTGCCCTCAAGCTGGTCCCAGACTCAAACAGGAAGCCACTGCACATGTGTGACCACTGGCCAGGCAAAGAGAGGCCAAGACAGCTCGAAGGACTTGCGCATGGCCCCAGAAGGCTGCACTATGTGGCAAGCACTGGATGCATACAGATACTCGGCCAAGAAACTCCCTGAGAGAGCTCACACCAGCGCTGTTCCCTCAGAAGCCCAGTTCTCCACCCTAGAGAAGTGGCAGCCCTTCCACATTCACTTTAGCCTTGGGCTACCACAGACATGGTGACCAGGACAAAGAGGCGTGAAGCTGGCAAAACCACCAGGTTTGATGCACAGAAAGGCCAGCATCAGCACCCAGTTGCCTGGGCAGAGGAGGAAGAGGATGGCAGGTACACAGGCCGTTAGAAACGGCCTCACCCTGACCCTGAGCGTGGTGGCAAGTGGCCGACCCAGATTCCCTCACCCTGCTCTGGCACACCGCAGGCCAGCTGCATCTGGCAGGAGTGTAACAGCCAGTGCCCAGGCTGACGAGCGTGAGCACTGCCCCACACACACTCAGACCCTCAGGAAGAGCATGAAAGACGTCCCAGCCGTGCCCACAGCTACAGCAGCCCCTCCTCGCACCCCCTGCCACCCTCCCTAGAGTCCAGCGCTAATACAACCACCTCTGGCCTCAGAGTCCCCGGGACTCACTCACTCACTTCACTGATCAGCCGTGGAATCCTGAATTCAAACCCTACTTCCTAAACATCTTTTGAGGCCTACATTCCTCTTGTAATAAAAATAAGGAAAATGCAATTTTCTGGGATTTTGTAGGAAAAAAAGAGAACATAAGTGAAGATATCTAGCAGAGCATGTGCCTCTCACAGACCTTAGGAGTTACTGGGAAATACAAGTGAACAGGCCGCTGTGGAGTGCGGTTTCTAAAAGTAGGAGGAATACAGAAAAGGCGGCCCCAACCCTGCCTCTGGGAGCAAAACCAAAAAGAGCCACAGCCACAGCAGAGAATTCAGAAAAGCCACCTGCACAAAAGGCCAGAGCAGCCAAGGGAAGCTGGGGGCCCAGGCCAGTGAGCCCTGGGGCCAGGTATCAGGCCCCTCAAAGAGCAGAAAACAGATTTTTTAGGTGAAGCCGACGGTCTGAGGAAATGAGATGAGCTCACACACCTGATGACAGCTTCCCTCAGCAATTCCACCCGCCTCCACAGGACTCAGACCAAGTCCTGGTGTTAGAATAAATCACTAGGCTACAAGAAAGCTCAAACCCCCACAGGTTCTAGCACTCCTAGCCACCAACACAACTCTGTTCAAGATCCACCTATCAACAGGGGTGGGGTGGGAAGGCGGTCCCCATCCTCAGGCCATTCTTCCTCCGTGGGTTGCAGCCAGGGTTTCCTGTGGGTCGTCTTGTGCACGTCACGGCCCTGCCCACAGCATAAAAACATACAGGTGTGAGGGAGATGAGCAAGACAGCTAGCTTTTCACAAGAGCAGGAAAGGCTGGGTGCTGCGACTCACGCCTGTAATCACACAGCGTTGGGAGGCAGAGGAGGAAGGACTGCTTAAGGCCAGGAGTTCCAGGCCAGTCTGAGCAACATAGCAAGATCCTGTTGTACCAAAACACACACACACACGAAAACTGGTTGTCGTGTTACTAAAAGTTTCCATTACAACACTGAAGTTTAGAATACAGTATTACTAGGCCAAAATATCCTGGCATTTTATAGGATTTCTTTAACAAAATCTGATCACATCTAAACTGGCATCTTTCTGCTCACTTCTCAATTTCAATCTAAATTTATTTATTTATTTATTTATTTTTTGAGATGGGAGTCTCGCTCTGTCGCCCAGGCTGGAGTGTAGTGGCACAATCTCAACTCACTGCAAGCTCCGCCTCCCGGGTTCACGCCATTCTCCTGCCTCAGCCTCCTGAGTAGCTGGGACTACAGGCGCCCGCCACCACGCCCGGCTAATTTTTTGTATTTTTAGTAGAGACGGGTTTTCACGGTGTGAGCCAGGATGGTCTCGATCTCCTGACCTCGTGATCCGCCCGCCTCGGCCTCCCAAAGTGCTGGGATTACAGGCGTGAGCCACCGCGTCCAGCCTCAATCTAAATTTAAAACACAGTTTGCTGTTCAGCTACAGGGCAGAATTTCACACGGAGCAGGCACCTCACAGATGCCAACCCGGTGGGTACGGCCCTTTGAGTGTCACCTAAAGCCTCATAACATCATCACCAAGCCCATCCCCAAAAGCTGTAGTTAGTAAGCCACCAGGATTTGATATTTAGAAACTTTTCCCACTAACAAAAAACAAGCAAGAATAAATTTTAAACAAAGGCTGACTGTACCAAGGAAATGGAGATAATAAACAGAAAAAGACTCATGGACACTGGTGTTGGGAGTGATGGTCTTAGCCCTCAGACCAGACTAAGACACCCTGCAGAGCTGAGGCTGTCAGGAACCACGCAGAGCCACGGAAGGGAAACACCTGCCCCCGGGCTACAAAGGCCACCCTCTGCCCTCTGCTTACTGCTCTGGTTCTGCCCTCCAGACACAAGCAGGTCCCTAAAGCAGTTGCTATCCTGCTGACGTGCTGACACCATCAGATATGAACAAGAATCCCAGTTTTATTTTTCCTAATAAATAAATCATCCATTTAGCAAAACGTCAACGATACCAAAAGCTATGAAAGCATCCTTGGATTTACAAAGAACCCTCGCTTCTCATTTCCCTTATTTTCCCATGCCCAGGCAGAGAGCCCTCTAAGCCCATGGGAAGCTTAACAGAAGGGGGTGGGGAGTGGCCAACTGTGGCCAGGGCAAGACAGAAACCACATGTGCGTGAACACGTGTTCTACACAGAGCCTTATGTACTGGGCCACAGAATAAGCAGAGCTGGGCAGCTCCTGCTGCCAAAGTCAACATGTTCAGGCTGCCCGGCCTCCACAGGCGCTTTCCTGAAAGCTGCCTGCAGAGAGAAGGGTGGCCAGGGCAGGAGGCAGGATCCTGAAGCTGCCTGCAGAGGGAGGGGCGGCCAGTGCAGGAGGCAGGTTCCTGAAGCTGCCTGCAGAGAGAAGGGTGGCCAGGGCAGAAGGCAGCAGCACAGGGGCTCGGGCCCACGCTGGCTGTCCACACCCAGGGCCACGCCTCCATGACGGTGCCCTCCACCACATCCCCTCTCGTGTGTGCTGGTGCCACCACGGGGGCCCAGGGACCTTTTTGCTCTACTTCTCTTTCAAACTTGCAGCCCTGTGCCAGCAGCCAGCACTGCCTTCAGAATCCCTGCACACAGCGGTGGGAAACCTTGACTGCACCGGAAGAGGAGCAGGCTGCCCTGGCTGGGCCAGACGCTACACATCTTGCTGTCGAGATGGTCTACATTTCTTCCTTTTTTCTTTTTCTTGTAATCCTTCTGTCACCTAGAGCTGGAGTGCAGTGGTGTGATCATAGCTCACTACAACCTCTGCCTCCCGAGCTCAAGAGATCCTCCTACCTCAACCTCCTGAGTAACCATGACGACAGGCACACACAACCACGCCTGGCTAATTTTTGTATTTTTTGGAGAGATGGGGTCTTGCCACGTTGCCCAGGCTGGTCTCGAACTCCTGACCTCAGGCAATCCTCCCACCTCAGCCTCCCAGAGTGCTGGGATTACGGCCAGTTTACATTCGGAACCCACCACTATCCCCTTGTTGACAGTAAGCACATCCCAAATCATTTTTCCCAATGGACAACACAAATAAATAATTAAGATCCTTATTCTAGAGTGGGGAAAAAAAGAGACTAGAATTCTCAGCAGAACTTGAGGAATCCAATGGCCAGTAACGAAGATGCCTCCCAGAGTCTCCTGGCCATGTTCCATCCCTCCCCTCAGCCAGGTACTGGGGTGAGATGCCTCCCAGAGTCTCCTGGCCGTGCCCCATCCCTCCCCTCAGCCAGGTACTGGGCTGAGATGCCTCCCAGAGTCTCCTGGCCGTGCCCCATCCCTCCCCTCAGCCAGGTACTGGGCTGAGATGTCTCCCAGAGTCTCCTGGCCGTGCCCCATCCCTCCCCTCAGCCAGCTACTGGGCTGAGATGCCTCCCAGAGTCTCCTGGCCGTGCCCCATCCCTCCCCTCAGCCAGGTACTGGGCTGAGATGCCTCCCAGAGTCTCCTGGCCGTGCCCCATCCCTCCCCTCAGCCAGGTACTGGGCTGAGATGCCTCCCAGAGTCTCCTGGCCGTGCCCCATCCCTCCCCTCAGCCAGGTACTGGGCTGAGATGCCTCCCAGAGTCTCCTGGCCGTGCCCCATCCCTCCCCTCAGCCAGGTACTGGGCTGAGATGCCTCCCAGAGTCTCCTGGCCGTGCCCCATCCCTCCCCTCAGCCAGGTACTGGGGTGCTCAGGCCACACCGGACCCTCCATCTCCTTCCTCCTACCTTCCTCTTCTTCTCAACAAAATCTAAGCAAGTTGTAAATGGGCCTTCTGGTGGCAATGATGTATTAAGACACGCAGAGCCCTTACCCCATTTGCTACAGGAACCCAATTACATCTGGGAAGAAACAAGCAGGACAGGAAAAAGGTACATTGGTGTTTTTGCATCCATAAAGTTCACTTCAATTTAAATAGAACTTACTGAGTACTCTTTTGCTAGATCCAGGCAAAATGTTTTTCACCCTCAGATACAAAAACATAGAGGAAAAAATTCCCTTAAGCCAGCTGTAAAAAATGATGGTATTAAAAAAATAAAACACTGGCCCCATGAGAATCACTGTAGTTAACAAAAGAAATACAGTAACCGCAATATTATAACCTACAAACAAAAAGCCATTCTCAGTCCCCCAGCAGGACCTCTCCATGCCTCCCAGGTCAGCAGAGGACAGAGGACAGCAGAGGTCACAGGTCAGCAGAGGTCCCAGCACTCAGAGCCGGATTCCAGCTAAAAGCACACATGAGGGAAAACAGCTGACAGCCAGAGCTCCCAATGGGGAGCTCCAATGTTCCAAACCCTCCCCCAGGCCCTGGGACTCTCTGCCCATCAACCAGAGCCTGGAGGGGGAGGGAGTAGGAGGGGGCGCCGCTCAGCCACAAGTGCCCATTTTCACATGAACAGGTCTAACTTAAATGACACAGCATCTTCTATAAGTTACTGCAGTTTAAAGATGCCTAGCCACAGATAATTCCTCAGAACTCTAAAATAAAAACTGATTCTACTAAACAATGGAGTTATTTATCTTGGCATAATTACTACGCATATTTTTTTGATAATAATGGAAGTATGGTGTTACCTGTTTCTAAATCTTAACAAAAACTTATGTTGAAAATGGAAGTGGACTGGGCGCAGTGGCTCACGCCTGTAATCCCAGCACTTTGGGAGGCTGAGGTGGGCAGATCACGAGGTCAGGAGACCGACACCATCCTAGCTAACACGAGGAAACCCCGTCTCTACTAAAGATACAAAAAATTAGCCGGGCGTGGTGGCGGGCACCTATAGTCCCAGCTACTTGGGAGGCTGAGGCAGGAGAATGGCGTGAACCCGGGAGGCGGAGCTTGCAGTGAGCCGAGGTCGCACCACTGCACTCCAGCCTGGGCGACAGCCAGACTGTCTCAAAAAAAGAAAAAAATAAAGGAAATGGAAGTGAACTCACAGTGGCACCTACAAATCCCTTACAGACCTGCAAACCTAGTCCTGTGGCTGTCAGCAGCCGCCAGGAACCCCTGGAGCATTCTACGGCAGGACACAGAAACAGCCGACAAGCTCCCCAGGGGTGAGGGTGCCAGGGAGACTCTGCACTCCCACAACGCCCTAGGATGCAGAGGGGCCTGCCCAGAAAGAGCCTCTCTCTGCTTTCAAGGCCAGACTGGGGGGAGGCAGGAGGGTGGTACCAAAAACAGCAGCCCTTCCCCTCCCCACCTCCAACCTGGCCACCCAGACAGGGACCCCAGCACAGCAACAGCAAGCGGAGGGGGCTCGGCTCTGGCTGAGCTGACTTCCAGCCCAGCCACCACCACGGGCCTGCACACCCTCCGCCACGGGCCTGCACACCCTCCAGGATGCCACAGGCACAGCTGCTCGGACTGCGCACTCGGGGACACTGAGGCGCACGATCGCACCTGCCTTACAAGTTCAACATTTCAGCAAGACAGAACCTGATTACTTTTCCATCTTAAATGGAGATGTCAATTAAAAATGTAAAACATTAAGTCCAAGCCTCTTTTCATATGAACAACACTGCCTTTGTTATCATTAACAAACCACTTTCAAAACCCCCAATTTTTGGGAAAGGTAATTTGAAAGTCCCATTTCACAGCAAGCACAAATGGAACACCCACATGTTGCAAGGGTCAGCAGTCCGCTGTCACTCACGGCCACACTCACTGGGAACCGCGTGCTGGGGTCATCGGGGGTCACGCAGCCGCACCGCCTGAGAGGACTAACCCTTCTGTTTTGCCAAGAAAGATGTCAGCTTCAACTACTTTTATACTGGAGAAACAATTTACAAACTAAAATTGTTTTAAAGCCTCTATTTTCATGCAGTTTTGTTTCTGTAAAGTGTTATTTAATCTCCAAGGAAGTCTTTACAGTAGATACGACCGTGACCACTGTCCTGGGTAGGAGACTGAGGCTCGGAGAGTGGAAGGGAGGGGCCAGGGCCACAGAGCTAGCACCAGTCAGCCCATCACACAAGGCTGTCGGGGACCCTATGTCACTGCGGCCACACCTGGCCCAACCTCAGGGCAGGACCAGCCTAGAATCCATCCAAGCTGGGCACCTAAGTCACGCCCAGATGGGAGAGAAGAGCACAGCACCGTGTACTGAAGAAGCGACTGTGGATCTCATCTCAACGGCTCACATTCCACCCCAAGGAATCAAAGTGAAACACGGGAATGACACAAATACCAACATGAAAAATATCAGAGCACCTGTAACATTCTTATTCTTCTTTATTTGGGACAGGGTCTCACCCTGCGGCCCAGGCTGGAGTGCAGTGGTGTGATCATAGCTCACTGCAGCCTCAACCTCCTGGGCTCAAGTGATCCTTCCTCCCCGCTCAGCCTCCCCAAGTAGCTGAGACCACAGGCGCATGCATGCCACCATGCCTGGCTCATTTTTTTATTTTTTGTAGAGATGCGGTCTCGTCATGTTACTCAGGCTGGTCTCGCACTCCTGAGCTCAAGTGATCTACCCACCCCTTCCTCCCAAAGTGCTGGGATTACAGGTGGGAGCCACTGCACCTGGCCAGCTATTCTTTTTTTTTTTTTTTTTTTTTGAGATGGAGTCTCCCTCTGTCGCCCAGGCTGGAGCGCAGTGGTGCGATCTCGGTTTACTGCAAGCTCCGCCTCCCAGGTTCACGCCATTCTCCTGCCTCAGCCTCCCGAGTAGCTGGGACTACAGGCGCCTGCCACCATGCCCGGCTAATTTTTTGTATTTTTAGTAGAGACGGGGTTTCACCGTGTTAGCCAGGATGGTCTTGATCTCCTGACCTCATGATCCACCCGCCTCGGCCTCCCAAAGTGCTGGGATTACAGGTGTGAGCCACTGCGCCCGGCAAGCTATTCTTTTTTTAAACCCTGCATTTTAATGCCAGATAAAACAATGGAGAACAGGCATTCAAGACCAGCCTGGCCAACACAGTGAAACCCTATCTCTACTAAAAACACAAAAATCAGCTGGGTGTGGTGGTGGGTACCTGTAATCCCAGCTAGTTGGGAGGCTGAGGCAGGAGAAACTCTTGAATCTGGGAGGTGGAGGTTGCAGTGAGCCGAGATTGCACCACTACACTCCAGGCCCTGCACAACAAAGCTAGACTCTGTCTCAAAAAAAAAAAAAAAAAAAAACAATGGAGAACCAGCCTCAGTGAGGTCCTCAGGAGGCCCTCACATGCCCATGTGGGTCACGGCGCCTCTGGTCACACTGCGCCCAACCTCTGCTCAGCAGGGCCTCTCTGTAGCAACACTGCAGTCTCCCTGATGGGAGGCCACAACAGACCTCATGCTAAGGGCCTTCCTCGTATTCAATCTAACCACCACAGGCAAACAAAAGACAAAATCAATACTGAGGATCTATAGTTCACAAAAGTGACAAATGGCATTAAACACCTTAGATTATTACTGTGGCATGGTCAAAAATGCCAACATTTCCTATGTCATCAAACCTAAGTATCAGTACATCTATTGTTCTCAATCCACTAGAGTGCTAGACATTTAGGCCAATTCCAGGTCCTGTCAGCAGAGTTGCTGATAGCTTGCTCCCCTTTAATCAGAGAAGCCTGTATTTTGAATCCATCGATTTTTTTTTTTCCCCAGAGACAGAGTCTTGCTCTGTCGCCCAGGCTCAAGTGCGGTGTTGTGATCTTGGCTCACTGAAACCTCCGCCTCCCAGTTCAAGCAACGCTCCTGCCTCAGCCTCCCAACTAGCTGGGATCACAGGCATTCGCCACCACGTCCGGTTAATATTTACATTTTTAATAGAGATGGGGTTTCACCATGTTGGCAGGCTGGTCTGGAACTCCTGGCCTCAAGTGATCCACCCACCTTGACATCTCAAAGTGCTGGGATTACAGGCGTGAGCCACTGTGCCTGGCCACTAATTGCTGATTAATAATTTTATTTTTCACACTAGTAAGCAGCATTTTGGCCAGGTGTGGTGGCTCACACCTGTAATCCCAGCACTTTGGGAGGCTGAGGCAGGAGGATTGCTTGAGAGCAGGGGTTCAAGACAGGCCTGGACAACGTAACAAGACTCTGTTTCTACAAAAAAAAAAAAAAAATTAAAAAAAGAAAATGCAGCATTTTGCTTTTCCTTGTCATACATTAAGGTCAGCAGTATCCTTTTCACAAAGAGGCACAGCTCAGACCCTGGGGTGTGGGGTGCTCCCTCATCGCTGCCCCCCTTTTCCCATGTACCTGGCCCCTCCATGGCACCCCTTTTATCACAACCAGGCTCAGTCCACCTCCAGATCTTGAAAAATGTCTCACCTGATCACAAACATGCCCACTACCCAGGCTGGCTTCATTCTAACTACAAACCATCCCACAGATTAAGAGAAGACAATTCTAGACCTATTTTCAAGGATATCTCAGATTCCCTTTCCTTCAAACCTCACCTCTATTTCCAAGGAAAGAATTCAGTCATATGAAAGAAAGCAGTCAGGTGTATTTTAAAGTGGCCTGACTCCAGGCGACTGAGATAAGGAACAGATACACCAAACTATGAAGCTCCCGAAAGAAGCTGCAGGAAAGGTTCTTTCACGTTTGCTGGGAGTAACAACACAAAACAGATTATGTATTTTTGGAATGTTCACTTTAAAACCATGACTCACACCTGGCCAAAATATGAAAATTTAATTTAGCCAAGTTTTCTCTTCAACTGCTGTCAATCCACATATCAGAGAAAATAACCTGCCAGTTCACCATGCGTCTCTGGAAGGAGGGAGGACTCTGCCCTACAGCGACACGTGCTTGCTCAGAGCCAAGGCCAAAGTCTTTTTGGAGACTGCTGCCGCTCCTCTCAAAAAACATGCCAGTGACTCCCAGGAGGAGGCAAGGAGTCAGGGCTGGCGAACCAGGCTCCCACTCCTTACCTGCCAACCATACACACTGGTCTCCAGCTCCTAGGAAAAGCCAGAATAGCCATCTAGAGGGTTCAGCAACAGCACTATGCCCAGAAGCACAGGACAGCCCGGCGAGACCACCAGGAACCTAACAAGAGCACAACAGCTCCCAGGATACAGAATCCTCATCCAAGGACAACCCAGCAAGACCACCAGGATCCTAACGAGCAGAACAGCTCCCAGGATACAGAATCCTCATCCAAGGACAACCAGGCAAGACCACCAGGATCCTAACGAGCAGAACAGCTCCCAGGATACAGAATCCTCACGCAAACTGTTAACACAACATGCTCAGAGCACACAACACACAGCACAGGGTGGGGGTCTCAGTCATCACCAGACCATCTGAGGATGAAGAAAATTAAAGGAGGACAAGAGGAAATAAACTTCTTTTATAGGCTATTAACAACCTATTTAATTTTTCAGCAGATTTCTTCTCACTGTGACACCAAGGATCCCATTCATTAATCCAAAAATGCTTACCTGTTACCACTCTGAATACACTCTAAGTGAAATCCAGAACAAAATTCACAACATTTCGACAAAACTCTATCAAGTCCAAGAAAACCAACCTGGACACTCACGCATTATTTTGATACTTATTTTTACAAATCAATGACAAAAACATAAATTGATAGAGAATGCAGTGAGTATTTACCGATTCCATAGCTGAAAGTCAGTGCTGACGAGGACTGTCTTTTAAATCCAATGGAGGTGTGTCCCAGAGCAGGGCTGTATATATTCTGAAACAAGAGAGTGAGATTAGCTCATGTCAATAATAATTTCAGCCTCAGTTCTTTCATCGCTCTCGTCTCCCTCCATTTGGTCCACACGGTTTATTCCATCGCCCTTCCTCTCCCATGACCCACTGCTCAGCTCCTGGTCACTGTGCCAAGGCCAAAACTTAACTTCATTCATCAAATACCTTTACGTCACAATGCAGCAATTGCAACAACTTAAAGGTAAATCCAAAGTCCAGCACAAAAAAGAGTAGATGACACTGATACAATCTTGTGAAATCACCATAAAACCAGATTTTAGAGGCTCTGGGGCTTTTTATACGTAAGAAACCAAATAACCCAAGTGGGCAATCTCGCCACAGAAACAAAACATTACCAGTAAGCTAAGTTTTTAAAAGGCCTTTTTTTTTTTTTTGGAGACAGAGTTTCACTCTTGTCCCCCAGGCTGGAGTGCAGTGGCGTGATCTCAGCTCACTGCAACCTCCACCTCCCCTCCTGGGTTCAAGCGATTCTCCTACCTCAGCCTCCCGAGTAGATGGGATTACAGGCGCTCGCCACCCACCCCCGGCTGATCTGGACCTCCTGACCTCAGGTGTTCCAATCACCTCGGCCTTCCAAAGTGTTAGGATTACAGGCGTCAGCCACCATGCCCAGCCTTAAAAGGCTAATTTTAACTTTAAGAAGCATATTAAGTTTTAAACTACATAAAAGGTGCAAAAAAAGATAAGGTGGTTTTCATTTCCACTGAGTATTTTAAGAGGAAAAGATTATACTGCAGTACCATTTTTTTAAAAAGCTGAATAAAGCCATGCATGGTGGCTCACGCCTGTAATCCCAGCACTTTGGGAGGCCGAGGTGGGCGGATCACTTGAGGTCATGAGTTCAAGACCAGCCTGGCCAACAGGGCAAAACCCCGTCTCTACTGAAAATACAAAAAATTAACCAGGTGTGGTGGCTTGTACCTGTAACCCCAACTACTTGGGAGGCTGGGGCAGGTGAATCACTTGAATCTGCGAGGCAAAGGTTGCAGTGAGCTGAGACTGCACCACTGCACTCCAGCCTGGGTGACAGAGCGAAACTCGTCTTAAAAAAAAAAAAAAAAGGCAGCTGAATAAAACTATATAATTTCCCTGAAGAGCTCTGGGGACTCCAAGAATAAAACAAACCAGTCTAAATGGGGGAAAAAAAATCTATACCCATGTTACTTCAGTCCCATCCAAACATCAGGCTCTCCTCCAACTCCAAACACTTCCGTGTGCAGAACCAGGGAAGGAAGCACAGACAGGATTGAAGGCAGCTCCCAGGACAGGGCTTGCTGGTGCAGGGTTCCCCGGCTCTGCACTTAGCATCCGAGAGAATCGCGTGTTTCCTGAGCAACACTCCTGGCACATGCGTTTTGCAAAGATGGAGTGAGGTTTTTCCTCCTTACACTCCTGGAAGATGGAGTGAGGTTTTTCCTCCTTACACTCCTGGACAGGATTGTTCAAAGCTGCCATTAACCTCAAGGACCATTAAAAATAAGTGTGTGATGGGTGCGCTGGCTCACGCCTGTAATCCCAGCACTTCAGGAGGCTGAGGCAGGCGGATTGCTTGAGCCCAGAAGTTGGAGACCAGCCTGGGCAACACGGCGAGTCCCCATCTCTACAAAAAATTCAAAAAATTAGCTGGGCATGGTGGCGTGCGCCTGTAGCCGGAGCTACTCACACCACTGCACAGCAGCCTCAATCCATCAATCAATAAAAATAAATGTGAATACGCAGCTTCTAGTCACCACACAGCCTGGTTTCAGTGAAAAGCAGCAAGTGTGCCACGAAGCTTTCCGTAAAAGAGCTCAGAGAGGGGAAGAGCATCAGCAGCAGGAAGCCAGCGAGGAACCCCAGCATCGACCTCCAGAGTCCTGAGAGCACTCAAAGCATCATGAGTCCAACGATTTGCAAGCTCACTGCCACTGGCATTTGGGTTCAGCGCGCCAACAGGGTTGAGCAGCGTCGGTCTTCTAGATGCCAGTAAGGCCACCCAGCAAATCCTGGCAACCAAAAATGTCTCCAGACGATGTCCGCTAAAGGGCAAAACACGCCGGTGAGAACTGCTGCTTTAATGCAGCTGCTGTTTCCCATGTATGAAGAAACTGGGCCCAAATCAGGTGAAAGTGAAAAACATCAGTTAAAAGTGAAACAAAACTCAGTTTTCTGTTGTCTTAGGGTCCCACAGGGTATGGAAAGCAAGTTGGGAAGAGAAAATTCTGGTCTGAAGGTCTTTTCTTTCTGACTGACAGACAATCTCAGTAACTGATCCCATTATCTCTGGAAGACAGTACCAATCCAGAGCCTCTAAAATATTTGGAATAAACATTACAGATTTTTCTTAAGAGACAGGGTCTCACTGTGTTGCCAAGGCTGGGAATGGAGTGGTGCAAACACAGCTCACTGCGGCCTCAACCTCCTGGGCCCAAGGGGTCCTCCCACCTCAGCCTCCCAAGTAAAGACATTTTCTAAGGTGTGAAAAAAAGCTTCATTTAGAATACATGTTCACATCAAAACCACCACCACGACTATAAACAAGCTATGTTGTCAAACAGAAAAGCACCAGGCTACACTTCTTACTGTCAGCTCCTGCCTACAGCAACTCAGGAATCAACAGGCCTGTGGAGGCTGAGTGCAGACAGAGACCATGGAGACATGAAGGGTCAGTGTGTGATGACGGAGTCAGGGAGTCAGGGATGGGACCATCACCCATCCATGTCTGGGGGTGGGGCTGAGACACGAAGGGTCAGTGTGTGATGACGGAGTCAGGGATGGGACCATCACCCGTCCATGTCTGGGGGTGGGGGTGAGACACGAAGGGTCGGTGTGTGATGACGGAGTCAGGGATGGGACCATCACCCGTCCATGTCTGGGGGTGGGGGTGAGACACGAAGGGTCGGTGTGTGATGACGGAGTCAGGGATGGGACCATCACCCGTCCATGTCTGGGGGTGGGGGTGAGACACGAAGGGTCGGTGTGTGATGACGGAGTCAGGGATGGGACCATCACCCGTCCATGTCTGGGGGCGGGGGTGAGACACGAAGGGTCGGTGTGTGATGACGGAGTCAGGGATGGGACCATCACCCGTCCATGTCTGGGGGTGGGGCTGAGACACGAAGGGTCGGTGTGTGGTGACGGAGTCAGGGATGGGACCATCACCCGTCCATGTCTGGGGGCGGGGGTGAGACACGAAGGGTCGGTGTGTGATGACGGAGTCAGGGATGGGACCATCACCCGTCCATGTCTGGGGGCGGGGGTGAGACACGAAGGGTCGGTGTGTGATGACGGAGTCAGGGATGGGACCATCACCCGTCCACGTCTGGGGGTGGGGGTGAGACACGAAGGGTCGGTGTGTGATGACGGAGTCAGGGATGGGACCATCACCCGTCCATGTCTGGGGGTGGGGGTGAGACACGAAGGGTCAGTGTGTGATGACAGGACCACTGCCCATCCATGTCTTGGGGCAGGGGTGGGGGTAACCAAAACCAGAATCCAGTTAAAACAACAGGGAGTTGCTTCTACCTATGGAAATGGCAACAGGACAAGATGATAACCCAGGTGCTAAGGAGTCGGCTACACGCATTCTGTGTTAGGAAACCCAGGAGGTACTAATGGCGGCTCTCTCTGAATGGTGGAGCAATGTGAGGTTTTAAATGCTCTTACCACTCTGGACTCCTTACTCTCATCAACCCCTTTAAGTGGGTTATTTGCCACGTTAGGGATAGGGAAAGAAAATTATTTAATACAATCAACGGGTAAAAAGTTAAAGTTACCTAAGAAGAAAGAGCTCTAGGCCAAACCTATAATCCCAGAACTTTAAGAGGCCGAGGTGGGAGGATCACTTCCGCACAGAAGCTCAAGGCTGCAGTCAGTTAGGGTGGCACCACTGCACTCCACCTGGGCGAGCGACTGAGACCCTAAGAATATCCAAACCATTAAAAGAATTTTTTTACAGAATTTTTCTTTTAAAAAAAGCAATTTTAAAAAAAAGGATCTTGGATGTTATCACCAAAAAGAAGTGGTATTTGAGGGGATGGACACAGTAACCACCCTGGTCTCATCGGTAAACAAGGCATCCACGGACTGAGGCATCCTACCGGACTCCACTAACAGGTGCGACTATGGGTCAGTAATAAACACACTTTTCAATATGTCAAGTAATAACACGATATTCGCGCTGACCCAATCGCACCCCACCTCTTTCAACGCCCTGGGCTCTCCCCTCGCTTTGTTGCATGAGAGCTGCTTTACTCACTGCTCTCGACGAACAGTCACAGCCACGAGCACCGTCCGAAACAGAATCACAGCCTCCCTGGGAAGGAAGCTGGGCAGACCTGATGCTTATTTTTGGAAAGGAACGGAAGTTCAAGATTGCTCATGTTTTTATTACAGTCTCCCTTTTCTCCCCTAAGAGAATCACAAGTTTCAGGAGACTCTGACTGACACAACTGTATTAATGTTTAATTCACTCCCACTTTAATCACTTTTTTCTTTTTTTCTTTCTTTATATCAAAGCACATCAATAATCACTTTTTTCAATCAGGAGATCTACAACTGCTTGCTAACCATAGTCTTCAATCCGCTAAGATGAGCAATTCTTTCTGTCCACACTGACTAACCCCAACTGACAGCAGAGAAAAACCACGAGGCCTGTGGCTGCCCCACACCGCTGCTCCTTCAGACAACCAAGGGCCACGGTGGTTTCACAGCTGTGAGCTCAGGCCCCTCAGCTCCCTCCCGTGAGCCACCTTCCCAACACCCTCAGAGCCCAGGAGTCCATGTTAGCAAAGACAGGTCCCTACACTGGCCTTGGTCTCAAAACGCTGCTAGCCAGAGCTATGACCTTATGCAAACAATGATTTTCATTCGCGTTAGGCTGGGTGGGAGGGTCCACAGGGGAGCCACTGACGATGGGCATCTGCCCCCGACACTGGCTGACTAACCAGCACCATTAACCCTGGGCTCCGAACGGCAGTCACACCAGCCTGTCTCAGGGCCAGGTCTGTCTTTTCCCTGCTTCCCACAGAACGGCCCGCAGTGCATTCCTTTCATGAGTACAGGAGCATACGGATGGGTTTTAAGAGACTAGTGCGGAGCTGTGGCTTTCTTGACAAATACTTTTTCAGTAACTTCAAATACATGCACAGAGAAGGCATGAGATGTGTGGTTAGAGTTAACCTGAAAGCACAAGGTGGTGCCTGCAGCAGCAGGCACTCAGCACCTGACCCAACTCAACTCAAACATGTGAGCCCACCATTACTAGAGGTCAAAAATGGTCCAATAAACTCCACTCAGTTGTTCACAGCTGTTTTATTCATAAGCACCAGAAACTGGAATCAGCCCAGATGTGCTTCGATGGTGTAAGAAAACGTTTTAAATGGTCCGTTTTCCAGGCATGATAAATCTACGCAATGGCAGCCAGCCTGCGGATGTAACAAACCGCACGGCTCGTGCACCTAGAAGGTCACAATAAGCGAACAAAATGTAGAAGAGGGGTCAGCCCATAAATGGGAAGAAAGTTTCAGTATTGGGAAATCAAAACTTAAGCGGGTAAGAGGACAGGGTACAACCTTGTAAGCGGGTAAGGGGACGGCGTACAACGGGATAATGAAACTCAGGCGACCTCCGGGAAGATTGTAACCCCATAGTACTCGACCAGTGAGGAACTGGGGGAGGGACTTGCATTAGAGGAGATAAACTACCTGCTGTGACTGCCCCGGGTGTACCTGCCTACCAGGCACCTGATCTTGCAAGACTGCCATTAAAAATCTTGCTTCCTGGCTGGGCGCAGTGGCTCACACCTATAATCCCAGCACTTTGAGTCAGGCAGATCACCTGAGGTTGGGAGTTCGAGACCAGCGTGGCCAACATGGAGAAACCCCGTCTGTACTAAAAATACAAAATTAGCCAGGCGTGGTGGCGCATGCCTGTAATCCCAGCTACTCGGGAGACTGAAGCAGGAGAATCACTTGAACCCAGGAGACGGAGGTTGCAGCAAGCCAAGATCACACCTCTGCACTCCAGGCTGGGTGACAAGAGCAAAACTCTGTCTCAAAAAAAAAAAAGAGAGAGAAAGAAAAAAGTCTCATTTCTGCTGTTCTGTGTGTCTCCAAGCCCAGTCTTTGGGTGTGGACGGGTGAATGTGTGTTTCTCACCATGGATAAATAAGCTGAGTCCACCCACACCACGGAGACCACTCAGCAACAAAACAGAGCGAACATTACGCTGAGCAAAAAGGCCAATCGAAAAGGTTACATTTCTACGACTCCATTTATATGACACTCTTATGACAAATTTTTCAAATGGAGGACAAATCAGTGGTTCTCAGGGGTTAGGGACCAGGGTGGGGAGATGGGCTGGAAGGGGCAAATGTGGCTAGAAAAGGGCAAAGGGCCGATCCTTGCGATTATGGAACTATTCAGCACCGCAACACGGCAGGGACGGGGGCCCCCAGTGGTGAACACGCACAGAACTCAAATCAATCAATCTCTCTCTCTAACACACACGTACAAGTAAACTTCAGGCAACCTGAGTAAGACCGGTCAGCGATACCGTGTCCACATCCTGGCTGTGACGTTCTATTAAGGCCACAGTTCTCCAATGTGTTACCATTCGAAGAGAGGAGGAGACTGGCCGAAGTGTACAAAGGGCTCTCAAGGATTTCTTACAACAAAACACAAGCTCAAACTATTTAAAAAAAAAAAAAAAGTCCAAAAAAGAAAGAGTCCAATATTGACAATTTCATATGGTTTTATCTAGCACCAACTCACTTTATCCTCACAATAATCCCACAGAGTAGGTATCATTATTATCTCCCCTTTGCACATGAGAAAACTGAGGCCCTAGAAGTGTGAGAAATTTAGTCAAGGTCACATTTTAAATGGTGGGGCCAAGACCTGAAACCAGGCTGGCTGGCTCCAGTGCCCACACTCTTCACCACGATCAGTCTTGAAACTGGAAATGGAAAACATGGACATGAATCTGCTATTATTATGGCTTAAAAATCTTACAATGTAACTTTAGAGGACTTAAAGGGAACACTAAAGACCTACCATCCAGCCTCATCTCATTTTAGTTCTCAATCAAAAAAAGACACAGCCAATTGGATTCCACTCCCACAATGGTGCCAGGAGCCCCACAATCCCAAGGCCAGCTGGTGCAGACAGGTCACCTATCCACTCTGATCAAACCATTCTCCTGACCTCGGTCGGTCTCCTTCGTTTTTTCAGGTTGGGGGCGGACAAGGTGGGCCGGTTATTTCGATTTTTTCGGGCTGGGGGCAGAGAAGGTGCAGTTATTTGTTTCCTGTTTCTGGTGTTTCTTTTTTAAGGGTGGGGTGCTATTCATTTCGTTTTCTCTGATTTAAAGTGAAAGAGAAGGCTCCAGGGAATAAAGGCAACTACGCAAACTTCAGAACTGAGGTGAGCCTGAGGAGGAACTAGAAGGAAAACCAGGCTTCCTTCTTCAGTGCAAATGTTTCTTTTTACTACAGGAAAAAACGAAACAGGAAACAAAATGAATGTTCCCAAACAATTCTCTTTATACCATTTAGCAGAAAAAGGTGCAAAGTGGATGAATGCAGAACGAGAACAAGGGGGAACGATTTCACACAACCGTTCTTCCCTTTCCATAATGCCTGCCCTGATAGGAATCAAACTCCTCTGCTAAAGAACAAAAGCCAACTATGGAAGGCAGGAGAACCTTCAGTCCTCAGAGGAGGCATCCGACTCCTGCCAAAACCTTCCCTTCCTCACCGGATCCAGGGGAATGGCAAAAACAATTCGTGTTTGAAAGTAAACAGATACACAGCTATAACAAAAAAAACAAAGGAAGCTGTAGATCAGAAACTGGGAAATACCTGAAAATTAGAGGAGGACAAAGGCATGAAATCAAACTAGAGAAAGTGACACAAAAGCCAACAGTGAAAACAGCCCCAATAACACACAGGAGAAGGTGGAGGAAGGACAGTGCTGGACTGTGCAATACCTGCCTCCCTCCCGCAGGAGGCCCGGCTCCACAAGACCCCAACCAGCGCCGGCCGAGTTCACAAGCTCCCTGAGCAACAAACACCAACTCCCTGCGTGGCTTCACTAAAACAAGCCTTGAAAGGGAACAAGAGGCTCTGATGGTCACTTAAACATCACACACACACACACACACACACACACACACACACACAAATCTGAAATCCTGACCAATGAAGACATAAGACCAACCTTTCAGAAAGCCTAAATCAGGCGCATATAGATGACCAATTTATTTCTAGCTCTTAGTAAACCCACAGAATTCCAAATCAGCATCACAGTCTAATGGCAAAACTCAAAAGGAAACATGAATATACTGTGATCTACTTGTCTTGAGCTCACTGTTGGCCTCACCATTTTATGATCGGCGTCATGGACACTGGGAAACAGAAAAGACGGAGAAATCCGGGAAGCGGCTGTTTCACTTCAGTGTGAAGCTCCTACTCAACAATCGCTTAGTTATTTGTGACCTCTCACAACACTCATCTGTTCTGTTTCTACAAAATGAATAATCCAAGTGGCAGTAGACATCAGGACACCTGTTACCAGCCTGTCTTTTGCCAAGTAGGAACCTCAGAATGAGATACAACTCCATGAAGAACCATCTCTTGGTATGCAACAAGGTCTTCAGTCAGTCAGTCAATCAATTCAGCAGAGCTGCATGATACAAGATCAATATACAAAAGTCAGCTGTATCATCATCATACACAAGCAATGAACAATCTGAAAAAGATTAAGGAAACATTTCCATTTAAAACAGCATCAAAAAGAATATTTAGCAACAAATTTAACCAAAGAAGTGTAAAACTTGCACCCTGTAACCACAAAACACTGTTGAAAGAAACCGAAGACCTAAATAAGTGGAGGGAAAAAATCCCATATTCATGGATCAAAAGACACAGTGTCTTTACGACAGCAACACCCCCCAGGGTGACCTGATGATTCAGTGCAGTAACTATCAGAATTCCAACGGCCTTTTTTCAAAAGTGATCCAAAAATCTAGATGGAATTGTAAACCTCTTACATACTACAACTTACAGAACTATACAACTTTTTCTTAAAACTTTTTTCAGAGTAGAAAAGACATAATTAAAATGTCTAGGGGCCGGGGTGGTGGCTCACGCCTGTAATCACAGCACTTTAGGAGGCCGAGGCGGGAGGATCACTTGATGTCAGGAGTTTGAGACCAGCCTGGCCAACATGGCGAAACCCCATCTCTACAATAAATACAAAAAAATTAGCTGGGTGTGGTGGCACATGCCTGTAATCCCAGCTACTTGGGAGGCTGAGGCAGGAGAACTGCTTGAACCCAGGAGGCAGAGGTTGCAGTGAGCTGAGATCGTGCCACTACATTCCAGCCTGGGAGACAGAGTATGCCTCAAAAAAAAAAAAGTCTAGTAATCGTATGATGCCAGGTTTTTCTAAAATGATTATTTTTAATTATTAAGGGGGCAAAATAAAACAAGGGCACTGATTTGACAGTTTTTTTAAACTCTTTAGTTTGAAAGGTTTAAAATTCTTCAATAATCTAGTGCCTCTAATCCCAGCACTTTGGGAGGCCAAGGCAGATGGATCACTTGAGGTCAGCAGTTTGAGACCAGCCTGGCCAACATGGTGAAACGCCATCTCTAATAAAAATACAAAAATTAGCCAGACATGGTGGCGCGCGCCTGTAATCCCAGCTACTCGGGAGGCTGAGGTGGGAGAATCACTTGAACCCAGGAGGCAGAGGTTGCAGTGAGCCAAGATCGTGCCACTGCACTACAGCCTAGGCAGCAGAGCAAGACTCCATCTCAAAAAAATAGATTAATTAATTAAAATAAAATTCTTTGGCCGGGCACGGTGGTTCACGCCTATAATCCCAGCACTTTGGGAGGCCAAGGCGGGCAGATCAGAAGGTCAGGAGATCGAGACCATCCTGGCCAACACGGTGAAACCCCGTCTCTACTAAAAATACAAAAAAATTAGCCAAGCGTGGTGGCGGGCGCCTATAGTCCCAGCTGCTGGGGAAGCTGAGGCAGGAAAATGTTGTGAACCTGGGAGGCGGAGCTTGCAGTGAGCCGAGACTGCGCCCTACACTCCAGCCTGGGTGACAGAGCGAGACTACATCTCAAAATGAAAGAATGAATGATGAATGAATGAATAAAATTCTGCAATAACCAACATAACATTATTTCCTTTAAAAATACACCACTGTCATAGGCCAGGCATGGTGGCCCATGCCTGTAATCCCAGCACTTTGGGAGGCCGAAGTGGATGGATCACGAAGTCAGGAGTTCGAGACCAGCCTGGCCAACATAGTGAAACCCCGTCTCCACTAAAAATACAAAAATTAGCCAGGCATGGTGGCAGGCGCCTGTAGTCCCAGCTACTCAGGAGGCTAAGGCAGGAGAATCACTTGAACCCAGGAGGCGGAGCTTGCAGTAAGCCAAGATCGTGCCAATGCATTATAGCCTGGGCAACAGAGCAAGACTCCACCTCAAAAAATAAAAATAAAAAAATAAGAATACACCACTGTCCCTGAATGTGCACTGTTCTTTTAATTTAGAATGTGAGCCCACAATGATTTGTACAGCCCAACATCTAAGATGCAATGAACAGAATGTAAATGGGGGTTGGGGGGAGGGAAGGGACTACACAGCTTCTGAGAGAACAGCAACGTCCCTGCAGCGTGGGATTCTCAACTCTCACGCTCAGACGTTCTAGTACACAGCAGGGACTCTCAACTCTCGCGCTCAGACGTTCTAGTACACAGCAGGGATTCTCAACTCTCACGCTCAGACGTTCTAGTACACAGCAGGGACTCTCAACTCTCACGCTCAGACGTTCTAGTACACAGCAGGGACTCTCAACTCTCACGCTCAGACGTTCTAGTACACAGCAGGTACTCTCAACTCTCGCGCTCAGACGTTCTAGTACACAGCAGGGACTCTCAACTCTCGCGCTCAGACGTTCTAGTACACAGCAGGGACTCTCAACTCTCGCGCTCAGACGTTCTAGTACACAGCAGGGACTCTCAACTCTCGCGCTCAGACGTTCTAGTACACAGCAGGGACTCTCAACTCTCGCGCTCAGTCGTTCTAGTACACAGCAGGGACTCTCAACTCTCAGGCTCAGACGTTCTAGTACACAGCAGGGACTCTCAACTCTCGCGCTCAGTCGTTCTAGTACACAGCAGGGACTCTCAACTCTCAGGCTCAGTCGTTCTAGTACACAGCAGGGACTCTCAACTCTCGCGCTCAGTCGTTCTAGTACACAGCAGGGACTCTCAACTCTCACGCTCAGTCGTTCTAGTACACAGCAGGGACTCTCAACTCTCACGCTCAGTCGTTCTAGTACACAGCAGGGACTCTCAACTCTCACGCTCAGTCGTTCTAGTACACAGCAGGTACTCTCAACTCTCGCGCTCAGACGTTCTAGTACACAGCAGGGACTCTCAACTCTCACGCTCAGACGTTCTAGTACACAGCAGGTACTCTCAACTCTCGCGCTCAGACGTTCTAGTACACAGCAGGGACTCTCAACTCTCGCGCTCAGACGTTCTAGTACACAGCAGGGATTCTCAACTCTCACGCTCAGTCGTTCTAGTACACAGCAGGGATTCTCAACTCTCACGCTCAGTCGTTCTAGTACACAGCAGGGACTCTCAACTCTCACGCTCAGACGTTCTAGTACACAGCAGGGACTCTCAACTCTCACGCTCAGACGTTCTAGTACACAGCAGGGACTCTCAACTCTCGCGCTCAGTCGTTCTAGTACATAGCAGGGACTCTCAACTCTCAGGCTCAGACGTTCTAGTACACAGCAGGGACTCTCAACTCTCGCGCTCAGTCGTTCTAGTACACAGCAGGGACTCTCAACTCTCAGGCTCAGTCGTTCTAGTACACAGCAGGGACTCTCAACTCTCGCGCTCAGACGTTCTAGTACACAGCAGGGACTCTCAACTCTCACGCTCAGTCGTTCTAGTACACAGCAGGGACTCTCAACTCTCACGCTCAGTCGTTCTAGTACACAGCAGGGATTCTCAACTCTCACGCTCAGTCGTTCTAGTACACAGCAGGGACTCTCAACTCTCACGCTCAGTCGTTCTAGTACACAGCAGGGACTCTCAACTCTCACGCTCAGACGTTCTAGTACACAGCAGGGATTCTCAACTCTCACGCTCAGACGTTCTAGTACACAGCAGGTGCGCTGTCCTTTAACAAGGACAAAGGTCAACAAACGCCCCTTGGATGAATGGCTGATTGGCAGGCATTCCACACTGCAGGCTCTGTCCCCGCCCAGCAGACTTGTCCCCTATCTTGAAACACTACTTTTCCATTTCATTAATGCAACCTGATGGCCGGCCACTGTAACAAAAGAAACATCACCAAAATGAATTGTTTCTTTCTTAAGACAAAAGGGAGTTTGCTCCTCACATATGACCTTACGCAGTTTCTGTCTGAGAATCATCATGTTCGTCAGCCCTGCCTGTGCTCTCCTCTTCCCACTGTGCTTCCTCCTGCATCACAAAGGAAACCCCTGTGAGCCTGGGAAGTGGGTGCGCAGGCGGAGAAACAGAAACGGCCACTCCAGGCTCAACCTATCCATCCCGGCCTCTTCCTAAGACCAAGGCGCTGCTGACTCAACCCTGCTTCCAGAAGCCTAGGGTTAACATCTGCTCCTTCCTCCTGTTTGCATTCAGTGAAATCCTCTCCTCTCCCAGGAGTTTCCACATAAAACCTGCCTCTTTGTTTATTAAGAATTGTTTACAGAACTCTCAAGCAGCAAAGGCAAAGTACAGAAGATAAATAAGAGCAAGCTGGCCGGTGCGTGCGACTGGATGGACAACATCTTTACCCACATGTCTGCATCAGCTCTGCGTTGTTCACCGACAAATCCCGTGTCTGGAAGAGTCCTGGCAGGCTGCACGGGCTGGAGAGAGAGCGAGCTGGTGAGTGGCTGCCCCTCCCATCACCACCACTGGCCACACCATGATGATCACACACCCAGGCACACCCACTCTGTGCTCTCCACGCATCGCCTCATTCAACCCCCACGACAGCCCTTAACAGATGCCACCTCTGTGTTTCTTGTGAGAAACATGGAACATAACTGGCACTCATCTAGCATGGTCTCGCAGTAGCACTGAACCTACAAACCACTCTCTTCCCAGGCTTCCACCCCACCATTCCCGGTTTCTCTTGTGAACTTTGTTTCCATTTTGTTTCACTTGCTACATCTCCTTCCTCCACCTCCTCCCTCAATGTTGTCTTCAGCCACTGCAGGGGCACTCTCACCTGCCTCTGGCTTTAACGACGTGCTGCTGAATCCCAGCTCTGCCAATCAGAGTTGAACCCACTGAACCCACTGCAACAATGTCCAACTAGAGACACTGTCAATCAGAGACAATGTTCCCACCTTACTCGGCTCTCCTCACACAGGCTGTGCACATACAGAGCCCTCACCCCACTCCTTCCTGTATCCCCTGCCTTGCTGCAGGGCACCACTGTCTAACCCTCCAAGGCAGAAACCAGCTGCCTCCTCCTCCCTATCAAAAGCCCACTTATAAATCCTGTCCATTTCCAGCTCCCCCCCATCACTGTCACTCCTCCCTACTGCAACCGCTCTGACTTCTAGTTCAAGAGTGTCTCAGTATTTCTTTACCTACATCATCATAACAACTTAATTATCTCCACCTCCAGCCACACACACCATCAACTTATTCCCCACAGTGCTAAGGGGAGAATTTGCCACATCTGGTCACTTATTTACACCTCAGTCTGGTGTGCAGAAGTCACTGGGCTAACAAGGAATATATTCATGTTGTACATCGTGATGCAGTACACACACACACACACACACACACACACACACACACACACACCCCTGGAAAATAAAAGCTTCACAGGACGAAAGCTTCCACTCCTACATGGGACACACTCCAGTGTTTCCCCAGGCTGGCAGCCGCTGTTTGTGACCTCAGGACCCATCGCCGTGGCAGCCGCCTCCCAGAGCCCGTGGCATGCACTGTGTTGAGGGGTGCTGTCTGGCTGCCTCCCCAGCCTCTGAGCAACCGCAAACACCTTCCAGTTTAGGAGGGTCCCTCTCCATCTTCCTAGAATGCCCTTTTCTACTGTGTCCAGCTGGCAAACTCCTATTCATTCTTCAAAGTCAAGCTCAGGTCTTGACTTTCTTCCTTATACTTCTCAATATTCTTCAAATTCTCTACGGAGATATGTATTGCTTTTATATTTTTATACTATGTCACCACCATACCCGAGACCTTACCAGTCACACACTCACCCCCATTCATATTCTATCACGGTATAATCTTGAGCCCAGGAGTTCAAGACCAGCCTGGGCAACACAATGGGACCCCATCCCTATAAAAAATTAAAAAATTTGGCATGGTGGTACACGCCTGTGGTCCCAGCTACTCAGTAGAATCACTTGAGTCTCTACTCAGGAGAATCACTTGAGCCTGTGAGGTCGAGGCTGCAGGGGGCTTTATCACAGCCCCACACTCCAGCCATGGGTGACAGAGACCCTATCTCTCTCTCTCTCTCTCTCTCTCTCTCTCTCTCTCTCTCTCTCTCCTCTCTCTCACACACACACACACACACACGAAATATATGGACACAGGCCACATTATATACAAGCATTGCCATAATAAAAACAGCTCTCCCTTGGCCTCTGAGCATTTTACCCTTTTGATCCATTCAGCTTCTTTAGAACAGATGGATATTCACCATAAGATGTAGTTTATGGACAAGAGTAATTTGGAAATGAAAAAGGAAGACAGTAAGGAGGCCTCCCCTTCAAGAGGGTTTCATGACAAGGCCCAGTTGAGTGGCCATGACTGGCCGGATCCTTTGGCCCTAACATATGGATCCCTCCAGGCTCTTTCAGTCTGCTAACCTACAAGTTAATTAGTCCATTTCTAGGAAGAAAGTGTCCGTTGTCTCCTCTGCAGACTTTCCACTTCCTGACAGCACAGGAACCTAACAGCATGCCAAGTTCAGACTCCTTTTTCTTTGCACCTCACTACCACCGACAGGCTTTCAAACATACTATTCAGAACAGAGACACGGCGTTGGCCACCAGTCCCAGCTCCAGCAACACTAAAAGGCCTCCCTAAAGGAGCAGCAGGAGCGCAACAGAGAAGAACAGGGTTGGACGTGGGGGCTGGGCACACCACCTTCACCAGAGTAAGAGAGAAGGAACGGGCTTGGACGCAGCAGGGCTGGGCACGCCACCTTCACGAGAGTAAGAGAGAAGGAACGGGCTTGGACGCAGCAGGGCTGGGCACGCCACCTTCACGAGAGTAAGAGAGAAGGAACGGGCTTGGACGCAGCAGGGCTGGGCACGCCACCTTCACGAGAGTAAGAGAGAAGCAACGGGCTTGGACGCGGGGACTGGGCACGCCACCTTCTCCAGCCCCAGAGCCCCACTGTGGAGAGAAAAGGGGCTGCTCTCTGCCTCAGAATCCAAGAACTCCTGAGAAAACAGCTACATCGACATCTGGTATTAACATTTGATTGTTTAACCACACTATAAGGGAGAAGGGGACATGGACACTGGCTTCTAAATACAGAAGTTTCCAGCTCCCAGCTGGTTACTCTGAGAAGATGCCCCTAGTGTGTCACCTACAGAGAAGGGAGGATGCCCACCTACCCTGCCTGGCCTGCACCACCCACTAGAAATAAACAACAGGCCCCAAATGCAAACAGGACCAAGAGAAGGGCCATACGGCAGCAGCACCCCAGTGCCTCCAAGATGCCACTCACCCATGGTGCACCCTACACACACTCACCTCCTCAAGACACTATGGATTCTGTGTGTCTGGGGGTGAACTGCAATTTTTTTAATGTTTTCCAAGTAAATCTAATTTAAAAAAAAA
The DNA here is from genome assembly GCF_000001405.40 of Homo sapiens. NCBI lineage: Eukaryota > Metazoa > Chordata > Mammalia > Primates > Hominidae > Homo > Homo sapiens. The sequence goes on from NC_000016.10 coordinate 89,434,295, forward strand.
TCACTGATCTAGCCCTTCCTCACCCAAACTCCCAGTCATACAGTTGTCGAAATAATGACCATAAAGCAATTCTTCTCTAACTTGAGAATTCTCATACTCTTCTTCTCCACGCAAGTCGGAAAGACCTAGTCTGAGAAAGAAAGCCATAAAAATGAGAGAATCCAGCGAAGTCGCTGCAGCCAGGAGGAGCAGCACCGCGCAGTCCTGTGCCTCACCCCTGCCCAGGCCACCTGAGCCCCACCTGTCACAGTAAGGCTGCAGAAGCATGCGGCTGGTCAGCAGCTAATCAGCAGAAGGAAAGCTGGCCCGACAATCCATGCCTATAAATTCCACAACAGATGTCTCCTGAGGTCCAAAATCTGCTCTTATTAAAGAGTGGCGTGTGGGATGGGCAGAGACTCACACAGCCACACCACACACACAAGGTCTCAGGACTCTAGCCAAGGTCTTCTAGTTTGTAGTGGCCTCATGTTTGATGAGCATCTAATAACAAAGACAGGAAAGCACTGGATGGAGACGCGGCGAGGACACTGGCTGTCTGGGGCAGCCTTGCCCTGAGGAAGTTATGCTCTAACTGGTGAGACTGCACCAAGGCACAAGAAAACCCACGACAAACTGAAGTGTCCATGCGGATGGCTAGGTGAAGCAGGGCGCAGGCCCAGGTGTGAACACTCAACTGCTGGGAGCCCAAGACCAACTGATACACCCACAGCCACCAGCTCTTCATGAGAGGTGAAGCCAGCTGGGCTTCTGGGTCGGGTGGGGACTTGGAAAACTCTTCTGTCTAGCTAAAGGTCTGTAAATGCACCAATCAGCACTCTGTACAAATGCATCAATCAGCGCTGTCTAGCTAAAGGTTTCTAAACTCACCAATCAGCACTCTGTAAAAACGCACCAATCAGCACTCTGTGTCTAGCTAAAGGTTTATAAACTAACCAATCAGCATTCTGTAAAAATGGACCAATCAGCACTCTGTAAAATGGCCCAATCAGCGCTCTGTAAATGGACCAATCAGCAGTACGTGGGCAGGGCCGAATAAGGGAATAAAAGCTGGCCACATGAGCCAGCAGCAGCAACCCACTGGGGTCCCCTTCCATGCTGTGGGAGCTGTGTTCTTTCACTCTTCACAATAAATCTTGCTGCTGCTCACTCTTTGGGTCTGTACTACCTTTATGAGCTGTAACCCTCAGCGCGAAGGTCTGCAGCTTCACTCCTGAAGTCAGCGAGACCACGAACCCACCAGAAGGAAAACACTCCAGACACATCTGAAAATCTGAAGGAACAAACTCCGGACACACCATCTTTAAGAACTGTGACACTCACCGCGAGGGTCCACAGCTTCATTCTTGAAGTCAGCGAGACCGAGAACCCACCGGAAGGAACCAATTCCAGACACATTCACACGCAGACGTACTTTCGTTCTGTCCTGCTGGGAGTCCAAGACCAACTGACTGTCCACTCAAGGAACAGACCAACTGACGCACCCACAGCCACCAGCTCTTCACACACACACACACACACACACACACACACACACACACGCTTTCGGTCTGTTCGCTCAAGGAACAGGAAGCCTTTTTCACTTCAACTTCTGCATTCAGTTCAATGTGCTGGTGCCGCCCATCACCTCTAAATCACCGCAAGTTTCAAGAACAGCCAGTTGTGTCCTGGAGCTGTGCTGAGCACGCCCACCAGCCCAGCAGGTGCTGCTGAGAGCAGAGGGTTTTGCAGGGTCACACATTCTTCCAACAATATGACTGCAGACCCCCCAGCAAAAGGAAAGATTCCCCATTTGGGAAAGTAGACTAAAATTTTCTTCTATTAAAACATGATAATTCGGCCGGGCACAGTGGCTCATGCCTGTAATCCCAGCACTTTAGGAGACGGAGATGGGTGGATCACCTGAGGTCAGGAGTTCGAGACCAGCCTGGCCAACTCGGTGAAACCTATCTGTACTAACAATACAAAAATGAGCTGGGCGTGATGGCTCAGAACCTGTAGTCCCAGCTACGTGGGAGGCTGAGGCACGAGAATTGCTTAAACCCAGGAGATGGAGGTTACAGTGAGCCAAGATCATGCCACTGCACTCCAGCCTGGGCAACAGAGTGAGACTCGGTCTCAAAAAAAAAAAGATAATCCAAGTTTCTCCTGACAGATGACATTCATCAACAAGAGATTCAAGCAGAAAAGACCACTGTCTCTAACAGCAAGTATTATACAAGAGCCTCAAGCGACGTCTGCCTTGGGTGTTGGGACATAGCAAACAGGACGGCTGTTCCGCAAGAGCAGGACTGAAGCAGGCGGAAATGAAGACGCAGGGGCATCAGCCATCAGAGCTCTTCTTCCTGGAATAACTATTCCTCTAAGCTGCTCCTTCAGATACAAAATAAAAAGTAACTCTCAACACTGACAAGTCAACGGAGGACACGCGAAAAACCAAAAAACTTTTACTATATTTTTGTTTTAATAAAGTTATTCTAATCCCCTGAGGTAACTGTGAGGGAATTAATAACTAGAGAACTGTTAGAGACCCCTGAAGGTTGGACAATGGTATTGCCGAAGCTTTGTGTTTTGCTCTTCAATAAACTTATCTACTTTCTTAAGCTAACTGAATAAAATTTAATATACATTTATCAACCACATCTTTTAAAAAGAGAGAAAAGTAGGAAACTCAAAGTAGTTTCCTTTAAACAAAAGATGGTCAAAGTTGATGAATTTAGAACATTTGTCCCCAATATCCTAAAAAGTGACATACGAGGAAGGAGATGTCACAGAAGAAAACGACAACACACACCCAAACGGCATCAGCCTGTGTGTGACCATTTTCACAACAGGGAAGGGAACGAAGCGAACAGATCCATCACTGAAAGCGCAGCACACACCTTCTAACCTGGAAATGGAGAAGGAACGTCCACTTATGAAGAGGGCCAACAACAGTGGCCTCTCATTCCATGAACCAAGCATGATGCTAATATGCTAATATGACAGAGAATTTTTTAAAAAGCCACCAAAAAAATACCAAAAAGTGAAAGACTGTATTGTTTGCCCCAACATCTGTTTTCTTCACTCTAATGTTCCCAAACCAGTGCAGCAAACAGGCTGGCTCTTCCCGCCTCCCACTGACTCCTCCACACCCCTACTTCCTCTCTCCTCATTCACCTCTTCTTCTTTCTGCTCTTCTGTGCCTCCCACTCTCTCACTGAGCAGCCCCTCACTTCCCAGCATGCCACCATCTCCCCTGAGCAAACAGTCCTCCAGAGACAGTCCTCCAGAGCTCTCTCCAACCTGACATCTCTCCCAAGAGCCCACTCACCAGATGTCCAAGGGGTTTATGAAAGCCATGGATTCAAGGCTAGAGACGCTGTCCCTCAGACCAGCTCTCTCCGGCTCTTCCTGTCTGGTAGGGAGGCTGTGGTGCCCTGGCCACTCTCATTTCTCACTGGCCTCTGCACCTCCCATGCATCCGCTCCTCCGCCATGCCTCTCCACTACTCCTAATGCCACTCCCAGCTCCAGCAACCCACCCTCCAGGGCACCTCGACGCTATGCCCAGTTCAATCTCCTATGGGTCAGTGCAGGGCAATGCATAATGCAAACTAGGCCCGGGGGCTGTGGAGTTGGGCAGCCATGGTTAAAATCATTCTTAGTTTCCTCATCTGTAGAAAGAAAAATTCCTGGATACAAAATATAAGATGAATATACACAAGTCCATTGTATTTCTAGACACCAACACCAGGCAGAGTCCACCATGAAGGCAAGTGGCAGTGTCCCAAGGAGAGCCCGCTGGCCAGGAGGGCACCGCAAGCTTGGACACAGCAGGGGCACTGGAGATGGGTCCACGAACCGCGTGCGCAGCCCAGGAGGCTGGCACAACTGGTGTCTGCATGAAGACTAGGAACAGCTGGCTTCTTATCTCACACCATACACAAACATCAATTTAGGATACATTAAAGGTATAAATGCAAAGGGCAAAAGTACAAAATGTGCAGAAGGCGTAGGAAGCTATCTTTATGGCCTTGGGATAGGGAACATTTTTTTTTTTTCAACACAGAGTCTCACTCTGTTGCCCAGGCTGGAGTGCAGTGGTGCGATCTCAGCTCACTGCAGCCTCCGCCTCCTGGGTTCAAGCAATTCTCCTGTCTCACCCACCCGAGTAGCTGGGACTACTGGCGTGTGCTACCACATCCAGCTAATTTGTGTGTGTGTGTGCGTATTTTTAGTAGATACAGGGTTTCACTAGGTTGGGCCAGGCTGGTCTTGAACTTATGACTTCAGGTGATCCACCCACCTGGGCCTCCCAAAGTGCTGGGATTACAGGTATGAGCCACCGTGCCCATCCAAGAAAATTTTCTAAAAAAAGACATACTGGGTCATGATGGACAGTTTGGAAGGCATTGCCCCCAAGAACCAAGCACAGTCCCTTCGAAGCTAAAGTATTCAAATCTCAAGTCATCAAATGTTACTGCATTTAGGAGGCCGAGGTGGGAGGACTGCTTGATCCCAGAAGTTCAAGGCCAACCAGAGCAACATGTGAGACCGCATCTCTATAAAAAATTTTAAAATAAACTAGCCAGGTGTGGGGTTGCATGCCTGTGATCCCAGCTGCTGGAGAGGCTGAGATGGGAGACTGCTTGAGCCAATGAGTTCGTGATCATACCACTGCACTCCAGCCTGAACGACAGAGCAAGACCCTGCCTCAAACAAAAACAGAAACAAAAACAAACAAAAATTTTAACCTTTCTCTTAAAAAAAACAAAACCAAAAAAAAAAAAGAACTGTATTCTTCCATTCATATAGAAGATAAACATCACAATGGGAAACTCCCTCTGTGTGGCACGTTGTTCAAATCCACATGCATGCACAGTCCCAGAGTCTTCTTTCCTACCCGCAGCACTGAAGGTTCAAGGAAGTCCCACTGTTTTCAGTAAACTGAAAACTTTTTTGGAAAATGCTGTTTTCCAGTATAGACAACTGAATCCTAAGCACAAATATATAGGACCTCTGAATATGTAAAAATTTAAAAGCAGACAACACTAAATTAATGATTTTACTTTTAAGGAGATAAAATGTTCCTTGACTTGCAATGGGGTTACCTCCCAATAAACCCAGTGTAAAGTCAAAAATCCTAAGTCGAACCATCATTAAGTCAGGGACTATCTGTATACACTTTCAGTGCTAAAAACTACACCAAAGAAAAAACAAGTGTCAAAGTTCTCCATGTAAAACAGTGATCCAGGGATATGGGTGAGAAAACCCATCTAAAATGCAATGTGATATTTAGGATAAAGCTGAAACACACCACAGCGCCTCAGCAATTGAGGCTGTGAATACAACCACACAATCAGCAAAGAAAAGCTTGTTCTATTCTTCATCTACACCACTCACACACAACACCAAAGGTGTTCTCAGCACACCTCCATCCACCTCAGATCTATTCTTCATCTACACCACTGACACACAACACCAAAGGTGTTCTCAACACAACTCCGTCCCCCTCAGAACTCTGTGGAACGTTTTCATTCCCAATGATCACCAACAGAGCCAGCTGTAAGCTCAACTCTAACACTACCCACAGTGCAGCTGACCTAGACTGATGGGCGGCCTCCGGAGAAGTCAAAGACTCCAGCTCTACTGCACACACCCACAGCAGGAGAGGCCTGTGTCTCTCACAGGTGTGGGGTCTGAGCCGCAGCCCACTACCTTAACTCCATAATCTGTGACTTGGCTCTTATGAGGAAGCTGACAAAGAATCAGAGACTCAGAGGAGATCACAGCCTTTCAGGACTGAGGTCTAAAACACAGAACCTCTAGCCCAGTGCTCACCCGCAACCATTTCCCTGCCTCTTCCTACTTCTCCAGTCCTCAAGGGGACAATGGCAGGGTTCACAGGATTCTTCCTCCGGAAGAATTCAGTGTGCTGTAATTAGAAATGAACATTTTATCAATATGTTCACGTAAAATGTACATGTTCCCCTGGGGGGAGGGATAAATAACAGTGGAACTAGGAAAAGCAGACCACCAGAAAATGTCTCGGTCCAGCGTGGTGGCTCAGGCCTGTAATCCCAGAACTCTGGAAGGCTGAGGGGGGAGGATCACATGAGGCCAGAAGTTCAGACCAGCCTGAGCAACACACTGAAACCTCAACTTTGTAACAATAAAAACAGAATAAAAACTTAGCTGGGCATGGAGGTGTGCACCTGTAGTCCCAGGCACTCAGGAGGCTGAGGTGGGAGAATTGCTTGAGACCAGGAGGTCAACACTACAGTGAGCTGTGAGTACCAATGCACTCCAACCTGGATGACACGACAAAACTCTGTCTCAAAAGGAGGGGGAGGAGGAGGTAAGAGGGAAAGGAAGAAAGCATAAGAAAATATCAAGCACAAACTAAGGGCCCCAAAAAATCCAACTCACAGCAACGTGGGCAGAGCCCTGGAGAAGCCAGAGGACATCCAGGCACCACCCAGCAAGGGGCTACAGAAAGGGGGCCACCTGCCTCCAAGCCTGCCGGGACTGAAAATAAATCCATGTGGCATCAACAGGAACATCTGTGGCTGTGTGGCAATGCGTGTGAGTGCGCATGAATCCTGGTGTGGCTGGTGTGTGTCACAGTCAAAACGGAAAGAGAGAGCGCATCGTGGTTTATAAAAAATAAGTTTCCTTGCGGCCAGACACAGTGGCTCACGCCTGTAATCCCAGCACTTTGGGAGGCCGAGGCGGGCAGATCATGAGGTCAGGAGATCGAGACCATCCTGGCTAACACCGTGAAACCCTGTCTCTACTAAAAATACAAAAATTAGCCGGGCGTGGTGGTGGGCGCCTGTAGTCCCAGCTACTCGGGAGGCTGAGGCAGGAAAATGGCGTGAACCTGAGAGGCAGAGATCGCAGTGAGCCAGGATCGAGCCACTGCACTCCAGCCTGGGCCACAAAGTGAGACTCCGTCTCAAAAAAAAAAAAGTTTCCTCGCTATGCATGCGCTAAAACCCTCTGGAGTGAAGTCCTAAAATATTTAAATGAATTTTCATTCTGAAGAGACTACAGAACTTCTCAACACAGGCTCTCTTACACAGACTCTATTACACAGACTTTTTTAAGATCTTGCACATCCAATGTCAGAATATATTCCATCACCCAGCAACAAAAGCAGTCAGGAAAAAAACTTCAGAAAAAGAATTATTAAAAAATACGCAAACCTGGCCGGGCGCGGTGGCTCACGCCTGTAATCCCAGCACTTTGGGAGGCCAAGGCGGGCGGATCACGAGGTCAGCAGATGGAGACCATCCTGGCTAACATGGTAAAACCCCACCTCTACTAAAAATACAAAAAATTAGCTGGGTGTGGTGGTGGGCACCTGCAGTCCCAGCTACTCGGGAGGCTGAGGCAGGAGAATGGCATGAACCCAGGAGGCGGACTATGCAGTGAGCCAAGATCGTGCCACTGCACTCCAGCCTGGGCAACAGAGCGAGACTCCGCCTACAAAAAAAAAAAAAAAAAAAAAAAAAACGCAAACCTGACTCTTAAAAAATTAAACATACCCTGCATAACTGAACAGTGTCCACAAGCAGGAATCTCTCTGGATGGCAAGGTGGCAGCCGACTATGGCACTCACCAAAAAGGCACCTTCCCCCATCATCCATGCAAAGACCTTTCCCAAAGCCACCAGACCTCCGTTCAAACAACTCAAATCCGGTCTAGAAATTAAAAATCCTTGTACTGAAAGCAAAATCAGGGTTAGCTGTGACTAAGATCCAAGAAATAAACTTTTTAAAAAGTAATAAACATGAATTCATCAGTATGAAAAAGGTCTGTGCACAGTGAGCAGTTGGCACACCGATGCAGTGCACCGAGGGCCAAGGCGAAGGCCGCAGGGGGAGGAGGCTCAGCAGAGGGAGGACACCCCAGCTGACAACGCACGCCCACTGGTGCCAGTGCTTTGGAGAACATGCCAGGTCATGTCTACGCTTTCCTCACTAAGGATTTAATTTCAGTATTCTACAATCTAACTCTACACTCTCAAAACATAATTAGAAACAATGTTTTGAATGTGATGGAGGGATGCAGTAGAGCTTCTCTAGAAAATGCTTTTGAATCTGTCTCAGAAAACCACCTGTTTTGTAGAGACCAAGACTCTTCCTCCATTTTGGCTCAAGCTGGATCCTGAGTAAAAGACAATCCCACAAACGCCCCTTTATGCACAGCTTCCCCCACACGCTGTTTGTCTCTGTTTCTCTCTCTCTCAATACCCCTAGATTTTAGGTCAAAACAAACCTGTTTCCACCAGCTGGACAGTATCATTCAGGAACGGTTTTACGCATCAAAGACTCATTTCCAGATAAAGCTGAAGCTCCAGGGAGGAGGCCTGTGTCCCACAAAGGCCAGGTGCTGACACGGTTAGTCCTTTCCTCCCCACCACCCACCAGGAATGTTGCTGGAACCCAGACACGCACAGCAAGGTTCTGCTGTTTACCCTGCTCCCCGGTGGCAGGAAGGTGTGTGCCCTATTCTCACTCCAACCCCATCACGGCCTGGTGAGCCTCCGGCGCTCCTGCCCCTTACAGCACAAGCCGGCCACCACCTCCCACGGGCCCTGACACTGTCACTCAACACCTCACCACAGCACCCAGCCTCTGCCTCTTTCATTAGACATAAGCAAGGATTTTTCCTCTAGCCAGGAAGTTTTTCAAATGTGAAGTATTTCATTTTTTTCTTCTTATTTTTTTGAAACAGAATCTCGCTCTGTCATCCAGACTGGAGTGCAATGGTGCAATCTTGGCTCACTGCGACCTCTGCCTCCCAGGCCCAAGCAATTCTCCTGCCTCAGCCCCCGTGTAGCTCGGATTACAGGCATGCATCACCACGCCCAGCTAATTTTTATATTTTCAGTAGAGACAGGGTTTCACCCTGACCTCAAGTGATCTGCCCGCCCTGGCCTCCAAAGTGCTGGGATTACAGGTGTGAGCCACCTCACCCGGCCTCAAATGTGAAGTATTTCAAATCGAACTTGTTCACAGTCAAGGCAAGCATGGCATGCTTGCTTTGGCCAGCACATGTACTAAAAATTCGAACAACAGAGACGATTACCATAGCCCCTGTGCAATGATGACATGCAAATTTGTGAAGCATTCCATACTTTAAAAAAAACACACACAGATTGGGACCTGCTCTGCAAGGCATCAGATGCCTTCCAGTCAGTAAGAGACAAGAGATACACAGGGTGCTCCCATTCCCACAGCAAGCACCACCCTGCACCACTAGTATTAGCACCACCCACATGGAAGGGTGCCAGACACATACCTACTAGCTGCCTGCCACGCATGGAAAATTCTTTAGGCAATACCCTCCGCACCCAGAAGGCTACCAGACCTGTTAAGCCTTTTCAACCAGTTTTTGCAAGCAAGAGAAATGCAATTCTTAAGAGCGGGAACACCCCTTTATTACATGTAAAGATACACAAGCTGGATGAATTGAATAGGGGTGAACAGTGATGACCCATGACCAAGATGCATTAAGAAACAGATCTGCACAGGAAGGTGGAACAAGGCCCGTGAGTGCAGAGCAAGCCTGCTGGGAGGGCAGGGGCTTGTCTTGGAGGAAAGTGCCAACAAAGCCTGTGCCAACTACAGCTGCCGTGCCGGGCCGGCGTCAACACCGAAGGAGAGGTGTGCAGAGACAAAGCGGCCTGTCAGGCTGAACAGGGAGGCAGAAACTCCGCAGACCAAGAATACAGTTTCCATAGTACCCTGTAACTCACCAAGGCTGGGACAAAGGTTAATGAAAAGTTCAAATCTGAAATAAATAACAACTCACTTCGGTATTTTACAAAAAAGGTAGTTAAGTATTTTTTTTGTGTTCCTGCATAAAATACTAGTAAGACTCAAAACAGGTAGATACTGATATGCAAGTTTTAAAATCACAAGCAGAAGAAACAACACTCTGTATGCCCTTCCAGGTGGAAATGCAGTCAGCAGAAAACTGTCTCCATGAGATAAATGCTCCTGCCCAAAGCCCACTCTAGCAATGCTTCCTCCCTGAACCACAACTCTGAACAGGCTGCCACTCACTGCAACTCCTTGCACATGACAGACTTGCTGGGAAGAGCAGGTGCGTACTAAACATTTTCTTTGGGCTCCAGAAAGCACTAACGGCCTACTTTTGCAACGGGGCGGTCGGGGGGGTGGAGTGGAGGGAGGGGGGTTGTGTAGGGTTTGCCATCAGCGTTACCCTGGAGCTAGTCCAGCCCTGGACTTCGATATCACCTGAAATCCAATCATCAAACTTTGCCCACTGTTTCTTCTCCAAAAGCAAGGAAAAGAAAAGCTATCATGAGCCCCTTCAGGGTCTAGCAGCATACAAGACTGCTTTTAGAAATTCTACTCCAGGCATAGTGGCTCACGCTTGTAATCCCAGCACTTTGGAAAACAGGAAGGAGGATGGCATGAGCCCATGAGCTCAAGACCAGGCTGGATAACACAGCCAGATCCCGTCTCTGTTATAAATAAATAAATAAAATGTAAAAAAAAGAGAAATTCTACCAAATAAAGATCAACTATGATGTAACAACCAAGTAACCCTACAGTGTGAGAAATGCATGAGGGGCTTAAGCTCAGGGAACCACCACCTAAAGAGAGAGGCAGAGACCTCAGAGGACATCACCACAGGAGCAGGCAGGCTCCCACCCAGACAGTGGCACACTGCCACCCTTGCAAACCTACCACACAGACCCGTTCAGCACCTGCCCTTGCACCACCCACCTGGAGGCTCAGCATCCAGGTGTGCTGGCCCCTTGGGTGAGGGTGCCCAGGCACTCACCAACTGAAGTCCCCATCTCTCCACGGCAGGCCCACCTCAGAGGAGGCAAATGTTAACGGCTGATTTCTTCCCATAAAGCTAAGCCCTTATCCATGTGGCTTGTTTACAAAAGTAAAACAGGCTGTTTGGACATGGCATTAACCAATGTATTAGTAAGGGAAGGGGAGCAAGCTGTTTTCTTTAACTAATATATATAGGTCCAACCCTAGTTCAACCACTGCTCAGCCGTTTCGAACCACTGGCTGAGCAAATTCAGCCTCTCTGAGGTTCAGGTAAACTAAGAGGTCATCTCCTTGGGGCGTAAGATGCTACCCCTGAAGCAACATCACACCTCTCATGGACGTCACTATCATCCTCCACCCCAACCTGCAAACATACCTAGGACCAGTGCCCCAGCCCCAAGGAGCCACAGAGGCTGAGGATGATCCGTCCTCCAAATGCTCAGGCTACTCTGAAGCAGGAAACAAAGACAGCAATAACCACAAGCACAGGGACAATGTCCTGCCTGACACCTGAATTCTTACTCTGATATCTCAACATCCTCTTCAATAAAATCAGGAAATAACTGTATTTTTTTAAAAAAACGATTTTGAGCCCGGGCACTGTGGCTCACGCCTATAGTCCCAGCACTTTGGGAGGCTGAGGCAGGCAGATCACCTGAGGTCAGGAGTTCGAGACCAGCCTGACCCACATGGAGAAACCCCGTCTCTACTAAAAATACAAAATTAGCCAGGTGGTGCATGCCTGTAATCCCAGCTACTCAGGAGGCTGAGGCAGGAGAATCACTTGAACCCAAGAGGCAGACATTGTGGTGAGCGGAGATCGTGCCATTGCACTCTGGCCTGGGCAACAAGAGCGAAACTCCGTCTCAAAAACAAAAACAAAAAAAAAAATTTTTTGTTAAAAAAAAAAAAAAAAAAACCAGCCTAGTATATGTTCCTGCCTAAGAGAATATGAAGCTTTGTTTTGTTCTTCAGATGGATCCACACTTAGAACCACCATCTTTAAAAAAAAAAAACTGTTTAAAAAGGACTTCCAATTGCATTTCATGAAGGCAGTGGGTAGAAAATCCTTGATCAGTCCCTAATTGGGTGTGTTTTCCATGAATGAGCTATTGGGATACAGAGTGTCGAGAACAAGAAAACAGCTTCTAATATGAAAACAGATGAGGTTCTCCTAAAGCTTCTGTGACAGCTGCATCTAAACAGTTTAACACTGAGGTGGACGGGCGCAGTGGCTCACGCCCCTAATCCCAGCACTTTGGGAGGCCCAGACAGGCAGATCGCTTGAGCCCTGGAGTTCGAGACCAGCCTGGTCAACATAGCAAAACCCCATCTCTACAAAAAACACAAAACTTATCCGGGTGTGGTGGCAAGCATCTGTACTCCCAGCTGACAGGGAGGCTAAGAAGGAAAGGTCACTTAAGCTCAACAGGCAGAGGTGGCAGTGAGCTGTGATCATGCCACTGCACTCCAGCCTGGGTGACAGAGCGAGCCCCCGTCTCAAACAAAAACAAAAACCAAAAAAAACCCACAGACTCAATTCTGGCTGCCAGGCCATCAAGGGCTGTGAAGTGAAGCCCTGAGATCCTTGTGGCAGGACCCTGGACACACAATGACAGTGCCACCAGCCACAGCCATGCCCAGCAAGCAGCTTCCTGTCCAGTGAGCACCAAGGGGCCCTTCTCACACACAGCCTCCCACTCAAACCTCGAGCATCCGCTTCTCTCCTCCTCCACTCTGGGGCACAGAGGCTCTCGCCAGCCCCCACAGCTGCTTCTCCGCTTGTCACCCTGCCACACACCCTCTGTCCCTGCAGTTCCAGGGACAGCCGAGGTGTTCTCACTCTGCACCAAGTGCCTCACGGGCCAGGTCCTGCTTAAAGCCTGAATGAAGCAAAGCTTGGAAAGGACCCAACACAACCTGCCACCAACTGAATGCCTGCCATCCCTCCCCACCCTACGAAGACACTGCATGAAAGCCACCGAGCACGTGACTGCATGACCCCCACACAAAGGGCACGTCCATCGTTCCAACTACAAAGCTCCACGTCCAACACCAGTGGCCTCCTCACCCCCAATGCATATTTGCAACCCATTAGTACCAAAAGTTTAATCACTATTGCTGCCCTGTCTCCTACTACCCCATTCCTTGCCCTCATTAAACTCCTAAAGACAGTGGTCCCTAGATGCCTCCCTCTCTTCCCTATCCAGCGACTTATCACAAACACCCCAACACCCTTTCCTCTCCATCAGATATCACTGAACCTCAACAAGGGGGCCTGAGGTGCCAAAGAAACATCACATAGCACGATCTAGAGTGTAGCAACCACACAGCTAACACCCAAATCAGAGGGTCCTCATGATCCCATCCATGCACCCACATCCCGGCTGTCGTCCACAATCCTACGAATCAGAGGGTCCTCGTGATCCCCATCCGTGCACTCACACTCCCTGCTGTGGTCCACAATCCTACAACAATGCTCCACTCTTGGCCTCGTACCCTAAGTGTCCACATTCCACCTGTTCTCACTCCTCCTACACAGCCACCTTTGGCCCTAAGAACACTGCATCCGGACACGCAGGCCCTCGGCCTCCCAAAGTGCTGGGATTACAGGCGTGAGCCACCGCGCCTGGCCCAACATCATGTATTTATTACATGTACCAGCATTTATCTAATATTTTCCTAAAATACAATAACTTTTTCTTTTTTTTTTTTTTTTTGGAGACAAAGTCTCACTCTGTCACCCAAGCTGGAGTGCACTGGCACAATCTCAGCTCACTGCAACCTCCACTTCCCAGGTTCAAGCAATTGTCCTGTCTCAGCCTCCCAGGTAGCTGGGACTACAGGCGCCCACCACCACGCCTGGCTCATTTTTGTATTTTTAGTAGAGACAGGGTTTCACCATATTGGTCAGGCTGGTCTCCAACTCCTGACCTCAGGTGATCCGCCCACCTTGGCCTCCCAAAGTGCTGGGATTACAGGCATGGAGAGTTGGGCCATCTATTCTCTCACTGAAGCAGGGATGACTTTGTCACATGCACCCTTGCAGACACTGGGCACCTTGCAGACAGTGGGCACCCTGCAGACAGTGGGCACCTTGCAGACACTGGGCACAGGAATTCAGTAAGACTGATAGGTGATGTTTTTAGTTAGGGAGAATATATGTGCAAATTATTTCCATGTAATATAAAAAGAAAAAGTCTCAACTGTAAAATGAGCATAAACAGTCCAATGGTGAAACCTTTTCTCAAAAATCTGAATTGAAAGGACAAGTTATATTAGTGCTCAAGAAAAACTTCTCCCTGATCTGTCAGAATTCACACCATGAGTTCCAAATCACACGAAAGTACTCAAAGTCTTGGCCAAAGCAAACCTACTACAGCACCTAAACACAAATCTCCATTTTCTTTTTTCTTAAATTAGCCTTACTACTATATTATTAAAACTCTCAAACCAAAAGTTGAAACTAAAAATTGAAGTATTTTATAAAGGACATAAGCACAAAAATACCTTCCAAATAATCTTCAAATACGCCTAATTAAAAGCAGGCATTTAATTGCACAAATTTAATGAATTTAACATTTAAAAGTAAAGTTAAACTGCTTCTGAGGCCTTACAGTACCCTAAAATCATTTTCAAAGTCCAAGACGAGACGGTGCTGGACTAGCAGTCCTAGAAAAACCCTCACCAGCACCGCCCCGTCCACCGGAGCGCACGTGAGTCCCGGCATGCGGGCAGGGCAGGAGAGCTCTTTCTATCCCCACCCACCTCTGGCTCACTCCATGAGCACAAGCAAAGCAGTGCCCCGGACCTGGCATCTGTTCATGTTTTACTTGCCCATATCACCATTGTATTTAGTTCTTGGTAGCAGCCATCAACCATCATAAAGCAGCTTCTTTTATTCTTTGCTACTTCAAATCACACATGAAAAAGAAAATGCAAGAATAGAAACACAGAAATGGAAATGGGCCAGGTGTGGTGGCTCACACCTGTAATCCCAGCATGTTGGGAGGCTGAGGCCGGAGGATTGCTTGAGCCCAGGAATTTAAGACCTGCCTAACCAACACAGTGAAACCCAGTCTCTACAAAAAAAAAAAAAAAAAGAAAAATTTGCAGGCATGAGGAATGTTGGTGCATGCCTGTAGTCCCAACTACTTGGAGGCTGAGGTGGGAGGATCACTCGAGGTGGGGTGGTCGAGGCTACAGTGAGCCGTGATCCCACCACTGCATTCCATCCTGGGTGACAGAATGAGACCCTGTCTCAGAAAAAAAGAAACACAGACATGGAGAGAGAAGGCAGCTATCATGGGGCAAATTTAAACCAGGATCTCTGGAAATGCGTTATTTTTTTTTTAAATTATACCCACACACCCCTTCCACATTCTTCTATACTTAGAAAGGGGGTGTGCAGGCCGGGCGTGGTGGCTCATGCCTGTAATCCGAGCACTTTGGGAGGCCGAGGCAGGCAGATCACCTGAGGTCGAGAGTTCGAGACCAGCCTGACCAACATGGAGAAACCCCGTCTCTACTAAAAATACAAAATTACCAGGGCGTGGTGGTACATGCCTGTAATCCCAGCTACTCGGGAGGCTGAGGCAGGAGAATCACTTGAACCTGGGAGGTGGAGGTTGCAGTGAGCCGAGATTGTGTCACTGCACTCCAGCCTGGGCAACAAAAGCGAAACTCCATCTCAAAAAAAAGAAAAGTGTGCATACCAACCTGGTGAGCTAGGTAAGGTGCTCACATACTGGCAACAGAAAGCAGGTGACATGATCAAAGTCATAGACAGGCAGAGCCACACTGAAGAATGCAGTCCTGGCTACAGGTCCCAGCTCCTGCTTCACTGAGCACCCTGAGGGAGCCCTTCCTAAGCAAGGGGAGCCCTGCCTAAGCACTGGGGAGCACTTTATCTCACAACAGGAAAAGGCATTCTTTCCCCTCAGTTTCTCAGAGACCCAGTGACTTCAGGATTTGCAAACAATTGTGTTACTGAATGTGTCACACTCTGCTCCAGCTGCAGGGAAGAACCTGAGTGATGAGAGTACATGATTCTGACTCTGACCCTGACTTCCTCTTAACCTCCATACCCAAATCAAGACCTGTGCATGGAGCTGGCTCAGACCGGGGAGCCAGATGCTGTCTGAAAATATGCCATCAATTCTTTCTACTCACTTAAAATTCAAGTACCTAAGACATTCACCCCCCATTTTGTAAAAAAGCAAACAAAAACATAAGACTCAGAGACAGAATGTAAGAATACAACGAAGTATACCTGGCTGGAAGAACAGCTTTTACAGTGACAGCAACACCCTAATGGGCCCTCAAGACAAACTTGTGCCTCCCTCCGACGGTGTACAAGGAGTTAGGACTTTCCTGTGACCCTCAACAAATACTTGCAAGTATAAAGTTCGTTTTAACTTCTAGACCCGCTTTGTTTTAGTACTGATTGCAGAAGAGGGCTGACAATCCCAAGCTCTAAGCCTTTCTTGTGATTATCATTCCCAAATTCTCTTTCGCTATGCATACATTCCTAAACTCCTACTTTCTCCAAATTCTCAAAACATTCTATTTTACAGAGAGAGACAGGGTCTCACTATGGTGTCCAGGCTGGTCTCTAACTCCTCGCCTCAAGCAATCCTCCTACCCCAGCCTCCAAAACTGGCGGGATTACAGGCGTGAGCCACCATGCCTGGCCTGTCAAGACATTCTAAATTCTATTTTGTTCAATTTAATATCACACAGAAACTAAATATGCCTTCCATCAGCCATGAAAATGACTAATGAAAATGTAAATGACCACGTGGCCCAATCCTGGTTTCCATGGGAAGACCAGCTGGCTCACCACCCAGCTAAGAGTTATGGCCTAAATCAGAGGTGATCGGGGTGATCAGAGGTGAGCAAAGCACTGTTTCTGTAAAGTTTTAGTTTTATTGGAACACAGCCATACACAGCCATGCTTTTGCTTCAATGGCAAAGTTAAGTAGTTTCAACAGAGAAACCTATGGCTGGCAAAGTTCTTTACCACTTGGTCCTCTGTAGAAAAAGTTTGCCAATGCCTGGCCTATGTCAGAATTCTAACTACATCTCTACAGACTAGCCTAACAAGTGGGTCAAGTGCTAATAGTTTTAAGGGTGTTTCGGGTTTTTGTTTTAAAAGTTAATTATCTGTAAAGACAAATCAATGGAGACAGATAGTAGATTAGTGGCTGCCTGGGGTGTGAACAGATTAACTGTGAATTGACAGGAGGGATCTTACTGAAGTGCCAAAAATTTTCTAAAATTGGATTATGGTGATGATTTCACAAATTACTTTTTTTTTTTTTTTTTTGAGACGAAGCCTCACTCTGAGGCCCAGGCAGGAGTGCAGTTGTGTGATCTCAGCTCACTGCAGACTCCGCCTCCCGAGTTTTCAAGCAATCCTCACACCTCAGCCTCCCAAGTAGCTAAGATTACTAAAGGCACATGCCATCAAGACTGGTTAATTTTTGTATTTTTAGTAGAGACAGAATTTCGCAGTGTTGGCCAGGCTGGTCTCAAACTCCTGACCTCAGGTGATCTGCAAGCCTCGGCCTCCCAAAGTGCTGGGATTACAGGCTAGAGCCACCGCACCTGGCCCATTTCACAAATTACTTTTAGTAAGCAAACTTAACTAAAAATCACTGAACGGCATACTTACAATGCATCAATTTATGACGGAAAAAGTATTTCAGTGAATCTTAAAAACTGAAAAAGAAAAGTCAACTATCTGTATAATTGTACTTTGGTAATCTAAGACCTAAAGTTTAGGGTACAAGCTGAAATAAAATCCTAAAAAATCTTTAAAACATGTGTCTAGACGTTCAAAATTTAACCTCTGGTATCAAATAGCTCATTTGCGCCGGGTGCAGTGTCTCACGTCTATAATCCCAGAACTTTGGGAGGCCGAGGCAGGTGGATCACCTGACCTCAGGAGTTCAAGACCAGCCTGGACAACACGGTGAAACCCCATCTCTACTAAAATACAAAAATTAACCAGGCATGGTGGCACACGCCTATAATCCCAGCTACTCGGGAGGCTGCAGCAGGAGAATCGCTTGAACCTGGGAGGTGGAGGTTGCAGTAAGCCGAGATCACACCACTGCACTCCAGCCTGGGCAACAGAGTGAGACTCTGTCTCAAAATAAAACAAAAAAAACTCATTTGCAATTTAGAGACAGGAATTACAGCCAAGTGCACCCCTTACCCCACTCCCCTGGAGCCACAAGCCAAGAGGGCAAGGTAGGGAGGACCAACCATGCCTGGTGTCCTGCCACCAATGGCTCCAGGAACCCCAAGTTCTCTCCCACACCCTGGGCGTGATTAAAACTAGTAACACCTTTCTGTTAGAAACCACAGCGGGTGAGGACACAGCTGTTTACTTTTTTTTTAATCAAGAATGCTGCTCTCAGCACTCTGGGAGGCTGAGGCGGGTGGATCACCTGAGGTCAAGAGATTGAGACCAGCCTGGCCAACATGGTGAAACCTCATCTCTACTAAAAATACAAAAATTAGCCGAGTGTGGTGGCGGGAGCCTGTAATCTCAGCTCAGGAGGCTGAGGCAGGAGGCAGGAAAATCTCCAGACCTGGGAGGCAGAGGTTGCAGTGAGCAGAGATCATGCCATTGCACTCCAGCCTAGGCAACAGAGAGAGACTCTATCTCAAAAAAAAAAAAAAAAAAAAAAGAATACTTTGATGGTATCTTTGAAAGTTAAGAGGTCCTATTCCCCTCACTACTTTTAGATTCTTGTTTTCACATGGTCTTCTTGAAAGAAACTGCACACGCCCGCTTTTTCATACAATCACACATGCGTGGATAAACACATACCATCTTTTATTTTATTTTCTAAATAGAGACAGGGCCTCCTTATGTTGCCCAGGCTGGTGTCAAACTCCTGGGCTCAAACAATCCTCCTGACTCGGCCTCCCAAAGTGCTGGGATGACAGATGTAAGCCACCACGCCCGGCTGCACAGAACATCTGAAGCACATTTCTTTTTTGTTGTTGTTGTTGCCGTTTTCATAATAGTATTTAACAAGATAAATATCTTGGCTCCTTTTTGTTTTTATTGCCCTGCCCTTCAGGGATTAAGTGCATTTCTTAGATACTCACTACTTCTCTGACATTAAATTTTGTTTCAGTTGCTTACATCAACGTTTCAAAACCCAGAAATAAGAAAATTATTGTTCGAGGTCAATAACCATGTTTATAACAACTTCCAACTTAAAATGGAAGAGGAATCCCTTGGAGAACACACATTTCCTTATGGAAGTTTCCTCAAAATTTCTAATAGGAATTTCAACTAAGTTAAAGTACTAATTTAAGTAGGACAAGACAGAATTCTCTTCCTTCCCAGACACTATTACAAGCCAAACCACGTTTCACAGGAACACGTCCTGCCTGCTAAGGTGTCCCCTAGGACAAAGCTGCTTGCCAGCTGACCATCACTTGTATTGCATACTTTAAAAAGTGTGGCTAACAGAAAGGAGGCAAGACAGATGTTATTTAAATAAAAGCACAAAGCATCTGTTCAAGCACGAAAAAACATATGGGAAAATACAAGCACAGGACACTCAGGACAATGTGATGTGCTGAAGACACAGCGGCAAACAAAAGAGACCGGATGCCACTGACCTGTCCAAGAAGAAGAACAGGAAGTATTACATGAAGGAGAACAGGAAGTAAAACATGACTGGAGACAGAACTTGTGAATTCGAGGCAGGACTCTGGAGCCAGCCTGCCCAGGGTCCAGTGCTGGCGTCCACTCCCAACTTCTAACTTCCCTGGGCAAGTGGCCCAACTTCCTTGTGCCTCAACTGACTTATCTCTGCCACAAGGGGCAGAGGAGCACCCGCACCTCGGGAGTTCCCAAGACTGTCTGAGTGGACCTACATGGAGCACACAGAAGAGCACCCGGCAGGTAGTACATGTTTCACAATAATCCTTCCACAATGCAAATGACATACACTCTAAACTCATCATGGGGGAGTGCTTCACAACACCCCCTGGCACACCACAGCCAACACAACCACAGCCAACACAACGACAGCCGCGCCACAACCAAGAGAGCCTGAAGAGCTGCTCTCAGTCACTGCCCAGCAAGTGTGGGCAGCTGTAGCTTACAGACCAAGGCCACAGACCACAACTTCTGCAGGCTTGCCTGGGACACAGGGGCAGATAAGGAGAGCACCTGAGGCCTACGCTGAGTCCCACAGCAAGGATCCGACCCACATGGGCACAGAAGACTTCTACTGCAGGTTGCAAATCTTACATCCTTGACCTAGTGGGTAAAAAAACCCTAAGAAAAGGCAACTTTCTAAAACAATCATACTACACTCATATAAGCAATTAATTTTTAATAAGCACTGCTCATATATTAATGCCAATTTTCTCCTTCACAAATTATAACTCTGTCTTAAACCAAGCCACTATGAAAGCGGCTCTAGGCCAGACTCTCAGCAGCTACCACTGCTACGGTTCCTCAAGCTGCTCCCCTGGGTGCTTCCAGGGTTCCTCAAGCTGCTCCCCTGGGTGCTTCCAGGGTTCCTCAAGCTGCTCCCCTGGGTGCTTCCAGGGTTCCTCAAGCTGCTCCCCTGGGTGCTTCCAGGGTTCCTCAAGCTGCTCCCCTGGGTGCTTCTAGGGTTCCTCAAGCTGCTCCCCTGGGTGCTTCTAGGGTTCCTCAAGCTGCTCCCCTGGGTGCTTCCAGGGTTCCTCAAGCTGCTCCCCTGGGTGTTTCTAGGGTTCCTCAAGCTGCTCCCCTGGGTGCTTCTAGGGTTCCTCAAGCTGCTCCCCTGGGTGCTGTTAGGGTTCCTCAAGCTGCTCCCCTGAGTGTTTCTAGGGTTCCTCAAGCTGCTCCCCTGGGTGCTTCTAGGGTTCCTCAAGCTGCTCCCCTGGGTGCTGTTAGGGTTCCTCAAGCTGCTCCCCTGGGTGCTTCTAGCGTTCCTCAAGCTGCTCCCCTGGGTGCTTCTAGGGTTCCTCAAGCTGCTCCCCTGGGTGCTTCTAGGGTTCCTCAAGCTGCTCCCCTGGGTGCTGTTAGGGTTCCTCAAGCTGCTCCCCTGGGTGCTTCTAGCATTCCTCAAGCTGCTTCCCTGGGTGCTTCTAGGGTTCCTCAAGCTGCTCCCCTGGGTGCTGTTAGGCTTCCTCAAGCTGCTCCCCTGGGTGCTTCTAGCGTTCCTCAAGCTGCTTCCCTGGGTGCTTCTAGGGTTCCTCAAGCTGCTCCCATGGGTGCTGTTAGGGTTCCTCATGCTATCTCCCCTTAAGTGCTGTGGCAGCAGTGCAGAGCCCACATAGCTATATAAGCTACTCAGTAAGAAAAACCACACAGGAGCTACACGCACCACATCATGGACAAACCTCAAAACACACCAGGTGGGGATGTCACTGAAAACAGCCCCAAAACTCACTCCTTCCAACACTGCATGAGTAAGCTGCAAAAACTGTCAGAATCAACTCTTCAGAACTGTGGAGTCTAATAAAAAACTTCTAACAAGCAGAGAACGCCTAATGAAAAAGCTGCTCGATTTGGGCAGGAGAGAGCTGTGGAGAGGAACTTACCTGCTCACACACCTCATCCTTGGAGACAGCAGCCCCCATTGCTGGTACAAAAGAGTGCCGCAGACTCAATTCTCAAAGAATTGGGGCTGTACATTTTGACCTATCTGGTAGGAATGTAAAATGGTGCAGCTGTTGTTGAAATACTTTGGCAATTCCTCAAAAGGTAAACACAGAACTATGATATAACACAGCAATTCCACTCCTTGGTATATGCCCAAAAAGTGTTCAAATGGAAACCTGTGCACACATGCTCACAGCACTATTGAAAACAGAAAGGTGGAAACAGGTAGGGCGTGGTGGCTCACACCTCTAATCCCAGCACTTTTGAGAGGCTGAAGCTGGCCAATCACCTGAGGTCAGGAGTTTGAGACCAGCCTGGCCAACATGCTGAAATCCTGTCTCTACTGAAAAATACAAAAAGTAGTCTGGTGTGGTGGCGTGCACCTGTAGTCCCAGCTACCCGGGAGGCTAAGGCAGGAGAATCATTTGAACCCAGGAGGCGGATGTTGCAGTGAACCGAGATTGTGCCACTATACTCCAGCCTGGGCAACAGAACAAGATTCGGTCCCAAAAAAAAAAGGGGGGGTGGAAACGGGGGCCAGGCAAGCTGGCTCATGCCTGTAATCCCAGCACTTCGGGAGGGCAAGACAGGCAGACCACTTGAGGTCAGGAGTTCGAGACCAGCCTAACCAACATGGAAAAACCCTGTCTCTACTAAAAATAGAAAATTAGCCGAGCGTGGTGGCATGTGCCAGTAATGCCAGCTACTCGGGAGGCTGAGGCAGGAGAATCACTTGAACCCGGGAGGCGGAGGTTGCAGCAAGCCGAGATCACGCCACTCCAGGCTGGGTGACAGAGCAAGACTCCGTTTCAAAAAAAAAAAAAAAAGATGGAAACAAGCCAAGTGTCAATCAAGACAGGATGGGTAAACACCCTGCCTACACCCAGACAATGCAGCATTATTCACAAGTAAACAGGAATACAGTTCCAAGACATACAACATAGATGGACTCCAAAAACACGTTATGTGAAAGAAGCCGGACACTAAAGGCCATATATTATATGAACTCATTCCTAGGAAGTCTCCAAAATAGACAGATCCACAGTGGCACAGAGTCAACAGTGGCTGAAGAGCTGCGGAGAAGTGGAGCGCTTCCTTCGGGGGGAACAGAAATATCCTGGAATAGACATAATGGTGCTAGTTGCACAAAGTTGTAAATGTGCTACAGGCCATGGAATTGTACACATTCAAATGGTCAGAGTGGTGGGGTGTTCGTTATGTGAGTCTTTTTTTTTTTTTTTTTTTTGAGACGGAGTCTCGCTCTGTCGCCCAGGCTGGAGTGCAGTGGCGCAATCTCGGCTCACTGCAAGCTCCGCCTCCCGGGTTCACGCCATTCTCCTGCCTCAGCCTCCCAAGTAGCTGGGACTACAGGCGCCCGCCACTACGCCCGGCTAATTTTTTGTATTTTTAGTAGAGACGGGGTTTCACCGTTTTAGCCGGGATGGTCTCGATCTCCTGACCTCGTGATCCGCCCGCCTCGGCCTCCCAAAGTGCTGGGATTACAGGCGTGAGCCACCGCGCCCGGCCGAGTCTTACCTCAATAAAATTAAAGTAGTATGTCAGACTCAAAAGACTACAAATTCCAGGCCAGGCGCAGTGGCTCACGCCTGTAATCTCAGCACTTTGGGAGGATGAGGTGGGCAGATCATGCGGTCAGGAGTTCAAGACCAGCCCAGTCAATATGGTAAAACCCTGTCTCTACTTGAAAATACAAAAATTAGCCAGGCGTGGTGGTGGGCACCCGTAATCCCAGCTACTCGGGAGGCTAGGGCAGAAGAATCACTTGAACCCGGGAGGCGGAGGCTGCAGTGAGCTGAGATCGCGCCACTGCACTCCAGCAAGGCTCCGTCTCAAGAAAAAAAAAAAAAAAGACTACAAATTCCATTCATATGAAATTCTAAAATAAGCAAAACTAATCCACAATAACAGAAAGTGGGCTGGCAGTGCTTGGGGCAGTGGAGGGTTCTGGTTACAAATGGGCATTCTGCGGTGATGGAAATGTCTGTGTCAAGCTGGTGCTTAATACCTGGGGTATCAAAACTGTCAAACTCATCCTACTGTACCTTCTAAAATGGCTGCTTTTATTATATAAAGTATACAGGTATAAACATCACTGAAGAAATCCAGGTACATGTGAAACACACAAGTGTGGAGCTGAATGGAGCCACGCGAACCAATACACAATCGTCAGATTCAGACCCAGACCCCAGCTGAGACGGCACCTCGCAATGACTTGCTCCCAAAGAAAGATGTTCTGGCCAGAGCCCTGGAGACCCCACACCTGGGGACTGGAGACCGCAGCCATCCACCTGCAACTCTGTTCTCAGACACCTCTGCTGTGCGGTGGCCCCAGGAAAGCAGTGACACAAAAAGAAAAAAAAAAGCTTTCTGAAACGGTGCTTTAGAGGTTTAACCAAAATAAAACTCAACCAATTTTCTTCAAAACATAAACTCCTGTTCTTGTTGTACTTTAGCACTTGCTTTACGTAATTTCATTTCTTTTTTTTTTTTGAGACGGAATCTCACTGTGTCACCCAGGTTGGAGTGCAGTGGCGCGATCTCCGCTCACTGCAAGCTCCGCCTCCCGGGTTCAGGCCATTCTCCTGCCTCAGCCTCCTGAGTAGCTGGGACTACAGGCGCCCGCCACCACGCCCGGCTAATTTTTTGTATTTTTAGTAGAGACGGGGTTTCACCATGTTAGCCAGGATGGTCTCGATCTCCTGACCTCGTGATCCGCCCATCTCGGCCTCCCAAAGTGCTGGGATTACAGGCGTGAGCCACCGTGCCCGGCCACGTAATTTCATTTCTTAGGAATAACATTTTACATTAAAGAAAATACTTTGCCACGCTTTCACTCATGATTTTGCAGTTCCACTGGAAGGCTGAACATCACTCTGGCAAGTTCAGACATGTTCCATTAATCATCTCCAAGGCTGCTTGCTACAAAGAAGCTGTTTCATTCAACAGCATCTCCTTAAACAAAATCCAAGCCTGCTTTGCCTTTGGTAACCAAAACTTGATTTAACCTCCCAAAGAGGGAGCCAGCCTGCTGCTGGCCACTGCGTGCCCTAGGCCTCAGCTTCCTGCTGCTGACTGGCTGCCTGCATCTCCTCTGCGGCCCCGGCCTCATGAAGCTGCCCACTGGTCCTGTGGTTCCTCAGGGGTCCTGGCACTGGCAAGGGGACGCAGCAAACCCACACCGTCGTGACCCTGGTCACATACACCTGTCTTCAGGAAAACTTCTCTGTGATGAAAGAACCCAGATTCACAGTGGTGAACTCTTCAAAAACTATACTAAACAAGGGAAGACTGTGCTAGATGAAATAACCATACATGCATTTATTCACATGGGAAATGGATCAGACAATGGCTGCCAATGCTAAGAATAAATTCTTGATGAGTTTCTAAGAAATCAAGACAACCTTCAAGGTTGGGCCAAGAGCATGGATGGGAAAGGCAGATGTGCATCTGGTTCTGTTTTCTGACCATAATAATGAGATCTACATGAAAGGATGTCTTGAGAGGAGGGAACAGTGGTAAGAGTGAAGCCAGCAGAGAGAGCTTGGAAAAGAGAATTCAGACCCATCTTCAAGTTAACAAAAACAATTACTGACTCATACGAAGAAATCGGGAAAGTCAATAAAACGGATGCTTCTAAACCTGTTGATGAAGTTTTTCTGAAGTTGTGAAAATTTCCAACAAAAAAGACTAACTCTAAGCCTGAAAGTATCCTTTCCTTTCTTTTTGAGCCACGACACCCGGCCTCTTACAAGTTTTTTATTTCCAACCTTAAGTGAATTTGTGGACCAAATTTCAAAACAACTTTTTGTGAATTCAGTTCCTGCATAATATGTTTGGTAAACAACTAAAAAACTGATTCCTAGTACTGTTTCAGTATTTATCAAACAACTGATCGTGTTCTATAAAAAGGTTTAAAAAAATAAAATTCAGGAACAGTGGCCCATGCTTGTAATCCCAGCACACTGGGAAGCCTAGGCAAGAGGATTTCTTGAGGCGTCTGAGACCAGCCCCATGTCTACAAACAATAAAAAAGTAGCTGGGCATGGTGGTCGTGCCTGCAGTCCCAGCTATTCAGGAGGCTGAGCCTGGAGGATCGCTTGAGCCCAGGAAGTCGAGATTGCAGTGAGCCAATTTCGTGTCACTGCACTCCATCCTGGGTGACCAAGCAAGACCCTGTATCCAAAAAAAAAGAAAAAAAAAAGGCCAGGTGCGGTGGCTCACACCTGTAATCCCAGCACTTTGAGAGGCTGAGGTAGGTGGATCATTTGAGGTCCGGAGTTTGAGACCAGCCTACCCAACATGGTGAAACTCCGTCTCTACTAAAAATACAAAAGAATTAGCTGGGCGTGGTGGTGTGCGCCTGTAATCCCAGCTACTCGGGAGGCTGAGGCAGGAGAATCATTTGAACCTGGGAGGCCGAGATTGCAGTGAGCTGAGATTGCGCCACTGCACTCCAGCCTGGGCAACAGACTAAGACACCGTCTCAAAAACAACAAGAACAAAAAACATTAAAAAATAAAATTAAAATTAAAAAATAAAAATCACATGCTTTGGTCATAAAAATAATAAGTGTATCCTATAAATGTCCTGAGGTCAGGAGTTCAAGACCAGCCTGGCCAATATGGCAAAACCCCGTCTCCACTAAAAATACAAAAAATTAGCCGGGCGTGGTGCCAGGTGCCTGTAATCCCAGCTACTCAGGAGGCTGAAGCAGGAAAATTGCTTGAACTTGGGAGGTGGGGGATGCAGTGAGCCAAGATAGTGCCATTGCACTCCAGCCTTGGTGACAGAGCGAGATTCTGTCTCAAAAACAAAACAAAACAAAAATTAAATTTGACACTGGGCACAGCAGCTCACGCATGTAATCTCAGCACTATGGAAGGTTGAAGCAGGCGGGTTGTTTGAGCCCAGGAGGTCGAGGCTATAGTGATCCACGATCACACCACTGCACTCCAGCCCGAGCAAGACAGCAAGACTCTGTCTCAAAAATAAGTAAACAAAAATTGAATTTGACCTGCAGGGGGTAGTCACAATTGAGGAATCTGAGCTGTGGGGCAAACTGTTCAAATGAAGATTCTGACCCACAGGAACAAACTGATCCAAAAGGGAAATATGCCAGTCACGAAAGGACAAATATTGTATGACCCCCCACCCCTTACAGGAGAGGTGCCTTGGACAGTGACATTCATAAGAGAAGAAAGGACAAATATCGTATGACCCCCCCCCCCAACAGGAGACGCACCTTGAGTGGTGACATTCATAACAGAAGAAAGGACAAATATCGTATGACCACCCCCCCGCAGGAGACGCACCTTGAGTGGTGACATTCATAAGAGAAGAAAGGACAAATATCGTATGACCCCCTCCCATAGGAGACGCACCTTGAGTGGTGACATTCATAAGAGAAGAAAGGACAAATATCGTATGACCCCCCCCCCCCCCTTATAGGAGAGGTGCCTTGAGTGGTGACATTCATAAGAGAAAGCAGATTGGTGGTCAGGGGTTATGGGGAGAGTCGAGGTTATGGGGAGAGGGATGAAGAGTTAGTGTTAATGGGTAGCCGGTGTCGTCTGGGAAGACCAAGTTCTGGAGAGGGATGGTGGTGATGGCTTTGCACCGTGTGAATCTAATACCAGAGAACTGCACACTCAAAAATGGTACAAATGGTCAATTTTATACTGCTGGGCTCAGGGAATCCTTCCCCTCAGCCTCCTGAGGAGCTGGGACCACAGGCACCTGCCACCACGCCTGGCTAACTTTTGTATTTTTTGTAGAAACAGGGTATCTTCATTTGCCCAGGCTGGTCTCAAACGCCTGTGCTCACGTTATCTGCTTCCCTCGGCCTCCGAAAGTGCTGAGACTACAGGCGTGAGCCACCACACCCCACTTAATAATTCCATTTTAATACCGATTTACTAAACAAGGAAAAGCTCATAGAATTACTAACTATGCCATCTTATTTAGGCTACCTAAATTCTCTGAACTTCATCTTCTAAATAAATAAGAAGAAATGTATCTTTTAACACTAATAACTATGGTCATTCCCATTAAAACATTAAGTTTTGAAAACTAGGGTTCTCATTTAAGCCTGTCTCACAGCAGCTCAGCTCTCAGAATGTTCAGAAGACTCTGACACTGCCCTCTCCCCTCCTCTGGCACTCATTTTGGAAACCTGCAGAGCATCTATTGAAAAAGCCCATCCCAGCATCTTCTTAATCACTGGTATACTTCCGTCTGTCACGAGCTTCATTTAAAAAAAGCGTCACGCTCCCTCTCCCTCCCCCTCTCCCTCTCCCCCTCTCCCTCTCCCTCTCTCCCTCTCCCTCTCCCCATGGTCTCCCTCTCCCTCTCTTTCCACGGTCTCCCTCTCATGCTGAGTCGAAGCTGGACTGTACTGCTGCCATCTCGGCTCACTGCAACCCCCCTGCCTGATTCTCCTGACTCAGCCTGCCGAGTGCCTGCGATTGCAGGCTCACGCCGCCACGCCTGACTGGTTTTGGTGGAGACGGGGTTTCGCTGTGTTGGCCAGGCCGGTCTCCAGCCCCTAACCGCAAGTGATCCGCCAGCCTCGGCCTCCCGAGGTGCCGGGATTGCAGACGGAGTCTCGTTCACTCAGTGCTCAATGGTGCCCAGGCTGGAGTGCAGTGGCATGATCTCGGCTCGCTACAACCTCCACCTCCCAGCCGCCTGCCTTGGCCTCCCAAAGTGCCGAGACTGCAACCTCTGCCCGGCCGCCACCCCGTCTGGGAAGTGAGGAGCGTCTCTGCCTGGCCGCCCATCATCTGGGATGTGAGGAGCCCCTCTGCCTGGCTGCCCAGTCTGGAAAGTGAGGAGCGTCTCCGCCCAGCCGCCATCCCACTTAGGAAGTGAGGAGCACCTCTTCCCGGCCGCCATCACATCTAGGAAGTGAGGAGCGTCTCTGCCCGGCCGCCCATCGTCTGAGATGTGGGGAGCGCCTCTGCCCCGCCGCCCCGTCTGGGATGTGAGGAGCACCTCTGCCCGGCCACCCCGTCTGACAAGTGAGAAGACCCTCTGCCCGGCAACCACCCCGTCTGAGAAGTGAGGAGCCCCTCCGCCCGGCAGCCACCCCGTCTGGGAAGTGAGGAGCGTCTCCGCCCAGCAGCCGCCCCATCCGGGAGGGAGGTGAGGGGGTCAGCCCCCCGCCCAGCTGCCCCGTCCGGGAGGGAGGTGGAGGTGGGGGGGGTCAGCCCCCCCGCCAGGCCAGCCGCCCCGTCCGGGAGGGAGGTGGGGGGGTCAGCCCCCCGCCAGGCCAGCCGCCCCATCCGGGAGGGAGGTGGGGGGGTCAGCCCCCCCGCCCGGCCAGCCGCCCCGCCCGGGAGGTGAGGGGCGCCTCTGCCCGGCCGCCCCTACTGGGAAGTGAGGAGCCCCTCTGCCCGGCCACCACCCCGTCTGGGAGGTGTGCCCAACAGCTCATTGAGAACGGGCCATGATGACAGTGGCGGTTTTGTGGAATAGAAAGCGGGGAAAGGTGGGGAAAAGATTGAGAAATCGGATGGTTGCCGTGTCTGTGTAGAAAGAAGTAGACATGGGAGACTTTTCATTTTGTTCTGTACTAAGAAAACTTCTGCCTTGGGATCCTGTTGATCTGTGACCTTGCCCCCAACCCTGTGCTCTCTGAAACATGTGCTGTGTCCACTCAGGGTTAAATGGATTAAGGGCGGTGCAAGATGTGCTTTGTTAAACAGACGGTTGAAGGCAGCATACTCGTTAAGAGTCATCACCACTCCCTAATCTCAAGTACCCAGGGACACAAACACTGCGGAAGGCCGCAGGGTCCTCTGCCTAGGAAAACCAGAGACCTTTGTTCACTTGTTTATTTGCTGACCTTCCCTCCACTATTGTCCTATGACCCTGCCAAATCCCCCTCTATGAGAAACACCCAAGAATTATCAATAAAAAATAAATAAATTAAAAAAAAAAAAAGCCTCACACTGGATAAGTGTTTTTCAATAATTTCAACGTAGTATTCCACAGCAAATTGTCTAGTTCACATTTAATTCAAAATTAATTCCCTACGTTACCACACAAGCAATAGACTGTTAAGTTTAATGCTCCCATGGCTTTCTACTTATGCAAAAAATTAACTTCTTCAAAACACCTATGGTGGAAGTTCTTCCTGTTCAGACTGCAATTCTATTTACAAAAAACAATAGTACTGTAGTACTATTAGACCACAACGCTAACGCCAGGCACAGTGGTTCACACCTGTAATCCCAACATTTTGGGAGGGTGAGGTGGGCGGATCACTTGAGGTCAGGAGTTAAAGACCAGCCTGGCCAACATGGTGAAACCCCGTCTCTACTAAAAATACAAAAATTAATCAGGCATGGTGGCGGGCGCCTGTAGTCCCAGCTACTCGGGAGGCTGAGACACGAGAATCACTTGAACCTGGGAGGTGGAGGCTGTAGCGAGCGAAGATCGCACCACTGCACTCCAGCCTGGGTGACAGAACGAGACTCCATCTCAAAAGAAAAAAAAAGATCACAATGGTGGAATCTAACCCTCTTATCTAAAATTTCTTAAAGTAACAAACATTTTGAAAAGAATAAATCTGGCAGAGCGTGGTGGCTCACGCCTGTAATCCCAGCACTTTGGGAGGCCGAGGCAGGCAGATCACGAGGTCAGGAGTTCAAGACCAGCCAGGCCAACATGGTGAAACCTCATCTCTACTAAAAATACAAAAAATTAGCTGGGCGTGGGGTCAGACACCTGTAATCCCAGCTACTCAGGAGGCTGAGGCACGAGAATCGCTTGAACCTGGGAGGTGGAGGCTGTAGTGAGCCAAGATCGCAACACTGCACTCCAGCCTGGGCGACAGAGTGAGACTCCATCTTAAAAAAAAAAAAAAAAGAAAAGAAAAGAAAAAGAAAAAAAGAAAAGAATAAATCTGTAACAGCACTGGAAAACAGAAGAATGACATGTCAATAGTTGACCAGAATTAAGCACCTAAATTAACAGAAAGTAAATGAAATCAGACAAATAACTTAAGTTTAGAGAAAACAGAGACCAAACTCTACAGAAGGAAGAAGCCGCAGAGATCAAACTCTACAGAAAGTCAGGACCACTGCAGAGGAAAAGCAAGCTTCAAGGATGAAAAACCAATAAAGCTACACAGTTCCAAGTTCATCTACTATGATTACTATGATGGGGAAACCACCTGGGGGTCAGGGGCCGAATCTGGCCCAATGTCTTTTTTAGACAGTCCACAGGCTAAGAATGAGGTTTATATTTATACCTGGTTGAAAAAGAAAATAACATTTTGTGGTAAGTGAAAATTATATGAAATTCTAATTTCAGTGTTAGTAATAGTTGTAACTGGAAAACAGCCAGGCTCGTTTTAAGTGTGGCCCCGGTTCCTTCCATGATACAACAGCAGAGCTGAAGAGCTGTCAGAGAACATGCGGCCACAAGGTCTAACTGGCCCTTGACAGAAAAACTGAGATGGAGTTAAAAAGACAAGTCTGCATATTAAAAGAGCTTCAAGATGCTAACCAATATAAAAAAGTCACAATCTAAACCCTAAAAATAGCAAAATGTCAGACTCCCACATATCAACAGAAAATCCTACAAGTTTCCACAAAATCCTAAAAAGCTTAACTAAAAAAGAATCATGAATTAGACTGGCGTTGGACTTCTCTCATCTTTACAGCAGAGGCCACGACAGAGAACAGGGGCAGCACACTCTTGCCGTGAAGAGCAGACAGTCCATCGAGGCCTTTCTGTGCCACACCGCCCGCCCGCACACATCCGCGGAAAGCCTGCTTTCAGCTGCTCAGCAGGTGGGAACACTTGCTCCTCCAGCATTCCACCATGAGACAAAGGAAAAAGTCGCTTCTGTGTGTCCACCAGCACACGACTCCCATGTACTCCTGCACGTCACGTGGACGAGCTAAAGAAGACTCCTCTGCTCCACAGCCACCATCACACTTTCTTGTTTTTGTTATTTTTTGAGACGGAGTCGGAGTCTCGCTCTGTCGCCCAGGCTGGAGTGCAGTGACACGATCTCAGCTAACTGCAAGCTCCACCTCCTGAGTTCACGCCATTCTCCTGCCTCAGCCTCCCGAGTAGCTGGGACTGCAGGCGCCCGCCACCATGCCCGGCTAATTTTTTGTATTTTTAGTAGAGATGGGGTTTCACCGTGTTAGCCAGGATGGTCTTGATCTCCTGACCTCATGATCTGCCCGCCTCGGCCTCCCAAAGTGCTGGAATTACAGGCGTGAGCCACCGCGCCTGGCCACCATCACACTTTCTAAAAGGTCAGGGTGCCAATCACAACAGGGACCAGTAAAAGGAGATTGTGTCATAAACTCAACAAGCTGCCCAGAAAAAGATGCTGGCAGAACCTGCTGCACTGGCCGTGGGCTCAGGCACACCAGGTAAACACCAGAGCGCATGCAGCCCACCCCCTACAAGCAACGAGCCCCCACCTGCTGACAGTTCAATTCTCTGAAGAAGAAATGATGATCTTATTTATCTAAAACCCAAAAGACTTAATTCTCATTTATGGGAAACATTCACAATAGGCAAATCCAGAGAGATAGAAAAGAGAGTACCAGTTGTCAGGGAAAGGGGGAAGGGGGACAAGGACTGATGACACAGGGGACCGCATGAGGATGGAAACTTGCTGGAATGTGACAGTGGTGATGGGTGCACAATATAATGAATATACTAAAAATCACTAAACTGTGAGCTGTAAATGGTAAATTTTGTATTCTGTGAACCAGATCTCGTTCATTTTTCAAAAGAAAGTCATCACCCAACGGGGTAAAATTCCTAATGCCTGGCATCCAACAAAATCACTAGGCAAAGAAGGAAAAAATACAAGCCTCAGAAAACGACGATTAGTGCTCAAAAAAACACAAATACAAACCATAATGAGGTTAAAAGAAATAAACCAACATAGAATTGAAACAGGTGTTAAAATTAGTAGACAAAGACATTAAAAGCTGTTGAACTGTATTCCACATGTTCGACATGGAAAATATAAAAAAGACAACTCGGTAGCAGCAAACAAAAGATGCAAAGAGCCAAGTGTGGGCGGCAGGGGCCCTCCCGCAACTCGGGCATGTTCGAGAGTTTTTAGAGCTCCATCTTCAGCTCCTGCTCCCTTCCCTGGAGGTCAGTGGCCGGAGATGAAAGCCCTAGCCCTCTAATAATCATCTGGTCTTCCTGGTGACCACCCCTACCCTGTCAGTTCATTAGCTTAAACTCTGGTGTGATCTGAAAGGAGCTAGTTATGAATAACAAATGACATCCTATCATATAAGAAATTCCAATGGTTGCAGGAACTCTGTGCCAGGAGTGAGAAGGCGCAGGGAGAAAAAGACCACATAATCTTTTATTGACCAAAGTTGCCAAACCCACAAGCTGCAATCAGGCCAGGAGCGGCGGCTCATGTCTATAATCCCAGAACCTGGGGAGGCCACAGCAGGTGGATCGCTTGAGCCCAGGAGTTTGAGATGGGCCAGGGCAACATGGCTAAACCCCATCTCTACAAAAAAAAAAAACAGAAAGATTAGCTGGCTGGGTATGGTGGCACGCACCTGTAGTCTCAGCTATTTGAGAGGCTGAGGTGGGAAAACTGCCTGAGCCCAGGAAGTTGAGGCTGCAGTGAGCTGTGATGGCAACACTGCACTCCAGCCTGGACCACAGAGTAAGACCTTGTCTCTAAAAAGAAACCCTGGGCTCAAGTGGCCATCCAGCCTCAGCCTCCCAAGTAGCTGGGACTACAGGCACACGCTATCACACCCAGCTAAGTTTTATTTTTATTTTTGTAGAGACGGGGTCTTGCTATGCTGCCCAGGCTGGTCTTGAGCTCCTGGTCTCAAGTGATCCCCCGCCTTGGCCTCTCAAAGTGCTGAGACTACAGGCGTTGCATCTGACCCTGTATCACTCTTCAACACGCAGGATGCACTGCACAGCTGATCCCAAATGCTGTTGTGAATCTAATCAAGATACCGTAAGACATACTGCATATGTTTTTAAAAATCAGATAAGACGACTGGGTGACTTGCTACCCACAGTGTTTTGTTTTGTTTGTTTGTTGAGACAATGTCTCGCTCTGTTGCCCGGGCTCAAGTGGAGTGGCGTGATCTCAGCTCACTGCAACCTCTGCCTCCCGGGTTCAAGTGTTTCTCTTGCCTCAGCCTCCCGAGTAGCTGGGACTACAGATGCGCACCACCATACCCAGGTAAGTTTTTTTGTATTTTTAGTAGAGACGGGGTTTGGTTATGTTGGCCAGGCTGGTCTTGAACTCCTGGCCTCAAGTGATCTGCCCACCTCGGCCTCCCAAAGTGCTGGGATTACAGGTGTGAGCCACCACGCCCAGACTGCAGTCTTTATCACTTTATGACACTGTAATCATGAACTTGGAAAGAAGGGTCTATTAACTTAGTGTTAACTTGAAAAGGAAAACCAAAGCAGAAATCTAAACAATTATTTGGATGACTACAGCAAAACTAAGAGGATTTGGGTTTAAGTTGTTGTAGTAGCTATGCCACATGGCACAGACTCTATCACCTTCTCACCCACACCTGCAACGTGAGTGCAGCTCCTCCAATCATGAGGTCGGGGGGAAAGTCTATTTTGCACCCCTTGAACCCAGTCTCACTCACCGATTTGCTGTTACCAACAGAATGAAGCAAAAGTTGGCCAGGTGCAATGGCTCACACTTGTAATCCCAGGACTTTGGGAGGCTGAGACAGGTGGATCACTTGAGGCCAGAAGTTTAAGACTGGCCTGGCCAACATGTCGAAATCCTGTCTCTACTAAAAATACAAAAATTAGCCGAGCGCGGTGGCACAGGCCTGTAATGTTAGCTACTCAGGAGGCTGAGGCTGGAGAATTGCTTGGGAACCTGGGAGGCAGAGGTTGCAGTGAGCCGAGATCGCGCCACTGCACTCCAGCCTGGGCAACAGAGTAAGACGCTATCTCAAAAAAAAAGAAGGACGAAGCAAAAGTGAAGCCATGTGGCCCCTGCTTCTGCTGCCCTACTGTTCTTGGCAGCCCCAATGGCCAGCCTGCTGGATGTTGAAACGTACAGGGCTCAGCTGACACCCTGCCAGCCAATGTATCCTACAGGAAGAATGATACACTGTCACCAAGTGGGTTTAACCCAGGAATACATGATTGGTTAAACGTTCAAAAAACAAAACCAAATGATAAATAAATGTAAAAGAAAACTATAAAATTCAATGTCCATTCCTGATACTTAGCAAACTTGTAATAGAAGGGAACTTCCTCAACCTCATAAAGTGCCTTTATGAAATCCCACAGCAAACATCATGGTTAATGGTGAAAAAGTGGACACTTTTCAATTACCATCAGAAATAAGCCTGTGTCAGAGCCTGCAGTGAGCCACCACTGCACTGCACTTCAGCTTGGGCCACAGGGCGAGGCTCTGTTTCAAAAAAAAAAAGAGGAAAAAAAAGAAATAAGCCTGTGATATCCACTCTTTTTTTTCTTTTGAGATGGAGTCTCACTCTGTCGCCCAGGCTAGAGTGCTGTAGCGCAATCTTGGCTCACTGCAACCTCTGCCTCCCAGGTTCAAGAGATTCTCCAGCCTCTGCCTCCTGAGCAGCTGGGAATAGAGGCAAACACTGCCACGTCCAGCTAATTTTTTTGCATTTCAGTAAAGATAGGGTTTCACTGTGTTGCCCAGGATGGTGTCAAACTCCTAACCTCAGGTGATCCACCCACCTTGGCCTCCCGAAGTGCTAGAATTACAGGCGTGAGCCACCGCACCTGGTTGATCTCCACTCATCACTTCTTTTGAACACCGTACTGGAGATTCTAGTCCAAGAGAAAGGAGATAAAACGTACGCAAATAAGAAAGGAAAAAGTAGGCCAGGCGCGGTGGCTCACACCTGTAATTCCAGCACTTTGGGAGGCTGAGGCGGGCGGATCACGAGGTCAGGAGATGGAGACCATCC
Source organism: Homo sapiens (assembly GCF_000001405.40). Lineage (NCBI taxonomy): Eukaryota > Metazoa > Chordata > Mammalia > Primates > Hominidae > Homo > Homo sapiens. The sequence goes on from NC_000016.10 coordinate 89,469,705, forward strand.
TGGCTAACACGGTGAAACCCCGTCTCTACTAAAAATGCAAAAAAAATAGCTGGGCGTGGTGGCGGGCGCCTGTAGTCCCAGCTACTCGGGAGGCTGAGGCAGGAGAATGGCGTGAACCCGGGAGCGGCAGTTGCAGGGAGCCAAGATCGCGCCCGGAGACAGAGTGAGGCTCCGTTTCAGAAAAACAAAGTCAGTTGTACTTTTTCCTTTTCTTTTGTTTTTGACGGAGCTCACTCTGTCGCTCAGGCTGGAGCGCAGTGGTGCGATCTCGGCTCATTGCAACCTCCACTTCCCGGGTTCACGCCACTCTCCTACCTCAGCCTCTCGAGTAGCTGGGACTACAGGCGCCCGCCACCACGCCCGGCTAATTTTTTTGTATTTTTAGTAGAGACGGGGTTTCACCGTGTTAGCCAGGATGGTCTCCGTGTCCTGAACTTGTGATCTGCCTGCCCCGGCCTCCCAAAGCGCTGGGATTACAGGCGTGAGTCACCATGCCTATAATGTCACCGGCCTATAATCCCAATTCTTACAAGAAAACCAAAAGCGAGGAAAAATGAAGTAACTTACTCATGGTCATAGCTTATCACTAAGATTCAAACCCTTTCTACAAATCCTGCCCTGTAGAAAAAGCGCTGAAATGGGATGCACTATTAGGACAGGCACACAAGGGGAAACACACCCCTCAGATGACAGTGAGGAGCTTATCCAGGTCCAGGTCAACGCAGGTCAGTCTGAGGAGAGGCAGCCATGGGTGTTTTGTGTACAGACTAAACGTAGGTAGGGAATACTGGTTAACACCATAGACTGAGAAAGGAGGGTAAATACTAAAGTATTAGTCTCTAAGAAATCTCATGAAAGCAGCCAGGTGCGATGGCTCACGCCTCTAATCCCAGCACTTTGGGAGGCAAAGGCAGGTAGATCACAAGGTCAGGAGATCGAGACCATCCTGGCTAACATGGCGAAACCCAGTCTCTACTAAAAATACAAAAAATTAGCCGGGCGTGGCCGGGCGCGGTGGCTCATGCCTGTAATCCCAGCACTTTGGTAGTACCAGGCGGGTGGATCACAAGGTCAGGAGATCAAGACTATCCTGGCTAACACGGTGAAACCCCGTCTCTACTAAAAAATACAAAAAAAAATTAGCTGGGCACGGTGGCGGACATTTGTAGTCCCAGTTACTCGGGAGGCTGAGGCAGGAGAGTGGTGTGAACCTGGGAGGCGGAGCTTGCAGTGAGCTGAGATCATGCCACTGCACTCCAGCCTGGGCGACAGAGCGAGACTCTGTCTCAGAAAAAAAAGGAAATCTCATGAAAGCATGGGAGCCAAAGCCTTCCTTCCTACATCCTCAATTTAAAAGCATGACTGAGGCTGGGCGCAGTGGCTCACTCCTGTAATCCCAGCACTCTGGGAGGCCAAGGCAGGAGGATCATTTGAGCTCAGAAGCTGGAGATCAGCCTGACAGCAGAGTGAGACCCCACCTCTGTTTTAAAAGTAAAAAAAAATAAATAAATAAAACTAAAGCACTATTGACCCTCCAAACTAGTTACTATCTGGAAATTCTAGCGATTTCCAAATCACAGCTTTCGAGGAACTGTGTGCAAAACCTAAAAGCCTGCTGCCCCGAAGTCCTGTGTGGAGTGGTGCTCTCACCACTCAGGAATTCACGAGACGGCAAGAACTCATCAAGTTACCCTGCAGCCCTGAAGGAGTCCACAGGAAGTGATTCTCTTTGCTAGAGGCTGCTCTGAGAAAAAGCTTCAGGTAACAAATTAGGCCACCATGGAGACACTTAAGATATGATTTCATGACCAGGTGTGGTGCCTCACGCCTATAATCCCAGCACTCTGGGAGGTAGAGGTGGGCAGATCACCTGAGGTCAGGACCAGCTTGGCCCACATGATGAAACCTCCTCTCTACTAAAAATACAAAAATTATCCGGGCGTGGTGGCGGACACCTGTAATCCCAGCTACTTGGGAGGATGAGGAAGGAGAGTTGCTTGAACTCAGGAGGCAGAGGTTGCAGTGAGCTGAGATGATGCCACTGCACTCCAGCCTGGGCGACAGTGAGACTCTGTCTCAAAAAAAAAAAAAAAAAAAAAAAAAAGATATGATTTCATTTACCACCCAAATCAACTCACATACAACTCACAGCAAAGAGGAAACAGGAAAACATGTACCTTAAGTCCTTACTCCCCCAGTTACCAGGTCCTGAACATCAGGGACAATGGCTATGACCCTCGAGGCATGCAGCCCTGCCAAACATCACATGCTCATTTTATCTCCAGACACATCTCCTAGAATAAAATGGGAAGCTGTTGTACCCATCCTTGACCCTCAGGTGACTACTTTTAAAGGTGCTCTCCACCGGGCAGAAAGAGCATCAGGATCAGGGCAGAAACCTAATTCCGACCAAGCTTTAGGGTTCCGAGTCTGAGAGCAACTTCCCATCCTTTTTCTGAGACTGAAGCTGCTGTCAACACTGCCCAATAAACACTCGCAGGACACAGCTAAGGAAGACAGAAAAGTGAGAGGCAAATGGGGATGCTGACTTTGCATCTTCATGTTCCAACCTGAGTATCACCTGTGCTTTTGTGTTTGTGTGGATCTGTAGGGACGGTACCAAGATCTCTAAGTCAGGTGCAATATCAGGAGATCTGCACATTTACTAAGGGGAAGGGGAAGGGAGAAAAAAAACCGTCTCAGACTCAACAATAAACCTAGGAATGAAAAGATCCAAAGCAAAGGAGCAGCAAGGCTGGAAAAGCTCCGGCGGCAGAGCAGGACCCGAGTCACCAGCACATCACACTCCTCTGACCCATTTATTGATTTATTTGAGATGAGCTCTTGCTCTGTCCCCCAGGCTGGAGGGCAGTGGCACATTCATGTGTCACTGCAACATCAACCTCCCATTCCACTGCGCCCAGCTTATTCCATTCTAATGGCTGTGCACACCGTTTAAATACTGACCACAGAGGTGTTACTGTTTTATTAGGTATCTGCCCTAAGTGTGCCAAGCCTTTTATTTGAGGATCCAATGAATATCACTTAGTGGAAAGGAAGTAAAAGATAATTACAACACAACAATAAATTATTACCACAGAGGGGAGCAGAGAGCACCGCAAGACCAAAGGTGAGAATCTAACCAATGGCAGAAGTCACAAGTGAAAAAAGAGCTCAACCATGAGATCAAGAGGCTCACTGGGGGCCAGACATAGTGGCTCATGTCTGTGATCCCAGCACTGTGGGAGGCTGAGGCAGGAGGATCACTTGAGCCCAGAAGTTGGGAGACCAGCCTGGGCAACACAGTGAGACCCCGACTCTACAAAAAGTACAAACATTAGCCAGGTGTGGTGGTACACACCTGTGGTCCCAGCTACCCAGGACAGCTTGGCTTGAGCCCAGGAGGTCAAGGCTGCAATAAGTCAGGATCACACCACTGCCCTCCAGCCGAGGCAAGAAAGCAAGACCCTGCCTCAAAAAAAAAAAAGGATCATTGGGAACATGGAGGCCTGAAGGATGAGTAGGCATCAGTCAGGGAAAGGAGAGAAGGGAATTTGAGGCAGGAAGCAAAGACCTCAAGAACTCTGATGAGTCCATACTTACTACTGAAAATAACCAATCTCTGCCTAGAGAATAGAGGTGGAGAAAGAGGCAGACTGGACTAGAGTAGAATTCCACCAGGCCCTGACCAGCTGCTTCACTGACCACATCCATCATCTCATCTCACCTCATCCTCACCATAAGCCTGAGAGGCAGGCAGGACAGTGGGAAATGCAAGGCATAGGGCAAACAGCCTGATAGTACCAGGGCAAGCCCAAGTGTCCCATCCACCCAAACTGTGGCCACGAGTCTTGATTCTACTTCCGTTCTACAAGTGGGTCCGGGAATGCATGCAAATGGAGGAGAGAGAAGAGACGCACCGCTCTCCCACAGACTGATACGTCATGGAGGAGAGAGAGATGCAACCAATTCCCAGAGACTGACATGTCAGTATCCAGGGAATGAGGGTTCTGAAGAACACCCCAGGCCAGCAGACAGACCCTAGGTGAGCCTGGCAATCTCCCCACCCAGTGTCCATGCCTCCTTGTAGCCACCTTGCCCGGAGTGCAAGGCGGGTGGGACCTGTGACGTGCTTCTAACCCACAGAATGTGGTGAAAACAATGGAATGGCTTTCCCTTGACTGGGTTGCATTAGGTGGCAAAGTTGCTGCGCTGTCACTCCCATGACTACATTATGTTACGTAAGACTTAGTCTACTGAAGCAGAAGACTCTTTGCTGTTTTGAAGTGAGCTGCCAAGCTGCAAGGGGCCATGCGCCAAGCAAGTACAGGGGGCCTCTAAGAGTCAAGAGGAGACCTCAAGGGACAGTCAACAAGAAAACAAAGACTTGCGTCCCACAATCAGCAAGAGATAACTTCTGCCACAACCTGAAAGAGCTCAAAAGCACACCATCCCCCACTCGAGCCTCTGATAAGATCACAGTCCCACCCAACACCTAGATTGCAACCGGATGAAACCCTGAGCAGAGGATCCCACTAAGCTGTGCCCAGACTTCCAACCCACAGAAACTGTGAGATAATAAATGTGTTGTGTGTCAATTTGTTACACAGCAGTAGAAAATAAATACACTGGCCTGGCATGGTGACTCATGCCTGTAATCCCAGCACTATGGGAGGCCAAGGTGGAAGGAATGACTGAGCCCAGGACCTTGAGACCAGCCTGGGCAACATGGTGAGACCCTGTCTCTACCTTATGTAAAAAAAAAAAAAAAAATTTAAGACCAGAAATATACCCCCACACATCATCCCATTTGAAAGAAAAGCTTTCATCCATGCTACTTCCTTCCATGCACAAATAATGACTGGTTGCCAGAAAGGCAGCACAGGTCACTCTTCAGAACTCCAAATGCTCTTTCCAACCTACCACCAACACACATGATGCCAACCCCACTGAGACCAAGGCAGCCTCCCAAGCTCAGAGAGACTCCGAGACCAAGTTCTTCATAACTGAACTCACAGCTTCAATTATTTCATACTCAATCACTATATTCCAAGTTTTTTATAATTAACAAAATGCTGCCTTCAAGGTTACATATGCCACCAACGTCAATCCTCAGAACACTGCATAACATCCCAAAACTTACACATGTATCATCCAAATAAAAAAATAAAATGTAAGTTAAATCTTCAAACGCAAATTTGTGCTGATGATCTAGAAGGAAAGCTGGGCCCTGCCTGGCCGGGAGCTGCCTCCTTTCTTCCCCAGCTTTGTGCAGGGCCACCCCTGCCCTCTCCTCACCCCTGCTGGTGCAGTGAGATGAGGACCTCAAGTAAGGGGGTGGCAGCCGGGACTTCCACAATTCAGGGCAATCTCTGGCATCTGTTGTTCAGTCAGTAATTTTCCAACAGACCCTCTTGACTGTGACGGGCAGAGAAAGGCTGGGGAGCTCTTGGGTCGTCAGTGGGTTGGAGAGATGGACTAACTCACAGGTAGGAAAAAAGGCAATGACCACTCCACTGGAGAACAAAGCCCACAGCATTTAAGCTGGAGGGACAAGAAAATCCAATCATTCTGATGATGCAGCTCCTGAGGCTCCGTGGCCAAGCTGGGATGTGAAAGAAGACAATTCCATTCCCCTCCCTCATCACCAGGTGACTGCTGCCTCCCAGAGAGCTCCCTCATGAAAGCCCCGTAACCCACCACGCTGCACTGTTTCTATAGCAACCAGAAAGAAAATATAAAGCAAGCAGTTTCACATGAAAATTATTCTCTATTAAAATGAAATATTGCAGTCAGGAAAAGAATTTTGATAAAGAACTAGGTAGAAGACATCGGTAACATTAATGCTAATTATTTATTCACTACCCACACAAAAGATAATTTTTCCTAAAATTTTAAGATAATCTTTTATCGTTCACACTGGAAGTCTGAAAACAGTACTACAGCAAGTCAACAACAAACAATTACAATCAAAATTCTGTTCTATGCTGTGATATCTCCACGAAACACAAAATGCTCTCCCAAGTTTAAAGAGGGATAAGGAACACGAAAACAACTGACCCCGGCCAGGTGCGGGGGCTCACACCTGGAATCCCAGCATTTTGGGAAGCCAAGGTGGGTGGATCAATTGAGGTGAGGAGTTCAAGACCAGCCTGGCCAACATGGTGAAACCCTGTCTCTACTAAAAAAATTTAAAAATTAACCAGGCGTGGTGGTGGGCACCTGTAGTCCCAGCTACTTGGGAGGCTGAGGCAGATGAAGTGCTTGAAACCGGGAGGTGGAGGTTGCAGGGAGCCAAGATCACGCCACTGCACTCCAGCCTGAGTGATAGAGCGAGACTGTGTCTCAAAAAAAAAAAAAAAGAAAAAGAAAACAACTGAGCCAAACAATGGAGAAAACACAGAAAATATGCAAATTATGAGAACAAAAAAAATTCAGCCAATGCCTTCTCACATCAAAATACCAAAACTACAAAGCCAATTTCAGGTATACCAACCCATTCTCAAAAGATGAAATCAAATTCAAATGAACCTATCTTTGCCTATCTTTGACATCCCTAAAGCCACCTGTGACTTGTCACAGCCTTAATAACCCACCACAATCGGGATGGTCATATGTCCCCTGAAGTCACAGAAACAGAACTCTCAACTAGCAGACTGTTAACGTGTCCTATTATCCTCAGGTTCTTGGGTTATTCGTAGAATAGCAAAGCAAACTACCTGCTTTGTAACGATATCATTTACACATCAACATCAGGAATAAATACAAACCAAAACCTGGCCAAACCAGGAGAGGTGCCTGGACCAGGACAGGCAGACCCAACGCCTACGCTTGCTTCTAACCAGCCTGGGCAGGTGGGCAGGTTACAACACACTCCTGACTCAGCCAGGTGGGGCTCTGCAGCCTGGCAGTTACAGACACTGAGACCTCAAGCCGCAGGCACTAGCCTGCCAAAAAAGACTTCTCCTCCTTGGTCTCACAGCCAACAGTTTGGACACATATCCTAGAGGTATACTACACTTCCAGCAAAGAGATGGGGGCCCAAGGCCCACCCCAAACCACTTCATCCTCCCCTCACCACACTCTGAATCTGGTTCTCTCAGAGGCATGATGAGAGCTGGGGTGGAGAGGTGTGGAAAAGACACAGTCCTGACTTCAGAGTCCCTCTGGGCAGACTCATCTCACAGTATCGCGTAACACACAACACACGTTTATACACGGGCACAGACTGGAACACATGATATGGTAACAATCTATAATACGAGGAGCTCGTTAAGCTCAGAGATGAAAGGGGAAGTGAGTGGAAGACCACACCGTGAGCATCTATTAATAAAAGCAGACGGAGTAAGAAACAGAGAAAAAGGTTCTCCTTTGGTCTTGTCTTTCTTTGTCTACTATTTAAAACACGAGAGAATTAGCTAGTTAAATTTATATCTCAGAAAACAGGCACAATAGAAGTATAAAAGCCATCACCTTTAAGTCATTTCCCCTTTTTTTTTTTTTTTGGAGACAGAGTCTCACTCTGGTGCCCAAGCTGGAGTGCAGTGGCGCCATCTCGGCTCACTGCAACCTCCACCTCCCATGTTCAAGCGATTCTCCTGCCTCAGCCTCCTCAGTAGCTGGGATGACAGGCATGGGCCACCACGCGTAATTTCTTTTTTTTCTCTCTGAGATGGCGTCTCACTCTGTCACCCAGGCTGGAGTGCAGTGGTGCGATTCTGGCTCACTGCAACCTCCACCTCCTGGGTTCAACCGATTCTCCTGCCTCACCCTCCCGAGTAGCTGAGATTACAGGCGCCTGCCACCACGCCCAGCTAATTTTTTGTATTTTTAGAAGAGACAGGGTTTCACCATGTGGCCCAGGCTGGTCGCGAACTCCTGACCTCAGGTGATCCACCCGCTTCAGCCTCCCAAAGTGCTGGGATTACAGGTGTGAGCCACTGGGCCCGGCAGTATTTAGCATTTTAATAATAAAAATATTGGAGAGGCCGGGCGCGGTGGCTCATGCCTGTAATCCCAGCACTTTGGGAGGCTGAGCAGGTACATCACCTGAGGTCAGGAGTTCAAGACCAGCCTGGCCAACATGGTGAAACCCCAACTCTACTAAAAATTCAAAAATCAGCCAGGTGTGGTGGCAGGCAGGAGAACTGCTTGAATGCAGGAGAACTGCTTGAACGCAGGAGGCGAAGGTTTCAGTGAGCCAAGATCACGCCACTGCACTCCAGTCTGGGGACAGAGCAAGACTCCATCTCAAAAATAATAACAAAAAATTAAAAAATCAGACCTAATATTTGTTTCTTGGTATGTATTCTTTCTATTCCAATTTATTATGGCTTCAAAAGAAGCCCAAAAAATCAAAAAAGAAAAATAAAACAATGGCTTAATGAGAGGAGCGCTTAATAAACTGAAATTTTGTTTAACACTTTCAGGAACAGTTCCCAACGTTGTTGTCAGGGCACAGTGACAGTGGCCCAGCTGCCTCGCCAGCAGCACACACAGGCCTCTGGGGCCAGCAGAGAAACACTCCCAGTGCCTTCAAGAACCCCATTTTCACATCCAGGGTCCAGGAAACAGACATGCACGTCGGACTATCACCCTAGTGAGAAAGAAGGAAAGCCACATTGGGGTTGGTTTTTTTTTTAACGTCCTTCAAATCTATGGAAGACATCCTCTTCTACACAACTCATAGGAAAAAAGATCCCTCTGAGGTTAAGCAACCCGACGCCTCCACACCACAACTGAACATCCTCCTACAGCCCCCACCCGGTAACTCATTACTTTCCAAAGAGAATGGGTCTCAAGGTCTCAAGGACCCACTGCCCTCCAAAAAAGCAACCTGGACATCCTGCTGACAACTGAGCATCATACAAATGTGTCCCTTTCGTCCCCGCTGCCCTCCAACAGTCACCCCCCAGAGCGAAGCTGCCTGTACAGGCCACGTCCTCTCCTCCAGCAGCCGGCTACGCGCAGCTCTCCGGCACAGCCATCACCTGCACCACTAAAGCGGGTGGCAGTTTCTGCCCGTGACATTTCTCATTAGGACTTTCCACAATTCTTGAGGCTTAATGCAAATTCCTTATTCCCATGACTAACATCAAAGAACCACACCTCCAAAGACTGACACTGGGATTATTCCTAAATTTCTCAAGGATGAGGTAATCTGGAGGTTAAACATGCCTGAACTGAGCTGTCCTCACTTGGGCCCTCCAGACCTTTCACTTGTTGGGTGTGTAAATAATGACCCAACACTTTTTCTTTTCTTTTTTGAGATGTTCTCACTCTGTCACCGGGGCTAGAGACCAGTGGCATGATCTCAGCTCACTGCAACCTCAACCTTCGGGCCTCAAGACCCACACCTTTGGCAGCTGTGTAACTAGTGGGTCCTCCTGTTCCTGTGGACAGCAGTCCCATCAACAGCAAGTCACGCCACCACCTACCCCACAACCCAACCCAGTCCCTGAAGATTCAGGTGACAGTTAACTGACGTCAAGAGAGTGCAACATCACTAGAAAAACATTAATGACGGCCAGACGCAGTGGCGAGACTCCACTCAAACAAAAACAAAAAAAGGAAAAAAAAAACACTAATTACAAGGAAAGTTTGCCTCCTAGATAAAACACATGTGACCTGATATAAAAAATATCTAGGCCTGGCGCAGTGGCTCACACCTGCAATCCCAGCACTTAAGGAGGCCGAGGCAGGCGGATCATCTGAGGTCGGGAGTTTGAGACCAGCCTGACCAACACGGAGAAACCCCATGTCTACTAAAAATACAAAAAAATTAGCTGGGCTTGGTAGCACATGCCTGTAATCCCAGCTATTCTGGAGGCTGAGGCAAGAGAATCATTTGAACCCAGGAGGCGGAGGTTGCAGTGAGCTGAGATCACACCACTGCACTCCAGCCTGGGCAACAGAGCGAAACTCCGCCCCCAAAAAAAATTAAATTAAATTTTAAAAAGGCCAGACGCAGTGGCTCACACCTGTAATCCCAGCACTTTGGGAGGCCGAGGGGGCGGATCACGAGTTCAGGAGATTGAGACCATCCTGGCTAACACGGTGAGACCCCATCTCCACTAAAAATACAAAAAATTAGCCGGGGGTGGTGGCAGGTGCCTGTAGTCCCAACCACTCGGGAGGCTGAGGCAGGAGAATGGCATGAACCTGGGAGTCGGAGCTTGCAGTGAGCCGAGATTGTGCCACTGCACTCCAGCCTGGGTGACAGAGCGAGACTCCATCTCAAAAAAAAAAAAAAAAAAACTAGCCGGGCGTGATGGCACACACCTCTAATCCCAGCTACTCGGGAGGCTGAGGCAGGAGAAATGCTTGAACCCGAGAGGCAGAGGTTGCAGTGAGCTGAGATCGTGTCATTGCACTCCAGCCTGGGCAACAGAGCAAGACTCAGTCTCAAAAAAAAAAAATTAAGTCTTTCCTGCCAAGTATTATTGCCTTCCTTCTCAGACCACAAGCCTTTTTAAAAATCCTAACTTTTAGGCCAGGCGTGATGGCTGACGCCTGTAATCCCAGCACTTTGAGAGGCCAAGGCGGGTGGATCACAAGGTCAGGAGATTGAGACCATTCTGGCTAACATGGCGAAACCCTGACTCTATTAAAAATACAAAAAAATTAGCCGAGCCTGGTGGTGGGTGCCTGTAGTCCCAGCTACTCGGGAGGCTGAGGCAGGAGAATCGCGTGAACCCAGGAGGCGGAGGTTGCAGTGAGCCGAGATCACACCACTGCACTCCAGCCTGGGCGACAGAGTGAGACTCCATCTCAAAAAAAAAGAAAAAAAAAATCCTAACTTTTAAGATTTCCAACCAAATATTAATTAGGTATCTATTAATATGTGCATAGAAGTAACAGAAGATATAAAACAAAAACAAGTCCAAGATGAGCCTAACCATGTATTTGGGCAAACAGAATCCCCGTTCTTCTTTCTATACTCCTTCTAGCAGCAGGCTTCAACCTCCAAAATCTCTAACCCCCTTCTGTTTGGACCCAAAACCACTATCTTGGCCCACATTTTACACTGTCCTGACAAAATATCTGAGGGCAAATACCAGTCTGCCTTGGCCATTAAAGTCATTTAGGCAACACATCTGCCGAGCTGAGCAGAGCCAGCAGGTACCCATCTAACACAAGGCTCCGTCCTGGGCTGTGCCCCTCAAGAATTCCCCAGATAGCCATTTCCTTTCCTCAACTGAGATGCCCACTTCTCCCTCCAGAATGTGGGCAAATCACACCAGTGACGTCCACATCTGTCAAATGTCCCCAGGGCAGAGAATGGAGAGTGACACACAGTAGGCACAAAATAAACAGCACCCAGCTTCTGCCCCACCACCCCGTTCCCCATTCCTGCTTTCTTTTCTGTCTCCTTTGCTCTATCGTTTCACAAAGCCACTCTCCTAACTAATGTTTGCCCCATTCCCTCCACTGGGAATCAATTCATCTTCTCTTTTTCCAAGTCTTTTTAATGAATACCAGTTAACACCATGAAGTCTTCACAATTCACCTACACAGTGTGCTTTCGAGTCCCCTTCCCTATTTCAAGTTTCTCCAGGTTCTCTTGTAGGGATCTTCTTAAGGCTGCATGTGATGTCTTGTGCCTGTCATCCCAGCACTTTGGGAGGCTGAGGCAGGAGGACTACTTGAGGCCAGGAGTTCAACATCAGCCTAAGAAACATAGCGAAACCCCATTTCTACAAAGAATTTTTAAAAATTAGCGCACGTCTGTAGTTCTAGCCACTCATGACGTTGACGCAGGAGGCTCACTTGAGCCCAGAAGCTCAAGGATGCAGTGAGATATGGTCACGCCACTGCACTCCACCCTGAGTGACAGAGCAAGACCTTGTCTCAAAAAAAGAACCATTTAGGCACCATGGTGTTGCAAAGCCAGTGCTTTCATCTAGGCATCCACCGCCTGCAAACTCTGACACATCATCTTCTGCCTCAAAACAAGTAAGCAAATGAAATTCAGGTCTATCATTGCAAACCCTACACAACCCAACTCCAGTCATGCTTCCAGGTTAATCTGCTGTCATCTTCCATCTTCTTGGATGGGCTTTCGTGTTCAGACACGTCTGGCTGACATTCTCACGTTACATGCGGCCTTCCCAGCCTTTGTCCCCAGCCTTCCCGAAGTCGAAGATGCCCTTACTCTGATTTCTGCAGTGACATTCTACTGATTCTTTTTTTAAAACAGAAACATAGCTTACAGTTAAAAAAAAAAAAAATAGCACTTCTTCCCTTAAATCTCCCAGGTCACAGAGCCTTTCCCTCCTCTGATCTATGATCTCTCTTTTCATAAGAACCAATATTTAATGCAAGCTTTAGTCAACTAAATGCATCTTTCTCCCAGATCTCAGAACAGGAGGCCACAGCACTGCACCCAGTGAGCAGCCAATGAACATCTGTGAAGGAAATCAGTGAAACATCAGAAAAAGCAGAGTTTGTCTAGTTTCAGAAGTCCCTTCTATAAAACATGTAGCTCCTTCCAGCTAAAAGAAGACACAAAGCTGTTCTCCCACTGTAGAGCACACTGCACCCCATTTGGAAAAGCAGTCAGGTGAGCCACACGTCAGCCACACCGTGCTTTACAAACATGCCAATGTGTGAACGGTCAGTCACAAAGACATAAAAAAAGATGACTGCCCTCATCAAAACTGCCAAGGTCATGAAAAACAGGGAAACGCTGAGAAATGGTTGCAGACGAGATTAAGGAGACATGACAACTAAATGCAATGTGGGATCCCGGATGGCATCTGAGGACAGCAAGGGAACATTACTGGAAAAACCTCCAGCTTGCTCACCCCTGGAACCTGTGAATGCCTTAGGTTACGTGGAAAAGGGAACTGAGGTTACTAATCAGCAGAGAGGGAGATGACCTCGCAGTGCTCGGGTGGGCCCAATTTGTAACCACAAGGATCCAAAAGTGAAACAAGGGCCAGGCACAGTGGCTCCATGCCTGTAATTCCAGCACTGCTGGGGGGCTGAGGCGGGAGGATTGATTGAGCCCAGGAGGTCGACGCTGCAGTGAGCCTTGATTGTGCCACTGCACTCCAGCCTGGGCAACAGAGCCGAGACTCTCCAAAAAAGCGGGTGGGCAGCAGGAGTCAGAGAGATGCCATGAGGCTGGCTTTGAAGACTGAGGAAAGCACTACAGGCCGAATGCAGGCAGCCTCTGGAACACGGAAAAGACAAGAACACAGATTCTCCCCTGGAGCCTCCAGAAGGAACCAGCCCTACCTACCCAGATTTTAGCCCAGGCAGATCATGTTAGGCTTCTAATCAACAGAACTATAAAACAATAAATCTAAGGTTATGGTGGTTAGTTACAGCAGCGCTGGAAAACCAACACGGGCAGCACTGACACAAGTCCCAGCACTTCTCCAACGCCCAAGAGCTGTTCTCTGTCTCCCTTCCACACCCTCCATTTGCCTTCACTCATCCCCCTGAACCAATATATTTATGGGCTTAGAAGAAAGCTATTAAGGAAAAGGCACAGATTAAGTTCTAAGACAGATTTTCTCCTCAACTCTCTAAAACTTCACCGTACCATTAGCTTCTACTAAATGTCCTTTTTTACAAGAGTCAGTTTCAACATCATCTTCTTTTAAAAGCCAGTCATCTGGTGAGAACCCAAGTTTAGCAGAATCAGATCTAAAGACTTTGCCAAAGAAAAATCAAGCATGAATGTAAATCTCATTGAATATGCTTAACATTTTACCTGAACTGTAAGTGCAAGCGTGCATCACTTTTCTGAGTTTCACACTAAAAGATAAAGGATACAATTCAAAGATACCTCTCGCATGTGTCAGGGGAAAAATGCCTGTGAGAAAATGTTTAGGCCGGGCATGGTGGCTCACGCCTGTAATCCCAGCCCTTTGGGAGGCCAAGGCAGGCAGATCACCTGAGGTCGGGAGTTTGAGACCAGCCTGACCAACACGGAGAAACCCCGTCTCTACGAAAAATACAAAATTAGCCAGGAGTGGTGGCGCGTGCCTGTAATCCCAGCTACTCGGGAAGATGAGGTAGGAGAATCGCCTGAACCCGGGAGGCGGAGGTTGCGGTGAGCCAAGATCATGCCTGGGCAACAAGAGGGAAACTCCATCTCAAAAAAAAAAAAAAAGAAAGAAAATGTTTTGAGTGTTAGCATATTTAATATATTAAGCTCTAAAGAACTTCAAATTTCAGATAGACTATTCTCAAAGTAACAAAAATATCTATGTATGTAATTTAAATAAATTAGGAGCCAAACATACAATTATAGTGAAGAAAAAATCCACAAAGTCTAAAAATTCCTTGAAATCCGAATCAACTGTGGGGCTGTGGAATACTAACACTACAAGCTCTCGAGACGCTCTTCGGCTGCCTGAAAGCTGGATTTCTTCTTTGTCACCATCAGAAAAGGCAAAGGTTATTCAGTGCTCTGCACATCCTTTAATCAGCCAGACATCTTAGTCAAAATCATTTTTAAAAACTTAATCCTTTCAAGAGTGGTGCTCTGGGGTTTTTTTGGTTTTTTACTTTTATTTCCTGTTTTGCAAGATGTAAAACCACATCTAGAAACATGGTGGATACTAACAAAGCTTGATTTCTTAAGAGAAAAATAAGGTCCTTCACTGCGTCTTACCTTCTCTATTTTAGATAAGTTTAAACAGTACAGCCATAATGATTTCAAGTTTACATCATCATCCAGAATTAAACCAAAGTCTTCTTTGATTGTGTCAGATATGAATGCAGCAGTAAGCTAATCCTAACTCTAGTAAAACCTCAGGAACCAAGCAGCCTACGCAATCTTCCCTTTACTTGGAAATACTGCATTCCAAAATTTATTCTAAGCCATTAGCATCCTAAGTCTGAAAAGAGCCATAGGGAGTCGAGGAAGGGCAACTTACTATCAATGCACCAAGAAAAGAGGTTTATTTGCTAATTTTACATAAAAAATAACCTCTGATATCATAAAGTTATTAGGCATTTACAAATAACATTTCAATTTCAGCCATTCTTAAAAGTCACATTTTTTAGAGTTAAGTAATGAAGGGGAAAGTCTTCTGAATTTTACCATGACAAAAGAAATTTTCATATGGTATAAAAATGGTTTGTTGAGAAAAAGCCAACATTTTCAAATAATGAACAGGTACACATTGGTTGCTTTACACGTGGAAAAAAGAGCCCTACAGATTTCCAGGATAATAAATAATTCACTGCACAGATGCGAAGGACAGGCCTGGAAACAGGTCTCACCCTCCACCAGCCACAAGGACGCTGTAACTGAGACAGCAGCACCCTGACAGCTGTCTCAACCTTGACCTCCAAGAGGAAGAGAGAAAGCGGGTGTGGGGAAGCCCAGAAGACTGGATTTTCACTCAACAGGATTCGGTCCTCTAGGCCCCTGAAAAATCTCAGCCATACAGACAGGACGGCTTACTTTTATTTTCACACTGAAAACCCTCTTAACCCTTTATTCACAGAGCCAGCTTTAGCACTGTGGGGTTTCTGGCTAGGCGCGGTAGTTCACACCTGTAATCCCAGCACTTTGGGAGGCCAAGACGGCTGGATCACCTGAGGTCAGGGGTTCCAGACCAGCCTGACCAACATGGGGAAACCCCATCTCTACTTTAAAAAAAAAAAAAAAAAAACACTAACTGGGAGTGGTGGTATGGGCCTGTAGTCCCAGCTACTCGGGAGGCTGAGGCAGAAGAATCACTTGAATCCGGGAGGCAGAGGTTGCTATGACCCAAGATCGTGCCACTGCACTCCAGCCTAGGTGACAGAGACTCTGTCTCAAAACAAAACAAAACTGTGAGGTTTCTTAGAGCTAGAATAGTATCTGAATGTTTTCAACCACAATCAACCAGTTCCCCTCCACCAAATACCCTAGCCCCTTACTGTAAACCCAAAAATCTAAAACAAGTCGCAATCTCCCAAATATACCCACAATTAGTCTTTAAAAAGCAAACTTTTGCCAATTACATAACAGTTTCATTTACAAAGAAACTTTGAAAACCTAAACATACAGAAAAAAATCAATAGGGCACACCTCCATTTCGTTGTCTTTCCCTCCAAAGAGATCATTTTTTCTTCATTAAAATGCTAAAACTTTCATATCACTCCACCTGCTCAGCTACATGTGACCAGAGGGGCCTCCGGACAAACGAGACACTTAATCCTCATAAGCAGCAGCAGCAAACCACACTTAGTCCAGACTGATTTCAACCCATCCTTTACAGTCACTGAGACCTTGATGGAAACGATGAGGAAATCTGAATAAAAACTGCTTCTGGCCCTTCTACTCTGGCCTGAAAACAGCAGTCCTGCTAAAAGTGCTTTCACAGAAAGCACTTTCTTCCCACAAAGACAACTCTCCCTTTATGTTTCTTTATCTCTTGTTCTGCCTTAATTGTGAAAACTGTCTTCCCACCTTTATCTAAGTTATAAAAGCAAACTTGTAATGAAAACAAAAGGGGGCTGAGCACAGTGGCTCATGCCTATAATCCCAACACTTTAGGAGACTGAGGTAAGCCAACCCCAGAAGGCTGAGGCCTACACAACACAGGAAGACCCTGTTTCTACAAAAAGTAAAATAAATTAGCTGGGCACGGCGGCACATGCCTGTGGTCCCAGCTACTCAGGAGTCTGAGGTGGGAGGATCGCTTCAGCTCAGGGAGTCGAGACTGAAGAGAGCCACGTTCACGCAACTGGCCGCTGCCCTCCAGCCTGAGCAACACACCGAGACCCTGCCTCAAAAAAAAAAAAAAAAGACTTACTAAAGGAAGTGATATTACACTAAGACGCAAAGGCTGAGTAGGAGTTATCTTGGAGTTTGGGGGGATCTGCATGAGATGGCAGCGAGGTATGTCGAGGCCATGCCACAAACTATGGCACATGGCCCAACTGAGGAAAGGCAAGGCCAACGCAGCCAGAATGACTGGAAGCTTGGGGCAGGGTCAAGAATGGGGCATGGTATCAGAGTTAGGCCACAGTCACCATTTGGGACGTTATCATAAAAATAACATTTGAGGCCAGGCATGGTGGCTCACGTCTATAATCCCAGCACTTTGGGAGGCCGAGGCAGGTGGATCACTTGAGGTCAGGAGTTTGAAACCAGCCTGGCCAACATGGTGAAACTCCAGTCTCTACTAACAATAAAAAAAAATTAGCCGTGTTTGGTAGGAGGTGTCTGTAATCCCAGCTACTTGGGAGGCTGAGGCAGGAGAATTGCTTAAACCCAGGAGGTGGAGGTTGCAGTGAGTCGAGATCATGCCACTGCACTCCAGCCTGGGCAACAAAGCGAGACTCCGTCTCAAAAAAAAAAAAAAGAAAAAAACAATTTCAAATTAAGAGAACACACACTGAAAACATTTCAAAATTTCAAGACAATAACTTTTATTTGAATTCATTCCATTTTTCTATAAAGTTTATCAAACGGGCCACACTGAATTCCCACAGAGCACTGACTACACAAGAGTCACAAACTGACGCAGCCACCAGACAAGGGATGCACCATCATTTTCACCGATTAACTACAAATACCTTGCTATTAAGAGACACTCACCCATTACACTTACGATTTGAGGATGAAGGGAGTTACACAGAGTAATGGACAGATCAAAACACTTATTTTGGCAACAAAATGCAGATTATTTTCTGAGCCAGCATTTACTGATACTCTCTAATTATGTTATTTAATTGATGATGGGCTCTCTGCCCATATGCAAAATAAGACTCCTCTTATATTTGATGAAGCATAACCTTTCTATGTCAAATCTACTTAAAAAGGCACAAAAAGAGGCCGGGCGCGGTGGCTCACGCCTGTAATCCCAGCACTTTGGGAGGCCAAGGCAGGTGGATCACAAGGTTAGGAGTTCAAGACCAGCGTGGCCAACATGGTGAAACCCCATCTCTACTAAAAATACAAAAATTAGCCAGGCGTGGCGGTGGGCGCCTGTAATCCCAGCTACTCGGGAGGCTGAGGCAGAGAACTGCTTGAACCCCAGGAGACGGAGGTTGCAATGAGCCAAGATTGCGCCACTGCACTCCAGCCTGGGCGACAGAGCGAGACTCCAAAAAAATAAAAATAAAATAAAATAAAAAGGGGCACAAAAACTTCTTGGAAAAATACTGTCCAACACAAACAGCATAGTTTCCTTCACTCTATTTGTAGGGAGTTCTACTTGCCACCGTATCAACACTGTAATTACCGCTAACATGGCAGCCGCTCGTCATCAACAGCCCATCTGGGAGGGTGTGATGGCACTGCTGGTATGGGGTGCCCAGCATGGCCAGTCCGGAGAAAAGCATCTGGCGGTGGCAATGCAAGTCAGAAGGCTGACGCAAATGAGAGCTGCAAAAGAGGAACTCAGGTTTTAAAGGTGACACCTTTAAAAACAAAATTCTGGTAAATTGTGTTATGTATATTTTACTACAGCAAAAATAGAACAGAAGAAAAAAACTGCTGAAAGTTTCAAGTTTAGGTCAAATTTAGCACTATCTTGTGGGGAACTTTTCAACAAACTTAAGAGGCATCACGAAGAACAGAGAAAACGTCACAGCAACTTGGTCTTTGTTCCCTCCCATCCAGTTCCATTCAGATGGCCAGCCTATCGAAGGAGATCCTGCTCTTCGGGGAGAAACTACAGAAAGAGGAGAACAACAGCTGAATGGAGGGTAGGGGAGGCCACACCAACTATACGAGATCCAATGCAAGGGTCACAATGAAGGCTGAGCAAGACATCCGCCCCCCCCCCTTTTTTTCTAGTTTAACTACAGTTGCAGAGTAAAATCAGAGGACTTCTGTAATCATTCTCTAACAGAACTCGAAGTCTTCCAGGGCAGCCAATACTTACTAAGAGAAATCAAGGTCTCAGAGAAACCAAAGAAACAGCCTCAGGGTCTCCGATTTTGAACGTTATGCCATAGACTAGGTCTGCACACAACAAAAACAGTAACTGTTTCGATGGCACTTTTTCCACAGGTAATATCATCTTATATGTTTGGCTAAGTCTCAACATCCCAAAAAGGATCAAAAGATTCTCTAAGTTTTGCAGTTCAACAACTGTGCACACTTTTATTTCTCATTTCAAGTGTTAAGGATATTGCTCTAATGACTGCATAAAACTCTCTCCTCATGTAAGAAAGCCTGAAATCTAATTTCTCTACCATAAAACCCTGTTCTTGCAAAAGGATACAAAACTACTCATAATCTACAAAAACGATGAATCCTAAGCATGTTACATAGAAGGAAAACAGTTTCAAAGCATAGGGAGCTGTTAGACCAGCTTCATCTTCCCAAGCCTCTTCCAAAACTTCTTGGAAGCTGATATATAACACTAACCTTCCAAAAACACAACAGAAGCAGAAAATCTTAATGGGGCACCAGGAAAAGAGCAAGCCTCGAGAAAAATCAAGACTCCCCCCGACCAACCTTCCCAAATAACACAAACACAAGAGTTAACAGTACAATCCCTCTTTGAGAGGGGACTGAATCAATGTGGCAGGGCCAACCCTACACACACACACACACGCGCGCGCGCGCGCGCGCGCACACACATACACCACACACACAGCTACCGCCCTGCCAGGGGATGATGAAATGAGGAACGGAAATTAACATTTCAGGCAACGTCTCACATTGTTCCTTGAGGCCAAGGGCTGCTGTTGCAGCCGCCACCGCCACCGCTTTCCTCCCAGCCACCCCCCACACCCGCCCGCCTACCCTCCCCCTAACACCCCCCACACGGCTGCCCGCATTCCTGCCCCTCCTCGGCCTACGCGCGCCTCCTGCAACCCCGACGCCCCCAGGTCCCCAGTTCGCCCTCCCCCTCCGGCTCGGAGCCCGAGAGCCGCCTGCTCTCATTTCAAAACAGCGATAATAATAGGGACGCTGAGAATAACAACTACGACCAGCACGGCGAAGGCGCCCCTCTCGCGGGTCAGAGGTCGGCGCCCCAGCTCCGCAGAACCCGGCGCCCGGCCAGCGCCCCCTGGCAGCCCCTCCCGGCAGCCTCAGGTCCCCAAGACCTGCAGGCCCGCCCCGAAGCCCCCCGTCCGCCCCTCACGGCCGCTCCGAGCCCCCGAGGCCCGCCCCGGAGCCCCCTGTCCGCCTCTCACGGCCGCCCCGGGCCCCCACGGCCCCCAGGCCCGCCCCGGAGCCCCCAATCGGCCCCTCAGAGCCGCCGCGGGCCCCCGGCCACCCAGGCCCGCCCGGAGCCCCCGTCCGCCCCTTACGGCCGACCCAAGCTCCGCCGACCTCCCAGGCCCCCCCCGGAGCCCCCTATGGGCCCCTCACGGCCACCCCGGGCCCCCAAAGACCCCCGGCTGCCCCGAACCCGGACCCGTAGGCCCGCTCCGGGACCCATTATTGGTCCCTCACGATCGCCCCGGGCCCCCAAAGACCCCCGCCCACCCGGCCCCGACCCCCCAGGCCCGCCCGGAGGCCCGCGGCGCAGCTCCGTCGCCGGGGAAGGCCTGCAGGCCGCAAGGCCGCGCGAATGCCCCGTGCCCGCCCCGACCACCGCCCCCAGACCAGCGGCGCCTCTCACCGTGCTCCGAGGGCTGCGCGGCTCCGCGACGGCTCAGCGGCGGGGCGCGGGCGCTGCCCATGCAGCCCGCGGCCGCGTTTCCCGGGCCGCGCGGCCCGAGCGGCAAGGCGGCGGCGGCGGCGGCGCGGGCTCGGGCCCGGCAGAGCTGCGAGGGACGGCGGGAGGCGAGCCCGCCCCTCGGGCGCGCCCACGGCTCGGGCGAGAGCCGCGGCTCCCGGTGCGGACGCTACTGATGGGGCGTCTGGCCGCGGGCTCGGCGGCGGCGCCTCCCCGGCTGGGGCCCTCGGTCCATCGCGCACCGTCTCAGGGCGGCCTCTGGCTCCAGGACCCAGCGGCGGCTGCGGCGGGAGCCGGCCGCATGAGACGCTCCCGCCCATTGGCCCGCCGTATCCGCCACCGCCATTGGCCCGCCCCGGCCGGCCGCAGGGGCTGTGCACGTCACAGCGCCGTGAGTTAGTGCGCTAATGGAGTGAAGGAGAGAGGCGGGATTGACAGCCTCTCTGGCGGTCCGGAGGCGGGACTAGGAGGACGTCCCGGTAACGATTGGGCAGGGTCCTGCGTAAGGGCGCATGCGACACTGGAAGTAGCGAGCAACTGGATTGGCTGCCTCCGTCGCAAAGGAGGGTGGGTCTTGCATTCTCGGGCCTGACGATTGGTCTTTCCAAGTGCCGGAAGCAACAGGGATGTCGTCTGGAAACAAAATCTGGTATTGAAGCGCAGGGAGACAAAACGTCCACCTCTAGAGCCGAGGCGGCGGTTGCCTGTCGCGTGCCCGTGGTCTTCTGCCTGCCCCCGGACATCTCGGGCCACGTCCGGCCCGGCCTCCGGCCGCGCTGCCCTAACGGGCGTCACGGGGCATGAAGAGCTCTGGGCGGCTGCGAGGGGAGGGTACCGGGGCAGCGGGGCGGTCGCTCGGGGCTCCCGCGCGGTGACTCTTGCTCTGCCGTCGAAGAGAACGGCCCTCGGGCGCGTCGCGGCCGCGGCTCCAGAGCCCCTGGGCCTCGCGCTCTGAGAGCCTGAGCCGCTTGAGGAGGCCAAGCGCCCACGAACCGCATTCCCTGCCTTGCTAGTTAGTTCTCCAACACGCGAAAAAGGTAGACGAGGACTGGTTTTCTTTGCAGCTAAAATGAATCAAGCCTCTGGTAAGTGTGGATCCTGTTCTAAGTGCACCTGTGTTCTCCTCCAGAACTAAACCAAAAAGCAAGGTGAACAAAATCGGTGCTCCTTCAGTTTCTTCTTTAGTTCTGCATGTTACTGGGGACTAAGACAACGGGTAAGCAAACTATTTATAGGCCTCAATTTACGAAATAACGGAATTGCAAAGTCCGGAGTGGATAGGACCGTGAGGACGGTCTTTTTTCTTGGGCAACACGCATTATGGTCGAGAGATCAGTTGTTAAACCGCCCCTGTTCAAATCCCAGCCCTACCAGTGACTAGCGGTCACCCTGTAGGCTTTGTCTCTCAGATCTTCAGTTTCTTGGTGGGTAAAATGGGAACTACAAGTAGCACCTATTCTTTTTTTTTTTTTTTTTTGAGTCAGGGTCTCACTCTGTCGCCCATGCTGGAGTGCAGTGCTAACTGCAGCCTCAGCTTCCCGGGCTCAGAGGATCCTCCCACCTTAGCCTACTAAGTAGGTGGGACCACAGTCAGGCATCACCACACCCGGCTAATTTTTTAAATTTTCGTAGAGATAGGCTCTCTGTGTGTTTCCCAGGCTGGTCTTGAAATCCTGGACTCAAGCGACCCTCCCTCCTCAGCTTCCCAAAGTGCTGGGATTAGAGGCATGAGCCACGGTGCGGGCCAGGAGCACCTATTTCATAGGCCCATCGGGAAGATTAAATGAAGGGGCTGTGGAGGCTGTAGCACGGTGCTTGGCACGTATGTGAGCTCTGGGGAAACATTAGTTATGCTATAACTGGACCTTCAGCCTTCTCTAGGCAGCCAGATTTCGGGCTCCACCCACAACTAGTCACGCCATTGGATGAGGGGTGAGCGCCTGATAAAAACAGCCGGCGTATGCGCTGATGTGCGTTCACGAAGAGGTGATCCAAGTGTTTCCATATTTGCCTCACTGGACGAAGTATTTGGTAAAATTGACGAAATTCAGAGTCCTGGACCCCATCATCACCTATGGAATTATTCTAGATGAGAGGGGACTAGGCATTGGCATTTTTTTATTTTGGTCCCTTACAATACTCATCATTGGGAAAATTTGAAAAACATCAACCTAAGCCGTCATGCTCGCACTCGAGAATGTTTCCCCTAGGCTGATTGACGGGCAGTGGTATTCACAGGTGCGGTCAGCGCAGTCCAGCTTCAAACTTCCGGGGATCAAGTGATCCTCCCGCCTGAGGAGCTGAGATTACAGGCCTGCACCACCATGCTCATCTATCAGGGGAATTTAAAGTGCAAAATATTAATATGAGTAAGCAGGCAGTTGGCCTTCGAAACAGAATCTGAAAATACACTAAGGTAAAAGCAAACTGAATTTCGACAGAAGTAGAACGTGTATGGTAGAGAAAAGAAATGCAGAGTAAAGGGAAAGGAGCCAGGAAATGCACTAATTAGAAAATCTTGGCCAGGCGCGGTGTCTTATGCCTGTAATCCCAGCACTTTGGGAGGCCGAGGCGGGTGAATCATGAGATCAGGAGTTCGAGACCAGTCTGGCCAATATGGTGAAACCCCATCTCTACTAAAAATATGCAAAAATTAGCTGGGTGTGGTGGTGGCGGGTGCCTGTAGTCCCAGCTGCTCAGGAGGCTGAGGCAGGAGAATCTCTTGAACTCGGGAGGCGGAGGTTGCAGTGAGCCGAGATCGCGCCACTGCGCTCCAGCCTGGGCGACAGAATGAGACTTCGTCTCAAGAAAAAGAGAAAATCTTTGAGGTGAGGTGCAGTGGCTCACGCCTGTAATCCCAGCACTTTGGGAGGCCAAGGCAGGCAGATCACTTGAGGTCAGGAGTTTGAGACCAGCCTGGCCAACATGGTGAAACCCCGTCTCTACTAAAAATACAAAAATTAGCCGGGCGTGGTGGCGTGCGCCTGTAATCCCAGCTACTCCGGAGGCTGAGGCAGGAGAATCACTTGAATCCGGGAGGCAGAGGCTGCAGTGAGCCGAGATCACGCCATTGCACTCCAGCCTGGGCAACAGAGCGAGACTCCATCTCAAAAAAAAAAAGGAGTTGGGATTTTATCCTGAGGAAAAAGGTAAGCCGTCAGAGGGTTGTGGGAAGGTGGGCGATGGTCCAACTTGCATGAAAGGATGGCTGTGAGATGATGAACGCACAGAGACAGCAGTGCAGATGGAGTAGAGAGCCACGGTTGGACTGAAGACAGTCGGCAAGGTTTTGTGGGCTGTAAAAGAAGGGTCCAGGGTGAGGTTAGCATTGTCTGGAAGAGAGCTTTAAGGAAGATGCCGGTTTGGGTGAAAAAAGAGTTTAGTTTTGTGCACTTAAAGTCTGAGATGTTCTTTGCACCTCCTGCGTGGGTGATGGGTACAGGACATGAGGGGCGCAGCAACAGAAACCGGAGACACAGCCAGACGGAAGCAGGAGCAGGGAGGCCATCGGGGTGCAGCAGTGCTCCTTGGCCTAATAGCAGCAGGGCACCAGTGAAGGTTTCCAACGCGAGGCCTGAAGATCAGATTCCTATTTTACAACATCAGCCTGGAAACAGCATGAAGGAAGTGAGGCCAAGTGGGAAACTGTGGCAGTAGTTTGAGTAGAAACAGAGCAACAGGAGGATGCAGAGAGGCCGGGGAGGGCCAGGTGGCCAGCACAGCCCCAAGGGGCCATGGTGACAGCTGCTGGAGAACCAGCATTGCCACATTCTCCAACCTGGAAATTAAATTTTTATGGGACATTTCATTAAGGGCAATTAATTTGTAAAACATTCTGTGGGCCAAAGAAAACCTCTCAGATCTACAAAACCCTGATCTGGAGCCCCTGTGGGGGGCATGCTCAAATAGTTGGCCAGGATGCTTGTGTCCTTTAACGCTGTTCCCTGGGCCCCACTCTAGAGATTCTGATTGAGTAGATCTGGAGTGAGATTCAGAAGTGTGCACCCGGCCGGGCGCGGTGGCTCATGCCTGTCATCCCAGCACTTTGGAAGGCTGAGGCGGGTGGATCACCTGAGGTCAGCAGTTCGAGGCCAGCCTAGCTGACATGTTGAAACACTGTCTCTACTAAAAATACAAAAATTAGCTGGGTGTGATGGCAGGCACCTGTAATACCAGCTACTCGGGAGGCTGAGGCAGGAGAATCGTTTGAACCCTGGAGGCAGAGGCCTGGGCTACAAAAGCAAAATTCCATCTCAAAAAAAAAGTGTGCACCCAAGGTGGTCCAGGTGCCATCTATGAAAAACACTCCTGGAGTCATCTTGTATCTCCAGAGCATCCCAGCCTCCTCAGTAAGGCCTGGTCCTTACAGTGCCCATCCCGGGATGCCTCCATTGCTGCTTGCAACTGTGTTTACTATAACTCACCCCACCCCACCCTGAGCTCTTGAATTCATTCAGCAAACATTGATTCGGGGCCTATCACTTAGCACTTACTGACCCAGGAGCTGTAGATTGAGCTGTGAACCCGACTAAGTCCCCAACAAAAAGCTCTTAAATTCTCAGGTGTCTCTCTTCCCTGAAACAAGCTAATTGTTCATTGAACATCAGCCACATGTGGCTCCAGGAAAGACCCGGTGCTGTTTTGTGTAGCCAAACACTCAGGCACTGCCTCTGACGATGCTCTCCCAGATCTGGTACGCTCATGGGGAAGAGCCCAGCGCCAGGCAGTGTTGGACAGCCACCCTTCTGGGAAGGGATGTGCAGACATCATTTTGCCCCTAAGTAAAGGCTTGCAAAGCTACTCCACAGTCCTGCTCCCGCATGACACCCCACTCTCTGCTGTGGACCCACCAGCAACTGCGTGCACAGTGGGACCCTCTGCCCCTTCCTTACAGATGAGCCAGAGGTCATGGTAAAGGGAGGCAGCCCAGCCCCCTGCATTCTTTCTGCTTCCTCTTCTCCAGAAGTGGCAGAAACGGGCGGAGCAGGCCCACCTCTGGCCTTTCCCTTCTGCCCCCTCCCCCTGGCCCTGTGGTGAGAACTGACAGCTCAGTCTGAGTCCAGCAGGCCTGGCCTCAGCTCTGTGGTCAGCCCCAGCTTACCAGCATTCCTAGCTTTAGGATTTGGAACCCAAGCTCATTTCACAATAAATTGTGATGTGTCTTGCTTCCCAGTTACCATAACTGTGGGGTATCACCTTCCAGATCTCAAAGGCAGGAGGTGCTGTGGGATGAAACGATATTCAGATATTCTTGGAGCCCCTGACCTCGGGTCCATTAAGCTACACCCCAAATTTTTTTTTTTTTTTTTTTGAGACAGAGTCTAGCTCTGTTGCCCGGGCTGGAGTGCAGTGGCGTGATCTTGGCTCACTGCAGCTTCCACCTCCTGGGTTCAAGCAATCAACCTGCCTCAGCTGCCCGAGTAGCTGGGATTACAGGCGCCCGCCACCACGCCTGGCTAATTTTTGTATTTTTAGTATTGACGAGGTTTCACCATATGGGTCAGGCTGGTCTCGAACTCCTGACCTCAGGTGATCCACCCACCTCAGCTTCCGAAAGTGCTGGGATTACAGGTGTGAGCCACCACGCCCGGCCAATTTTTAAAACTCTAAACTCCGTACTTTGTCGGTAGCCCTATCAATTGCAGTGTCTATTGTCAAATACTATTTTCTGTTCTATTTTATCCCCAATTTTTATTGTGGTAAAATACACATAACATGAA
Organism: Homo sapiens; assembly: GCF_000001405.40. Classification (NCBI taxonomy): domain Eukaryota; kingdom Metazoa; phylum Chordata; class Mammalia; order Primates; family Hominidae; genus Homo; species Homo sapiens. The sequence goes on from NC_000016.10 coordinate 89,496,022, forward strand.
ATGTACCGTCTTTCTTTTTTGTTGTTGTTGTTTTTGTTTTTCCTTTTTTTTTAGAGACGGGGTCTCATTCTGTCCCCCAGGCTGGACTGCAATAGTATGACCAAGACTCACTGTAACCTTAAATTCCTGGGCTCAAGGGATCCTCCCAGCTCAGCCTCCTGAGTAGCTGGGACCACAGGTGTGACTCACCACACCTAGCTAATTTAAAATTTTTTATTTTTAGAGACTGGGGGCTCACTGTGTTGTGAGGCTGGTCTCGAACTCCTGGCCTCAAGCAGTCCCCCAACCTCGGCCTCCCAAAGTGCTGGGCTCACAGGCGTGAGTCACCGTGCCCAGCCTCATAACATCATGTTGTAAACCTCAAATATATATAAAATGTATTGAAAAAAGGTAAAAAGCTAGTTTTTTTTTTTTTTTTTTTTTTTTTTTTGAGACAGAGTCTCCCTCTGTCGTCCAGGCTGCAGTGCAGTGGCATGATCTTGGCTCACTGCAATCTCTGCCTCCCGGGTTCAAGCAATTCCCCTGCCTCGGCCTCCCGAGTAGCTGGCACTATAGGCATACACCACCACACCCGGCTAATTTTTTTGTTTTTTAGTAGAGACGGGGTTTCACCATGTTGGCCAGGATGGTCTCCATCTCCTGACCTCGTGATCCACCTGCCTCGGACTCCCAAAGTGCTGAGATTACAGGTGTGAGCCACAGGGCCTGGCTTTTTTTTTTAATTTGAGACAGAGTCTCGCTCTGTCACCCAGGCTGGAGTGCAGTGGCTTGATCTCAGCTCACCACAACCTCCGACTCCCGGGGTCAAGTCATTCTCCTGCCTCAGCTGCCCGAGTAACTGGGATTACAGGCACCCACCACCTTGCCCCGCTAATTTTTTTATTTTGAGTAGAGACTGGGTTTCTCCAGGTTAGTCTGGCTGGTCTCAAACTCCCGACCTCAGGTGATCTGCCCACCTTGGCCTCCCAAAGTGCTGGGATTACAGGCATGAGCCACCGCGGCCAGCCAACTTTTAAAAAGTCATATTAGGGCCGAGTGCAGTGGCTCATGCCTGTAATCCCAGCACTTTGGGAGGGCTAGGCGGGCAGATCACCTGAGTTCGGGAGTTCGAGACCAGCCTGGCCAACGTGGTGAAACCCTGTCTGTACTCAAAATAGAAAAATTAGCCAGGCACGGTGGCACATGCCTGTAATCCCAGCTACTTGGGAGGCTGAGGTGAGAGAGTTGTTTGAACCGGGGAGGCGGAGGTTGCAGTGAGCTGAGATCGCGCCGTCGTGCTCCAGCCTAGGAGATGAGCACGAGACCTTGTCTCTAAATAAATAAAATTAAATTGTGGCCGGGCGTGGTGGCTGACTTCTGTAATCCCAGCACTTTGGGAGGCCAAGGCGGGTGGATCACCTGAGGTCCAGAGTTTGAGACCAGCCTGACCAACATGGAGAAACCCCGTCTCTACTACAAATACAAAATTAGCTGGGCGTCGTGGTGAATGCCTGTAATCCCAGCTACTCCGGAGGCTGAGGCAGGAGAATGGCTTGAACCCGGCAGGCGGAGGTTGCTGTGAGCCGAGATCGCGCCATTGCACTCCAGCCTGGGCAACAAGAACAAAACTGTCTCAAAAAATAAATTAATTAATTAATTAATTAAATTAAAGTCCAGCTTTTAGCCGGGCACAGTGGCTCATACCTGTAATCCCAGCACTTTGGGAGGCTGAGGCGGGCGGATCACCTGAGGTCAGGAGTTAGACCAGCCTGACCAACATGGTGAAACCCCATCTCTACTAAATACAAAAAATTAGCTGGGCGTGGTGGCAGGCGCCTGTAATCCCAGCTACTCCGGAGGCTGAGGCGGGAGAATCCCTTGAGCCCTGGAGGCGGAGGTTGCAGTGAGCGTAGATCGCGCCATTGCACTCCAGCCTGGGCGACAGAGCAAGACACTGTCTCAAAAAAAAAAAAAAAAGTAAACAGCTAGAATTTTAAAAAGTCATATTACCTACAGAGATACTTTTAATTCTTCCTTTGCAATTTACGTGTCTTTTATTGCTTTTCTTCTCTTTTTGTTTTTCAGAGATTAGTTGTCACTGTGTTGCCCAGGCTGGTCTTAAACTCCTAGGCTCGAAGGAGCCTTCTACCTCAGCCTCCCAAGTAGCTGAGACTATAGGCGAGCACCTCCACAACATGCACTTTTTATTTCCTTTATTTTAATTTTTTTTTATTTTTTTATTATTTTTAGAGATGGGGTCTTGCTCCGTCACCCAGGCTGGAGTTCACTGCAGCCTCAAACTCCTGGGCTCACTCAACCCTCCTGCCTCAGCCTCCCAAAGTATTAAGATCACAGGCATAAGCTACCACGCCCAGCCTGTACCTTTTATTTCTTTTTATTGCCTAATTATAGCCCTATCCGTTTTGGTGTCATTTTAAAGTCTAAATATATGATGTGTTTTTTTGTCAATATATCACAAATTACATATTTACAATCCAACTGGGAAGCTTGGGAGTAAAAAAAAAAAAAAAAAAAAAAAAAAAAAAAAAAAAAAGTCGCCGGGCGCGGTGGCTCATGCCTGTAATCTTAGCACTTTGGGAGGCCAAGGTGGGCGGATCACCTGAGGTCAGAAGTTCAAGACCAGCCTGGTCAACATGGTGAAACCCGGGAGACGGTGGTTGCCGTGAGCCTAGATCACCGCACTGCTGAGCGAGACTCCATCTCAAAAAAAAAAAGAAAACTTCTCAGGACTTTTTCGTAATAAGGCTGTCATAATACTGCCTGATGTATTTTATGTAATGAATTGCAGACTGCAGAAAGCAGGGACTTAGCTGAGAAAATTAATCGTGCACTCATTCAGCAAAGGTTTCAGGGCCTGCTGTGTGGAGACACGGTTCCAAGCACTGCTGCAGTAGCAGGGAGGAAACAGAACGGACCTCAAACGCTGTCCCAGCAAGGACTCCAGTCTCTGCCTTGTGGATGTGTAACTGGCACATGATGTACCAGAAACTCCTGTGTGTGGTTGTATCCGGTGCGTGACACAGTACTCTCTCCAGCTGCTCCTTGGATTTGGGAAGCAGCCGAAGATTTACGGGCCATGGAGGCTCCTTCTATCCCTGGAAATCGGCCCTTGGGAATTAAGCTGAGTTATGTGGTTAAAGCCGTCATGACAGCCATCCCCTGGCTGGGCCAGTTCTGGGAATAACTATAATGCTTATACTACAGGATGGCCAATTCAGAACTTCTTACTAGTGCTGAATTCAATAAAGGTTTAATAACACATTTCTCAAATCCTTAACAGTACTTTAGGACGTCTCAGCTAGAGAGGGCTTGCAAGGGATTCTTATTTATTTTTTATTTTTTTTGAGACAGAGTCTCGCTCTGTCGCCCAGGCTGGAGTGCAGTGGCGCCATCTCAGCTCACTGCAACCTCCACCTCCCATGTTCAAGCGATTCTCCTGCCTCAGCCTCCTCAGTAGCTGGGATTACAGGCACCCGCCACCATGCCTGGCTAATTTTCCTATTTTTAGTAGAGACGGGGGTTTCACCATGTTGGCCAGGTTGGTCTCAAACTCCTGACCTCGGGTGATCCACCTGCCTCAGCCTCCCAAAGTGCTGGGATTATAGGTGTGAGCCATGAGTCTCATATGACAAGTTCCCTTTTAAAATGCATAAAATCACAGATACCTTTGTCTGGAAAAATAGGTTTTTTTTGTTTTTTGGGTTTTTTTTGAAATAAGGTCTCTATCACCTAGTCTGGGGTACAGTGGCAAAATCAAGGCTCACTACAGCCTTGACCTCCCAGGCTAAAGCAATCCTCCCACCTCAGCCTCCGGAGTAGCTGGGACTAGAGGTACACGCCACCACCCCCAGCTATTTTTTTTTTTCTTTTTTTGTGCAGACAGGGTCTCACCATGTTGCCCAGGCTGGTCTCAAACTCCTGGGCTCAAGCAATCCTTCTGCCTTTGCCTCCCAAATTGCTGGGTTAACAGGCATGAGCCACTGCACCCAGCCAGAAGATATTAATAACATTTCCAGGAAATTTAACAGATAATGTTTCATATGTTAATGAGCAGGAGTTATTGTGGGAGGCTGAGGTGGGAGGATTGTTTGAGGCCAGAAGTTGAGACTAGCCCAGGCAACATAGCAAGACCTCAACGCTACCAAAAGTAAAAACTTAGCTGGGTGTGAGGCTTGCCTGAGCCCAGGAGGCCAACGCTGCAGTGAGCCGTGATCATGCCACTGTCCTCCAGCCTGGAAACAGAGCAAGACCCCATCTTGGAAAAACAAAACAACACAGGGAGAGCATAGGTGCTCAGTGTCATATGAATTAATACATTTTGTTACTGAAACCCAGTTTTACTTTGCAACTTTAAATTTTTTTCAGAAACATTAAAGAATATATTTTGTATGAGTTAAATATAGAAATGCTACTGGCTGTTCCTGAGTTTTAGTTTTAAATTACTGTCAATCATTCCTCAGTGGTCCCATGCACAGTCCCCATGCTGCAGGGAGGCCAGCTCCTCTGGGCCTCGTGGAGTAACGGTGTTGCTTAGCCCATATCCTCCTGGACAAGTGCTTTGGTTCTTCCCTTTACCGGTAAAGTGTTGCAAACGTAGTCTATCGAGTTTGTTCTATTTCATCTGTTCTGTTTACGAAACTGTAACTTCATATAGGACTGCCTTAGGGCTGAAGTAAATAAACTGTCAACCTAAATAAAACATAAAACAGGCCGGGCGCGGTGGCTCACGCCTGTAATCCCAGCACTTTGGGAGGCCGAGGCGGGCGGATCACGAGGTCAGGAGATCGAGACCATCCCGGCTAAAACGGTGAAACCCCGTCTCTACTAAAAGTACAAAAAATTAGCCGGGCGTAGTGGCGGGCGCCTGTAGTCCCAGCTACTTGGGAGGCTGAGGCAGGAGAATGGCGTGAACCCGGGAGGCAGAGCTTGCAGTGAGCCGAGATCCCGCCACTGCACTCCAGCCTGGGCGACAGAGCGAGACTCCGTCTCAAAAAAAAAAAAAAAAAAAAACATAAAACAACAGGGACAGGCCGGGTGTGGTGGCTCCCAGCACTCTGGGATGCCAAGGTGGGCGGATCATGAGGTCAGGAGATCAAGACCATCCTCGCTAACATGGTGAAAACCCATCTCTACTAAAAATACAGAACATTAGCCAGACATGGTGGCGCGTGCCTGTAGTCCCAGCTACTTGGGAGGCTGAGGTTGGAGAATTGCTTCAACTCGCGAGGCGGAGGTTGCAGTGAGCCGAGATCGCGCCACTGCACTCCAGCCTGCATGACAGAGCAAAATTCCGTCTCAAAAAAAAAAAAAAAAAATACACAGCAGGGACGGGGATGGTAAACCCAAACTGCATGCTTTCGTTCAAGGTTTCAAGGTGTGTATAAAGCAAAAGTACCTGTCCATCTCCAGATAATCTTGAACTTAACCTGATCAGCCCTTGTGCTCCCCAGCCAAAGCTCACTGAGCGTTCCAGAAACCAGAAAGGCATGCTGGTCTCTGGAAGGCTGCTGAAAGCACCCCAGGAAAATCCCAGCACCAGCCCAAGTCCACTCATGTGGTTCTGTTTGTCCATGGGTCCGCGAGGTGAGGAGGTCTGAAGTGGGCCAGCCGGGGTTCGGATTTTATGTAGAAATGACTACCTGTAGCTGGGTACGGTGGCTCACGCCTGTAATCCCAGGACTTTGGGAGGCAGAGGCGGGTGGATCAGGAGGTCAGGAGATCGAGACCATCCTGGCTAACACGGTGAAACCCCATCTCTACTAAAAATAGAAAAAAATTAGCCGGGCGTGCTGGCAGGCGCCTGTAGCCCCAGCTACTCGGGAGGCTGAGATGAGAATGGCGTGACCCGGGAGACGGAGCTTGCAGTGAGCCGAGATTGAGCCACTGCACTCCAGCCTGGGCAATAGAGCAAGACTCCATCTCAAAAAAAAAAAAAAATGAAATGACCACCTGTTCCTTGTCAAACCAGCCCTTTAAGTTACAACAAAAAGAAAGCCCTCCTCCTGCTCCATGTCCACACTGAGCCTGGTGTCTGCGGCCCTGTCCTGGCGTTTCAGAGGCCGGTCTGGAGACTCACCCTCATCGCCCTCAGCAGCTGGGCCACCAGCAGCCACATGCTGGCCTCTGCTGGCTTCTCTCTTCCTGGCGCTGCAGATCAGAGAACGCAGCCCAGAGTGGGCACCAAGACACCCCAGGCTTTACTGGATCCTCTGGGAGAACCAGCCCCATGCCTCGGTCCTGCCAGGATCCTTACCTTCTGGCACTGCTGCAAAAGCCTCCCTCCTCCCTGGCCTCACATTCCCACCTCTGGCCTCTCTAGAGTCCATTCTCTCAGCAGCCAGTCATGCTTTTACCACAGACTTTATTAGTCCTCAGCAGCACTCCCCCTCGGACTCTCCAGCATTCCCTGGCCGCTCCCCACTCCCCTGCTACCTGCCCCCTCCCAACTGGCCACACCCTGGCCATCAGTTAGTCGGACTGCAAGCTTGTCCAGTCCAAGAGACTAAACGGTCCAGTCGAGCCACTCCCAGATTCCTGACCCTCAGAAACAGAGTGAGATAAGCATTTGTTGTTTTAAGTTGCCACGTTGGCGAACTCGGAATGCACTGCCCAGGGCCGTGGGGATTCCCGTCACGTGGAGAGGACATAGGCTGTCCCTTCCAGGTCCTTAAACACCTGCCCAAAGTCCCACACCCAACAATCTAAAGAAACGCTGAGGAATACATGATTATTTAGTCATGCTCAAATTCCTGTACAGGTTTCTTGCTAGTAGAAACGGACTTTCCGCCAGGCGTGTTGGCTCACGCCTGTAATCCCAGCACCCTGAGAGGCCGAGACAGGTGGATCACCTCAGGTCGGGAGTTTGAAACCACCCTGACCAACATGGAGAAACCCCGTCTCTACTAAAAATACAAAATTAGCCGGGCGTGGTGGCACATGCCTATAATCCCAGCTACTTGGGAGGCTGAGGCAGGAGAATCGCTTGAACCCCGGGAGGTGAAGGTTGTGGTGAGCCGAGATCGAGCCATTGCAGTCCAGCCTGGGCAACAAGCAAAACTCTGTCTCAAGAAAAGAAAAAAAAAAAAGGAATGAACTTTCCATCTTCTTTTCTTTTTTTTTTTTTTGAGACGGAGTTTTGCTCTTGTTGCCCAGGCTGGAGTACGATGGCGCGATCTCAGCTCACAGCAAACTCCACCTCCCGGGTTCAAGCCATTCTCCTGCCTCGGTCGGCCTCCAGAGTAGCTGGGATTACAGGCATGTGCCACCACGCCTGGCTAATTTTGTATTTTTATAGAGACGGGGTTTCTCCATGTTGGTCAGGCTGGTCTCAATCTCCAGACCTCAGGTGATCCGCCCACCCTTTTTTTTTTTTTTGAGGTGGAGTCTCACTCTGTCGCGCAGGCTGGAGTGCAGTGACGCGATGCGATCTCGGCCCACTTCAACCAACACCTCCTGGGTTCAAGCGATTCTCCTGCCTCAGCCTCCCAAGTAGCTGGGGTTACAGGCGCCTGCCACCACACCCAGCTAATTTTCGTATTTTTAGTAGAGAGGAGGTTTCACCATGTTGGCCAGGATAGTCTCCCAACTCCTGACCTCAGATGATCCACCCACCCTCGGCCTCCCAGAGTGCTGGGATTACAGGCGTGAGCCACGGTGCCCAGCATTTTTTTTTTTTTTTTTTTTTTTTTTTTTGAGACGGAGTCTCACTCTGTTGCCCAGGCTGGAGTGCAGTGGCGCGACCTCGGCTCACCACAACCGCCACCTCCCGGGTTCAAGCGATTCTCCTGCCTCAGTCTCCCTCCTGAGTAGCTGGGATTACAGGCGCCTGCCACCACACCCAGCTAATTTTCGTATTTTTAGTAGAGATGAGGTTTCACCATGTTGGCCAGGCCGGTCTCCAACTCCTGACCTCAGGTAATCCAGATCCAACCACCTCGGCCTCCGAAAGTGCTGGGATTACAGGCGTGAGCCACCACGCCCAGCCCCATCTTTTAAAGAAGAATAAAATCTGGTTCTACATGGATGAGTAAAGCCCAGTTAACAAGTGATATAAGAAGAAACTGTTTCCTAAGAAAGAGCTTCAGGAAGAAAATGTACTAAAATTTACAGAGATGAACTCGTTTATTTTCAAGCATTCCACAAGGTAACATGTTTTATGTAAGACATCCTCATATTCAACACATACCTTATTGTTCTGCCTGACTTTGCTTCAGCAGGAGGAGTCGCCGTGGGGGCGGCTTTGGCCATCATTATGGGTGCTGCAGTCCAAGAGCTCTGGAGGCCAGGCTAACTGCAAAAGCAAATGTACTTAAAAAAATTTTTAAGTTTAGTTGCTGCCAAATTTGGAAAGAAGCAAATATGTAATTATTTGTTCAGATATTAATAAGGAAGCCTAGATTTTTTTTTTTTTTTTTTTGAGACAGTCTTGGCCTGGCGCGATGGCTCATGCCTGTCATCCCAGCTACTCGAGAGGCTAAGGCAGGAGAATCGCTTGAAGCTGGGAGGCAGAGGCTGCAGTGAGCTGAGATCGCACCACTGTACTTCAGCCTGGGCAACAGAGTGAGACCTTGTCTCATAAAAAAAAAGACAGGGTCTCACTCATCACTGAGGCTGGAGTGCAGTGGCAAGATCTTAACTCACTGCAGCCTCCACCTCCCAGGTTCAAGCGATTCTCATGCCTCAGCCTCTCGAGTAGCTGGAACTACAGGCATGTTGCCACCGTGCCTGGCTAATTTTTTTGTATTTTTAGTAGAAAGAGAGTTTCGCCGTGTTGGCTAGGCTGGTCTTGAACTCCTGACCTCAAGTGATCCACCTGCCTTGCCCTCCCAAAGTGCTGGGATTACAGGCGTGGGACATAGCACCCAGCCAGAAGCCTAGATCTTTTTTTTTTTTTTTCAGATGGAGTCTCTGCCTCCCAGATTCAATCGATTCTCCTGCCTCAGCCTCCCAAGTAGCTGGGATTACAGGCACCTGCCACCGTGCCCGGCTAATTTTTTCTATTTTTAGTAGAGACTGGGTTTTACCATGTTAGCCAGGATGGTCTCATCTCCTGATGATCTCGTGATCCACCGGTCTCGGCCTCTCAAAGTGCTGGGATTACAGGCATGAGCCACCGCCCCAGCCAGCCTAGATCTTAAAATCAAAAAAAGTCCCAAAGATCAACTTCTGTCTCTGGAATGTTAAACGTTACTGTTTGATAGATGAGGCAACTGAAGTTTGTAGAGCACCTTGCCTGAAGCTTCAGCCCACAGCAGGAATAAGGGACAGAGCCTAGAATGCTTCTGCATCAACAGGGAACAAAGGCATGGGGTCTCCTCTCTGTCCACCTTCCCTTCCCACAGCCCAGGCTGAAAGGGCTGCCCTAGGCGCTCCTGAGGCCTCCTCTCTTATGGGGCTAGAGCTGAGGGAACCTGGGGTTGGTAGCCATCCAGAGACCTAAGGCGTGCCCTGACCCAAACCAGGAGTCACCAAGAGACTGCCTCTAGAGAATAGGCGGGGAAGGGAAGTCACACCAAGTCCAAGCGCAGAGTTCAGAGGGCTGAGGAGGGGTGACGCGGAAGTACAAATGAGTAAGCAGCAGTTAGGAAGTGTGCCAAGTCCTGACGTGCAGAGTTCAGAGGGCTGAGGAGGGGTGACACGGAAGCACAAATGAGCAAGCAGCAGTTAGGCAGTGCAGGAAGAACACACAGGCGGAGAAGGGAAAGCGAACGTCCTGCTCTGCTGCAGGCTATGAGGGCAAAGGCAGACCCGGGAGCCCACTGTCCTACAGATCCTTCTTCTTGAATCCAAATCATGCAGCAAAATAAAAACAAAACCCCCAAACCATGGGGCACCCGAATCCTTAAACAAAACCCCTACTGCTTGAGGCTACGTGAGCCTCTGCTGCTGCCGCCACTACAGCAGGGGCTGAAGCTGAGAGCTGAGAGTCACGGTTCACCTGTAGGGCCTGGGATGCAGCCAGCCTTCAAAGCACGGTTGTTAGAGATGAGTTTGAATAAATGCATAAATACTCTGTTCCCATATCCTCATTTCCCATGACGTCCCAGTAATAACTCTGGATGCCAAGGCTTCCTGGCTCGTCAGTTGCCCTCACACACATTTATTGCATTTTATCTTCATAACCACCCTGTGGGAAACCCAAGGCTGATATTAGCCTTGCTTTGCAGATAATTATCATCCCCATTTTACCGCTGAGAAGATTGAGGCTTGAGGAAGCTAATAACTTGCTTAAGGTCATAGGCCAGAGGAGACAGAACCCAGTGTTCTTTCCCCAGAGGAGGCCTCTTGCCAACACCCCACACTGCTTCTGATGAATTGCCAGGAAACAATTTTAACTTATCTCAAACAATATTAATAGGACTACACTTAAACTCCTCCCAAACACATCCAAATGTGTGCCCTCACCCTCTCTCCAGCCTTGTCCCGTGACCAACCCAACCAAACTTCCGAAAGGGTTTTTTGTGTTCTAGGAAGTGACCGAGCCCCACAACCCTTTATGCCTGTGCGTTCAGAGGATTTGTGACCTTTTTTTTTTTTTTTGAGATGGAGTCTCGCTCTGTCGCCCAGGCTGGAGTGCAGTGGCGGGATCTCGGCTCACTGCAAGCTCCGCCTCCCGGGTTCACGCCATTCTCCTGCCTCAGCCTCCCGAGTAGCTGGGACTACAGGCGCCCGCCACAGCGCCCGGCTAATTTTTCGTATTTTTAGTAGAGACGGGGTTTCGCCGTGTTAGCCAGGATGGTCTCGATCTCCTGACCTCGTGGTCCGCCCGCCTTGGCCTCCCAAAGTGCTGGGATGAAGGGCAGGGAGAGGGAGGGGGAGGGCACCGCGCCCGGCCCACCTGGTGTCTTTCAATCAGGGAAAGAAAAAATAGTGGAGGAGGAAACGGCAAGGTTGGATTCACTGCGAAGGCTGACTGTACAATAAGAAGCAAAAGGAAAAGCGGTTCAGTTGTGAAAATCAGTGTCAGCCCTGGGTGTAGGGGAAGGTCCTCTCCACAAACCAACAGAACACCTCCCCAGCCCCGAGCACCTCTGCCGAGGCACCCGGCCCACTGGAGGGCTGAGGGCGGATAACCACGATAACTGAAAACACTTTCCTGAGCGTCTCGGGGCTGAGGAAGAGGGAGGATTACACGCAGCCCACTGGCTTTGCAACCTCGTCTGTAGTGGTGGAGTGAGTGCAGGTCCAGAAACAAACCAGACCGGCCTTGAAATTCTGCCCTAACTTCAGAGCTGTAATCCTAGGCAGGTTACTTTTAATACTTCTGAATCTTTCTTTACATGTAAAATAGAGGTATTGTATTCGCTGCACAGGGTTGTGAATATTACATGGGTGTTCGACACGGAGCTAGGCACTCGGTGATGTTGGCTGTCGTCACTGGCATTCACTGTTACGAATTTGCGGAGTACAGAAAAGCATAAAAATAAATAGGTCACCCTCATCCTACCTCTGTGACAGACCATCTAGTCTTTGCTTTTCCTACTCAACAAGCTTTCCAGCTCTTGGCGTCAGCTCTAGACCTAAGGCGGACGGAGGAAGGGGTCGGGGTGGCGGAGGACCCCGCGCGCCTGGGAGCCCACGAGGGACCCTGCCCGGGCCCGGAGGGCGGACCCTGAAGAGAACAGAGCCTCTTCCTAAGCTTCCAGACGGCGCCTCCCCGCTTCCTACGATGGGCTCGCGCAGCGGCCGGGGCAGGACCGAGGCTCGAAGCGCCTCCGAGGTGAGCCAGTCCGAAGGCACAGGACGGAGCGCTCCGAAGTCAGAGGTGTGCGGGACGAGCTCTGCAGACGCCTGCCAGGCCGCGCCGCACTGCGCGCTCCCTCCCTCACGACCCTCCTCCTCCGGGGCTGCCCTCCCTGCGGCGGCTGCAACTTCAGTCCTCGTCCTCGGGCGGCTCAAGACGCAGGAAAACCGCCCCCTTCCTGCGCTCCTCACACCCGAAGGGGCCCTCCCGACCCGAGGCCTCCGGCGCCGCCCTCCTGAGCGCGGGCCTCTACTCGCAGGCGGGATTCCGGCCCGCACCATCCGCCCTCGCCTGTGACCGAACCCTGCGGGTGACGCAGGCTGCCCGGGCGTGAGGCCCCTCGGCGCGGGCGGAGCACGACCACGCAGCCACGACCCGGCCGGTTATTCACCCGCCAGGCCCTGGGAATACAAGGCCGGCTTCAAAAAAACCAGGGCACCCGCGACCTCCTCGCAGACGCGCGCCCCCATACCCGGGCCTCAGGCAGCCACGAGGTAGACGGGCTCAGGCTCGGGGGTGCGGCAAGCGGCACCCGGGCGCGGCGGGGCGCAGCTGTGGGGACCGCGCAGGCGCCACGTCAGACCCCGCCCACCCCGCCGCGCAGGCGCCGTGTAGCGCCCCGCGGATCACGCAGGCGCGGCTTTCAGGCCAACATGGCCGTGCTGCTGCTGCTGCTCCGTGCCCTCCGCCGGGGTCCAGGCCCGGGTCCTCGGCCGCTGTGGGGCCCAGGCCCGGCCTGGAGTCCAGGGTTCCCCGCCAGGCCCGGGAGGGGGCGGCCGTACATGGCCAGCAGGCCTCCGGGGGACCTCGCCGAGGCTGGAGGCCGAGCTCTGCAGGTAAATCCCCGCGGAGTCCGGGCCCCACCTCCCGCCCGGCTCTGCTCTGTAAGGCCCAGCCCGGCGGGGCGGGTCGGAGGCCGCCTGGCCCCTGCGGCGGGGGAGCCTGCGCCTGTGGGCCCGCGGATCCCCCAGCTGTGGACCTCGGCGCGGAGCGACTGTTGGGGCCCTGGATCGTGGGCGCTGGGCGGGCCGGGAAGAGGCAGGGCTGGGATCCGCGCAGTCCTCGGCGTGGACTTTCCCAACCCGTCTGTTGTGTGTGGATGTTCTCCGCCCGTCTTCCTCGCCTTTTAAAGTGGAATCCAGTAACGGTTTCCGGCGTAGCACTAATTTACAGTCCACGCCTGTGGATCGATTCCGTCACCAGGAATTCCAGCGCCTTCCAGTTAGGGTGGTTATTGCCGAGTAGGGGGCCCAGAACGTTTCTGTGTCCGCAAAATACCCTGTAGCTGCATTTTGCTGTTGTCATGTAGCTCGGCACGTTATTGATACAGTCATTGAGCACCCCCTGTAGTGCGGCCTTGTTTCAGGTTCTGCTAAGGATAGGATAGCATCTCCTCCCGAAAACCAGACCTTGTGTCCTTCAGCTTTTGGGCTGATGTTTTTTTCTCCTAGCCCTCGCCTAGGAGCTTAGCCCACACCTTTTAGGTTGTTGTTTTTTCGGTTATTTTTGAGACAGAGATCTCGCTCTGTCGCCCAGGCTGGAGTGCAATGGTCTTGGCTCACTGCAACCTCCGCCTCCCGGGTTCAAGCGATTCTCCTGCCTCAGCCTCCTGAGTAGCTGGGATTACGGGTGCGCGCCACCACACCCAGCTAATTTTTGTATTTTTAGTAGAGACGGGGTTTCACCATGTTGGCCAGGATGGTCTCCATCTCTTGACCTTGTGATCCGCCTGCCTCGGCCTCCCAAAGTGCTGGGATTACAGGGCGTGAGCCACCGCGCCCGGCCATAAAACATATTTAAATGGGAAAATGTTTATCTTGAAAGGAGAACTCTGAAAGTATATACTTGTTAACTGGTTTGGTACCTGGAAATGTTCTACAAGGAGCCACTCTCTGGTGACAGCAGGAGCCCCGTGTCTGGGCAGCCACTGTGGCCTTTGGAGAGCTGGGCTGCTCCCTTTCTCCTGCAGAAGCTTCAGGCCATGGGATAGCAGCCAATGTACTTCTGTGTTTTGTTTTCTTCTTTTTTTTTTTTTTTTTTTTTTGTGACAATCTCGCTGTGTCGCCCAGGCTGGAGTGCAGTGGCCTGATCATGGCTCCCTGAAGCCTCTGCCTCCTGGGCCCAAGCAATCCTCCCACCTCAGCCTCCCAAAGTGCTGGGATTACAGACATGAGCCACCGTGCCTGGCCACTATCGTGATTTTTTGTTTGTTTATTTGTTTGTTTTTTGAGATGGAGTTTCCCTTTGTTGCCCAGCCTGGAGTGCAGTGGTGCTATCTCGGCTTACTGCAACCTCTGCCTCCCGGGTTCAAGCGATTCTCCTGCCTCAGCTTCCTGAGTAGCTGAGATTACAGGTGTGCACCACCACGCCCGGCTAATTTTTGTATTTTTAGTAGAGATGAGGTTTCACCATGTTGGCCAGGCTGGTCTCAAACTCCTGACTTCATGTGATCCACCCGCCTCAGCCTCCCAAAGTGTTGGGATTACAGCCGTGAGCCACCACGCCTGGCCAATTACTGTGTTTTAACCTGTTTACTTGCTTTTGACATTTTGATGTTACCTAAAGCTTTGACCTATTGCTCAGACTATTACTTTATATTTCAGGGCAATGTAGATATTACAAATAATTATATATTTGAACTTTTAAAAACGATTTTTAGTCTGCATTGCTTTGGTACTCTCTAATGTTGGTGTGACCTCCAGTATTGTTTTTTTTTTTTTTTCAGAGCTTACAATTGAGACTGCTAACCCCTACCTTTGAAGGGATCAACGGATTGTTGTTGAAACAACATTTAGTTCAGAATCCAGTCAGACTCTGGCAACTTTTAGGTATGTATCTGTTTAAAGAAGCAGCTGAGCATGACTGCACACTTACCGCCTCAGCTACTTGGGAGGCTGATCTTTTTTTATTTTAGAGACGGGATCTCGCCCTGTTGCACGGGCTGGAGTGCAGTACAATGGTGTGATCAGAGCTCACTACAGCCTAGAACTCCTGGGCTCAAGGGATCCTCCCCACTTTGCTTCCGGAGTAGCTAGGACTACAGGCGTGTACCGTCACACTCGGCTAATTGTTTTTTGTAGAGACAAGGTCTCACTTTGTTGTCCAGGCCCAAAGGGGCCTCTTTACTCCCTTATCCCCCAGTTGCAGAGCCTTGACCTCTTAGGCTGGAGTGATCCTCCCACCTCAGCCTTCCATAGAGCCAGGACTCCAGGCACACACCAAAGCGCCTAGCTAATTTTTGGGGGGTATTTTTTGTGGAGATGGGGTTTTGCCACGTTTCCCAGGCTGGTCTTAAACTCCTGGACTCAAGCGATCAGCCTGCCTTGGCCTCCCAAAGTGTTGAGATCACAGGCATGAGCCACCGCATCTGGCCAAGTTGTCCTTTTTTAAAAAAAATTCTGCTGTATTCCAGTAATTGGGCTGCTTGAAAAAGGTTTTTCGTGTTATCTAGTCAGCTGCAAGAATGTTTAGTAAGGATTTACAAAGTGGCTACAGATGTTTTATATCCACACAATCACTAAAAATACCCTGCAAATAATTTGCTCTTCAATAAATCATTTAATGAAACCTTGTGACATTCTTTGGTCTCTCTTGGCTTTAGGTTAAAGAACCTGAAGGATTGACACCTCTCACTTTTATTTCACGCTCCCCTTTATGGAGTTGGAACAGGGAAAAAGTAAAATATTTCTACTCCTAACTAACATTAAACAGCTTTGTGCCAACACATGGGTAGGGAGAGTGCCGTGCCCACTGGCCGTGCATCAGCAACTGGCTCATCTGCTGTCAGTGTTTAACGTCAGCTCACGGGTGCCTGTGGCTGTGAAACAGGAAGCACATGCTTCAGCCTCCTTAAGCCTGAGGTGACATGCAAGTGGCAACCGGGGCCGTTTCACTGGTGAACCCGTTCATGTCTTTGTGAAGAAAGTTACATTTCAGGTCATGGTTGTGAAACTCTTTCCCTATTTTTATTATTTTTTATTATTATTTGAGATAGGGTCTTGCCCTGTTGCCCAGGTGCAATCTCTACTCACTGCAGCTTCAACCTCCTGGGCCCAGGTTCTCCTCCCACTCAGCGTCCTGAGTAGCTGGGAAGTCAGGCATGTGTCACCACGTACAGCTACATTTTTGTGTTGTTGTTGTTGTTGTTGTTTATTATTATTTTTTTGAGACGGAGTCTTGCTCTGTCTCCCAGGCTGGAGTGCAGTGGCGCGATCTCCGCTCACTGCAAGCTCTGCCTCCAGGATTCCCGCCATTCTCCTGCCTCAGCCTCCCAAGTAGCTGGGATTACAGGTGCCCGCCACTATGCCCGGCTAATTTTTTGTATTTTTAGTAGAGACGGGGTTTCACCATGTTAGCCAGGATGGTCTCGATCTCCTGACCTCGTGATCCACCCGACTCGGCCTCCCAAAGTGCTGGGATTACAGGCGTGCGCCACTGCACCTGGCCTCCCCCATTTGTAAACGCTGATTTGTTCAGATTTTGAGACAGCTCTGTGTGAGGAGTGTCGTGCCGGCCCCTCTTGGTGGTGGCTGGGCTGCTGCTGTTGCCACTTGTCTGGAAACCATTTGTGAGTCGGAGTCTTGCTCTGTAAACCAGGCTGGAGTGCAGTGGTGTGATCTCAGCTCACTGCAACCTCCGCCTCCCGGGTTCAAGCAATTCTGCCTCAGCCTCCCAAGTAGCTGGGATTACAAGCGCCTGCCAACACGTCCGGCTAATTTTTGTATTTTTAGTGGAGACAGTGTTTCACCATCTCAGCCAGTCTGGTCTTGAACTCCTGACCTCGTGAACCACCTGCCTCGGTCTCCCAAAGTGCTGGGATTACAGGCATGAGCCACCACGCCTGGCGTGTTTAAGTTCTTTTAAAGCAACTTCATATATTAAAGGGATTCGTGATATTTTCCCAAATTTGTGTTCATAACTATTTTTTATTCCCTCACATTAGCAATTTAAGTAGCAAAGATATTTAACGTAAGTTAAAATAGTTTATTATTTTGTAATTAGGAAATACTGGACTAAGTGATATAGGATATGCTTTATTTCATATTTATAAATCTTATGGATATAAGTAGGTTTTTCAGATGGTTTTTGTTTTGCTTTGGTTATTTAGGAGTACACTGTTGTCCTGTATGCCTCCCCTGTGGTTGCAAAACTTAATTGTTAAATCCTTTCTCTATTTCTCATAGGTGGTACTTTCTATTTTAACACCTCAAGGTTGAAGCAGAAGAATAAGGAGAAGGATAAGTCGAAGGGGAAGGCGCCTGAAGAGGACGAAGGTATATTCATCTGATGTTCTTCAGTCAGTAGCTGCCTCTGGATGTCTTTACATTTCTGTTTTCCTTTTAGCAAGGTGAAACCAGTCTGGAAAATGGGGAGATGGGCCGGGTGCAGTGGCTCACACTTGTAATCGAAACGCTTTGGGAGGCCCAGGTGGAAGGATCACTTGAGGCCTATACCACATAGCGAGACCCTGTCTCACTGCAAATTAAAAGGCTGGGCGTGGTGGCTCACACCTGTAATCCCAGCACTTTGGGAGGCTGAGGCAGGCGGATCACCTGCACCCTGGCCAACATGGTGAAACCCCGTCTTTACTAAAAATAGAAAATTAGCCGGGCGTGATGGCACACGCCTGTAATCCCAGCTACTCGGGAGGCTGAGGCAGGAGAATTGCTTGAACCTGGGAGGTGGAGGTTGCTGTGAGTGGAGATCATGCCATTGCACTCCAGCCTGAGCAACAAGAGCAAAACTCCATCTCAAAAAAAAAAAAATTTAAATTTAAATTTAAAAAGACCCTATCTATACAGAAAGAAAAGAAGAAAATAATTGGCCAGGCGTGGTGGTGTGCACCTGTAGTCATAGCTCAGGAGTTGGAGGAGCTTGAGCCCAGGAGTTGGAGGCTCAGCTTCAGACTCACAGCCCCAGGGGGCAGAAGGGTTGAACTCAGCTTCAGGAATGCTTTGCTTTTGGATCCTTGAGGCCTCTCGCTGGAAATCAGCGTTGTTAAGATGGACGCCCTGCTCAGCAGAGCTCATCTTTCTAGAAAGGCACCTGGCCTTGGAAGGCGAGTGAGGAACTGTCATAAGGACTTTTTCTTCCCATGTTGCTTTTCAGGAAAGCTTTCAGGATGTGGAAATGATGGTTCAGCTATTGGATGAGGGGATTATTATTGTGAATTCGAGTTTAGCAGGAGTTTGTTTCAGGAGTGACGTCCTTCTTGATTGATTTTGTGTGAGACGCTGCATTTGCCAAGGCCAGGGACAGCTTTACTCTGTGAGAGAGGAGCTCTGACTCTCCCTACTGAGCTCTCGAGGGGAGGTCATAACTGCGGGAAGGGACACCAGTGTTTCGCAGGTGGATTCAGTTTAGGCGTTTCTGGCTTTAGGCTCATCTTCAGCTTACTGTTGGTTTTACGGTAAGTGTCAATGCTTACAGCCACTCAGAACTATCTTCTAAAAGACTTCTGAATCTTCATACAAAATTGTTCTGAATTGATTTCAGGGCTCTTTCCCTGTATACTTCAACATTTCAATAAAGTGTGTCCTTTGACTTTTTTTTTTTTTTTTTTTTTTTTTTTTTTTTGCCAGAATCTCACTCTGTTGCCCCGGCTGGAGTGCAGTGGTGCGATCTCAGCTCAATGCAACCTCCCCCTCCCGGGTTCAAGCAATTCTCCTGCCTCAGCCTCCGAAGTAGCTGGGATTACAGGTGCTCACCACCACACCCTGCTAATTTTTTGTTTTTTGTTCGTTTGTTTGTTTTTGAGACGGAGTCTCGCTCTGTCGCCCAGGCTGGAGTGCAGTGGCACAATCTCGGCTCACTGCAAGCTCCACTTCCTGGGTTCATGCCATTCTCCTGCCTCAGCCTCCCTAGTAGCTGGGACTACAGGCACCCGCCACCGCACCCGGCTAATTTTTTTGTTTTATTAGAGACTGGGTTTCACCATGTTAGCCAGGATGGTCTCGATCTCCTGACCTTGTGATCTGCTCACCTTGGCCTCCCAAAGTTCTAGGATTACAGGCGTGAGCCACCGCGTCAGGCCCTCTTTTTGTATAGTAGAGATGAGGTTTTGTCTTGTTGGCCAGGCTGGTCTCAAACTCCTGACCTCAGGTGATTCACCCACCTTGGCCTCCCAAAGTGCTGAGATTACAGGTGTGAACCACCGTGCCTGGCCTTGACCTTTTTTTTTTTTTTTTTTTGAGACGGAGTCTCGCTCTGTCGCCTGGGCTGGAGTGCAGTGGTGTGATCTCAGCTCACTGCAAGCTCCGTCTCCCAGGTTCACGCCATTCTCCTGCCTTAGCCTCCCGAGTAGCTGGGACTACAGGTGCCCGCCACCATACCCGGCTCATTTTTTGTATTTTTAGTAGAGACTCGGTTTCACCGTGTTAGCCAGGATGGTCTCAATCTCCTGACCTCGTGATCTGCGTGCCTCAGCCTCCCAAAGTGCTGGGATTACAGGAGTGGGCCACCGCACCCAGCCCTGGACCTTTTTTTTTTTTAACTTTTATTTTGTATTTATTTATTTATTTTTGAAACGGAGTCTCGCTCTGTTGCCCAGACTGGAGTCCAGTGGTGCGATGTCGGCTCAGTGCAACCCCTGCCTCCTGAGTTCAAGCGATTCTCCTGCCTCAGCCTCCTGAGTAGCTGGGATTACAGGCATGCACCACCATGCCCAGCTAATTTTTGTATTTTCAGTAGATACAGGGTTTTGCCATGTTGGCCAGACTGGTCTTGAACTCCTGACCTCGTGATCTCCCCACTTCGGCCTCCCAAAGTGCTGGGATTACAGGTGTGAGCCACCACGCCCGGCTGACCTTTTTATAAAAAAAAATTTGCTGGGTAGGTGCGGTGGCTCACACCTGTAATCTGAGCACTTTGGGAGGCCAAGGTGGGATGATCACTTGAGCCCAGGAGTTTAAGACCCTCATTTCTATTATTATTATTACTATTATTATTATTATTTTTTTTTTTGAGATGGGGTCTCGCTCTGTCGCCAGGCTAGAGTGCAATGGCACGATCTCGGCTCACTGCAACCTCTGCTTCCTGGGTTCAGGCGATTCTCCTGCCTCAGCCTCTCGAGTAGCTGGGACTACAGGCGTGCGCCACCACGCCCAGCTAATTTTTTGTATTTTTAGCAGAGACAGGGTTTCACCATGTTGGCAAGGATGGTCTCAAACTCCCGATGTCAGGCGATCTGCCCATCTTGGCCTTCCAAAGTGCTGGGATTACAGGTGTGAGCCACCGTGCCCAGCCTGGAGTTTCACTCTTGTTTCCCAGGCTAGAGTGCAATGGCGTAATTTCAGATCACTGGAACCTCTGCCTCCTGGGTTCCAGTGATTCTCCTGCCTCAACCTCACGAATAGCTGGGATCACAGGCATGCAACACCAAGCCCAGCTAATTTTTGTAGTTTTGGTAGAGACCTGGTTTGGCCACGTTGGTCAGGCTAGTCTCAAACTTCTCACCTCAGGTGATCCACTCGCCTTGGTCTCCGAAAGTGCTGGGATTACAGGTGTGAGCCACCACGCCCGGCCGTTCGTTTTTTTAATAAAAGAAGAAAGTTAGATCACTTGGGGCCAGGAGTTCGAGACCAGCCTGGCTAACATGGTGAAACCCCTTGTCTACTAAAAATACCAAAAAAAAAAAAAATTAGCCAGGTGTGGTGTACGTGCTTGTAATCCCAGCTACTCCGGAGTCTGAGGCGTGAGCATCGTTTGAACCTGGTAGGCAGAGGTTGCAGGGAGCTGAGATTGTGCCATTGCACTTCAGCCTGGATAATAGAGTGAGACCTTTCTGTCTCAAACATAAAAAATTAAGAAAGAAAAGGCCGGGCGTGGTGGCTCATGCCTGTCATCCCAGCACTTTGGGAGGCCAAGGCGAGCAGATCACAAGGTCAGGAGATCGAGACCATTTTAGCTAACACGGTGAAACCCTGTCTCTACTAAAAATACAAAAAAAAAAAAAAATTAGGCGTGGTGGTGGGCACCTGTAACCCCAGCTAGTCGGGAGGCTGAGGCAGGAGAATGGCGTGAACCCAAGAGGCGAAGCTTGCAGTGAGCCGAGATCGCGCCACTGCACTCCAGCCTGGGCGACACAGCAAGACTCTGTCTCAAAAAAAAAAATTAAGAAAGAAAAAAGCGACGGCGAGACTCTTGTCTCAAAAAAAAAGAAAAAAGAAAAAAGTCGTAAGAGAAAATATATTTCCTATTTATGCAGTGGAAGCGGATCACCATAAAGAGCTTCATCCTCATGGCCTTCACCTTGAGTGGGCTGAGGAGGAGGACGAGGGGCTGGTCTTGTTGTCTTGGGTAGCAGGGGTGGAAGAAAATCCACGTGTCCGTGATCATACATAGCTCACTCCTGTGTTGCTGAAGGGTCACCTGTCATAGAAGAGGGAAGAATTGTGTGGCCTGTGCGGATTCTGCATTCAGCCTTGTGTGTTGTGTTACGGTTAACCAGGGACGTGTGCCCCACTAATAACTCTGATTCCTGGAAGGAATGGCATGGCAGCCTCCGTTGTCATGGTTCCTGGAGGGAATGGCATGGCAGCCTCCGTTGTCATGGTTCCTGGAAGGAATGGCATGGCAGCCTCCGTTGTCATGGTTCCTGGAAGGAATGGCATGGCAGCCTCCGTTGCCATGGCAAGGCAAAGCCATGGCAGCTTCCTGGTTATCACTCCTGGCATGTGGTAGGTGCTTGTCCAGTGAAATCCTAGTCGTTGCTGCATTGGCAGGTGCCCTGGCGTGAGGAAGGGCAGGCAGTCACCATGCCCTTTGCTCTCCTGGGCCCTGCATCTGCTTATGGATGAGGCTGCGTGTAGCTGACATGCGTGTCTCTCCTGCATCTGAGTAATTGTCGTCGTCTTTTTTTTTTTTTTTTTTTTGAGATGGAGCTTCGCTCTTGTTGCCGAAGTTGGAGTGCAATGCCACGATCTCGGCTCATTGCAAACTCCACCTCGTGGGTTCAAGCAGTTCTCCTGCCTCAGCCTCCCGAGTAACTGGGACTAAAGGTGCCCGCAACCATGCCCGGCTAATTTTTTGTGTTTTTAGTAGAGACGGAGTTTCACCATGTGAGCTAGGATGATCTCGATCTCCTGACGTTGTGGTCTGCCCACCTCGGCCTCCCAAAGTGCTGGGATTATAGGCGTGAGCCACCACGCCCGGCCAAGTGATTGTTTTATGTTTATTCTGTTTTGGGTTGAACTATAGTTTGCTTGGAGAAAATAATGTCTGTTAAATTTGCGTTAGAGGATAATTGTTTACTGAGCCAAATAATCTTTCTTGTGAGAACCTATTCTGGGTTTCCCCTGGGCCCTCTGCTGTGGTTTCGGCGGGAGTTGGTTTGTGTGGATTTTCAGGACTGCTGACTTGATCAGACAGGCACAACACAGTCCCGGCCCTCAGGCAGGCCTTCTCCCTGGTCTGATGCTGAACTGCATGGCGTCTGTTCAGATGAAGATTCTTTTGCCACCTCCTTAAATGAAAGAACGATACTGAATGTGGCTTAGAAACAGCTTTGCCAGCCGTGCAGAATGATTGTAAGTAGTGGTTGCCCGAAAAGTATTTGCTTGGAATACCACTCACTGATAACACTGGTGAACCTGGAAGGAATTATACGGAGTGAAAAAAGGCACCACTCACTGATAACACGAATGAACCTGGAAGGAATTATACGGAGTGAAAAAAGGCTCCGCTCACTGATAACGCGGGTGAACCTGGAAGGAATTACACGGAGTGAAAAAAGACCCTGCTCACTGGTAAGGCGGGTGAACCCAGAAGGAATTACACAGAGTGGAAAAAAGACTCCGCTCACTGATAACGCGGGTGAACCCAGAAGGAATTACACGGAGTGGAAAAAAGGCCCCGCTCACTGATAACGCGGGTGAACCCAGAAGGAATTATACGGAGTGAAAAAAGGCCGAGCTGAAAGATCACATGCCGTATGATTTTTTTTTTATACAGCATTCTCTAAAGACAAAAATTAAAGAGATGGAACACAGATTCGTGGTTGCTAGGGGTTAAGGATGGGGGAAGGAGACAGCCGGAGGGAGCCTGTGGTTGGATTGCCTCAGCTGCGGTGGGCACACACTGCGCGTGTGTCATGGGATGACCCCGGGGAGCTTGGTGGACCGTCGTGGTGGGAGAGCCTGGCTGTGATACTGTTCATAGTTTTGTGAGATGGAACCCCTGGAAGCAGGGGGACAAGGTATTGCTCTGCGTCATTTATTTTTATTTATTTATTTTTTTTTGAGATGGGGTCTGGCTCTGTCACCCAGGATGGAGTGCAGTGGCTCGATCTCTGCTCACTGCAACCTCCACCTCCCGGGTTCAAGCGATTCTCCTGCCTCAGCCTCCTGAGTAGCTGGGATTACAGGCGCGTGCCACCACACCCAGCTAATTTTGTTTGTTTTTAGTAGAGATGGGGTTTCAGTATGTTGGTCAGGCTGGTCTCGAACTCCTGACCTCATCATCTGCCTGCCTCGGTCCCCACAAAGTGCTGGGATTACAGGTGTGAGCCACTGCGCCCAGCCTGCTCTGTGCCATTTCTTACAACTACATGTGAAGGTACAGTTACTTCACGGTTGCTAACTAGAACTAGAAAACTAGAAAAAAAGCAGTTGCTAACATTTTTTTTTTCTTTTTTTGAGACGGAATTTCGCTCTTGTTGCCCAGCCTGGAGTGCAGTGGCGCGATCTCAGCTCACCGCAACCTCCGCCTCCCGGGTTCAAGCCATTCTGTTGCCTTAGCTTCCCGAGTAGCTGGGATTACAGGCATGCGTCACCACACCTGGCTGATTTTTTGTATTTTTAGTAAAGATGGGGTTTCTGCATGTTGGTCAGGCTTGTCTCAGACTCCCGACCTCAGGTGATGCACCCGCCTCAGCCTCCCGAAGTGCTGGGATGACAGGCGTGAGCCACCGCGCCCGGCAGCAGTTGCTAACATTTTCACACAGCTTCTTGTGGAGAAGGCCCCTTTCCACTGTGAAGTGTGAATGCGTCAAGGTGGAGCCCCTGCCCCGGAGGCCTCTCCTCTGTCAGGGTCAGCTGTGGCGCTCGGGGCTGCTGTCTTCAGGGGCGGTTTCCAAGTGGGATGAGCCTGATGTGGCCCCTGTGGCTGCTTCCTTGAGACTCAGTGGTATCAGCCGTTTGTTTTTAGATGACTGATTGAAGTGAGTTATGTGATCATAATATCTAATTGTCAACAATTGACTTTTTTTCCTCGAAGAGGGATTTTGGCAACAAAACTTGCCAGTGGTCCTGCAGGCTGCCGTCCACGAGGTGTGCATATGAGGCTCAGGAGGCATGTGCGTTTCCTGAGCGCCTTGGCGGACAGCCTCAGGAACACAGGCAGCAGGTGCTGAGGTCACACCCCAGTTCTGTGTGAGCTGGCGGCTCGTCTCAGCATCCTGAATAACCGTCCTGGAAGCACACAGGAGGAAGGTACCTGCAGCCCTGGGTGCGCAGGCACAAATGACCACAACACTGAAGGCGTGGCGGGAAGAGGTGCATCGGGCAGCGCAGTGGAAGGGACGCGCTGGGCGTTTGGGTTGAACAGAAGTTAAGGACTTCATGGGAAGGAGATGGGGGGTCTTGCAGGCAGAGGAAGTTCCTTTTATACCTAGAGTGCTTTTGTTTGTTTGTTTGTTTGTTTGTTTGTTTTGAGATGGAGTTTCACTCTTCGTTGCCCAGGCAGGAGTGAAGTGGCGCGATCTCAGCCCACTGCAACCTCCGCCCGCCATGTTTAAGCGATTCTCCTGCGTTAGCCTCCCTAGTAGCTGGGCTTACAGGCGCGTGGTACCACGCCCAGCTAATTTTTGTATTTTTAGTAGAGACAGGGTTTCACCATGTTGGCCAGGCTGGTGTTGAACTCCTGACCTCAGGTGATCCACTCACCTCAGCCTCCCAAAGTGCCTGGATGACAGTCGTAAGCCACTGCGCCCAGCCCCAGCTACGTTGTGTTTTTTTTTTCCCCCTGTAGAGATGGGTTTTCGCTATGTTGCCCAGGCTGGTTTCTAACTCCTGGACTCAAGTGATCCACCTGTCTCGACTCCCAAAGTGCTGGGATGACAGGTGTGAGCCATTGCGTCCGGCTGGAATTTCTTATGGTTCGTTTCCTTAGGTTAAAGTTTCAGAAGTAGGATTTTTGAATTAAAGAAACTAAATACTGTCTATGGCGCTTGATACATCTTGCCAGGCAGTTATCAGACAGGGTTGTACTGGTTTGCGCCACCCCAGAACGTGTGCAAGGCCTGTTTGTGGACCCTCCTTGGCCTGGCTCTCTAGGTCATCCACCTGCGTGTGCTCACAGAGCATATGGATTTTTCCCTGCGGTGCCTTCACTTGTGGCTGGAAGAGCCTTCTCTGTGATCCTGTGTCCTGGGTGCTCTGTTGGCCTCCTTCTTGCCACCGAGGAAGACACGGAGGCTAGAGAGGGCTCACTGAACAGTGAAATGATTGGAACCTAAGGAGCTTCAGCAGAAGGTGTCATGATGGGGCTAGGCTCTCCCGAGGGCTGTGTGGCCTCAGCGTCTTGTTGGGCAGATCCTGCTCCCTGACACAGCGGGGCTAAGAGCCAGCCTGTGTCACACACCTGTGAATTAACATGCCTGGCTGACCCTCACTGGAGAAGGGCTACACGTTTGTGACGAAAGCAGAAGAGGTGTTTATTGTAGACCAAATCCAAGCTGTCATTTTACTTTTATTAGAAATTATTTGGGATTTGGCTCATGCCTATAATCCCAGCACTTTGGGAGGCTGAGGTGGGAGAATCACCTGAGCTCAGTCGTTTGAGACTGCCTTGGCAACATAGTGAGACCTCATCTTCTACTCAAATTTAAAAAATTAGCCGGGCGCAGTGGCGTGCACCTGTACTCCCAGCTACTCAGGAGGCTCAGTTGGGAGGATCACTTGAGCCCAGGAGGTGGAGGCTGCAGTGAGCCCAGATATGCTCATGAAGCACTGTGGGTTTCTCCTGCAGTGCACCACCGCACTCCAGCCTGGGTGACGGAGAGAGACCCCATCTCAACAAAAATAAAAAAGAAAAGAAAATGGGACACTGTTGATACAGTCACAGAGCTGAAGGAGCAGCATGGGTCGTGATTCTGGATCGTCCCTCCAGGGCAGCTAGAGTAGCTGCTGGGAAGTATTTCTCTCAGTTTCCCGGGAGCAGTGTGGGTCGTGATTCTGGATTGGCCCTCCAGGGCAGCTAGAGTAGCTGCTGGGAAGTATTTCTCAGTTTCCCAGTGCACCCCATGTTTCTAGTAGAAAACACAATTGGTAATTAAATATTGGAAGTAGTTTCTAACAATTGGATACTCACCTGAGAACATAAATTTGCTCTCTGAAATAAGCGGTGGGCTTTAAATAATTGCCTTTGTGAATATGAAATTTAAGTATTAGATGCACGATTAGGATCGATTGTAACAAAACAGTGATATCTAAAATATACCTTCATGTTTTCAAAGTAATTATTTTGCCACCTTTTTAGTGGGTTTCATTTTGTGTTTTTAAGCCGATTTAAAAATTGTTTGAATTCGTCTAAAATGATTGTTGGAAAGGAAGGTGGTACATGGGACGTGCCCAGGCCAGGCTTTGATCCCAGCATGAAGCCCCCGCAAGACAATGCAGGAGGAGAAGAGCTGTGAATCTCAAGAAGACGTGAGCCTCTCGTCCCGGCTGCTGGGTCCGTGGCGGTTTGTCCGCAGGCGCAGGTGTTCTGGAAATGACGTCGTTACCACCGCTGGGTCTGTGGCGGTTTGTCCGCAGGCGCTGGTGTTCTGGAAATGACGTCGTTCCCGCCGCTGGGTCCGTGGCGCTGTGTCCGCAGGCGCAGGGGCGCAGGTGTTCTGGAGATGATGTCGTTCCCGCTGCTGTGTCCGTGGTGGTTTGTCCGCAGGCGCAGGTGTTCTGCAGATGACGCCCTTCCCAGAACTGGAGGAGAGACTGACCTGCCTAGGGGGTTTGAGGGAAGACTGTGGCTTGGCCTGTGGTGGTCACTGTTGGGAGCCTGTCTGGCTGCAGGACTACTCCCCACCTGGGCCCTGGACTGTGGGAAGTGACCCCTGCGGGCATTTTGCCCAGTGGCCATCCTGGCTGTCCTTTTCCCCACCATGCCCTCCTCAGAGGCGTCTCCCTGGCTTCGCTGCCTGGCGCTGCTTGCCACGCCTCCTTGCAGGCCTCCATGAAGAGTGAGTGAGCGCCCGCTGCTCCAGATCCCCTCTGTGCTGGCCCCAGGCCGGCCTTGAGTCGGTCTCTTGCTGTCTGCAGGGTGCACCTGTCCACCTCCCCTCGAGGTATCCCAATGTCTGGAGAACAGGGGCCGAATGTCTTTTCCATCCTCTGAGAGCTAAGCATAATGCCACCGTGTCTTCAGTAGGGTGTTAATAACTGAGGAAGGTAATTTAGAAGAATTCACCTGGTGCTTCTCATAAAGAGTTGGTCTCTGGGAAAATTCTAGAGTCAAGTGGTCTGGAGTATATGCCTTTAGACTCAACAGTGTATCTCATGATATTTTTAAGTTCTATTTTCAGATGTTGTGATAACCTACAACTTTCTGTTAAATGTTAGTCATTCTGATGAGTAAAAAGTTCAGAATGGTTGTTGGGTAGGGAGAGAGAAGGCACAAGGGTCTTCAGTGGGATTGGGAAGGTATTATTTCTTGAGGCAGGTTGTGGTAAAAGGTATTTGTTTTAATCGTTTTTAATAACTTTTGTGTATGTTTTGATATTTAGTATTTGATCAAACTCCAAGCAACTGGATTCATGGCCATTGTGAGCTTGCACTTTGCAGCAGGAGAGCTGACTGCATCTGTGACGGCTCGGACGGCCTGGGACGGTCGTTTCTTTTCTGAGACAGGGTCGTTCTCTGTCACCCAGGCTGGAGCACAGTGGCGCGATCACGGCTCACTGCAGCTTCAACCTCCCGCCTCAGCCTCCCAAGTAGCTGGGACCACAGGCGTGCACCGTTGTGCCCAGGTCTAAGTGTTTCGATTTAGAAATGGTTTCCTCTTAGGTGGGAACCACTCCTGCTCCTCACTGAAGTGACCTCAGCGAATGAAGTGTGGGTGACCTCGAACAGCACAGCGTTAGTCTTTGTCTCTGATAACGTCAGGGAAGAATTGGAGGAAGTGCAGGATCTTCTGTGCAGGACGCTGCCCCTCCCCGTCCAGCTGAGCTTTCCTGAGGAAGCTCTGGATGTCGCCCGTGTCTGTTGCTCATGTGTTTGTTTCTCCCTTTTGCTTCTCTGCCGGCTCAGAGGAGAGGAGACGCCGTGAGCGGGACGACCAGATGTACCGAGAGCGGCTGCGCACCTTGCTGGTCATCGCGGTTGTCATGAGCCTCCTGAATGCTCTCAGCACCAGCGGAGGCAGCATTTCCTGGAACGACTTTGTCCACGAGATGCTGGCCAAGGGCGAGGTGCAGCGCGTCCAGGTGGTGCCTGAGAGCGACGTGGTGGAAGTCTACCTGCACCCTGGAGCCGTGGTGTTTGGGCGGCCTGTGAGTGAGGGTGCGGGAGGCCTGTGAGTGAGGGTGTGGGCACAGGCTGGCAGCCTGTGAGAGTGAGGCTGTGGGCTCCTGTGAATGAGGGTGTGGGCGCTGGCTGTTGCCATCCTTTTGGATACCTGTGATTGAGGGCATGCTTCTTTCTCATGCAGGGACCTCAGCCCATTGATTTGCATTTATTTGGTTGCCTTTGTTTTTGTTTTTGTTTTTGAGACAGTCTCGCTCTGTTGGCCAGGCTGAAGCGCAGTGATGTGATCTTGGCTCACTGCAACATCTGCCTCCCGAGTTCAAGGGATTCTCCTGGCTCAGCCTCCCGGGTAGCTGGGATTACAGGCGTGCACCACAACGCCTGGCTAATTTTTGTAGTTCTAGTAGAGATGGGGTTTCTCCATGTTGGGCAAGGCTGGTCTCGAACTCCTGACCTCAGGTGATCTGCCCACCTTGACCTCCCAAAGTGCTGGGATTACAGGCGTGAGCCATCGTGCCCAGCCAGATCTGGTAACTTTAGATTCCAAGAGTGCGTCAGAACATGTGCTTGGAGCAATTTAACCCAGGGTAATGTGTGGACCAGTGATTAGGAAAGTGGTCTGGGGTTGGTGTGGCCCACCCCCGGGTCTGGAAATGACCGTGGCCTCCACCAGAGCTTCTGCCCCTTTGCTGGGTTACTCAGGATTCAGAATGCTTTTTCCTTTTCTTTTGCTTTTTTTTTTTTTTTTTGGAGACAGAGTCTCCCTCTGTCTCATCCAGGCTGAGATGCAGGGGTGTGTGTGATGTCGGCTCACTGCAGCCTTGATCTCCTGGGCTCAGGTGATCTACCCACCTCAGCCTCCCCTGTAGCTGGGATGGCAGGCGCGCACCACCACACTTGGCTAATTTTTAAATTTTTTGTTTTTTTGGAGAGATGAGGTCTCACTATATTGCCCAGGCTGGTCTTGAACTCCTGGCCTCAAGTGATCCTTACACCTTGGCCTTCCAAAGTGCCAGATCACAGGCGTCAGCCACCACGCCTGGCGCTGTCTTGCTATTTTTAAAAACAGGAAACCTTGTTCTTAAAATACACCATGGCTAAGTGCAGAAGACGGTGCTCATTCACGTAAATCCTCTGGTGGATGCCTGATTATTTCAGTCTGGAAGGTTATTTTAACCTACAACACTATGCTCAGCTCTAGACGAGTCACCTGATAAAACAGCTGCCTTAAAGAGAAAATGCTCAGAATTCTGTCTTAGCAGTTTGGGGTGTGAGTGAGGGAGCAGCAGGTGCCATCCCCACCCCTCATCCCTGTCCTCTGCTGGAGTTTCCAGTTAACCTCAAAGAGAGTCCCGCAAGTCCGTCTGTGTCCTCCCTTTGGGGTGTTGCCGTCCAGTCATGCTGAAATCTGAGCTAAACATGCGGAGTTTACTTAGGAAAACGCTGCGTTTGGAGAATCGTGTGCCAGGGAGACGGACCTGTTGGTGTCCTGGTGTGAGGGATGAACAGTCTCAGGTTTTGTGGTTAAACATGAACCCTCTGTGGCCGCAGTTTCCTAAAACATCTGTTTTTGGCCGTAGTCTTGATTTTGCCATCCTCAGTCCCGTGCTGCAGCCTCGCCGGCCTCTGGGGGGCTCCTGCTGTGTCTGCAGGTGTAGCTGAGTCTGAGGCACACATCAGACGTGGGGCTGTGAGCTAACTTGCAGACATCCCTCCATTTCTTAGTTTTCCTATGAGTGGAAAATAGAAAGTCTATCTGTTGAAATTTTATTTCTCAAATTGTGGTTGAGGAAACAAATTTTTTAGACTTGGAAGTACAGATGTTCCTTGAATTAGGATATTTTCAGCTTCCCAGGGGCTCACTGGGAGGTAGCCCCATCGTAGGTCAAGGAGCTTAGTGTGCATATTGCTTTTACACCATTGTAAAATGGAAAGACCGTAAGTGGAACCGTCGTACGTTAGGAATCACCTCTAGTTTCTGAATGGTGTCCTCTTCACAATGCTGAGGTTGTCATTACCATGAGTTCCAGGCGGGCTCTCTGTTGACTGTAGGGTTGCTCGTCTGTCCCTGCGTTTCTCATGGTCCCCTCTCCTTTCTGCCCCCCAGCGGCTAGCCTTGATGTACCGAATGCAGGTTGCAAATATTGACAAGTTTGAAGAGAAGCTTCGAGCAGCTGAAGATGAGCTGAATATCGAGGCCAAGGACAGGATCCCAGTTTCCTACAAGCGAACAGGATTCTTTGGAAAGTATGTTGGATGTATTTGTTGATGCTTGAACTAAACCTAACTTGGCTTTGTAATCTGAGAAACAGATTGCAATCAAAAATCTCAAACTGTCTTTGCCTATAGTTAACTAGACTTTTTAGTGGGAGGGTTAAATAAATATAGAAGTGAATGATACAATGCCAGGAGATTTGGAAATATAGTTATCCCTGGGTATCCATGGGGGCTGGTTCTCGGACTTCCCAAGGATACCAGCACCTGAGGATGCCTAAGCCCCTGGTGTAGGATGCTGAAGTCTAAGCCCCTGATGTAGATGCCGAAGTCTCAGCCCCCGACGTAAGATGCCGAAGTCTCAGCCCCCGACGTAGGATGGCGAAGTCTCAGCCCCCGACGTAGGATGCCGAAGTCTCAGCCCCCGACGTAGGATGCCGAAGTCTCAGCCCCCGACGTAGGATGCCGAAGTCTCAGCCCCCGACGTAGGATGGCGAAGTCTCAGCCCCCGACGTAGGATGGCGAAGTCTCAGCCCCCGACGTAGGATGGCGAAGTCTCAGCCCCTGGTGTAAAATGCCGAAATCTTTGTGTGTAACCTAAGAACATTCTCTGATATGCTTTAAATCATCTGTAGGTTGATAATAATACCCAATACCCTGTAAATACTATTTCAATCGTTGTTATACTTTAGGGAATAATGACAAAAATGTGTCTGTGCATGTTGAGTATAGATGCACGTTTTTCCCCAGATACATTCATTCTGTGCTTGGTTAAACCTGCAGAGATGAAACCTGTGGCTGTGGAGGCCAACCGTGTGCAAGTCCGTTGGAGTTTGTTTAGTCACTTTCTTTAGTTGTGTGGCGCTTCTGAATTCACATTCTTGTATAATTTTCACTGACTGTGCTCTTTGATGAAAGCTTCCCAAATGGTCAGAGTGAGTGTGCAGATGCCGGAGATACCTAGTGATCTGGCCAGCCTTGTGACAATAACAACGTTCAGCTTTTTCTATTTTCAGTATATTTTGTTTTCAAAAGTAAGCGATCACTTTCAGTTAGCAAGGCAAGATCAGCCTAGCAGTAAGAAAGAAAGTCAAGGAGGACCGTGATAATGTCCTGGGCTTGCTCTCTTCTACAGACAGGAAAATGGAACGGGAAAAGGGTAGACACAGGAAGGTGAAATTCTCATTTCAGTGTTGAGAGGGAAACAGACCAGGTGGGAGCTGTCAGCACGTATGGACCATGGACCCTGACAGGTTCCTTAGTAGGACAAATGAGGGGCCAGCGGGTACTGAAACAGAGGTTTATTGTTGACTTGTAATCTCTGAAGATGTAGAATGCCAGTGACTGGCAAGTACTCCCTTGATCAAAATGTACCTCTAGCCGGGTGCAGTGGCTATGCCTGTAATCCCAGCACTTTGGAAGGCTGAGGCAGGGAGGATCTCTTGAGCCCACAAGTTCGAGACCAGTCTGGGCAGCATGGAGAACCCCATCTCTACAGAAAAAAAAAAAAGATGCACCTTTAATTCTATAACCCAGCAACACCTGGAAGATCACTGCTCTGAGGCTGTGTGTCTCATGTCTTTGTAGGCCAGTGATGTACAGAAGATGGAGGGTTGGGGCAGGCCCATTCTCGTGTCTTCGTAGGCCGATGATGGACAGAAGGTGGAGGTTTGGGCCGGGCGCGGTGGCTCACGCCTGTAATTCCAGCACTTTGGGAGGCCGAGGCGGGCAGATCACGAGGTCAGGAGGTCGAGACCATCCTGGCTAACACGACGAAACCCCGTCTCTACTAAAAATACAAAAAAAATTAGCCGGGTGCGGTGGCGGGTGCCTGTAGTCCCAGCTACTCGGGAGGCTGAGGCAGGAGGATGGCGTGAACCCGGGAGGCGGAGCTTACAGTGAGCCAAGATAGCACCACTGCAGTCTGGCCTGGGTGACAGAGCCAGACTCCATCTCAAACAAAAAAAAAAAAAAAAGAAGAAGATGGAGGTTTGGGGCAGGCCCATTCTCATGTCTTCGTAGGCCGATGATGTACAGAACAGAAGATGGAGGGTTGGGGCAGGCCCATTCTCGTGTCTTTGTAGGCTGATGATGTACAGAAGATGGAGGGTTGGGGCAGGCCCAGGGCAGCCCCTCCTCAGGATGAGGGCAAAAGTCCTGGGATTTGCTTTTTTTTTTTTTTTTTTTTGGAGTCAGGGTCTCACTCTGTCGCCCAGGCTGGAGTGCAGTGGTGCAATCTCAGCTTACTGCAGCCTCGACCTCCCAGGATCAGTGATTCTCCCACCTCAGCCTCCTGAGTAGCTGGGACTACAGATGCACACCACCACATCCAGCTAAGTTTTTTTGTATTTTTAGTAGACACAGGGTTTATTCTTACATTTTTCTTTTCTTTTTGAGATGGAGTCTTGCTCTGTAGCTCAGGCTGGAGTTCAGTGGCACGATCTTGACTCACTGCAGCCTTCACCTCCTAGGTTCAAGCATTTCTCCTGCCTCAGCCTCCCAAGTAGCTGGGATTGCAGACGCATGCCACCATGTCCAGCTAATTTTTGTATTTTTTTAGTAGATATGGGGTTTTACCATGTTGGCCAGGCTGGTCTCAAACTCCTGACCTTGTGATTCACCCGCCACGGCCTCCCAAAGTGCTAGGATTACAGGCGTGAGCCACCGCGCCCGGCCTGAGATTTGCTTTTTACTCTTAGGCTGATCTTGCCTGCCTGATTGAAGCTGATCGCTTACATTTGAAAACAAAATATACTGAAAATAGAAAAACCTGAACGTTGTTATTGTCACAAGGCTGGCTAGATCTCCGGCATCTGCACACTCAGTCTGACCATTTGGGAAGCTTTCATGAAAAAGCACAGTCAGCGAGAATGAGACGAGAGAACCCATTTCCACAACCATTTTAATCTGCGCATCGGTCCCAGACGTAGGGATTCCTCGTCTCATCTTGGAAACATTGCCAGCAGTGGTTCTGATTTGGAAGCCTGCGTCTGTCACGTGACACCGTCTGAGCCTGTGCCTGCCTCTCTTTCTTCCGGCAGTGCCCTGTACTCTGTGGGGATGACGGCAGTGGGCCTGGCCATCCTGTGGTATGTTTTCCGTCTGGCCGGGATGACTGGAAGGGAAGGTGGATTCAGTGCTTTTGTAAGTTCTGTAAATCAGAGCTCTCTGAACTCTTTCTGGTTTGTGTTTGCTGAATACTTTTCCCATAAGCTATACGATGAATACACAGGGAAAACCTGTTGCAGAGAGTAGCCTGAAGCCACAATTAGACAGCAGCTCACCTTCCTTTCCCATGGTCCGGCTGTAAGGCGTGTAGTAACCAATGTTGCCTGAGGGCCTCTCACCCCTAACTCTGGGGTGCCTGAGCCTTGTGAGATTACAGGGCAGTTGAATCTGCGTTTTTCTTTTCTTTTTTTTTGAGACGGAGTTTCGCCCTTCTTGCCCAGGCTGGAGTGCAGCCGTGCGATCTCAGCTCACCGCAACTTGCACCTCCCGCATTCAAGCAATTCTCCTGCCTCAGCTTCCCGAGTAGCTGGGATTACAGGCACGCGCCACCACGTCCAGCTAATTTTGTATTTTTGGTAGAGACGGGGTTTCTCCATGTTGTTCAGGCTGGTCTCGAACTCCCGACCTCAGGTGATCCTCCCGCCTCAGCCTCCCAAAGTGCTGGGATTATAGGCATGAGCCACTGCACCTGGCCTTTCTTTTTTGTGTGTGTGTGTGTGTGACAGAGTCTGGCTCTGTTGCCCAGGCTGGAGTGCAGTGGTGCGATCTCAGCTCACTGCAACCTCTGCCTCCTGGGTTCAAGCGATTCTCCTGCTTCAGCCTTCCAAGTAGCTGTGACTACAGGTGCCTGCCACCACACCCAGCTAATTTTTTTGTATTTTTGGTAGAGACAGGTTTCACCGTGTTAGCCAGGGTGGTCTCGATCTCTTGACCTCGTGATCCGCCCATCTCGGCCTCCCAAAGTGCTAGGATTACAGGCGTGAGCCACCATGCCTGGCTGAGTAATTTTTTTTAAAGCAAATTGCTAGATAAGTTTCTTACTAATTAATGACGAAACATTTCCCTTCTGTGCTTGAAGACTGACTGTGAGCCTCGTCAGCCTGACATGAGTGAAGCCTTGGGATCCTAGGATGGAGACGTGGGGTTGGGGCGGCTCAGGTGCGTGGGCTGAGCGCTGGCATCGTGCTGCTGATTTCCTGACTTCGCCCAGCTCCTTGCACTTTGTTCTTTCTGCACAGAATCAGCTTAAAATGGCTCGTTTCACCATTGTGGATGGGAAGATGGGGAAAGGAGTCAGCTTCAAAGACGTGGCAGGAATGCACGAAGCCAAACTGGAAGTCCGCGAGTTTGTGGATTATCTGAAGGTGAAAGCAGCGTGGGCCGGGAGGGAGGTGTGAGCAGAGGCCGGCCGTCCTCCTCTCCCAGAAGGGCTCCTGCGGGACCTGGAATTCCATCGATGACGTGTCGTGGGTTGGCGGTGACCTCTACCATGTCCCATGGGGACACCAAGCAGGTGCTGGTGCCTGTTCAACCAGCAGCACAAGCCTCGTGCACATGGTTCAGCCAAGCAGAGGCTGCCAAGACCCATGCCTACTGTGCCGTTAGCCGTCCTGGGCCCTTCATCCCTTGCAAAGCTCTGTGCTTTTTCCAGAACCACATAAACACCTTAGCCAGTTGGTGGCAGTGCATGAGCTGCCTATCACGTGCGTCACTTACACGTTTCCTCCGCGGGCCTGGTACGGTGGGTCGCACCTGTAGTCCTGGCACCTCGAGGGGCTGACATGTGTTCCCTCTGCAGGCCTGGTACAGTGGGTCACGCCTGTAGTCCTGGCACCTCGGGGCGCTGAGGCAGGGGAGTGACTGAGCCCAGGAGTAGGAGATCAGCCTGGGCAACAGTGAGACCCTGTCTCTGCAAAACATTTTTTTATTTAATTAATTTTTTTTTTCGAGACAGAGTCTCACTTTGTCACTCAGGCTGGAGTGCAGTGGCACAATCTCGGCTCACTACAACCTCCACCTCCCCAGTTCAAGTGATTCTCCTGCCTCAGCCTCCCGAGTAGCAGGGATCACAGGCGCCCACCACCATGCACGGCTAATTTTTGTATTTTTAGTAGAGACGGGGTTTTTCCATGTTGGCCAGGCTGGTCTCAAACTCCTGATCTCAAGCTACGCGCCTGCCTCAGCCTCCCAAAATGTTGGAATTCCAGGTGTGAGCCACCGCACCTGGCCTGCAAGAAGTTTTTAAAAGTAGCTGGGCGTGGTGCCACATGCCTGTATATTCCCAGCTACTCGAGAGGCTGAGGTGAGAGGGTGGCTTGAACCCAGGAGTTTGAGGCTGCAGTGAGCTATCATGGCACCCACTGCACTCCAGCCTGCGTGACCCAGAGAGACCTTACCTCTAAAAAACAAAAAAACGGAATCCCCAAGTAGTTAGTGTTGCATTGTCTGCTGCCGTCCAGAGCCCAGAACGCTTCCTCCAGCTTGGCGCCAAGGTCCCAAAGGGCGCACTGCTGCTCGGCCCCCCCGGCTGTGGGAAGACGCTGCTGGCCAAGGCGGTGGCCACGGAGGCTCAGGTGCCCTTCCTGGCGATGGCCGGCCCAGAGTTCGTGGAGGTCATTGGAGGTAGGTGCTGTGGTTGGGGGCTGTGGGTGGGCTTGGCTGACTACCTGGCTCCTTTCACACATCCTTCCTCTGGTGTCTGGACTGAAAGGGACACGGGTGGGTGGGGGAGTAGAGAAGGAAAGCGAGGTCTGGGTTGGCGGAGGGGTTTTGTCTGCGAAGCACATGATGTTTGCTTCAAAGCCACCGTCACTTGTGGCCTGGGGGGCCAGCACGGTGCGTGTGAACCCTGAGGGGTGGCCAGGGGCCCCCGCGAGCAGCTGCCGTGTGTCTGTTTGTAGGGAATGGAGCTGGTAGCTTTAGTTGTCCTTGGTGTAGAACTTTGTCTGGCCCGGGTACAGGAAGAGGCTTTGTTTTTTATTAACTGCCCATTTCCTGATTCTCTCTGTGTCCCCTCAGGCCTCGGCGCTGCCCGTGTGCGGAGCCTCTTTAAGGAAGCCCGAGCCCGGGCCCCCTGCATCGTCTACATCGATGAGATCGACGCGGTGGGCAAGAAGCGCTCCACCACCATGTCCGGCTTCTCCAACACGGAGGAGGAGCAGACGCTCAACCAGCTTCTGGTAGAAATGGATGGTCAGTGCTCGTGCGCCCCGCACCCCCATTGCACCATCAGAGGAGGTTTTCCGATGTCTTTCAGAACAGGTTGTGGTGAGCCAAGATCGTGTCACTGCACTCCGGCCTGGGTGACAGAGTGAGACTCTGTCTCAAGAAAAAAAAAAAATAGAAATGTAGCTTTCAGACCCGGCGCAGTGGCTCACGCCTGTAATCCCAGCACTTTGGGAGGCCAAGACAGGCGGATCACCAGAGGTCAGGATTTCATGAGCAGCCTGGCCAACATGCTGAAACCCCATCTCTACAAAAATACAAAAGTCAGCCGGGTGTGGTGGCAGGTGCTTATAATCGCTAGTACTCTGGAGAATCGCTTGAACTCGGGAGGTGGAGGTTGCAGTGAGCCAAGATCTCACCATTGCACTCCAGCCTGCCTGGGTGACAGAGGGAGACTCCATCTCAAAAAAAAAAAAAAAAAAAACACAGCTTTTAATTAAAAAAAGGTCAAGACAATAGTAAAAAAGACAAGTAGGAATATAAGTGGTACGTCAGATGTAATCTTTCCTTTTCTTTTTTAGATAGTCTTGCTCTCTCTCCCAGGCTGGAGCGCAGTGGCACAATCTTGGCTCACTGCAGGCTCTGTCTCCCGGGTTCTCGCCATTCTCCTGCCTCAGCCTCTCGAGTAGCTGAGACTACAGGCGCCTGTCACCACGCCTGGCTAATTTTTTGTATTTTTAGTAGAGACGGGGTTTCACCGTGTTAGCCAGGATGGTCTCGATCTCCTGACCTCGTGATCCGCCTGCCTCGGCCTCCCAAAGTGCTGAGATTACAGACGTGAGCCTTAGCACCCAGGCTTTTTTTTTCATTATTACTGTTTTTTAGGGGCTTTGCAGCAAAACCCAGAGGGACTGCTAGACAGATTCTGGAAGAGCTGTGCCACTCATAATTTTAGGTGTAATGAGTCTGTCTGGTTGTGCTGCCACGTCTCTCCCTGTGCCCCCTGGAGAGGGTGTGACGCTGGTTAGAGGGCGGAGCAGAGCATCAGGGTGCTGCACTGCAGCGAGGGAGACACCCCATTTGTTGTGACCCCTTGAAAATGACTTCTGGTCTGGCTTTGACAATTTTTTTTTTTAATGGAGCTGACCCAATAAAGGTGACATGGAATTATTTTTCTTCTGAGCTAGTTTTGCAAGATTATTATTATTTTTTTTATGTGGATATTGTTGTGGTAAAATAGATAGCCAGGCTTGGTGGTGCAGGCCTGTGTTCCCAGCTGTTGGGGAGGCCGAGGCAGAAGGAGTGCTGGAACCTGAGCTAGGGAGTGTGCTGTGCGATGGTCTCGCCTGTGAACAGCCTCTGCATTGCAGCCTGGACAACACAGCGAGACCCTGTCTCTAAAAGACAATGAATACGTTCACATAGATTTACCATTTTAATCATTCTGAAGTTCATTGACATTCAGTATATTCGCACTGTTGAGCAACCGCCACCACCACGTGTCTCCAGAACTTTCTCTTCAAACCGAAAACCTGTCCCCATTCAACCCTCCCCATTCTCCATCCCCAGCCCCTTGCAGCCTGTGTCCCGCTGTCTGTCTCTGAGTTTGACTGTTGTAGGGACCTCATAGAATTGGAGTCCTACAGTGTCTGTCCTTTGCTATCCGCCTTCTTTCAAGCACATAACATCTCTAGGGGCCACCTGTACTGGGCACGTGTCAGGATTTCCTTCCTCTTTGAGGCTGAACGATGCTGCCTTGTGTGTAGGGGCTGCGTCTTGTTATTTGCCCGTCGGTGGACATGTGGACTGTGGTGAATCAGGCTGTGTTAACATAAGTACAAGCATCTTCTGAAGTCTCTGCTTTGTAAGATTTATTTTTAATCAGAATTCTAGTTACATTTTAGGTATTGTAGATGAGGGAGACTTTTTTTCCCCAAGTGTTCTGGCTCCGAGAGAGCCGTTGACTTCCTGTTTTCTTTGTTGCCTGTGGCTGTCTGGAGTCGTGTGTGTTAGCACACATGCACAGCCCAGTTTTGACTACTCAGCTAAGGGGGAGCTTGCTCCACCTCTCATTGCAAAATCACTTTAGACTTACAGAAGCGTTGCCACGGTAGTCAGAGTGTTCTTTGATGCCTTCCTGCAAGCTCCCTGAAGGCTGACTGTGACATACATGGTCTGCAGGTTCGGACCAGGCCACGCTGTCCGTGACTGCCCCCCAGACCCATCCACAGGTGCTTCCGCCCCCCCGATGTGGATGTTTGGTCTCCTTGGTCTCTTCCCCTCCTGTGTCATTTGTTGGTCTTGTTTTTTGAGACAGGGTCTTGCTGTGTTGTCCAGGTTGGTCTTGAACTCCTTGGCTCATGCAATCCTCCTGCCTCAGCCTCCCGAGTAGCTGGGATTACAGGTGGGCTTCACTGTTCCTCAGTGTTTGTCTTTGGTGACTGTGACACTGTACAGGCCAGTGACATTCAGGAATGTCATCTCTGGAACTGTGACATGTCCTCAGGATCAGGTCGAGCAGTGCATTTGGCAGGATTGGTGCAGCAGTGCTGTGGTGTGCCTTGAGGTTTACAGTGTCGCTGCACCTGTCGCTGGCGGTGGACTCTGCTGAGGACTTTGGCCCTGGGCTGGCATGCATCTCTTCTGGGTGCTCCATGTTCCCTGTGCTGGCGCCCGTCTCTTCTGGGTGCCCCGCGTTCCCGTCTGCCTCTGGGCTGCTGTGAAGTCAGGTAGACTGATGCCCACAGAAGTGTTCTCTAGGCTCTGAAAGCTCTGAGGTTAGAAGATGAAAGTGAGATTCCCGACAGTGTGCAGGACGCAACGACGTTTGCGGAGAATGCTTCACACCTCTCCTGCTGCTTGTCCCCCGTGTCTCCAGTCGTCTCTCAACACGCTTATTCAGGAACTAACGCGTGAGCAACCGAGACCTGAATGGCTGCCTTCTGCACACACAGCAAGTGGTCATGGGAGTCGAGTTTTCAGAGAACACAATGTCTTCAGAGATGTGGGGTGAGCAGTTCAGATTCTGTGATGTCTGAGGTGTCACTGAGGAGAGACCCGTCCTCAGAGGTGGGTCCTTGGGGTTCAGGGACCCCACCGCCTCTGCTGGGAGAGCTGCCCTGTACCTCAAGCGGAGATCACCATGCGTTTTAGAGGCCTCTGGAGCCTACAGGCTCGCTGTACTGCTTCTCTGCAGAGCATCTTTATGTGGCCTCTCTGGTGCTGTGTGGCCTTCAGTGTGGCCTCTCTGGTGCTGTGTGGCCTTCACTGTGGCCTCTCTGGTGCTGTGTGGCCTTCACTGTGGCCTCTCTGGTGCTGTATGGCCTTCAGTGTGGCCTCTCTGGTGCTGTGTGGCCTTCACTGTGGCCTCTCTGGTGCTGTGTGGCCTTCACTGTGGCCTCTCTGGTGCTGTGTGGCCTTCACTGTGGCCTCTCTGGTGCTGTGTGGCCTTCAGTGTGGCCGCTCTGGTGCTGTGTGGCCTTCAGTGTGGCCGCTCTGGTGCTGTGTGGCCTTCAGTGTGGCCTCTCTGGTGCTGTGTGGCCTTCAGTGTGGCCGCTCTGGTGCTGTGTGGCCTTCAGTGTGGCCTCTCTGGTGCTGTGTGGCCTTCAGTGTGGCCTCTCTGGTGCTGTGTGGCCTTCAGTGTGGCCTCTGGTGCTGTGTGGCCTTCAGTGTGGCCTCTCTGGTGCTGTGTGGCCTTCAGTGTGGCCGCTCTGGTGCTGTGTGGCCTTCAGTGTGGCTCTGACCATTGCTTCTGGAGGCTGCTCAAGGATGGGTGGGTGGTTTGGGTTTTGAGGAAATCTGCAGAGCACCTTGGGTTCTGGCCGCAGAGTCTGAGGACTCTCGGTGAGGCGGGTGAGGCGGGTGAGGCGGGTGAGGTCAGGTGAGGCAGGTGAGGTGAGGCGGGTGAGGTCAGGTGAGGCGGGTGAGGTCAGGTGAGGCAGGTGAGGTGAGGCGGGTGAGGTCAGGTGAGGCGGGTGAGGTGAGGCAGGTGAGGTGAGGTGGGTGAGGCGGGTGAGGGCGGGTGAGGCGGGCGAGGTGGGCGAGGCAGGCGAGGCGGGTGAGATCGGGCGAGGCGGGCGGCTGCGCTGCTCTGGCTGTGTGGCGTGGACACCAAGGTCTTCGTCCTGTGAGTCTGCGGCCTTCTTCTCCAACCAGGTGCCTCTCTTGACCAGCTACCCTCCCAGGGGACCATGAGGAAGCTCAGAGGAAAGACCCCCGCCTGCTCCTGTCTCACGGAGCCCACAGGGTCACGGAGGGCAATGGAGGGTCATTCGCTCTGCTGGGGTTGCCTTTTGCACTGAAGATAGAGACCACCTTTTTGAGTGACTTGAGCCCAAAGGCAAGCGTATATCAAACGATCTTCTCCACATAACCTCTCTGTGCCATCATAAGAATAGCTGCTTCCGCCCCCGGATTTGCTCAGGCCTGGGAATCCGCTGACTGAAGGCCTCTTGTTGAGTGCCAGCTCTAAACAAGTCCCTTTATGCAGAGCCACAGCTGTGCATGCTCAGCCCTGCCGAGGTCCCAGGCCAGGCTTTGTTGCTTCCGTTCATGGAAGCGCACAGGATAGGGCCGACGCTGTGCCGGTCGTGGGGAAATCTCACTGGGGAAGAGAAAAGCCCAAGCCTTGTTGGTTACGTCAGCCGGTCCATGGCGGTGTCCTGCGGACCCCAGAGCCCCCGGGAAGGGCGCAAGTCAAAGAGCACTGGAGGCACCGCCGGCGATGGACGTCCAGGTCCCGGCTCCTGTGCTGGAAAGCGTTGATGGGGAGCGTCGGCGCTGACCACACGCGGGAGCTGCGGAAGCCCAGCGGTTCACACAGGCCTCCCTTCAACGTAGTCATCCCCTGGTGGTGGAAGCAAGACGACGGCCCCTGACGTGCAGCCACACACAGAAAAGGCTGCTGTGAACATTTTATGCTTCGACTTTTTTTTTCTTCAGAGACAGGGTGTCGTTCTGTCGCCCAGGCTGGAGTGCAGTGCCACCATCATAGCTCACTGCAGCCTCCACCTCCTAGGCTCAAGCTTCCTAAGTAGTTGGGACTCAAGGCTTGAGTCACCATGCCAGGCTCTGTTTTTTCAGTCTGTGAAAAATAAAGTCATCAGCATGTGAGCTTGGCAGTGCTTGCCGTGAGCTCTTTCAGGTCCAGGCTCCCAGTGTCTGGGCAGTGAATGAGGTCCTGGGAAGCTGGGGTCCTGGTCCTGGTCCCAGTGTGACCCGGGACACCCCTACCTTTGTCCTTAATGTGGCAGTAAATGTATCAAGCACGCTCTGCCCTGGGAGCCGTGGACTGCCTGCCAGGTGGGTAGATGGGCGCTGGCAGAGGGAGAAGCTGAGGCCCAGCAGGAGCCGGCCGTCTGACTCACAACTCACGCCCGCCGACTGCCCCTGTACTTCCCTGGGGGTTGCGAGCACTGCCGAGCCCTGGGTGACGCTGGTGTGGCCAGGCTGGAGCGCAGAGAACCACACTTGGGGTTCAGAGTGTGTTCTCCCACTCAGAAGCATTGGCTCTGCCGGGAGCGGGATGGGGATGCAGCTTTCTTCCCCATTTTAGACCTCAGGTTGGAAGGGCGCACTCAGGTGGCAGCAGCCACTTCGGGTTGGGCGTCTCGTGCTGTCCTGGTGCGTTGAGACATCCCTCAAAGAAAGCACGAGTACCCTCCACACCCACATAGCCAGGGCATCCACTGTCACCACTCCATGTGGAAGTCCTGTTGGTAAAATCTTGACAAGAGCCATTTAGAGAGCACGGGGGGAAATTCTCCCAGGTCCAAGCAGAATGGACAGTGAGCCTGGGGGACGGATGGACAGGAGGAGGCCTGGGCTTCTGGGCTCCGCAGGCAGGGAGGGGCCGGCAGTGTGGCTTATTCCCCGGGTGGACGAGGAGCCCTGGGCTTCTGGGCTCCGCAGGCGGGGAGGGGCCGGCAGTATGGCTTATTCCCACTTGAGTCAGCTCTTGAGCACTTGCTCGTGGCCCAGAGGTGATGCTGCTGTTTCTGCCCTCTGTCCTCTCAGAGGAAGTGGGTGCTGGTTCAAGGATCTCAGGCTCTGAGCGGGAGAGCGGGGTCAGGTCTAGCTTCTGTCCGTGGCTTGCTCCCTGTGGTGCTGCCTCTGCCTGCCCTGCCGTCTTCCACATGCGTCTCCAACAGGGAATGGAAGGAGCCTCTGACCCAAAAACATCCCCCAAACTGTCGGGTCCTGCGGCAAGTTGAGGGCCTCTCAGGGGTCCTGTCTGCGGCCCTGTGGGAAGTGAGGCTGTGGCAGCCGGTCCTTTATCCTGAGTTTGGTTGCTTGTTTTTTGGACAATGTCTTAGGTCCCAGTGATGGTGGACCAGCAGGCAGCCCTGAACACTGAGGATACTGTGGGAAACCCAGGCAGGAGCTAAGGGGTGGGAGCTCAGGGCTTGGGGGTGCAGATCTCGAGGCCCAAGGGGCCATTTTCCCAGTGGGTGTCTTGACTGAGTTCTGAGTGTTTTCCAGGGCTCTGAACACAGCCCTTTTTTGGACATGTGGTTTACGCACTCTATGTGTCCCTTGTCCTTTCACCCTCTAACGGGGAACAGCAAAAGCTGCTCATTTTGATAAAGTTCAGTTTATCAATTTTTGCTTTTATAGATCTCGTTTTTACTGTGAAGTCTAAGAACTGTTTGCCCGCCGGGCATGGTGGATCACCTGAGGTCAGGAGTTCAAGACCAGCCTGGCCAATATGGAGAAACCCCATCTGTACTAAAAATACAAAATTAGCCGGGTGTGGTGGCGTGTACCTGTAATCCCAGCTACTTGGGAGGCTGAGGCAGGAGAATCGCTTGAACCCGGGAGGCGGAGGTTGCAGTGAGCCAAGATCGCACCATTGCACTCCAGCCTGGGCAAAAAAGAGCGAAACTCCTTCTCAAAAAAACAAATAAATAAAAGAACTGTTTGCCTATTCCTAGATCCTAAAGATTTTCTCCTGTGGGTTTCTTTTTTCTTTTCTTTGAGACAGAGTCTTGCTCTGTCACCCAGGCTGGAGTGCAGTGGTGCGATCATGGGTCACTGCAGCCTCAGCCTCTGGGACTCAAGCCGTCCTCCCGTCTCAGCCTCCTGAGTAGCTGGGACCACAGGTGTGTGCACCAACATGCCTGGCTAATTAAAAAAGAATTTTTTTTGTGTAGTTGGGGGTCTCACCTTGTTGCCCAGCCTGCTCTTGAACTCCTGGGCTCAAATGATCTTTTCACCTCAGCTCCTCAAAGTGTGGGGAATACAGGTGTGAGCCCCCATGCCTGGCCTCTCATGGGTATCTTATAGAAGTTTTATATTTAATCCATGATCTTATTTTAAGTTAACGTCTACATGAAGTGGGAGGTTTGGTCAGGTTCATTTTCTGCCTGTGGAAAAGTGCTCCAGCCCCACTGGTCTGAAATGCTGTCTTCTTTCCACCAAGTTGTGCTTGCACCTTTGCCGGAGCTCAGGTGCAT
This sequence comes from Homo sapiens, assembly GCF_000001405.40. Lineage (NCBI taxonomy): Eukaryota > Metazoa > Chordata > Mammalia > Primates > Hominidae > Homo > Homo sapiens. The sequence continues at coordinate 89,540,064 of NC_000016.10, forward strand.
GTGGGGGTCTGTGCTGGCTCTGTGAGTCTGTCCTTCCGCACACAACTGGTCTCTCGCTTCTGTGAGACGAGAGCAGGTGGAGTGATTCCTCCCACTTTGTTCTTTACCAGAATTGTTTCAGCTATTCCTTTGCCTTTTCCTGTAATTTTTAGAATACGCTTGTTCCTATCTACCAAAGTATCTTGCTGAGATTTTGATAGGAACACACACCTCTTAGGAGAGCTAGAGTAAAGAGCAGTGACCGGCCCAGATCTGGGCCATACGTGTGATCCCAGCATTTTGCGCGTCTGAGTTGGAAGCATTACTTTAGCCCGGGAGTTTGAAACCAGCCTGAGCAACATAGTGAGATTCTGTCTCTAAAAAAATACAAAAATTAGCTGGCAGTGGTGGTGCGCACCTGTAGTCTTAGCTGCTCAGAAGATTGAGGTGGGAGGATCACTTGAGCCTGGCAGTTCGAGGCTACAGGGAGCCGTGGTCACCCCACTGCACTCCAGCCTGGGCAACAGGGCGAGACCCCATCTCAAAAACAAAACAAAACTCAAAAAACAGTGACAACACCACACGCTGCTGAGGATGCAAAGAAACCAGATCCCTTGTACGCTGCTGATGGGGGTGTGACGTGGTGCAGCCTCACTGGGAAACAGTTTGGCAGCTTCTTAAAAAACTAAACGTGTGCTCACCATGTGACCCCGTGTCCACATGCGCTCACCACATGACCCCGCATCCACCCTCCTGGGTGCTCATCCCAGGAAAGCAAAGACTTAGGCTCACACGAAATGCCTGGGCGCCGACGCTCATTTACCTGTAATAGCTAAAAACTGGAAGTGACCCAGGTGCCATTCAGTGGCTGAGAGCTGAAACTGGTGTATCCTTATCACAGTGTTCTACGCAGAAATAGAAGAGCTGAAACTGGTGTATCCTTATCACGGCGTTCTACACAGCGACTAGAAGAGCTGAAACTGGTGTATCCTTATCACGGTGTTGTACGCAGAAATAGAAGAGCTGAAACTGGTGTATCCTTATCACGGTGTTGTACGCAGAAATAGAAGAGCTGAAACTGGTGTATCCTTATCACGGTGTTCTACGCAGAAATAGAAGAGCTGAAACTGGTGTATCCTTATCACGGTGTTCTACGCAGAAATAGAAGAGCTGAAACTGGTGTATCCTTATCACGGTGTTCTACGCAGCAATAGAAGAGCTGAAACTGGTGTATCCTTATCATGGTGTTCTATGCAGCAGTAGAAGGAAACTTTCTTCCTGCAGCAACAAGGAAATGACGCAAAGTGAGAAGAGCCAGGCTTAGTATCGTATGACTCCACTTGTACGAAATTGTCAAAATAACAAAATTCTGGGGATGGAGAACGGGTTACTGGTTGTCAGCAGTTAGGGGAGGTCTCCAGGGAGGAGGGATGCCTCTGGGGAGGGCGGTTCTGTGTCTTGAGGGGAGATGCTCGTTATGTGAACGTGCGTGTGACACAGGTGTCCATCTGTGGAGCACACACACAGGTGAGAGCACATAGGAGTGGGGGCATCTGAGCAGGGGCCTGGCGTTTCCATGTCAGTCTCCTGGCTTTGCCTTTGTTTTGCAGCTACTGAACGCACAGCTGCTGGGGGACCAGGGCCAAAGGGACTGCTCTGTGCTGTTTTTGCAATTTGTTGTGTGTCTGTTACCATCAGAATACAAAACTTAAAAAGTCACACCAGGGATCCGGTCCCAGAAAGTCCGTATCCTGAAACCGCATGTCCCTGACACATAGCTGCCCAGGGGGAGCATGTGTCCAGTCCCAGGAAGTCTGTATCCTGAAACCACATGTCCCTGACACATAGCGGCCCGGTAGGGAGCACGTGCCCTGCAGGGTGGCCACCCTGATACATAGCGGCCCGGTGGGGAGCACGTGCCCCGCAGGGTGGCCATCCTAACACATAGCGGCCCGGGGGGAGCACGTGCCCCGCAGGGTGGCCATCCTGACACATAGCCCGGTGGGGAGCACGTGCCCCGCAGGGTGGCTGGGCTCTGCTGAAGGCCGAGCTGTGCTTGAACCCGGCGCCGCCCCCTCTAGGAGCTCGCACTGCACCTCTTTGGCCTGGCTGCTGTTTTTCTTTGAGACCGGTGTTCCTATTACTTTTCCCATTTTTTTCACTGTTTATACAATCTTTCAGAATTCTGTATCCACAGCCCTGGCCTCTGCAAGGAAGGCGCTCCACGACACTGAGCAGTAAGCCTTGGCAGGCCTTCCAGACAGCTCTGGAGGGGCCAGCTTGGGTCCCAGTCCCCACCCTCCCCAGCCTCTTGTTCCTCGTGTCATAGTGAGACAAGGCACTTGTGCTTCTGCTGCCTGTTTTTGTTTCTGAGTTTATTTTAAAAGTCACCGTGATTTTAAGACACTGTCTTTGCCTTGGCGAGGTGATTCTCTTCTGTGATCTCCCTTGTAGAAATGTGACTGGGACTTAGCATCCCAGCTTATCACATTCTGACGTGTGGAACCAGGGAGAATGGTTGTGTCTTTCAAAGTTTCTTTGAAATTCGGGAGCGATTTGCTTGGGAGTGGGGTGTGTCTTGGACTGAGCTGCTGTCCAGACCTGGCGGCTACGGCTTAGTGAGGCTCAGGACAGTGGCCCTGGAGAAGCTGGTCAGGCCCCTCAGCCTCCTCAGAGCGTTCAAGGTCCTGTCCTAAGAACATGGGGTTGCTGGAGCCAGGGTCTCACTCCATTGCCCAGGCTGGAGTATAGGGGCATGATCATAGCTCACTGCAGCCTTCACCTCCTAGGCTCACATGGTCCTCCCACCTTGGCCTCCCAACGTGCTGGGATTATTAAGGGTTTCTTACATTAGTCACGGTAGATCCTGCTCTTACATTAGTCATGGTAGATCCTGTTCTTTTTTTTTTTTTTTTTTTTTTTTGAGACGGAGTCTTGCTCTGTCGCCCAGGCTGGAGTGCAGTGGCGTGATCTCGGCTCCCTGCAAGCTCCACCCTTCAGGTTCACGCCATTCTCCTGCTTCAGCCTCCGGAGTAGCTGGGACTACAGGCGCCCGCCACCACGCCCAGCTAATTTTCTGTATTTTTAGTAGAGATGGGGTTTCACTGTGTTAGCCAGGATGCTCTCCATCTGCTGACCTTGTGATCCGCCCTCCTCGGCCTCCCAAAGTGCTGGGATTACAGGCGTGAGCCACCGCGCCTGGCTATATCCTGTTCTTACATTAGTCACGGGTCCTGTTCTTACATTAGTCAAGGTAGGTCTTGTCGTATCTTTACTTTTAACACTGTTTATTGTGGACCTTTTCCTTTTTTTTTTTTTTTTTGAGAGTCTTGCTCTGTCGCCCAGGCTGGAGTACAGTGACACAATCTCGGTTCACTGTAACCTCTGCTTCCTGGTTCAAGCGATTCTCCTGCCTCAGTCTCCCGAGTAGCCAGGATTACAGGCATGCGCCACACCCAGCTAATTTTTGTATTTTAGTAGAAATGAGGTTTCACCCTTTTGGCCAGGATGGTCTAGAACTTCTGACCTCAGGTGATCCACCTGCCTCAGCCTCCCAAAGTGCTGGGATTACAGGCGTGAGCCACCGCATCTGGCCACCAGTGGATTCTTTTTTTTTTTTTTTTTTTTTCCTGACGGAGTCTTGCCCTGTAGCCCAGGCTGGAGTGCAGTGGTGTCATCTTGGCTCACTGCAACCTCCGCCTCCCAGGTTCAAGCGATTCTTCTGCTTTAACCTCCTGAGTAACTGGGATTACAGGTGCACGCCACCACACCCGGCTAATTTTTTGTATCTTTTGTGGGGTTTCACCATTTTGGCCAGTCTTCTCTTGGACTCCTGGCCTCGTGATCTGCCTGCCTCGGCCTCCCAAAGTTCTGGGACTACAGGCGTGAGCCACTGCACCTGGTGGACTGGATTCTTTTAAAGCAAACCCATAGTTTTGAATCTTATATGCTCTGAGTACGTTTCTTTAAATTCAGAGAAACACCACAGCATCATAACACCTGAACGTTCTTACGAGCATCCAGTCAGGTGTTCCCAGCAGCTTCATAAATCTCTTTTCGCAGTTGATTTATTCACATCAAGGGCCAGTCAAGGTTCACATACACCAGGGATCAGTGATCGTTTCTGGACTCACTTTTAAATTCTCCGATGACAAACGTCAAGCCTGAAACCCAGGGCCTAGGGCCAGACGTTGAAGATAAAATGTTTCCAAGTCACAGCCTAAAGCTGGGTGTTAGCTAAAATGTTACAAAGTCACAATAATGATGACAGGGCGGTGGGGGGTGGGGGGTGGCTGTTAGGACCGGCTCCCAGATGGCACCGTGAGGCAGGGAGAGGCTCCAGGATGCTGTAGGAGCTCCCGGAGGGCCTTGGACAGTTCTGCTGTTTGCACTTGTCAAAATAGGCAAATTCCTGTTCCTCCTGGTGATGCTGGCTGGGAGCGATGGGGGATCGCGGCTCCTAGTTCAGAAGGACCGGGCTGTTCCTTTCTCTCTGGGCCTTAGGGGGGTCTCTCTCCCTCCTGTGTCCTGAAGGGGAACCTGCAGGGGAAATCTGTTGTGTCAGGACCCCTACCCTCAGAGCCACTGTCTGCTCTGTCCCCTCAGGAATGGGTACCACAGACCATGTCATCGTCCTGGCGTCCACGAACCGAGCTGACATTTTGGACGGTGCTCTGATGAGGCCAGGCCGACTGGACCGGCACGTCTTCATTGATCTCCCCACGCTGCAGGTCAGAGCCAGGATCCCAGCCTCTCCCACTCCACCTGGGCCGCCCCCACTCGCTCTGAGTGGTCTGGCCTCTCCTCTAAGACACTTCTTGGTGTGAAGCCTGTCACAGCCCCACAGGTGCTGGCAGTGTCCAGCGTGGCCCCCGCATCGGCTGCACGCCCCCAGCAGACCTGCCCACCGGCTGCACTCACTGCTGTGGCCCCCACATTGGCTGCACGCCCCCTGGCAGACCTGCCCAATGGCTGCACTCACTGCTCGGGGTTTTGCAGTTCTGTTCACCTGCTATTGGTTTTCCTTTTATCCTGGGTATCAGTCTGGTTTTTATAGCAAATCCTTTGAAACAAAATCCAGGAGGAAAAATTGTGGGAAACTTTATTCTTGTGTGGCATCACTTCCTTCCATCCGTAGCGTGGGCTCTGGGGACGTGGACTGTGCAGCTGCCCTGAAATTGGGGTGGGAGTAGAAGTCCTGAGGCCTCTCGCCTGATCCCTCCTCTGTCACAGGGCTCTGGTTGGACGTTACACTTCCTGGCCAAAGGGCCTTTGTTGCTGCCCTGAGGGAGCAGGAGTTCAGCTCATGGAGCGGAGGGTTTGGAGAGAGGGCCTCCGGGTCTGCTGGTGGGTTAATGTTCCATCAGTGCAGCCTGGGGAGCAGGGCTGGGCTCAGCGGCTCTCAGCCGGTGCTCAGTCTCTGTTGGGATGGAGAGTGAAGGGCGGAGCAGAAGCCCTTCCCGCTGGGACACGGCTTCTCCAGGGGACACTGCTTCTCCAGGGGACATGGCTTCTCCAGGGGACACGGCTTCTCCAGGGGACATGGCTTCTCCAGGGGACACTGTTTCTCCAGGGGACACTGTTTCTCCAGGGGATGGCAGCTTCTCCAGGGGACACGGCTTCTCCAGGGGAGGGCAGCTTCTCCAGGGGAGGGCGGCTCCTGGCTTTTTGACTGTGTAAGAAACATTTTACATCAGGATTTAGACGCATGGAACATGTGTGGGAATTGGAAGTTTTGCAGAATAAGCATTTGCTGTGTGTGACGTGCTTCATTAGCTATTCTGCTATAATTTTTTCTTTTTTCTTTTTAATTTTTCTTTCAATTTTTAGAGAAAGGGTGTTGCGCTGTCACCCAGGCTGGAGTGCAGTGCTGCGATCACCACTCACTGCGGCCTCAACCTTCAGGGCTCAAGCTGAGGAGCTAGGACTACTATGGGCGTGCGCCGCCGTGCTGGTTAATTTTTAACAGAGTCTCGCTGTGTTGCCAAGGCTGGTGTCAAACCCCTGGCCTCAAGTGATCCCCACCCACCTCTCCTTCCAAGAGCGTTCTCTTTTTTTTTTTTTTGAGACAGTCTCACTCTATCCCCCAGGCTGGAGTGCAGCGGCGCGATCTCGGCTCACTGCAACCACCATCTCCCAGGTTCAAGTGATTGTCCCGCCTCAGCCTCCCGAGTAGCTGGGATTACAGGCACCCGCCGTCTTGCCTGGCTAATTTTTGTATTTTAGTAGGGATGGGGTTTCACCGTGTTGGCCAGACTGCCCACTTCAGCCTCCCAAAGTGCTAGGATTACAGGTGTGAGCCACCGGGCCCGGCCATCCAACAGTGTTCTGTTCGTGTTTAAAATGCTGCTTGTGGCCAGGCATGGTGGCTCACGCCTGTAACCCCAGCACTTTGGGAGGCCGAGGCAGGTGGATCACTTGAAGCCAGGAGTTCGAGACCAGCCTAGCCAACTTTGCGAAACCCCGTCTCTACTAAAAATACAAAACTCAGGCATGATGGCACACACTTGTAATCCCAGCTACTTGGGGACCCCCCCCCCCCACAGACAAACATGCCGCACCTGTGGCAGTAACTAGGCTTGAGCCCGACTGTCTTTCCTCCCCTGGTTCTGGCAGGAGAGGCGGGAGATTTTTGAGCAGCACCTGAAGAGCCTGAAGCTGACCCAGTCCAGCACCTTTTACTCCCAGCGTCTGGCAGAGCTGACACCAGGATTCAGTGGTACGTTCTCAACCCGCAGCCTGGGCAGCGTCACGTCCTGAGGGCAGGTGGTGTCACCTGCGCAAACAGCATCGAGGCCTCCTCTGTGGGGTGGGCGCTGCTCCTTCTCTGGGGGCCTCTGCTCAGTACAAGCCTGGGAGGGAGCTGATGTGTATGTGGGGCAGCAGGAGGTCCAGACGGCACCCGCACTCCGTCCTCCGCCCCGGGGTGGAAAAGCAGACGGTGGTTCCCGGTCTGTGTTGTTTCCAGAGATAGTGGAGTTATGTTGCTTCCACACAGTGACCAGTCATGCCGGCGTTTCCCGTCAGACCCAGAGTCAGACCACGCAGTCCCGGCAAAGCCGCCTCCCTCTGACCCTCACGGTCTCTGTCAAGTTGTAGAAATAGAAATCATACCTCAAGATGCTTTTCCTGCTGTGTGGTTCACATTTTAAAAGTTAATGTCAACAAACCTCCCTTTTATTATGAGATGAATTTGCCCTTTGATTATTCGTTAGGGTCTTTCACTAGAATTTTGTGGTTACTAGAGAGCCTTTAATTTCTTTGCCATCAATGCTCATGAGCTGTTAGGTGGAATCAGCCACAAGATGGGGTGTGGAACTAACTGCCCTTGGGAGGAGAGACGGGCGTCAGGGCGGATGGAGCCTGGCGGTTCTGTGTCTCGTCTGTGGAATGGCCTCAGTGGAACACGGTGCAAGTGCCTGCCGCTCTCCCCACCCCTGCTCCTGGCGCCGGCGCCTGCCGCTCTCCCCAGCTCTGCTCCTGGCGCCAGCTCCCCGTGCCTCTCTCCCAGACGCTCTCACCAGCACTCTTGGTTCTTGGTCTCTTTTCCCTCTTTGTTCTTCCTTTTATTTATTTACTTATTTATTTTGAGACAGAGTCCTACTCTGTCGCCCAGACTGGAGTGCAGTGGCGTGATCTTGGCTCCCCGCAGCCTCCGCCTCCTGGGTTCAACCGATTTTCCTGCCTCAGCCTCCTGAGTAGCTGGGATTACAGGCGCTCACCACCACGCCCGGCTAATTTTTGTATTTTTAGTAGCAATAGGGTTTCACCCTGTTGGCCAGGCTGGTCTCAAACTCCTGACCTCAGGTGATCTGCCCACCTCAGCCTCCCAAAGTGCTGGGATTACAGGGGTGAGCCACCATGCCCGGCCATCTTTGTTCTCCCTTGAGGGCCCCTTCCTCCTCTTAAGCCCTGATAGCAGAAACCCACCCACCCACACCGTGGCTGTTTGTGTTGACAGGGGCTGACATCGCCAACATCTGCAATGAGGCTGCGCTGCACGCGGCGCGGGAGGGACACACTTCCGTGCACACTCTCAACTTCGAGTACGCCGTGGAGCGCGTCCTCGCAGGTACAGGGGGCGCGCCCTGGGTGAAGGCCCTCCTTAGCAGGGCTTGAACCCCAGAAATACCCAGGCAGGTATTGAGAGGTGAGGTGGATGGAACCATCACACAGGAAGGAACACACGTTGCGTTTCAGTTCTGCGTAACTCATGTCTTTATGATACCTTGTACTTTTCCTTAGTTTAAAATATCACAGATTTACCTAAGAGTAGACGCTCGTCCAACAGAAATAAAAAATGCCTTGCCAAAGAAAGTGAAAAAATAAAAATAAAAAATGCCCCCCAAAAATAAAAATAATAAAAACTAAAAATGTCTTGCCAGCCTGGGTGTGGTGGGCTCAGCCTAGCCCCAGCCTCATGGGGGCTGAGCTCCAGCCGCTGACTGTGGGCCGGAGGGCTGCTGCCGCCCGTGGCTGTGGAGGGACAGCCGTGCTTTCAGCGCAGCAGGGGCTCTGCGGAGAGGTGTGGATCTGCAGCACCACCTCTGGTGAAACTCATGGTCCCGACCGTCAGTAGGAACGGGAGATGAGTTTTGGTGACGGGTGACCGGTGGGCTGACCGCCTCTGACTGCCGTTCCGTGGCTGCTCAGTGTGGGGTCTGCGACGTCTGTGAGGAGAGAGGACCAAACTGGGAATCGGAGCTGCTGGAGGTTTCCATAGCTATGATGGCAACACCCAGACGTGATCAGTCATCTCATGGAATGGAGTTCAGACCCGCACTGTCAGTGTGAGACAGGTTGAACGTTTGAAAAGGGAAGTGGTTCTTGCCCCAGGTGTTTGAGGAGCACGAGCCTCCTTTGCGAGCTATCCCTGCGAGAACCGAGTTCCTCACCCTCAATTCGAGTGAATTCCTAGCACGAACACGCCTCTTGCAGGTCCCCAGGGCTTCAGCTTGGGAAAGCAGTGGGTTCCTGCAGAGGAGTGGGGCAGCTGCTGTGCCAGACACTGCAAAACACACCTGGCTTCTCTCCGACAGCCCTGCGGGTCGAGAGGACTGGCGCTGCCTGTGTCTTACTGAAATTTATTTTCGTGTAACCATTTACTTTTATGTGGAAATCGAAAAGCTTTTGATAATAGTAGCAAAGCAGGAAGGACTGAGTGGGAACCACAAGCCAGTTGAAAGAAAATACATGACGTACTTGAGTGCTCAGGACCACGAGCTGATTCAAGTTGTACAGAATGGACACTTACAGATGTGTGGAAAATCTGAGACAGGAAATGAAGCCTCACCAGTAAGCTGAACAGGGGAGATTTAATGCAAACATTTGTCCCTGGCTGGGCACTGTGGCTCATGCCTGTAATCCCAGCACTTTGGGGGCTGAGGCAGGAGGGTTGCTTGAGGCCAGGAGTTTGAGACCAGCCTGGGCAATACAGCAAGACCCCATCTCTTAAAAGAAAAGAATAAAGAGTATTAGCCAGGCATGGTGGTGGAGCACACCTCTGGTCTCAGCTACTCAGGAGGCTGCAGCAGGAGGATTGCTTGAACCTGGGAGGTTGAAGCAACAGTGAGCCGTGATCGCACCACTGCCCTCCAGCCTGGGCAACAGAGTGAGACCCTGTCACTGACAGAAAAAAAGCCTTGTCCCTGAGGCAAAAAGCTTCTGAAGGGGTGAGTAGAAGCCATAAGGATCCAGAAAGTGATGGGGATGGGAGCTGCGCCTCCAGGTCTGAGGGGAGAGGGAAAGTAAGCAGGAGGCCCGTAACTCAGAGGAGGCCTCTGCCCATCCTGCCAGGGAGAAAGTCAAAAGCTGCTGTTCTGTGACCCTTGCCCCGACCCTGTGGCACCCCCCCAACCATGGGGCAGGAGGAGACACTCCTCAGAGGGTTGCACTTGTTCCTAAAAGCAGCAGGAGCTATTTCGATGATTGCAACATTTATAAAAGAAGAAATCACGACCTCCTTCAACAGCCCTTTGACCTGAAGAGTGTCGTTTTGAGTTGGGGTGTCCAGAGCCGCAGCTGCAGCTCCAAGAGGCAGATGTGCAGAGAGAGGCTTGCTTTGACCACACGGGGCAGGAGCAGGGCCCAGCCAGGGAGAGGCCGGGGTCTCAGCTCACCCCCCCGTCATTCTTTTTTGTTTGTTTTTTGAGACGGAGTCTTGCTCTGTCGCCCAGCCTGGAGTGCAGTGGCATGATCTTGCCCTACTGTAACCTCCGTCTCTCAGGTTCAAGTGATTCTCTTGCCTCAGCCTCCCAAGTAGCTGGGACTGCAGGCGCCCGCCATCACACCTAGCTAATTTTTCTATTTTTAGTAGGGACGGGGTTTCACCATATTGGTCGGGCTGGTCTCGAACTCCTGTCCTCAGGTCATCCGCCCGCCTTGGCCTCCCACAGCGCTGGGATTACAGGCGTGAGCCACCGCGCCCAACTCATACCCCGGCATTCTTTCAGGGACTGCCAAAAAGAGCAAGATCCTGTCCAAGGAAGAACAGAAAGTGGTTGCGTTTCATGAGTCGGGCCACGCCTTGGTGGGCTGGATGCTGGAGCACACGGAGGCCGTGATGAAGGTGGGTCTTGGCAGGTGCCGGCTCCACGGGCCTTGGCCAAAGGTGGGTGGGGAGTCCCGCCTGTGTCTGTAGCTGACTGGGGAGTCCCGCCTGTGTCTGTAGCTGACTGGGGAGTCCCGCCTGTGTCTGTAGGTCATGTGAGAGGAAAGCCTGCCACTGTCATGATCCATGGAGCAGGGTGGGTGGCGACTGATGGGCGGGAACTCGGACGTGGGAGGCAGGAGTGGGCTGTGTCACATCGGAGCATGGTGCTGCTACTGGGGTGACTCGTGGAAGGTTACACCATGCAATGGGGTTTCGCTGCCTTTGCCTGTCCACCCCAAATGACTCCTAACATTGGAAAGAAGTGAGTTGAGTGTACATTTAAAAAATACTATTCTAGGCTGGGCATGGTGGATCACCTGAGGTCAGGAGTTCAAGACCAGCCTGGCCAACAGGGCAAAACTGTCTCTACTTCAAACAAACAAACAAAAAACTACTCTTGTAGGCAGCTGTGAACTCGATGGACATTTATTCTTACCAAATGGTGATGTTACAGCTTCTCTAAGACGTGGCTCCACCACCGGGAGTCCGAGTGCTGCCAAGAGGAGGTCTCTACTCGGAACGCAGGTGCCGTCTTTACAGTGGAGCCCCAGGAAGCCGTGCAGGTTTGAGGCTCACCTGAGAAGGCGGCAGTGCTGTGTTCCTACCTCAGGGTTCACTGCAAACAATGCATACGCTGTAGCAGTTGCCAGCTTGGTTTGTCAGTGCTGGTCTCCGTGATTGGTTCTCAGGTGTGAGTTGTAGCAAAGTTGCGTGTTAATCAGAGAGCGTCCTGCCCATCCCAGGGTCTCAGCAGGGCTGAGGCAGCGTTTGGGGACCAGATCCGTGCTGCTCCTTGGCGATGTGCACCACAGTCATGGGACCAGAGCTAGGCCCACTGTGGGGCGAGTGGACACTCAGCTGGGGGTCCCATTTATGGGACACTAAAAAACTCAGCAGTGAACACGACGTTTTAACACGGTATGTCAAGAAATCAAAATTAATGCAGGGACTTTGGGAGGCCAAGGCGGGCAGATCACTTGAGGTCAGGAGTTCGAGACCAGCCTGGCCAACCTGGTGAAACCCCATCTCTACCAAAAATACAAAAGAATTAGCTGGGCGTGGTGGTGCGTACCTGTAACCCTAGCCACTTGAGAGGTAGAGGCACAAGAATCGCTTAAACCCGGGAGGCAGAGTCTGCAGTGAGCCAAGACTGTGCCACTGTACTCCAGCCTGGGTGACAGAGCAAGACTGTCTCTCAAAGGGAAAAAAAAAGAATTTTTACTGTATTTGATGGGCAAAAGTCAGATAGTCACAATGAAAAAGTGAGTCTCTTTCCCAAGGCTCAGTGTCCTGCCAGGAAAAGGTTGTGAATTGGCTGTTATGGTTTTGGTCATTAATGCAATCATCACTGCAGCCGTTATTTAGAGCTTCTTTTTGTTTTGAGACAGGGTCTCTCTCTCTGTTGCCCAGACCGGAGTCCAGTGGTGCGATCACAGCTCACTGCAGCCTCGACCTTCCGGGCTCACACGATCCTCCTACCTCAGCCTCCTGCATAGCTGGGACTACAGGCATGCCCCACTGGTGGCTCGAGTGATTTTTATATTTTTTGTAGCGAAGGGGTCTCGTTATGTTGCCCAGGCTAGTCTCGAACTCCTGGGCTCATGCAATCTGCCCACCTCTAACTCCCAAAGTACCGAGATCACAGATGTGAGCGACCCCGCCCAGCCTAGTTTTAGATTTTAAATTAAGCGTCCTCGGGATTCTCAGAGCACTTGGATGTGGCCATCTCGCCGCCACAATTCTCAGAAGCAGCAGCTGGGCCAGCCCCTGCCCCGTCTCCGTCCGTCTCCCACTCAGCGGTTCCGTGTTGTCGAGTTAGCTCGTTGCCCCGCGCCACCTCCTTGCACACCTGATGTGGGGCTGTGGGGGAGCAGCAGAGGTGAGGACAGCCTCTGCTGCCTCAGCATCGTGGGGTTCTCATTGCTCTGAACCCTCAGTAGCTGTCGCTGGTGTGAGGGGTCAGCGCAGCGGCCATCGGGGGTGAAACTTGTCCTTCGCCTCTCAGCTGTCTTCTACGGGCCTTGTCTTCTTGACTCCCTGCCTGTCTAGTCATGTATGAGAAGACACTTCCCGGCAGTGTGTGAACAGGCACCTGTGGTGGGAACGCTGCTGTCTCTGGGCTGGCCATCTAGAGTGTTAGGATCCCCTGTTGTTGTAGAGGATGCTGCACATTTGCCTTCCTGCTTTGAGACGCTTTAATGACGGAGACCTCTTAGTCCCACACCTTCCTCCTCAAAGCCCACGCATCCTGCCTACTGACCTGGGTCATCTTGACCTTGTGCCAGGTCTCCATAACCCCTCGGACAAACGCCGCCCTGGGCTTTGCTCAGATGCTCCCCAGAGACCAGCACCTCTTCACCAAGGAGCAGCTGTTTGAGCGGATGTGCATGGCCCTGGGAGGACGGGCCTCGGAAGCACTGTCCTTCAACGAGGTCACTTCTGGTGAGGAGCAGCGGCGCGGGCCCTGGAGGTTTCAGAGCGCTTTTCCCTGCATGACTCCTTCTGTTCCAGTGCATGCCATGGGGTGAATCTGGTGTAGACGTAGCTTTGAATTTATTAAGTATTTTGTAAAAGATAAGTTGTGGTCATAAGAGAGTTGGAGCTAAGCAAGACTTCTTAGATAATTTAATTGGACAAAAACTTAACCTATATGCCAACTCTAGACACATTTAATTGGTTAATTGTTGGTAATGGCTACAGGAAACGGAATAAAATTGAAGCGGCTTCATTGTTCTGAAGCCATTACTGCACTGGGATATCCAGAGAGCTGAAGGAGGGTCCCGGGGGCCCCTGGGCTCCAGGTCCATGGGTTTGCCTCGCATAGGCCTGGGCTTGTGCTTGAGAACTGCCATGCAGTGAGCTCCAGTATGCCCCCGGGTTCTAGATTTCCAAATAAAAGAGCATTTCGGAAAGTTTTAAGACTCTCTTAAGGAACAGTGGTGAGGTGCCAACGTCCTCACTGTCCAGCTTCACGGTGGGTCCTCGGGAGGAAGGGGATGGAGGTGGTGCTGCCTCAGTGCTCTGACCGGGACACCTGGGGCCCAGCACTGCTCTGCGCCTGCAGTGCTGAGGATGCCTCTGTCTCGACCCCGCCCTCCAGGGGCACAGGACGACCTGAGGAAGGTCACCCGCATCGCCTACTCCATGGTGAAGCAGTTTGGGATGGCACCTGGCATCGGGCCCATCTCCTTCCCTGAGGCGCAGGAGGGCCTCATGGGCATCGGGCGGCGCCCCTTCAGCCAAGGCCTGCAGCAGATGATGGACCATGTGAGTCGGCTCTGGCCACACCGCTGCCCTCTGTGCTCCCCGGGGAGGGAGTCCCTGGGTCTACCACACAAGGGTCGCCCACGGCCGCCCCAGCGGAGCTCAGCTGCAGGCCCCACCTGGGTTTCTTCCTTCTGGGCTCTGCTGTAGTTCCCACCTGTGGAGTATTTTCTTCTCAAATGAGGACATAGATGCTCCTAATGAAATTATAGATGTGAATCTGGGAAGAATATCAAATAAATACACCGAGCAATAGACCCAGGGCCCACATGTCCTTCAGACTGGGCCAGGAAGGGCCGATGTGTGCCTGTGAGGCAGCTGTGGGTGGGTGTGGGTGGGTGGGCTGGCATGCGGAGCCCTGCTTTCCTGGCACTGGTCACAGGGGCAGGAGACCACCTGTCGGCTGAGGAGTCCTGTTCCTCCTGGGAGGGGAAAGGCCGTGTTCCCAGTCTGCCATTTCTTTTCTGTGCTTTGGTGCTGGAGCCAGGCGGCCAGCCTTGCCCCTGACACAGTTCCCTCCACTCACAGGAAGCAAGACTGCTGGTGGCCAAGGCCTACAGACACACCGAGAAGGTGCTGCAGGACAACCTGGACAAGTTGCAGGCGGTGAGGCCCTGGCCAGGCGTGGGGGCTACGGCGTCACACAGTGTCCACACAGCACCCACGGTCCCCACCCCTCTCGTGAAGTATTTCCAAGGCACACAGAGTACAGAGAACACTCTGACCGATGTGAATTCTACCCAGCTCAACTGAAACTTACGTGTTCCATACTTTTTATCCTGAACTCGTCAAGTGTGTTCCCCCGAGGTAGAAAGAAGGCTGCCACAGTCTCCTGTGCCTCTTCCTGCCATTAGCAATTACCAATGTTTTGTCAGTTTTGTTTAATCTTTTCCCAAGTCTTACACTTTTTTCTTGAACATTTTTTTAAAACAAAGCTTTAATTTTAGAGTAGGAATTTTTTTTTCTTTTTTTTTTTGAGACAAAGTCTTGCTCTGTCACCCAGGCTGGAGTGCGATGGCGACATCTTGGCTCACTGCAACCTCTGCCTCCCGGGTTCCAGTGATTCTCCTGCCTCAGCCTCCCGAGTAGCTGCGACTGCAGGCATGCACCAACACACTCGGCTTTTCTTTTTTTTTTTTTTTTGAGATGGAGTCTCTCTCTGTCACGAGGCTGGAGTGCAGTGGTGCAATCTCAGCTTACTGCCACCTCCACCTCCCCAGTTCAAGCATTCTCCTGTCTCAGCCTCCCAAGTGTCTGGGATTACAGGCACGCGTCACCATGCCCAGCTAATTTTTGTATTTTTAGTAGAGGTGGGGTTTTACCACATTGGCCAGGCTGGTCTTGAACTCCTGACCTCAGGTGATCCGCCTGCCTCGGCCTCCCCAAGTGTTGGGATTACAGGCGTGAGCCACAGCCCCACGCTGATTATAGTGTTAGATGTAGAAAAGTTGCAGGCGCGGTGCAGAGAGCTCCCTGCCACCCTGCCTCGCTCCCGTGGAGGCCCCCATGGGGCAGTCCTCCCACCTGAGGAGCCCCCGCCGACCCGCGGTGTTGGGTCCACACGTGATTCAGATGTGCTGAGTCTCCCCAGTGTCCTTTCCGGTCTTGGGAGTCCACATGGCGTTTGATCGCCCATCTTCTTAGGCTCCTCTGGGGTGACAGTTCCTCAGACCTCCCTTGTTTTGAGGGCTCTGGCAGTTTTGAGGATTGGTCTCATGTTTTGTAGGACGTTCCTCAGTTGCGATTGTCTGATGTGTTTCTCACAGTGGGCAGAGCTGGAGTGAACGTTTTTGTCCCTGGGTTTGGTAACTGCTGCTTAGAACTCAGGAGAGGTGCACGGCTCTTTGTCCCATGTTGTGAACAGATGGGTAGGCAGTGGATAGGTAGTTGTTTCTTCAGCCTCCCCTTGTGTCTTTCAAGCGAGCACTGTGTGTCACGTGGGGATCGTGTTTGGGGCCCTTAGACTGTCGTCCCCAGCCAGCAGCAGCCGCCTCTGGGCAGGTGTGGGCGGTGCCGTCCCCGGCTGAAGCAGGCCTGCCTGTGGACCCATGCTCATCACGGTTGACAAAGCAGCTCTGCAGAGCTCGGGCACATCACAGTGGGAGCCACAACGGGAGCAAAGCTGCAGGCAAGGCTTCTCACTGGCTGAGGAGTGGTGTGTCTGCCCCGTGTATGAACTGTCAGCTACTCACACACTCAGTGGGTTGCAGAACTTAGTAAAATCCCACACCAGCCCTAGAGAGGAAGTGTTTGTCTCTTGCAATACAGCCACAGGTAAATCACCCTAGCTTCAGGGGTTACCATTTTCTTTAGAAAATCTGGAAGAGTGAGGAAAGGAGCAGGTAATTAACAACAACAACAACAAAAAATCTGGAAGAGTTCTGCCTTCACAGAAACCAGTGAAATGTGGCTGTGGCAGTGTTTTCTGTGGTCTGGCCAGGCCACCCCAGGGGCAGGTCCACCGGCACAGGACAGTCGGTGTCTCAAGTGTTTTCCAGGATCCCACCTAGAATGGCAGAAATTCACTTCCCCAACTTGAGAGGTCCCAGCTCACACAACTTCGCCTCAGATTCCTTCTCCCAGTGCTGCTCTCCTCAATCAGGAGGGTTCAGCATTTTACCCATCTCCTTCCCTGTAGACACACACGTCTTGTTTGGTGAAAGAAATTGCAGTTGCCAAAAATAAGCCAAGATTTTGAATAGAAGTAGAAAAATTAATGAGGCTGGCCGCCGGAAAATCATTTATGAGGTTGAGATGGGGGTGATTCTTCTTTCGGAGCTGCCTCCGTGCCTCCGCTTCCCTGGGAAAGTGGCCTGTCCTGGGTGTCCTGCACACAGACAGGCCCTCACGCCTCTTGCCACCTCCCCAGGACATAGAGATGCTCTGTCTGCCCTGGGGACTCACACACTGCTATGCCTGTTCTTTCTAGCTGGCAAACGCCCTTCTGGAAAAGGAAGTGATAAACTATGAGGACATTGAGGCTCTCATTGGCCCGCCGCCCCATGGGCCGAAGAAAATGATCGCACCGCAGAGGTGGATCGACGCCCAGAGGGAGAAACAGGACTTGGGCGAGGAGGAGACCGAAGAGACCCAGCAGCCTCCACTTGGAGGCGAAGAGCCGACTTGGCCCAAGTAGTTGGGAGGTGTTGGCTGCACGTGCGGGTGGTCCGGGAAGTGAGGGCTCACTCAGCCACCCTGAGTTGCTTTTCAGCTGAGGTTTGCACTTCCTCTCGCGGCCCTCAGTAGTCCCTGCACAGTGACTTCTGAGATCTGTTGATTGATGACCCTTTTCATGATTTTAAGTTTCTCTGCAGAAACTACTGACGGAGTCCTGTGTTTGTGAGTCGTTTCCCCTATGGGGAAGGTTATCAGTGCTTCCCGAGTGAGCATGGAACACTTCGAGTTCCCAGGGTTATAGACAGTCGTTCCCAGTGTGGCTGAGGCCACCCAGAGGCAGCAGAGCATTCAGACTCCAAACAGACCCCTGTTCATGCCGACGCTTGCACGACCGCCCCAGTTCCTGTGGCTCCCTCGGAATGCTAAGGGGATCGGACATGAAAGGACCCTGTGAGCCGATTGTCCTATCTCCAGCGGCCCTGTCATCCAGCTCACTCATCAATGGGGCCAGTCAGGCCCAGGCACTGGGCTCCGGAGGACTCACCACTGCCCCCTGCTGCCATGTGGACTGGTGCAAGTTGAGGACTTCTTGCTGGTCTAGTCACGCATGCAGTGTTGGGGATGCCTTGGTTTTTACTGCTCTGAGAATTGTTGAGATACTTTACTAATAAACTGTGTAGTTGGAAAATCTACATTTGCATTGTCTGGCCAGCTCTAATGCAGAGGAGCTGGTGGGCTTGCCCTGGATCACAGGGTCTTGTGGTTTCAGTTTATAATTTGAGTAATGCAGGGACTAAGTGAAAAACTCCTTCTGTAGGAATCTGGGGCCTGGACCCCGTAGGGATAGAAGACGACCCAGGACACCCTGGCCCTGAGTTCCGGGGCATGCGGCTCCCACTCCGGCCCCCTTGCTTCTGCCCTCCCTGTGGTGCAGTGACGTGAGTGGATTGTCCTCTTGTTGCTGCAACACTGAAACGCTGGCGGAGCAGTAAGGAGGCAGCCACAGGTGCAGTCACACACCCGAGGGTGGCATCTCTGAGAGATGCCTTGACCTTTGCCCCAGTTCTCCAAATCCAAAGACCAGCACATCGATGGGAGGGTTTTAGCTGGTGTAGCCAAGGGTAGTGTCCTCGGTAATTGTTTTTTTTTTGCTGTTGTGTTGGTTTTTGGCAGAGTCTTGCTCTGTCGCCCAGGCTAGAGTGCAGTGGCGCCATCTCGGCTCACTGCAGCCTCGATCTTCTGGGCTCAAGCAATCCTCCTGACTCAGCCTCCCAAGTAGCTGGGACCGCAGGCACGCACCATTATGCCCGACTAATTTTTGTACTTTTTGTAGAGACAGGGCTAGACTCGAATTTCTGAGTTCAAGTGATCCTCCTGCCTTGGCCTCCCAATGTGTTGGGATTACAGGTGTGAGCCACTGTGCCAAGCCTTTTGTGAAATTAATTTATTATTTTTTAATTATTATTTGTTTTTGGAGATGGAATCTTGCTCTGTAGTCCAGGCTGGAGTGCAGTGGCACGATCTTGGGTCAGTGCAACCTCCGCCTCCCGGGTTCACGCCATTCTCCTGCCTCAGCCTCCCAAGTAGGTGGGACCACAGGCGCCTGCCACCACGCCCGGCTAATTTTTTGTATTTTTAGTAGAGTCGGGGTTTCACCATGTTAGCCAGGATGGTCTCGATCTCCTGACCTCGTGATCTGCCTGCCTTGGGCTCCCAAAATGCTGGGATTACAGGTGTGAGCCAGCACGCCCAGCTCTTAAATTTTTCATTTTTGAGACGGAGGCTTAACTCTGTCACCCAGGCTGGAGTGCAGTGGTGCAGTCTCGACTCACTGTAACCTCTGCCTCCTGGGTTCAAGTGATTCCCCTGTCCTACTCTCTGGAGTAGCTAGGATTACAGGTGTACACAACCACACATGGCTAATTTTTGTATTTTTAGTAGAGGCGGGATTTTGCCATGTTGGCTAGGCCGGTCTCCAACTCCTGACCTCAGGTGATCCACCCGCCTCGGCCTCCCAAAGTGCTGGGATTTACAGGCATGAGCCACCGTGCCTGGCCTGTGAAATACTTTTTTTTCTTTTTGAGACTGAGTCTTGCTCTGTTGCCCAGGCTAGAGTGCAGTAATGTGATCTTGGCTCACTGCAACCTCTGCCTCCCCAGTTCAAGCAATTCTGGTGACTCAGCCTCCTAAGTAGCTAGGATTACAGGCATGCGCCACCACGCCCAGCTTTTTTGTATTTTTAGTAGAGACAGGGTTTCACCATCTTAGCCAGGGTGATCTCAAACTCTTGACCTCGGCTGATCCGCCCACCTCAGCCTCCCAAAGTGCTGGAACTGTGAAATTCTTAAAATGTGGATTACGTTGGCCAGGCACGGTGGCTCACGCCTGTAATCCCAGCACTTTGGGAGGCCCAGGCGGGCGGATCGCGAGGTCAGGAGATCGAGACCATCCTGGCTAACACAGTGAAACCCCGTCTGTACTAAAAATACAAAAAATCAGCTGGGCGTGATGGTGGGCGCCTGTAGTCCCAGCTACTTGGGAGGCAGAGGCAGGAGAATGGCGTGAACCCGGGAGGCAGAACTTGCAGTGAACAGAGATCGCACCACTGAACTCCAGCCTGGGCAACAGAGGGAGACTCCGTCTCAAAAAAAAAAAATAATAATAAGTTTTACCAGGAGGAAGCGTGGTGATTGGGTGAGGGTAGGGAAGAAAGAGGGTTATTGGGATTTAAAGGTTTCCAGGTAGCAGTAAGATGGATGGTGCCTTCACAGACTTATACTAGAGAAGAGATGGCTTTTTGTTGATGCTTTTCTTTGTGAAGGAAGGCAGTAGGCACAGCAGGTCAGAGTGTGACATTTTCAGTCGGGTACCCCTGACCTTAGAGAAGTCACCTAATCCTGGGCCAAGGGAAAGCGACAGAGGCCAACAGTAACTCCGTCTACTAAAATACCAAAAATTAGCAGGGTGTGGCGGCGGGCGCCTGTAATCCCAGCTACTCGGGAGGCTGAGGCAGAATTGCTTGAACCTGGGACGCGGAGGCTGCAGTGAGCCGAGATCGCGCCATTGCACTCCAGCCTGGGCGACGGAGCGAGACTCCGTCTCCAAAAAAAAAAAACAAAAAAAAAAACCACAAATGTTCTAAATGGATGGGAGGAGAATAAACGCTGGAACGACAAGGACGAAGGCCTTAGGTTGCGCAAACTCGGATGTCACTGAAGTTTTTCTGCCTTTGCGCTGCAAACGTGTCTCACAAATGTGAACAAACAGAATTCCTCGGGCGTCGCCCGTTCGCCGTCGGCCCAGATACCGGACTCGCGCGCGTTAGCCCGCAAGACAGGACTCGGCCGCGGCCCGCGCAGCGGCTGAAGCGCCGGGGCAGTAACGGCGGACGTCAAGCAAGTCCGGCCGTCGGTTACTCAGGGCCCAGGAATCACGGCCGCCCCGCCGCATTCTCA
This sequence comes from Homo sapiens, assembly GCF_000001405.40. Taxonomy (NCBI): domain Eukaryota; kingdom Metazoa; phylum Chordata; class Mammalia; order Primates; family Hominidae; genus Homo; species Homo sapiens. The sequence continues at coordinate 89,560,530 of NC_000016.10, forward strand.
GCGGCAACATGTCTGCGACGGCGGCCCTAGGGCTGCCGGGAGAGCCGCGGCGACGTCAGTTCCTCCTTTCGGGGCTCTGATTGGTCAGAGCGCCCGGCGCTTCTGGTTGGCCGGCCCTGCTATCATCCCAGAGTGCATTGCGGGGCCGCTTCCTTTCCGCTCGGCTGTTTTCCTGCGCAGGAGGTGAGGGAGACTGGGTCCTGGCCTTTGGGCATCATCCAGCGCCATCGGCCTGGCGCTTCAGCCAACGCGGGAGTGGATGGGCCCCTTCTTCTTCGCAGACAGCGTTCGGCCGCTGCCCGGGCTCTAGGCGCGGCCGGACGGCCCAGTCTGGAGGGTTCGGGGCGGAGGCCCGGGGGGGTGCGCGCGCCCGGGGTCCGGCCTCTCACTCGCTCCCCTCTCGTCCGCAGCCGCAGGGCCGTAGGCAGCCATGGCGCCCAGCCGGAATGGCATGGTCTTGAAGCCCCACTTCCACAAGGACTGGCAGCGGCGCGTGGCCACGTGGTTCAACCAGCCGGCCCGTAAGATCCGCAGGTGAGCCCTGCGCTCGGGGCTGCCCCTGGGGCTCGTGCCCGCGGCTGCGCCTTGGCTTGCGGGTGGCCGATGCCAGGGCGGGGGGCGCTGTCTGCAACCGTCGCGGAGCGCTGGCCTGGCGGCCTTAGGCAAGGGTGACCGCCGCTGCGCTTCTCTCCACCAGACGTAAGGCCCGGCAAGCCAAGGCGCGCCGCATCGCCCCGCGCCCCGCGTCGGGTCCCATCCGGCCCATCGTGCGCTGCCCCACGGTTCGGTACCACACGAAGGTGCGCGCCGGCCGCGGCTTCAGCCTGGAGGAGCTCAGGGTGAGTACTGGCAGCGCTGCGGTGTCAGGAAGGCCCCGAAGTCCCCTCTGTTGGCCTCAGTCGCGTGATGACATTCTCCGGAATCGCTGTACGGCCTTGATGAAAGCACATTTGAACCCTTTTCCATCTGATTGCTGAGGCTTTTCATCCAGGCCTCGGGGCTGGAGAAAGCCCGGGCCTGTCTCCATCTCTCTCTGGTTCTGGGGCAGGTGGCCGGCATTCACAAGAAGGTGGCCCGGACCATCGGCATTTCTGTGGATCCGAGGAGGCGGAACAAGTCCACGGAGTCCCTGCAGGCCAACGTGCAGCGGCTGAAGGAGTACCGCTCCAAACTCATCCTCTTCCCCAGGAAGCCCTCGGCCCCCAAGAAGGGAGACAGTTCTGTGAGTACACGGCTCTCTGGCCGTCCTGGTGCGCGGGGACAGTGAGGCTTGGCTCCTTTATCAGTGACACCGGTCCCTGGGTCTTGCTGGGGTGAGAAGAACCAAAACATTGTGGGTGATGAGCTAAGCGGGACTGCTAAGGTTCACCTGTGCGTTTCCGCAGAGATAACCTTAATGGACATGGCAAGGCTGTGTGACTTGGAGGCAGCTTTTTCCATTGACGTTGCTCTCCCTAAAATGCTTCGTATTCCAAAATATTTCTAGAAAGACCTTGTAGGATAAGGTTGATAAAGAGTCCATTGTATACGTTTCCGGGTAGTTAAATTAGGGAACAGTTTTCTCTGCCCCGCCCGTGGTTCACAGGTAGATAACTGTCTCGTGCGTGTTGCGTCAACTCAGTAAGATATAGTCACCTAACTAATAAGGACTGTTCTTAACATTGGGGCCACAAAGTGTGTTGTAGAAAAGGCTCAGACACTGGTCCTGAACACGGAATCCCCAGGGGAAAGTTTGGGGCCAGGTGAGGGTGGAGTCCTTGCAGCAGTGCGGCCAACCCCACTTAACTCTTCTCATTCACCAACAGGCTGAAGAACTGAAACTGGCCACCCAGCTGACCGGACCGGTCATGCCCGTCCGGAACGTAAGTGAACACTTACTCAAATCCAGGCTTCAGACGAGATCAGTGGGTGAACACGTGGGTATCTGAGATGCGGGTGATGGGGGTCAGGCTTAAGAACGTTAATAGTGGCAGTTGTGGGTGTGGAGGTTTGCGGAAAGGAACATTTCTTCTTAGTTTTTACTTCTTGCAACCATGAAGCCATACATTGGGAAGTATTTTTGTTTGTTTTGTGTTTTTTTGTTGTTGTTGGAAAGAGAGTTTCTCTATGCTGCTTACATTGGTTTTGAATTGCTGGGTTTACAGGCTTGAGCCGCCATGTCCAGCTCAGGGAGGGTTTTTCTTTTTTTTTTTAAATCCCAGGGAAGGTGATTGACTCAGGGTTGCTTTTCAGCAGTACTTATGGCAGCGAACCTGACCCCCAATCCCCGGGAGGTCCTCCAGGTTCTCCTGACGCTTGGTTGTTCCCTTGCCCTTTGGTGCATGTGGGTTTAACAACCTGTCTTTCTCTTCTAGGTCTATAAGAAGGAGAAAGCTCGAGTCATCACTGAGGAAGAGAAGAATTTCAAAGCCTTCGCTAGTCTCCGTATGGCCCGTGCCAACGCCCGGCTCTTCGGCATACGGGCAAAAAGAGCCAAGGAAGCCGCAGAACAGGATGTTGAAAAGAAAAAATAAAGCCCTCCTGGGGACTTGGAATCAGTCGGCAGTCATGCTGGGTCTCCACGTGGTGTGTTTCGTGGGAACAACTGGGCCTGGGATGGGGCTTCACTGCTGTGACTTCCTCCTGCCAGGGGATTTGGGGCTTTCTTGAAAGACAGTCCAAGCCCTGGATAATGCTTTACTTTCTGTGTTGAAGCACTGTTGGTTGTTTGGTTAGTGACTGATGTAAAACGGTTTTCTTGTGGGGAGGTTACAGAGGCTGACTTCAGAGTGGACTTGTGTTTTTTCTTTTTAAAGAGGCAAGGTTGGGCTGGTGCTCACAGCTGTAATCCCAGCACTTTGAGGTTGGCTGGGAGTTCAAGACCAGCCTGGCCAACATGTCAGAACTACTAAAAATAAAGAAATCAGCCATGCTTGGTGCTGCACACTTGTAGTTGCAGCTCCTGGGAGGCAGAGGTGAGGGATCACTTAACCCAGGAGGCAGAGGCTGCACTGAGCCAGGATCACGCCACTGCACTCTAGCCTGGGCAACAGTGAGACTGTCTCAAAAAAAAAAAAAGAGACAGGGTCTTCGGCACCCAGGCTGGAGTACAGTGCCACAATCATGGCTCACTGCAGTCTTGAACTCATGGCCTCAAGCAGTCCTCCCTCAGCCTCCCAAGTAGAGGGGTTTATAGGCACGAGACCCTGCACCCAACCTAGAGTTGCCTTTTTTAAGCAAAGCAGTTTCTAGTTAATGTAGCATCTTGGACTTTGGGGCGTCATTCTTAAGCTTGTTGTGCCCGGTAACCATGGTCCTCTTGCTCTGATTAACCCTTCCTTCAATGGGCTTCTTCACCCAGACACCAAGGTATGAGATGGCCCTGCCAAGTGTCGGCCTCTCCTGTTAAACAAAAACATTCTAAAGCCATTGTTCTTGCTTCATGGACAAGAGGCAGCCAGAGAGAGTGCCAGGGTGCCCTGGTCTGAGCTGGCATCCCCATGTCTTCTGTGTCCGAGGGCAGCATGGTTTCTCGTGCAGTGCTCAGACACAGCCTGCCCTAGTCCTACCAGCTCACAGCAGCACCTGCTCTCCTTGGCAGCTATGGCCATGACAACCCCAGAGAAGCAGCTTCAGGGACCGAGTCAGATTCTGTTTTGTCTACATGCCTCTGCCGGGTGCCGGTATTGAGGCACCCAGGGAGCTGTTACTGGCGTGGAAATAGGTGATGCTGCTACCTCTGCTGCTGCACTCACAGCCACACTTGATACACGATGACACCTTGCTTGTTTGGAAACATCTAAACATCTAGTAGATGACTTGCAGGCTGTTGGCTACCAGTTTCCTGTCTGAGGTGTATATGTTAACTTCGTGATCAGTTTGTATGTTTGGGACTCTTGTCCTATGTAAAGTTAAGGTGGGCCGGGTGCAGTGGCTCACGCCTGTAATCCTAACACTGGGAGGCCGAGGCGGGTGGATCACCTGATGGTGAAACCTCATCTCTACTGAAAATACAAAAATTAGCTGAGTGGTGACACACGCCTGTAATCCCAGCTACTTGGTAGGCTTGAACCCAGGAGGCAGAGATTGCAGTGAGCCGAGCTGCACCACTGTGCTCCAGCCTGGGTGACAGCGAGACTCAGTCTCAAAAAAAGTTGTACAAGGTGGATGGTTGGAAGCTTGAGCCTAGGCTCGAATCCCTCTCACGTGAGAGGGCCTGAAGATTTCTGGTGGATTCCAACCTGGCTGAAGACTGGCCGTGGGGGGTGCAGGGGTCTCCAGCGCTCTGCCCTCCAGCCTGCTTCCTCCCTGCCCACACCGCACTAGGGGAAGGGCCTTTCCTGCTGCCTGCGGGGCCGCACCTGGAGTAGGTAATGCCATGTGGTGACGTGAATGGAGCAGAGGTCTGTGCCCCATCACACCGCCTTGCTGTTTTTACTGTGGGACAAAAGCACTCTGATCTGCGTGTTCCGGGGGCCCTCCTACCAGCCGACTTGACGGGAAGTCAGGGTTCAGGTATCATCTGTGCACCTGGGGCGGGGTAGTCTGCACTGAACCTGCCAGAGTCCCCTCCTCATTTCACTGAAAGTCACAGTCTCCAGGGCTGTGTTGCTAACCTTACGTTCTCTCCGTTTGCTTAATCTATTAAGAGCCCTAACAGGAGAGGATGGGCTTTCTCTGTTGTCTGGGGCCCTGCTGTTGGCCGGTGCTCTTAGCAAGAGGTCATTTTTCTAGGTTGCGCTGGGACATTGTGAGTTTGGTGAGGGTCATGGATGTGGGCTGGGCTGGGCTGGGCTGGGCCGGGCTGCCTGCTGCCTGCTGCTCCCCTACCTGAAATGCAGCTAGTGCGGCTCTGCCCTTCCTGGGGCTGAGGAAGGCTTCTGCAGGATAGCTGGGGGGCTGGGCAGGTGGGTGAGGCAGCCTCCCTGCTGACACTCAGTCCTTGTAGCTGGAGCAAGATCTCCTGATCCAGGTACGGGCCTGTCTGCTCCAAGAAAGACTCTGCCACCAGATGCAAAGGGGCCCTTTGTTTTAACTTAGTCCCTGGGGACCGCCTGATTCAGCACCTGTCGGCCCAGGATACCCCGCTGGTGGGGACAAGTGCCTGAGTGTGGGCCGTGCCCGAGTGTGGCCATCCCTGAGTGGGGCCGTCCTGACTAGGAAGTGGCTTTTCAGTTGTGATGTGTGGGCCTGACCTAGGGGGCGCTGTGGAACCCGGGCTGGAACCAGCCCTCTGTGCCAGGCCGCAGACAGGTTCCGCCGGCCCTGAGGGGCAGCTGCCATGGCGTGGGTCACTGGGAGCTGAGAGGAAGGGCCCCCACCGCACCTCAGGCAAAGCGGCTCTGGGAACACCTTGATTTCGTCCATGTGAGCCGTCCCAGGGAGGGCAGCCAAGCTGTGAAGCCTGAGAAACTGACCTGTGTGCCACGAGCTTGTGGTCTGCTGCCCGGTGGAGGAAGTGCAGGTGCGCCCAGGCTCCTCATTCCGTTTTGCAGGATTCCTTCGGGGTGTGAGCATTTCCTATTCAGCCTGTCGCCCCCGGGGAGCACGGGCTGGCTCTGTGGTGCCCGTGGCCTTTTGTAGAAGCGTTGGTTTTACGGCAGGTTCATCTCTGGGGCAGCCTCCCACAGTGGGTGGGGCTTTGCCAGCAGTGCCCACGGGGGTCATGGGGCCAGGCGCGCTCCGGCGCCTGCAGAACTGATCGGGGATAGTCTCAGGAGGCGCTAGTCACGTGCCCCGGTGATCGGGGATAGTCTCAGAAGGCGCTAGTCTCCTGCCCCGGTGATCGGGGATAGTCTCAGGAGGCACGAGTCGCCTGCCTCGGTGATGCACCGTTTCTCACACCGGCTGCTCTGGCCCGAGCTAAAGGGGAAGACGTGTGCGGATAGGAGCTGCACACAATTTTCCTCCATGTATTGTTTATTTTGCTTTTTCTTTTGGCTAGACATTAGGAATTTCAGTTTTCCCAAGTTGTATTTTTCCTTTTCTATTTTAAAATTATCATGCAGGGCTGGGTGAGGTCGCTCACGCCTATAGTCTCAAAACTTTGGGAGGCTGAGGGGGGAGGATGGCATGAGCCCAGGAGTTTAAGGCTGCAGTGAGCCGAGATCGCTCCACTGTCCTCCAGCCTGCATGACAGAGCGAGACCCTATCTCAGGAAAAAAAAAAACAAAACTATTATGCAGTAGTTTCGACCCTGGAAGACGAGTGTGCATCTTTGAGTTGTAACACGTGTACCTCGCCCATCCAGGCGTAGTTTCATTTGGAATCTGGTTATCCTGTAGTTGCTTTGTTAAAAATATATGTAATTGCAAATCATTTAAAAAGGAAAAAAATAGGCCAGGTACAGTGGCTCCTGCCTGTAATCCCGGCACTTCAGGAGGTCGGGGACGGCAGATCGTTTGAACCTAGGAGTTTGAGACTAGCCTGGGCAACATGGCAAAGACCCATGGCCACCAAAAAAAAAAAGATATTAGCCGTCATGGTGGCGTGCGCCTATCATCCCAGCTACTCAGGAGGCTGAGGCGGGAGGATGGCCTGAGCCCGGGAGGTCGAGGCTGCAGTGAGCCGAGACTGTGCCACTGCCCTCCATCTTGGGTGACAGAGTGAGAGACCCCGTATCAAAAAAAAAAAAAAAGAAAAGAAATAATACTGATTAGAACTGTTGTAATTTAGAAATTACAGTCATTTTAGGTTATTTGGTGTTTTTTTCATTTGAACCAGAGAAGTGGGTACCTGCATTCTTTGCTCTATTTTTGTGTGTCTCCGTATATTCGTTTTTTGTTTATAATTAGTTGCATTTATTTTTATGGTTTCTGTATCTTAAAATTTTTTTTTAAGTTATAGAAGAAATACATGCTATCAGCAAAAAAAAAGAAAAAAAAAGTCCAGCTACACAGAAGCGAGGAGTGCGAAGCAAATAGCCGCTTCACGTCCCACACCCTGGCAGCAGCTGCGCCCGGGTCTGTCCGGAGATGGTGTGTGCAAGCGTATTCCAGCACAAGAATCTGGACTTCTGTTTCTTATGAAAGCAGCTGATGCCACACTGTGTGCCCTGTGCCGTACTGTGCCAGGCACCTGGACGGACCTGGCTTCTCCCTGTGCCTCTGAAGGGCGGACGGCGTTGTGTCTGCGCAGTCCTGCAGGCGGGAGAACTGGAGTGCTGCTGTCTTCATTTGCTCACAGGGTTGAGCATCTCCAGTTACTGGGACCTTCTTGTCTCTCCGCGGGGCCCCGTTACCTCCTTCCTCTCGTGTTTCATTGTGATGTTCATCATTTTCTTGAACTGCAGCTGGTCTTTATATGTTAAGGAACTTTTGCCTTCTATCACCTGTTGACAACATTTCTTTCCCTGCTTGCTCTTTTCCTTTTGACTCGGAGAGCAAATGAGATGTTCTTTCAGGCGATGGTGTGGTGGGATGGACCGCAAACTCAGCATTGATAGTGGATGTTGGTCATTCTTTTTGACTTTCCAACATCAGAACCCACTTGGGGAATGGGACGCAGAACCCCTCCCTCTGCAGAAGCTGCCGCACTGCCCAGGCTCCTTGCGGTGAGCTGAGCCCAGGCCCTGCCGGCCCCACACTTTGTTGATGGCTGTGAGGCCGAACCATAGGTCTGTGGGCAGAAAAGTCACATCATGTGTCCCGGGTGAGCGCTGAGTCCAGGCGAGGCAGGTGCCCTCGCTGTCCTCACTGTGGGCTTCGGGGCACTGCCCTGCAGTTTGAGGAATTTCCTGTTAACCTTTTCTCTTCCTCAGTCGGCCGGAAGAGTTTTCAGTTGCTTAGAAGCCCACTGCCGATGCTGAGGGCACTGACCAGCCCCGGCCCTGGGCCCTCTGTGTGGCTCACTCAGCAGGTGTGCTGCCCAACACACCAGGCGCCGTGAGAGCAGTGGGCCACAAGGAACGAGGCGGGGGCTGATGGGGAGCAGGTGCTGGGCAGACAGGCGGCCGCAGGGGAGGCGGAAGGGTCACCTAAAGGCAGGGAGATGAAGGGAGGAAGGTATTTGTTCACGAGTTAGGGGCAGTTCACAAGATAAGAGCAATTTACAAGTTAAGGGCACCTGCTGTCTCCCAGGCACGGCCCCAAGCTGGGACCACAACTGAACCAAACTACTCCCCTGCCCTTCAGCGTGTCTCTGCAAATGTTCAGCTTCATCTTGGCCGGCCGGGTGCAGTAGCTCATGCCTGTAATCCCAGCCTTTGGGAGGCCATGGTGGGTGGATCACTTGAGCCCAGGAATTCAAGACCAGCCTGGGCAACATAGTGAAATCCTGTCTCTACAAAAATTTTAAAAGTTGGCTGGGTGCGGTGGCTCATGCCTGTAATCCCAGCACTTTGGGAGGCCAAGGCGGGCCGATCACAAGGTCAAGAGATGGAGACCAGCCTGGCCAATACAATGAAACCTGTCTCTACTAAAAATACGAAAATTAGCTGGGTGTGGTGGCACACGCGTGTAGTCCTAGCTAATCAGGAGGCTGAGGCAGGAGATTCGCTTGAACCCGGGAGGCGGAGGTTGCAGTGAGCAGAGATTGTACCATTGCACTCCAGGCTGGGCAACAGAGGGAGACTCTCAAAAAAAAAAAAAAAATTAGGTGTGGTGGCGGGCGCCTGTAGTCCCAGCTACTCAGGAGGCTAAGGCAGGAGAATCGCTTGAACTAAGGCAGAGGTTGCAGTGAGCTGAGATCACGCCGCTGCACACCAGGCTGGGCGACACAGCGAGACTGTCTAAAAATAATCAAGCATCTCTTCCCTTGACCTTCCCCACGTTTCCATTCCTGACACGGTCTGGCCTCTTACCTGTACCTGGGCAGGTGCCTCATGGGCTGCGGCTAGGGGACCTGTGGAGAAGACGAGACACTGGCAGAGCCTGGTGCCAGAAGGGACCCCGGGAGCTCCTCCCTTTCCCACAGCATCAGAGTGGGCAGGGGGAGGGCTGTGGTGGTGGAGGGTCTGGGTGCCTTCTCTGGAGGTGGCCCAGGGAGAGAGGGGGTTGGCATCCCATGGCCTTCTCCAGACCCCCTTCCTGGGCGGCTGGATGTCACAGCCAGTCTCAGGGGCCTCCTGCACTGGTGAGAGGGGCAGGGCAGTAGAGGGTGTGTCAGACTTGGCCCGGCCATTGTCCAGCCTCCCCATTGTATTACCCTCAGGCTCCCCATCTGCAGCGGTACCACCAAGGCATGGTGCTGGGGGACAGTCTGATGTGGCACGGTCCCTGGCAGCACCTGCCCTTCTGAGTAACTCCCCAGAAAGGGTGGTGCCTCCCGGGGAGGAGGGAGAAGAACTAGGCTATTGATGAAAGGGACCAGAGAGCGGAGGGAAGTGTCCGAGCAGCCTTCCAGGCCGGCTTTTTACCAAGAATAGCATCAAAAGCCTCCGATGACTCAAGCAAGACTAAAACCAGGACGTCCATCAGTTGGGATGGCCTGAGGACACCGGCCCCGGGGACACAGCTCCTGCCGGCCATCACCTCCCACAGGACCAGAGTCTCCTCCGGGCCTCTCTGCTCCTGCCCTGGCCCTGTGGTCAGTAGCCACCCATCTGGTGCCCATCTCCTGACGCTCACCCTTGTGCGAGCCCCTCCCTCAAGCACGGGCTGGACGCAACACTGTGCTCTCCCAGAAGCCTCCTTTGACCTTGGAGCACACTGGCTGAGGGGACAGGTGGGCACCAGGAAGGCGTGTGGCCACAGAGGCGCCAGCGCCAAGCAGAGGGGTGGCACTGGGGTAGAGAGAGCTGGTCTCAGAAGAGCCTCAGTGGAGCAGGGCGGTGGCGACACAGGCTTAGAAGCCAGTGACCCCACAGCTGCTGTCTGAGGGGTTGGCCCCCCAGTCGGGTACAGAGCCCCCAGCAGCAGTGGCACCATTAGCCGGGGGCCTTCGCCCAGGGCACAGCCTGCTTGTCATGAGCAGGTGGCACTCACAGGCCCGTGGGTTTCCGAGGCCCTGCTCAGCTTGGGCTTCAGCTGCTCATCCGAGTGCACGGACCTCGTGGACAGCAGCCACCCAGTGTCAGGCCTCCCAGCAGCACCTCAGGATTATAGGAGTTGGTTCTGGGTAGTCGACAGGACACTGGAAGGAAGTGAGGTCCAGAGGGTTAGCGTGGTGGGGAGGTCGGGCAAGTCTGCAAAAGGGCAGCCTGGGAGGAGGCAAGTGGGCACAGGTGGTCTGCGGGCTGGGGAGGTGGTCCCTGGGCACAGGAGGAGGTGAGCGGGGATTGGAGGAGGTGAGCGGGCACGGGAGGAGGTGAGCGGGGACGGGAGCAGGTGAGCAGGCACGGGAGGAGGTGAGCGGGCACGGGAGGAGGTGAGCGGGGCACGGGAAGAGGTGAGCGGGGCACGGGAGCAGGTGAGCGGGGACGGGAGGAGGTGAGCAGGCACGGGAGGAGGTGAGCGGGGCACGGGAGGAGGTGAGCGGGGACGGGAGGAGGTGAGCGGGGACGGGAGGAGGTGAGCGGGGACGGGAGGAGGTGAGCGGGGCACGGGAGGAGGTGAGCGGGGCACGGGAGGAGGTGAGCGGGGACGGGAGGAGGTGAGCGGGGCACGGGAGGAGGTGAGCGGGGCACGGGAGGAGGTGAGCGGGGACGGGAGGAGGTGAGCGGGGACGGGAGGAGGTGAGCGGGCACGGGAGGAGGTGAGGGGCACGGGAGGAGGTGAGCGGGGCACGGGAGGAGGTGAGCGGGGCACGGGAGCAGGTGAGCGGGCACGGGAGGAGGTGAGCGGGGCACGGGAGGAGGTGAGCGGGGCACGGGAGGAGGTGAGCGGGGACGGGAGGAGGTGAGCGGGGACGGGAGGAGGTGAGTGGGTACAGGCGGTCCGGGGGCCGGGGAGGTGGTCCAGGGGCCCAGGGCCACTGCTGGTCAGCAGGCTTGGCAGTCAGAAAGAAGAGAGGACCCAGGAGTGGGGACAGTGGGACCAGGAGCCCAAGTCCTGGGGACTCTGGGATGGCTGGTGCCTGAGTCTGAGCACAGAGGGGTCCTGGCTCAGGAGGGCCAAAGGGGGTGAGGAAGAGCCAGTCCCGGACGGTGTCCCCAGCGTGCAGTCCTGGGCAGGGACCCTGACCCCTGGGTCTCACTGCACAGGGGCTGTGAAGTCTGGGCCCCTCCACAGTAAGTGCTCCTGAGGGTCTGCTGGGAACATTCTGGGCAAGGGCAGCAAAGCCATCAAGCCACGCCGGGGGCTGGACGGGCGAAGGAAGGCGTGAGGGCTGGGTTCTGAGCGGGGTTCCAGTTCCACCCCAGGGCCTGGACGGGCCGAGGAAGGTGTGAGCGCTGGCTTCTGAGCTGGGTTCTGGGTTCCAGCTCCACCCCTGCTGTGTGGTCTCAGCCACCACAACGCCCTCTCTGAGCCATGTCTCCCGCCAGCAGTGGTGTCTCCTGCTGGGCAGAGATGCTGGGGGCTGGGATGGTCTGCTCCTGGCTGCATGCAGACAAGGGGCAGGAGGGATGGCGGCCCGGGGCTGCACGCGAGAACGCGCCTGGAGGAGAAGGGAGTCTCGAAGAAGGGGGTCTCATCCACACCCAGAAGACGGTGTTGGGGGAAGGAAGTGGAGGAAGGGGACCCCCTGGTTGGAACATATGTTGCCCTGGGGTGGCCTGTGTCTGCGCTTGTGTGTCTTGGGTGCCTGGCGTGTCTGCGTGTGGGCTGTCTCTCCATGAGTACGTGCACGTGTCTGCGGTATTTGGCACACGTGTGTGGCGTGTGCTCGTGCGTGCCTGCATGTGCTGAGTGTGGTGGAGGAGAAAGTCCCCCTAATCAGTCCCCAGGTCTCTGAGGCTGTAACAAGGTCAGCGAGGAACTGAGACTGGCCAGGTGTGTTGTCTCAGCCAACAGCCGGCGTGGCCGCCTCTGGGCATGGTTGATTTCTCAAATAAGATCAGCATCAGATCCTGCAGGAAGACAATCTGATCCAGACAGGTTGCAGATGTTCTAAGATAAAATAACCTTTCTTTAGGAGGAAAGAAAAGAAGAGGGTAGGTTTGCAACCAGATTAAAAAAAGCAGCACCCATCCGGACACGTGGAGAGCTGTTTCCTGTTAAACAATCCTGTTAGTAACCCCCACCCTCTGCAATTTCTTGTTTTGAGGCAACTTCTGGGACAATCTCTCCACATGAAGGGCAGGTTCGAGGACCCTGCATTCAGGGGTGGGGACCGAGCCCCGGACCGGTCCACTGGAGCACACCAGCTGTGTGCTCAGGACGGCCAGGGAGGAGGCCATGGACTCTGGACCTGGCTCAGGGACAAAGGGCTGTCAGAGTGTGGGGGAGAGCACTGGCTCCAGGGGATGTGCCTCAAGGCAGTAGCAGTGGGCCTGGGGTCTGCCGGGAACCTCTGGAGGCCCTGGACAGGTTTCCCTGCTCCCGGTTGGCCTCGTGGCCAGTGTTACTGAAATGGGAGATGGGGACTCTGTGACTGATGGAGATGACACCCTCGAGGCAGATCCAGGACCAGAGAGCAGCCACCAGAGCTGCGTTTCATTCGCTGATCCGCACTTCATTCATCCGCCTGGAGTTTGTTGTCTTAGACTCTGTGTTGGGACCTGTACTGGTGTTAACTCAGGCCTCGGTGGACTCCTGGTCCAGGGTGGATGAGGTCATGGGCAGCACAGCCCTGGACAGTGGAACTGATGTTGTGGACGTGTGGGCCGGGAGCCCAGGGAGGGATGTTGGGTGGCGGTTCAGACTGGGCTGGGCTTTGCAGGGTAGGTAGGGGTCGGGTGGTGGGAGAGGCTGAGGCAGAGGCACTTGGGCCTGAAAAGTATCTGAGTCCTGGATGCCAGGAAGCCACACAGGGCACTTGGGCACAGATATGTCATTGCTGCTCCTAAAATTGATCATGTGTAAGCCTCTGGATAGCCGTGGGGGTCGGCACTAATCAGAGGGTCTCATAGGTAACCCAGTGATGAGGGGATCCAGGCTAACCATTGAATGCAATATTGTCAATAAGAAAGAAAAAAGCAGGTTACAGAACAGAAACCATCTGCACCAACACCTATGGTGCTCCAACCGTGCCAGGCAGGGTCCCGGGCCTGGGCCGCGTGATGAGCCTGGCGTGGGGTCCCGGGCCTGGCCCGCGTGATGAGCCTGGCGTGCAGATACTGAAGAGTCCTCTCAAGTGTGGGAAGGGCTCTGAGAGTTAGGCACCTTTTTTTTTTTTTTGACAATTAAAAGAAATTTGCACATAAAAAAAAAAACCTGGAGGGTTAGATGTGGGGAGGTGATGGGCTGCTTTGGGGTCTGGAAATTTGTTTTTACTCCCTATCTGCATTGTCTAATATTTCAACAAGGAACACGGTTATTATTCCTGCGTGTATGTGTGTGGATCTCATTTCCTGTGTCTGGCCCTGCAGGGAAAGCTGGGAGGGGGAGCCTTGGAAAGATGGCTCCACATGGCCTGCGGGGTCCTTCCATTGTACCTGGGCCTACTGCGGGCTGATCCCTGAGCAGGGGCAGGCAGCGTCCAGACACCAGTGCCACAGGGGAATCGGCTTTTCCTTCTGTGGTTTCTCTCCATTAGAGCAGGCTGCAGTCAGGGCTGTCAGTCAGGAGACAGCAAGCCGGCCGAGGGCTGTGGCTGGAGATCCCAAATCGCCCTGGGCTTCAGAGACTCAAATTCCCAAACTCTGTGATCTTTCTTGGCTCCCTGCGTCCTTTGCTTGGAAGCCATCTGTTATTTTGCCAGGGTGCCGCTATGTGACAGCCAAGGGCTGAACTGGGGTGTTCCAGGTTTAAGCCGGGTACCCCTCAGACAGCCTGGTGGACCTCAGGCCTCACGCCACACTGCAGACGAGCAAACCTCAGGGCGGTGGTGAGGAGCTTTCGGGTGAGGTCAAGGCAGGAAGCGGAGCTTGGTCTGGGGAAAACTGTCCCAGGGCTGCTGGAACCGAGCGGGAGGCACGGCCTGCAGGAGCTGCCTGGGCGCCCGCACCCTTTGCCTGAATTTCGCATCCTTTTCCCATGGAAGTGGTTGGGGACCGAGGATGTGGCCTCCCGGCAGCCTGGAAGGCTGGGCTGAGGAGGACACAGGGCCGGGAAGGCCCAGACTGGTCCCTAGAGAGCGGGACTGGCCTCTGCCCACTGCGGGCTTCAGGGAGGAGGCGCAGAGGCCGGGGAGACAGCAGATGGGGCCCTGCAGGCCTCGCTGCGCCCTGACCTGTTCCTCGCCTCTTTAGCCAACCTCCCGGGAAGGCAGGAGCCGGTCTCCATGGCCTCTCCCGGCCCTGCCAGCCCCGTGGGGCCTCCCCGCCCTGCAGCCGCGCCCGGCGCCATCCCGCCGTCCGACCGCGAGGGGACGCCGCTGGCCGCGTTCCTCCTCCCAGGCCGAGGCTGCCTGTGCTGCCTCCCGCCGGCGGGGCCCTGAGCCTCCTCGCCCTGTCGGCGGCGGTCCCCTCTGACCGCAGGGTCTTCTTCTAGAGTCCTGATCGCCGAGGCTGAGCGGAGGCGCCCGGTCTTCCCGCCTCTTCAGTCTTAATGTCTCCCTCACCCTCGCCCCCCACCCCCGTGGCTTTTGGCGAGGTCCGTGCCCTATTTTTAGGCAGAAATCGGCAAAAAGAGTGGACTGCGAGGTGGTTTCTGTCCCCGCCGACGCCTCCTCTTCCGCTGCTCCCTCCCCCGGGACCGGTGATGGGGAAGGTGGGGGAGTGAGTTCAGGGCGGAGCGGGCCCACCCCCCACGGAACCCAGGCCTGCCCCGCCCCGCCCCGGCCTCGGGGGACTGGTGTGGACCGTGCCCCGCGGACCCCTCGGAATCAGACCGCGATTCAGCCCTCGGCCCCCCGGGACGGTCCTTCCAGCCCCAGACGAGCGCGGCGCCTGCACACAACAGGCGCCCACTAAATGCTTGTTGATGGAGGTGGCGAGTACCCGAAACCAGCGGAGCCTGGAAATGGGATCCTAGAGATCCGGGAAGGGCGCGGGGATCTGGTGCCAAGCTGGGGTCCCCCTTTTGCCTCCCCTAGTGTCTGCCTGGGTCCGAACCCGGGCTCAGGCCCCGCGCAGCTCGGAGCCTCCAGCCCGGAGCCGGTCCCTGGGCCGGGGATGCGCACAGCCGGGGAGGGCGCGCCCGACCTGACCCCAAAGCTATCAGTTGGGGGGGGGGTCCCCGGGGAATTAGAAGCTGTCTCCTCCCGGGCATCTCCGAGGGGCACCCCTGCCTCTGCCCCCTGCCCTCATTTCCCGCCGCGCCCCTCCCCGGCCCCGCCCCCCGGCCGCGCCCCACCCCCTGCAGTCCCCGCGCGGCGGCCGCCCGAGCCACGTGCGCCCGCGCCCGGCAGGCGTTCAGGGAAGCGCGGCCACGCCTGGGCCGGCCACCATTTCCCGGGCGCCGCGGCGGCGCCGACTCGCGGGCAGCGGCCCCTCAGTGCGCCCAGCCGGGCCCCCGAACGCCGGGAGCATGAGCGCGGGCTCGGAGCGCGGGGCGGCGGCAACCCCCGGGGGTTTGCCCGCGCCCTGCGCCTCGAAGGTGGAGCTGCGGCTCAGCTGCCGGCACCTGCTGGACCGCGACCCGCTCACCAAGTCCGACCCCAGCGTGGCGTTGCTGCAGCAGGCGCAGGGCCAGTGGGTGCAGGTAGGGCCGGGGCGTGGGAGGCCGAGAGGCCACCGGGCCGGGGCTGGCGCCGAGCTGGGGATGCGGAGACCAGAGCGGGCGCGCTGAGGCCAGTGGGGCGCAAGGCGGGGCCCCCCGGAGCTGGGGCTCAGCTCGGGGTCAGGGTTGGGGGTTACCAGGTCTGGGGGTGGGGTGTCCAGAGCTGTGGGGAGAGGCTGGGCTGGAGGAGGTGGCGGCGAGCGGGGTTCGGAGGAGAGAGGGGGGTGCCCCGCAGTGAGGGGTGCGGCCCAGGGTTCGGGGAGGGGGCCCCGGGCCAGAGTGAAGCGCCCAGGCATGAGGCGCGGGCAGGGGGCTCGACCAAGAGGCGCAAGGAGATTGAGGGGTGAGGGGCGCCGGCCGACGGGGGGCGGGAGGCTGGGCGGGAGCAGGCCGGCGAGGGAGCGCGCGCTGGGGTGCGGACCTCCAGGCGTCCGGGGCTCCCGCTCCAACGTGGGTCTCAAGCGAACCCGCTGTGATCGCGGTTGGGGTCCGAAGGGGCACGGGGCCGGCGCCAGACGGGCGCTTCCTCGGTCACCATCTCGCGTGAAACGCGTGGCTTCACCTCGAAAGGGCGAGAAACGCATGGCGCGAAGCCGCAGCGGGCGGAGGAGCCGGAACTCGAACCCCAGTCCGCGCGGGGCGCCAGCGCTTTTCCCCGGCGCAGGGGTCTCTCCAGGCTCCAGCGCGGGCCCGGGCGGCTGCTCGGGCGGTGGAAGGGACGCGGTCACCCGGTGGCGTCTCCGGTCATCCACCTTGAGGGTGAAGGGCCTGCCCCGCCCTCACCGCCTGTCCCCAGGGTTCCGGCTGCCCCCGGAGGCCCCGTGCCCGCCCCTCACAGCCTGAGCCCACCCTTCACATCCCGAGCCCACCATCCCCACGGAGGCCTCGTGCCCGCACCCTCAGAGCGTGAGCTGTACGGGTGGCCCATGTTTGCCCTTGGTTTGAGGTGCAGGATTTTTCAGGATTCTGAAATGAGTAGCCTACTGGCCCAGCTGGGTCTTGTCCTTACGGGGCAGTTGGACCAGGGAACTGCATGGGATGGGAGAGGCTGGTGAGCCCATGGTACCCCAGCCAGGAGGGAGGGCCCCCCTGTACCCTACGCCCCCTCCCCACTCAGCTGGTGCTGGGGAGCGGCCTGCACTTTAGGGCTGCCCAGCCCAGGGTGTGAATCTGATCTCGCCCCCGACTCAGCGTGTCATTCTCGTCCTCTGTGAGCCTCACTTTCCCCATCTGTGATCTGAGGGTGGAGCAGACAGTGGTGGCCAGGGGTGACCCCCAGGGTGGCCCTCGGGATTGTGGTCCCATGGACAGAGAGCAGGCAGGAGGTCTTCCCAGGGTATGAGTCCTCCTGAGGTACCTGGGCGTGGGTGAGCGGCAGAGGGGAGATGGAGGTCTGGAGCCCGGGGTGGAAGCCTCTGGAGTGGGGTCGGCTCACAGGTGCACTTGCAGGTGGGCAGAACCGAGGTGGTCCGGAGCAGCCTGCATCCCGTGTTCTCCAAGGTCTTCACGGTGGACTACTACTTCGAGGAGGTGCAGAGGCTGCGCTTTGAGGTGTACGACACGCATGGGCCCAGCGGCTTCAGCTGTCAGGAGGACGATTTCCTGGGGGGCATGGAGTGCACCCTGGGGCAGGTGGGTGCCCCGTCCCCTCGGAGGGAGGAGGACGGTTGGCGTGGGGGCCACAGCCGATTCAAGGCTGATGTACCAGCACCGCAGGGACCCTGCTGGGGTGGCCAACCTGGCTCTGCCCCCTCCTCAGCTCCTCCTGAACAGTCATTATTAGATTAAAATATACATGTAATTTTGAACTGGGTAATACATTCGTATGTTTTAAAGCCTGAAGGTATAAAAGGCTGTGGAGCGCCTCCATCCTGCCCCATCCAGCTGCTGCCAGGTCCCTGGACATTGTCCAGAGAGAGATTTTCACAGGAGCAAACCAGCCTATCACTTTTCCTCTTTTTTCTTTTTTTTCTTTTTCTTTTTTTTTTTTTTTGAGATGTAGTCTCGCTCTGTCACCCAGGCTGGAGTGCAGTGGCGTGATCTCGGCTCACTGCAACCTCCACCTCCTGGGTTCAAGCGATTCTCCTGCCTCAGCCTCCTGAGTAGCTGGGATTACAGGCACCCGCCACCACGCCCGGCTAATTTTTGTATTTTCAGTAGAGACGGGGTTTCACCATGTTGGTCAGGCTGCTCTTGAAATCCTGACCTCGTGATCCGCCTGCCTTGTCCTCCCAAAGTGCTGGGATTACAGGCGTGAGCCACGGTGCCCAGCCCACTTTTCCTCTTTTTTCAAAAATACACAAATTACGTTCCCTGTTCTGCATCCTGCGTTTTCACTTCCACGACGTGCAGCAGCCCCTCCATATCAGCACCTAAAAGTCTCCTGGTGGCCGGCCGTGGTGGCTCACACCTGTGATCCCAGCACTGTGGGAGGCCGAGGCGGGCAGATCACTTGAGGTCAGGAGTTCGAGACCAGCCTGGCCAACATGCTGAAACCTCATCTCTACAAAAAGTACAATAATTAGCCGGGCATGGTGGCATGTGCCTGTAATCCCAGCTACTCTGGAGGCTGAGGCAGGAGAATCGGTTGAACCCGGGAGGCAGAGGTTGCAGTGAGTGGAGATCTCACCACTGCACTCCAGCCTGAGTGACAGATTGAGACTCTGTCTCAAAAAAAAAAAAAAAAAAAGAAGCCTCCTTGTGAGCAGCAGGTCCTACGGTGGCCACTGCTTCCTTGGTGATGCTCTCTGGGTTACGGCCTCCACAGCCAGCCCAAAAGTGGCTTCTGCAAGTCGTGATGAGAGTGTCTGTTGATGTGCTGGGCCCTGCTGGACACTGCGCTAAGCACTTCCTGTGCTGCACGGAATCCTCACACCTTGCCAGGACGGGTCCTTCTTTTTTATTGAGGTAAAATTTACAGGCCGGGCACGGTGGCTCACGCCTGTAATCGCAGCACTTTGGAAGTCCGAGGTGGGGGGATCACGAGGTCAGGAGTTCGAGACCAGCCTGGCCAACATGATGAAACCCCATCTCTACTAAAAATAGAAAAGAAATTAGCCAGGCGTGGTGGTGCGTGCCTGTAGTCCCAGCTACTGGGGAGGCTGAGGCAGGAGAATCACTTGAACCTGGGAGGCAGAGGTTTCAGCGAGCCGAGATCGCGCCACTGCACACCAGCCCAGGTGACAGTGAGTCTTTGTCTCAAAAAAAAAAAAAAATTTTACGATAAAATGCATCAATCTTAAGGGTTGAGAATGACAAGTTTAGGTGACTGTACACAGCTGACCATCACCCGTCACACAGAACATCCCGTCACACGGAACATCTCACCTGTCACACAGAACATCCCTTCACCCCTCACACGGAACATCCTGTCACCTGCTGACACGGAACATCCGATCACCCGTCACACGGAACATCCCATCACACAGAACATCCCATCACTTGTCACATCTCACCCATGACACGGAACATCCCGTCAGCCATCACATCTCACCCGTCACACAGAACATCCCTTCACCCATCACACGGAACATCCCATCACCCATCACATCTCACCCGTCACATGGAACATCCCTTCACCCATCACATGGAACATCCCGTCATCTGCTCACATGGAACATCCCATCACCCATCACACGGAACATCCCATCACCCATCACACAGAACATCTCACCCATCACACGGAACATCCCGTCACCCGCTGACACGGAACATCTCACCCGTCACACGGAACATCCCACACCCATCACACGGAACATCTCACCCATCACACGGAACATCCCGTCACCTGCTGACACGGAACATCTCACCCATCACACGGAACATCCCGTCACCCGCTGACACAGAACATCTCACCCGTCACATGGAACATCCCGTCACCCGTCACACGGAACATCCCATCACACGGAACATCTCACCCATCACACGGAACATCCTGTCACCCGCTGACACGGAACATCTCACCCGTCACACGGAACATCCCATCACCTGCAGACACGGAACATCTCACCCATCACACAGAACATCCCGTCACCCGCTGACACAGAACATCTCACCCGTCACACGGAACATCCCGTCACCCGCTGACACAGAACATCTCACCCGTCACACGGAACATCCCGTCACCCGCTGACACGGAACATCTCCCCCATCACACGGAACATCCCATCACCTGCAGACACAGAACATCTCACCCATCACACGGAACATCCCGTCACCCGCTGACACAGAACATCTCACCCGTCACACGGAACATCCCATCACCCGTCACACGGAACATCCCATCACCCGTCACATGGAACATCCCATCACCCGTCACACGGAACATCCCATCACCCATCACACAGAACATCTCACCCATCACACGGAACATCTCACCCATCACACGGAACATCCCGTCACCCGCTGACACAGAACATCTCACCCGTCACACGGAACATCCCATCACCCGTCACATGGAACATCCCATCACCCATCACACGGAACATCTCACCCATCACACGGAACATCCCGTCACCCGCTGACACGGAACATCTCACCTGTCACACGGAACATCCCATCACCCGTCACATGGAACATCCCATCACCCATCACACGGAACATCTCACCTGTCACACGGAACATCCCGTCACCCGCTGACACAGAACATCTCACCCATCACACGGAACATCCCATCACCCGCTGACACAGAACATCTCACCCGTCACACGGAACATCCCGTCACCTGTAACACGGAACATCCCGTCACCCATCACACGGAACATCCCATCACCCGTCACACGGAACATGCCATCACCCGTCACACGGAACATCCCATCACCCGTCACATGGAACATCTCACCCATCACACGGAACATCCCGTCACCCGCTGACATGGAACATCTCACCCATCACACGGAACATCCCATCACCTGTCACACGGAACATCCCGTCACCCGTCACACGGAACATCCCGTAACCCATCACATGGAACATCCCGTCACCTGTCACACGGAACATCCCATCACCCGTCACATGGAACATCTCACCAATCACACAGAACATCTCACCCATCACATGGAACATCCCGTCACCCGTCACACGGAACATTCCGTCTCCCGCTGACACGGAATATCTGATCACCCATCACATGGAACATCCCATCACCCACTCACACGGAACATCCGATCACCCGTCACACGGAACATCCTGTCACCAGTCACACAGAACATCCCGTCACCCATCACACGGAACATCCCATCACCCGTCACACGGAACATCCCGTCACCCATCACACGGAACATCCCGTCACCCGCAGCTGCCCCTGCCCCTTTGTGGCCAGCTCCCCGCCTGGTTCGTCTCTTCTGGAATTCCACGTCCATGAATCACAGCGCGTGTTCTCCCTGCTGTGGAATTCTTTTACCCAACATAATGTCTGCGTGACTCATCCCCCTGCAGCCTCGGTCGGAGCTGGCGTGCCATCGATCCTGTTGTCCTCCCCATTTTTTAGATAAGGAAACTGAGAGTTAGGGAGGGCACAGATGGAAGAGGATGGCACGGACACAGAAATATGGACATGCTTTTTTTGTTTTTTTGAGTTGGGTTCTCACTCTGCCGCCCAGGCTGGAGTGCAGTGGGACAGTCACAGCTCACTGCAGCCTCAACGGCCTGTGCTCAAGCAATCCTCTCACCTCAGCCTCCTGAGTAGCTGGGACTACAGGTGTACGCCACCAGACCTGGCTACGTTTTGCATTTTTTGAAGAGACAGGGGTCTCACCATGTTGCCCCAACTGGTCTTGAACTCCCGGGCTCACCGATCCACCCACCCTGGGCTCCCAAAATGTTGGGATTATAGGCATGAGCCACTGTGTCTGGCCTGGACACCTTTCTATGTACACACAGGTGCACATGTATGTCATAATCCGTGCAGGACATCCTATGCCTGTTCACATAAGCACACACACAGGGTCCGTGTGGACACCTGCGTGCAGATATGAATGTGTGTGTGAGCACGTGTGCTGTGGATATGTGCAAACTTCCAGCAATGAGGAGGCCCCTCGTGGGTTCCTGCTCTGTGGCCACCCAGCTGACCTGCAGGGCACCACGGTCAAGGGAGAAGCTACTGGCATCCAGTCCCTGTGCTGTGGCTTTGAGCCTGACCTGACCTCTGACCCCTGACTTCTGCCTCAACTGTTTCCTCATGTGATTCAAGTAAACAGTAACTCAGCCCAGAGCCAGGGATCCAGGAAGTGCTTATTAAACGCTGTTGGCACAAATCAGCGATCTCGTATTTCCTGGTAGGGGAATCTGTTGTGTTAGCCTGAGCCCGTTTCTCTCCTAAGGACCTGCTCTCCTGCCAGAAAGGGGAGGCCACTCCTTTCCTGCGCCCTCCCTGGAAGCAAACCAGGCCGGCAGGCGAGTCCCAGGTGTGAGGCAGAGGCCCTGGCTCAGGAGCCCCAGAAGGAAACCTTTGAATCAGGGAATCTTGGGGGGCCTGGCCCGAGGCTCCCCCTCCCAGCACCCAGGACCCCTTTGCACCCCTAAGAGAGCCTTCCCACCCCTTAACCTGACTTGACTTCCCCAGCCCTGACCTGGGATCTGCTTTCTCTTCTGTGTGGAAAGTGCCGCATGCTCAGAAGCTGCTGGCCAGGCCGGCCCTGGTTGGGGGTGGAGGGACTGCCCCTCTCTGCTTTGTATTCAACCTACCTCATTGTGACCTCCCAGCATCCGCCAGGCAGTAGCAGGTGTGAGGGCAGGTGGGAAGCACACACCTGCTACCTGGTGGGCCATTCGATGGTTGCTGAGATCACTTACGTGTGAGGAGATGACGGCCACCCCGCTTGGCCGGGGTCATCACCATCTCCTTTCGGACACGGAGCCTGGGAGGGCCGTGTGCCCCCGTCCTGCTCCTCACTGAGGAGATGACCTGGCTGCAGGGGCCTGGGCCTGTCATCCGCCACCCACCCCAGGTGGGCTCATAGCCGATGGGGCGGAAGTCCAGCAGGGCCTGGTGAGGAGGAGGAGGCCCCGGCTGCATGAGGAGGTCCCCAGGGTCTAAGCCCCAGTCCACTTCGAACAATCAACTCTGCTCCTTGGCACCTTCGAAGAGGAGTGGGCGGTGGGGTCCTGGGCCGGCACCTCGCTCACACCCTTTCTGCCGCCCGTGGCTACGTGGACATGCTGGGCGTGAGGGTCCGGGGCCGTTTGAGCTGCCTCGCCTCTGCTTCTGCGGGTTCTCACCTGGGCCTGGAGAGGGTCAGGGCAGCCCTGCTTACCTGTGGAGGGGCGTCCGCCACACCTGTGCAGGTGCAGGCCAGCTGGGCTGTGAGCTGCTTCCTGGCTTCCACCTGAGCCTGTTTCCTCACCTGGTAAATAGGTATGATGACCTCTGCCTCCCCTGGGCGACTGCTGGCGCCGTGAGGTGGTGGACGTGCAGGGGTGGCCACACGCAGGGATGGCAGGTGCTTGAGAGCAGCCACAAAGGGGGCGCGGGCCCTGGGCAGTGAAGCTCATGGTGGGGGATGGGGAGACAGGACAGGCCTGAGAGTCCGGGTGAGGGCGCGGTGGGGTCTCCAGGGTCAGGAGCCGTCCCCGCCTGCCCCTCCCTGCCTGACGCCTCTGACTTACAGATTGTGGCCCAGAAGAAGGTGACCCGCCCGCTGCTGCTCAAGTTTGGCAGGAACGCTGGCAAGTCCACCATCACGGTGAGACCCGGGCGCACCCCTGCAGCCTGCAGGCCCTGCTGCTGTGGCTCCGAGGGGTGTTGTGGGCGGAAGATGGGCAGCAGCGTGCCGTCCAGGGAGGGTCTGCAGGAGCCGGCAGCTACACAGCCCCGGGGGTACACAGACACCTCCTCTCAGGCCCCGCTGGGTGGGGTCAGCCAGCCTGGGGCCTCTGGTCCCCCACGGTGGGGTCAGGCCCCACCTGGCCAAGCCTGGAGCCCGGGCGTCCCCCTGCCAGGTGATCGCCGAGGACATCTCGGGGAACAACGGCTACGTGGAGCTCTCCTTCCGGGCCAGGAAGCTGGACGACAAGGTGAGTGCAGGTGCCGGGCACGCCTGGCTCAGGCTGAGGTCCGGGAACCGGTTCGAAAACCCGGTCCCTGCCCAGCGCTGACCTCGCGTGGCTATGTCCCGTGTGAGACGTGTGCGGAGTGTGCCTGGGGCTGGGCGTGCTGCCGTCACGGTCGCCATCATCACTGTCACCGCCATTAGCTCTCCCGCCCCTCCTGGCAGCTGGGCTGGGGCTGGGGCAGCTCCCTCCTGTGGGGACCACTCATGACCCTGCTCAGGGATGGGGAAATAGGCCCAGCACCCCCGAGGCCACTGTCGTGACAGGAGGAACTGGAACAGCGCGCGGTTCTGCGGGCTCGTCACGTGGGTGGGCAGAACAGGGTCCAACCCCGCCATGTAGGGCGTCTCCCTGGAGGGGCTGAGTCGCAGGGTGTGTAGGGCAAGTCCGTGGAGGGCTGAGTCGCAGGGTGTGCAGGGTGACTCCATGGAGGGCTGAGTTGCCCGCCGTGGTCAGATCCCTGGGGGCGGGAGGGAGGGACGAGATGCTGTCGGCGGGGACTGGCTGCCTCGTTTTGTGCCTGAGGAATTAGCGGCTGGTGGCATGAAGTGAGCCCTGGGAAACGACAAAGCCAGCTCCCATCCAAAGCCCGATCTCACAGTGCCTGGCCCAGCAGCCCTTGTGCCTCTCCCCAGGACCTCTTCAGCAAGTCCGACCCCTTCCTGGAGCTCTACAGGGTCAACGACGACCAGGGCTTGCAGCTGGTGTACAGGACGGAGGTGAGCGGCCGGGGATGGGAACACAGGGAGGGGAAGGGGCTGTCCCCAGCCCTCACGCATCTCTGGCCACATGGGAGGAGCTCCCAGCCTCCAACAGGGAGCTGTGGGCGCAGGGCTTTGGTGGCTGTGGCTATGGCCAGAATCCAACAGGGAGCCGCAGGCGCAGGGCCCTGGGGGCCGTGGCTGTGGCCAGAATCCAGCAGGCTTGTGTAGTCGTGGCTGTGATTATTTTTAGACCTACCTTCCACTTCCTGCAGGTGAAATGGGATTTCAGCGACGGCAGGGAGAGAGTGCTTTCTTTTGAGAGAAATTAACTTGAGTGAAAATGAATCTATTTAAGGAAGAGAGCAGCGCAGGTGGCTCAGAGGTGGCAGAAGTTACGAAGGTGGAGGCACAGGGCTCGGAAATGTGTCTCCCGGGTCCTCACATGGCTTCGTGCAGGGAGTGGGTGCCAGCCCCAGCTCAGGGCCCCGGCGCTGTCTGGGGTGATGCAGGGGCAGGGCCAGCTGTGCCCGCCTCACAGCTGCTCTTCCACCCAGGTCTCTATCCCCCCCAAGGATCCCAGGGCCCTGGGCCTCCCCTGAGCCAGCCCCTCCCGGCCCACAGGTGGTGAAGAACAACCTGAACCCGGTGTGGGAGGCCTTCAAAGTCTCTCTGAGTTCCCTCTGCAGCTGCGAGGAGACAAGGCCTCTAAAGGTGGGGGACGGGATGGACCAAGGGGGCAGTGAGGGGGTGGCCTGGATGTGGGCTGCGATGGAGACACCTGGGCTCGGGTGGGAGGGTCCTGGGGCCCCCAGACAGCAGTGCTGAGGAGGACTGGGCTCCCCAGTGCCTGGTCTGGGATTACGACTCTCGAGGAAAGCACGACTTCATCGGAGAATTCTCTACCACCTTCGAGGAGATGCAGAAGGCCTTTGAGGAGGGGCAGGTGAGCAGGACGGGGTAGGGGGTCCTCCAGGGAGGGTCAGGTGGGGGTGGAGGGGGGCCTTCGGGGAGGGGTAGGTGAGCAGGACTGGGGGGGTACCTCCAGGAAGTGTCAGGTGAGGAGGTGGGGGGTGGGGTAGGGGCCTCCGTGGAGGGGCATGTGGGTGGGCACCTCTGGGGAGGAGCAGGTTGGGGGGGCCTTTGGGGAGGTTCAGGTGAGGGGGGCCTCCAGGGAGGGGCAGTTAGCAGGGGGAGGGGGCATTCAGGGAGGGGCAGGTGAGGGGGGCCTCTGGGGAGGGGCAGGTGAGTCGGGGGCACACCTGGGCTACGCCTGTGTTGGCCCTGCCACAGAGGCTGTGAAACCCTGTCCCACTGTCCTGATGGGGTTGTGGGGAGTGGTGACAATGACTTGTTATAACCAGAGAAGGCTGAGGATGGTGGACCCTGGTGCTGGCTCCTGAGGGGTCATAGCAGGGGTGGCCCCCATCAGGTTCAGCTGGACATTTCAGGCACCATCTGGGTCTGGGCACAGGGGTGGTGGGAGGTGGGGCCAAGGGGTGCCCTCCCCTGTGTCTGCCCAGCCCACAGCAGCCGGGTGAGGGTGCAGTGGGGAGGCCACCCTGGGCCCTGCTTCCTCCCCCGTCCCTGGGCCTCAGTGTCCTTGGGCTTAATGACAGGGCCATGCCGGGTGGGGGATGCAACTCCCATCCCTCTTCATTCCCGTATGACCCACTCTGCCCCTTCCTGCTGCCCTGCAGCAGTGCCCTCCCCTCCCCTCCCCACCACGGGGCCCTCTGCCGTCGCTATTGGGGATGGTCTTGGGTAGGGTCTCCCTGGTAGGTGTTCAGAGCCACCACTCTGGGGGGCCTCTGCTTGTTCCTGCCCCAGGCCCAGTGGGACTGTGTGAACCCCAAATACAAGCAGAAGAGACGCAGTTATAAGAACTCAGGAGTGGTCGTCCTGGCTGACCTCAAGGTGAGAGGTGGCTGTGCCCGAAGCCTCCCCACCCACAAGAGGGGCTTCCGCTGCCTCCCTCTGATTGTTGGATGGACCCTCAACCAGAGGCCTGGTGGGCCCCAGCACGTCTGGGGAGGGGCTGAGAGACGGGGAAGGGCGAGGTTGGGGAGAGAGGATGGGGGAGAGGAGAGGAGGGTGGCACCCCAGAGGGACTGGGCTGCCTGCGGGAGGCAGGCCTGGATCCCAGCTGGCACTGGCCTCAGTGTCCCTGGCGGGGGTGGACGCTGACTCCGCCGGCCGGAAGTTCCACAGGGTGTACTCCTTCCTGG